>NC_000006.12:87023261-87648261 GCF_000001405.40 Homo sapiens
AACAGAAAGAGCAGAGGTTAGAATATATTAATAATATCAATTGTCGTTTGTTGTTAAAAATGTTAATTTAGCCTATGCTATGACTTTAGCATCATACTAGGCGCTGGGATCTCTGTAAGGAGATAAAAAAAAGTGGGAGTGGTGCAGCAGATGATCCAAGTGGAAAACCATGAGACCCAGATCTTACGAACAGATTTGTAGAAAGCTGATTATATTTATTTTCTGTATAAAATGGTATTTTAGAGAGAATTATAAGGGGGTGGGAGGGAAAGGAGGCATAGGAGAACATTTTGCACATACGAATCTTGGGGAAAATGAAAATGATCCTGGAAACTCTGGAGAATAGAGAAGGGATGGTTGTTCAAAGAAAATATATAAAGAATATCTATAAGCAGGAATACATATTCCTGTATTTTTAGATACAAGAAATAAGGTCATATGGGCTATCATATTTTTCCAACTTGTCTAGTATCCAACAATCATACATCAAGTAAAGACTCAAGAAAGCTAATATATGAAGACATCCAAAAGAAAGATGTTGGAAACAGATTACTGAGAAAAATTTAGACTTGTATGCAGTCTAATAATAAGCAGACCAGTAACCTCAAGTGTTTCCAGTTCATAAACACTCAATAAGAGATTGGCAAATGAATAAATCAGTTGCTCAGTTAAGAAATCAAGCCTGAGCTGGAAGTTGGATAACAAAGGAGAACAATTTGGCAATCTAGCAAAAGTATTTAGGTAAGTTAGTAAGAAAGATGCTAATAAAATATGCATTCAGAGGTATGAATTAGTCATATGAAAAAGCTGAGGCTGCAAGCTGAACATTTAGCCATCCTTTCTTCTTGTACTTTGGAGGGTGGGAGAAGTGTTTTATAGAGAACAATAATAATACTCAAAATGTAAATTGTTTTGACAAATACTATAAAAATGTTGAGGCAGCATGCAGGTTTTTACCTGATAGCTTTACCTGATTATTTCTCATTTATCACTTTTTTACTAATAAAAACTAAGACCTGACTTCCCATTCGAATCACACACACACACACACACAGAACCAAAAACAGTGTCCTCCACCTCAGTAAGGAAAGCAAAGATCAGGTTGATACAGGCAAGTGTCATCGGCTAAATGGTTAGGAGAGTGCAATTAGGAATGTAATATCGAAGCATAATATCAGATGTACTACATACATATTATTCTATGTATGATTGCTGGATGCTATACAAACTGTAATAGGAGAAAATGAGATATCAGCCTCAATAATCATGCTGAAGATAAATCATAATCAGAGTCTCCAAAATGTTTTCTATATTGAAAAGATCTTGCCATAGAATGCATGCCCTGACCACAAACTTCTTCTAAATGGATGATCAGGTACAGCTTCCATGAGAAAAGCAACCTTAGGTGGTTTCTTAAGCACAAAGCACCATGTAGCACTATGTGACACCTCCTGCCCCCACCCTTATTCTCTGCCTGCAGATGATTTTTTCGGGGGAGTTGAGCACCTGGCCCAAGGATGGCCATGTTCTATGACTTGGTCTGATACAAAAGGCTTCCCCCAAACACAAGGTGATTCGTTGAGATGGTGACATTCTTATTCTCTCAAGAATTTGAACTAAAAATATACAAAGGACATACCACTGTCAATGGATCAGAAGGAGAAAGATAAGCAAATAGAGGCTGAATAAAACCCCAGCTTACTCACATTCAATGCACAGGACAAGAAGGAACTCAGTTAATTCCTGCTGCTGAGAAACTAACAATTTCACTTAACCCCTAGAGATGCCTCTTCCAACACCAAACAGCCTTCCAGGTCCCAAACTATTCCCAGATCCTTAAGGTTTAGCTGTAAGAGTAGTCCAGAGATTCCTTTTACTCTTATTGCAACAGTTACCATTACAATAAACCAGAACAATAAGTGCAACTGGGCCAGATTCAAGTCATGATTTTCATTTCTATTGACCTTTCCATTGTGGAAATGTACAGAGTTTCTGTTACTCCCTGATACACTTCACTTCCCTCCATGAAATTAAATTCCTCCATTTACTTTTTACTACCTGTATTTCAATTCTATTTATTATTATTTGTTGTTGCTGCTTTCCTTTTTTTGTTATTTTTGCTTTGGCTCCTAGGATGAAGTGATGTAAGGAACAACTGACTTTTCTTAAGTTTTGGCCTTGAGAGTGAGAAAGAGCAGTGAAGGAAGGATGGGAGGGGTAGTGGGCCGAGAGATGAAAGTACTTAGAGGATCTGAACAAGGTTTGTGGACCAGGCTTCACCAGCCCCATTAGCATCCTCTGGGTTTTTCAAGGGATTTGGAGAGCACAGCCATGATATTAACCACCACCATGTGCTCAGCCAGGCTTAGCCCAGTCACAACCATCCTAGGGGACAGAATCAACTCCTCTTATCTTATAAATAGATGTTATATGCTATAGATCTATATGTTACAGATCTGAATATACTCCAGCAAATAAAGTGGACATATAGTTAGGGAAGTCTTTTCTGAAAAGAAATAACCAAGAAAAATTACTAAAATCCAGTGCGGGGAGGAGAGGATTCAGTCTACTAGAGAATAATTTGAAGATAAAGTTCAATCAACAAACATTTGTTGACTCTGTGTGTAAAGCTTTGCAACACATTGTGTTGTCAATAGGCACAGCCCCAGCCCTTAAGGAACATATGGTCTATTGGAAGAGAAAGCCGAGTAAATAAGTGATTGCAATAGAGTGTGACACATTTTATAATAGAGATATGTACAATGCATTATGTGAGCACAGAAGCCTAAATAAAAATTTCTGTGAGACATAGGAAAAAGGAGCCTGGAATAATCACATTTTAAGCTGGAACATGATATGAGTTTGCTAGGCTGACAATTTATTCAGATAAACAGCATGAACAAAGGCATGTAGATGCTGAGATATAAATGGTGTTCAGGGAATGAAAAGTGGCCTGTGGTGGCCAGAGTATGGGGTAAAAAGAGGAATGGCAGGAGAAGAGGCTGGCAGGGAGGAGTGTCCATGAACGGCCTCAAATGCCTTGCTAAGGACAATAGATTTATCCTGCAGACAGCAGAAAGTCACCCAAGGTTTTCTAACCAAAGGAGAACAAGATGAGGCCTGCAGTTTTGAAAGCATTCTTGAATGAAAGACAGAAGATGGAAGAATGAAGACCAGGTAAACAGGTGTTGGAAAAGCCAATGAGAAATAAGGGGGAGTCTATATTAAAGAAGAAGAAGAAAGTGAGGGGAGGGGGAAGGTGGGGAGATGCTAGAGAAATTTCAGAAATAAAATTGAAGGATGAAAGACAAGTAGATTTAACTAGAAGATAAACTCTTTAAATTGAAAGAGAGCAAAGTTTCAGATTGCAAAAAGGACCATGTAGTAATTTCAGAAGCAGAACATAAATCTCACAATCTGATAATATAGTAGAACAGAGCAAGTCACTATTGCCAAATGGATGAATTCTTTTTCTACTTTGCAGATTGTCCATCCTTGCTTAATCATAGTCAACTAGGCAGAAAATCTTTCTGTGAAGTAACAATATAATCAGAGGTGTTAATTACATACCTCATTTTCTCCACTTTTAGCACTACTCTTTCATTGAGTCTTTCTAAACACATTGGTTACTTAACAACATGGTTAAGCAAACATCCCTCACACCAGCAGATATCCATTCATGTATCATTCGACAAGCATTTACTGAGCACCTACTATGTCCCAGGAATTATGCTAGGTCCTAGATATCTAGTGGTGAACTAGACAATTGAGATCCCTTCCCTGACTGAGATTTCACTGTAATGAAAGTGAGAAGCAATTTAAGTAGCATTTTCAATACAGTGTGTTAAAGTGCAGTAAAGGGAAGTATTTCCTTTACGGTCTAGAGCAGTACCTGAGAGAGTGCATTTCTAAAAATCCCCAAGTAATGTTGATGTTTCTAGTCTAGGGACCACACGTTAAATGGCATAGATTCCCATAACCTAGTGTTAGTCATTCTCACTCAAAGTCACTTGAAGAGAAATTGGCAGGAGAATGAAATCTGCATTTCCTGCATATCATGATTTCAGCAATAGCAATTAAGAACAGAGAAAGAATGAACAAGCAAATACAGGCATACTTGCAGGACTCTGATGGAACTACAGCAGAAAATCCAACTGACCTTTGAGCAAGTTGGTTCAGAAAGACAGTGGAGATGAGTGTCCACACTTGGGACCTCAAGCAGATGTGTAGAACCAGAGCCATGAAGGTAGAAAACTAGGTCCAGGACAGAGTTCTCATTGCATCACTCATTTTGCCCACAGCCCAGTGCAGAGGGATTAGCATTTAATACCTGACCCAAAATTAAGTTATAATAATACTGCTTAAATAATTTGCTATGTGCATTTATGCTTCAAATTAAATATTTTATAAATGTCTTTCATCCTATGGGTTCATATATTTTCAACTAATTATTTTGTTGTCCTAACAAAGTTTCTGGATCTTAAACATCCTTTTCAGGCAAGATTAAAGAGAGTAACTGAGCTAGGAGAATTTAGCTGACTGGGATCCTGAGACCATCTACCTTGTCTTTCAAAGCAATTAAAAGGCCAAGAGAAGCAGAAAGGAAATGGGAAAGAGAGGAATCTGCTTCTGTTTATTTAGTTAGCCTCTGTCACACCTGAATTATAGGATACTGCAAATCCAGAGTCCTAACAGCTGCAACAGCAAGACACACAAACATAAAACAAGCAATAAAGAAACATCAATAAAAGACCCTTTCCCAACAAAATGTTCTTTACTTTGCATTTAATACAATATAATCTAAAATGTGTGCTTAAATTTCAGGATGTGGGTCTATACCATTAACACAAGATATTTAAATATGCACCTAAGTCAGCATCTGAAAAATGGCTCACCTAGCTTCCAGAGTTCCACCTGACTATATTCTGTGAGCTTTACACCTTGTTCCCCTTCAGGAAGCTAGAATTTTCAGGCCTGTGTGTCCTGATAAAAGCCTCAATACAGAAAGTCATCCCAGGTGAGGAGGCACATCACACCTCCTCATTTTGAGGATGGGCCCTACACTATCAAGAAAAGCCAGGAATCATAGTTTTGCTTTCCTTGGCTCTTGTTATATTGACAATCAAAAACTACCTTACAGGGTATTTCTGAAGTTTAACCCTTAACACTGTTATACTCTTTGGGCCTTTCCTACACTTGTTCTTGCTTGCATTCAGCCAGGACTGGATGCCAGTAAAGGAATTAAATAAGTGAAATTTGTTTTCTGTGCTCTTTACTCTTCTGATAACCATCAGACACCAGGGTCCTCCTGTTGCTCCCAGCTGCCCACAGACCTCTGTAGCACCCACCCTGGACCAATAGCCCATGGTCAGAAAACATTTTCTTCCTTTGGAAACAGCTCCGACAACAGCTTAGGAAATTTCCCCCCATCCCCATTTCATATGGCTCCAAGGAGGCTTTCCATCACAGAATGCCACTCCCAGCAAGGAGTGGGCACGTGACCAAGGTCTGCTCAATCCAGGTCCTTTCCTGGGACTATGGCTGGTGCCTAAGAATTATTAAAATGGGAGCCCAGAGCTGCCAGTGGCCATATTCTCTATTTGAAGGCACCAAAGCTAACGAGACCAACACAGAGACAGAAGATAAAACCAGAGTTGGAGATACAGAGGAAGCCATAGCATTTTTGCTAATGAGAAATCAGAACAGTTAATTCCACCAACTCTTATGCTTCTTGAAAATATATGCAATAATAATCATAGTTTACTAGGTTACTTCTCTCAAGTAATATATTTGAAATTAACTTGAGACACTCTGGTAGACTGAAAAGAATATTGAATATGCTGTAAGACAACCTATGTTTAAATTTCAATTCCAAAATTATTAGCTGAATGGTATCAGGAAAGTTTCTTCGTCTATAAAATATGGGTAAAAATACTTCCCAGATTGTTGTGAGAGTTAAATTATGTAATACTCGAAAAGTGCTTTCGTTAACTATAAAGCCAGAGAGAAAAATAGAAAGACAGAAAAAGAGATTGAAGGGGATGGGAATTAAAGTCAGAAAATCTTTAAAATTGCCTAAGATAATGCAATGATATTAAAAGGATTCTAATTTGATAAATAATGCTAAGAAGTCAGACATTTGATGTCTATCTGGAAACTGCCCAGCACTTTTAACCCAAGTTCTGATTTGATCTCAGAGCCCTCCAGTGTTTGATACACGATGCACCTAAATCCTCCTGTTTTCAGTGCTGTTCCCAGAAAAACAAATAAAAAATTATTGTCATATTATACTGAAACTAGACCTTGGAGAGCGTATATTCAATTCCCACATTTATGAGATGAGGAAGGGGCTATATATACAAACAGTATTTCAGAAGCCGAAATCATACTATTTATTTTGAAATTTCACCCTTTATATTTTTCCTGAGTGTCAAAATTCAGCAATTACCATTTTGATATAAATAAGATCCACTCTTATTTAAAATGTATAATTAAGGTGTATCTATACTGATTGGGACCAAATTATCACTCGGTAATGTAAACATGATGCTTTAAATATACATTTACATCTTGGAATTATTTTAGAACAGATGCTTTGGCAATTAAAATGCAAGTATTTTTTAATCAAAGCCTGTACTTATGACAATTCCTTGATGCCCCCTACTGGCCATAACATTATCATCCAGTGTACATATGAATTCTTTCTGCATGACCTTCTAATCTGCTTCATAATATGCCTGAACACTGGGAAGGCTGACTTGGGGAATAAAATAAGTAAATAAAGGGCTACACAAAATACAAAAATGCATCAAAAACATTAAGCCAATAATATAAACCCAAAACAAATCATTACTGGGTAAATTTTCAAATCATTACTGGGTAAACCAGTTTCACTTAATATTTAATTTACGAAGCATAATAATCATGAAGTGAATTTTGTTCTTATTTTTAAATTTTCCGATTGCATCAGACTCTATAAGAATGGTCTATTGAGAAGTGCAGGCAACATAAAAATATGAGTAAATGCCCTAACCAGTCAGATAACTTTAAGACCCAAGTGAACTTAACTAAAATACATTCCTAGTTCCCATACAATTTTATACACACACGTACTCATGCACACACACTGAACACCCTGCATGGCATAAATATCATACTTTTGACCCAAAGAAAAATCATGACCCCTACAATAAACCAAATTATGGTTAGCCTAATGCTATAACCAATTAAATCCCTGATAGCCCTCCATGACCAACTCCCACCACCACCAACACATCATCTCTGGAGCCCCTGGGTTTCCCAGCCTCTCATAGACAAGTTTATCAAAACATTCCCCATATGAAGACCCACCAGGCCCTACTTCCCAAACAACCACTTTTGAGACCCACCATCTACTCATGTTGAACACCCTAAAGGGCGTTCCTGAGCCATCTTTGCTGCCAGTCAGATCTGAGACCTTATGCTCCCTGTATCACACCTCTTCCTATCCCCGAGGACCCTGGCTCCTAGTCCCAGAGTTCTCTTTTGATTTCTGCACCCCCCACCCTTTTTCTACCTGTCCCTCACATCCCAGCCCAATGGCTGTATTCATTTCTAGGGCTACCATAACAAAATGCCATGGTCTGGTGGCTTAAATGATGGAAATGTATTTTCTTACAATCCTGGAGGCCAGAAGTTCAAGATCAGGATGTCAGCAGGTTTGGTTTCTCCCAAGGCCTCTCTCCTTGGCTTACAGATGGCTTCTGTCTCACTGCATCTTCATATGGTCTTTCCTCTGTGCACGCACAACTCTGGTGTCTCCCTGTGTGTCCAAATTTGCTCTTCCTGTAGGGACACCAGTCAGATCAGATAGGGCCGACCCTACCAGCCTCATTTAACTTAATCACCTCTTTAAGGACCTTTTCTCCAAATTCAGTCACTTTCTGAGGTGTGAGGCCTTATGGTTTTAACACATGAATTTGGAGATGCGGGGGCCACAATGTAGCTCATAATACCAATAGACACCTAATAACAGGCCTCATGGTGTAGAACCTCGTGTCCATGTGGTAAGCGTGGAGCCCCTTCCCCACTGCCCTGCCCATAGATTGAGTGCCTCCTATCTGGGATGAAAGCTGAGGTTGGTTGGTTGGTTGGTTGGTTGGTCGGTCGGTCGGTCGGTCGGTCGGTCGGTTGGTTGGTTTTAGAGACAGGAGTCTCGCTCTGTCACCCATGCTGGAGTGCAGTGGCATGATCATAGCTTACTGTAGTCTCAAACACCTGGACTCAGGTGATCCTCCCACCTCAGCCCCCTGAGTAGCTGGGACTACAGGCATACGCCACCTCGCCTGGCTAATTTTTTTTTTCTAGAGACAGGGTCTCACTATATTGCTCAGACTGGTCCAAATTCCTGGCATCAAACGATCCTCCCATCTTAGGCTCCCAAGGTGCTAGAATTACAGGCATGAGCCACCACACCTGGCTGAAAGCTGACGTTCTGATTGTTGCTTGGCTCTATTCAAAGTTTCCCCTTCCCCGAATGCAGAATCTTTTCAGCCTGGAAAATGTCCCCACAGTTAATGTAGACCATTAAATATATCCATTCCTCTGGTCTACTGGATGTGTCTCAGGCTGAATCACAGGTTCATCTACCTCACCTACACCATGTTGACAAAATATTACCACTAATTATAATAACGGTGTTAAAACCTTTATTGAGTTCTAACCACGTCCCAGACACTTTGACAAGCACTTCTCATGCATAATCGTCACTATAATCCTGTAGATTTGATGCATAATAGATGATCAATAATTATATGAAGAAATTAATGAATGAATGCTATCACTGTGCTTATTTTATGGTTGAGGATATATAGACTCATAGAAACTAAGTAGCTTGCTCATGGTCCTGTAGCCAGTAAATGGCAGAGCTGGTTCTCTTCACCATGCCTCATGCACTGCCATGCCTTGTGCACATCCCCAGAGTTGCAGCAGCCAAGCCATCTAGTGCCTTGTCTCCTTAGGACTCAATCTTGAATATTAGCTCATGCTTCAAAGATACGGGACAAGTAAAAATTGTTCTATGACATTCAAAATCAAAACTCAAGTGCTAGACAGGCACACTTACATAGACAGGGTAAGAGATATATTTAAGATTGAAAGCGTTTTATTGCTTTGGCAGTTTTAAAACATAGCTCTAAACTATATGATACTACTCCCATCTTGAGGTGAGAGCTATGTCTCTTTTCTTTGAATCTAGATGAGTTTATGATTGACTAGACCAATAAAATAAAACAAAATTATACTTTGACATCTGAGGCTAGGTCAGAAAAGACCATCAATTTTCCATCTGGTCTTCGAATGCTTGCTCTGGAAGAAGCCACCACCGTGTAAGTTGACCTACCCTGAGACCACCATCCTGGAGAGCCCAGGTGTAAATGCTCTGATTGACAGTTCCAAGTGAGTTCCCAGCTGACAGCCAGCATCTACTTCCATGGGAATAAGCCATCTTGTAAGCCAAAGTGAGCCTTCGGAGGACTGCAGACCTAACTGACATCTGATAGCAAATGTGTGAGGCATCCTAAGCAAAAACTGCCTACCCAAACTCTTCTTGATTGCTAACAATTTTGTGGGCAAATAAATGGTGGTTGTGAGCCAGTACATTTTGGAGTAATTTCTTATACAGCAATAGTAATCAGAGTATTCCCCCACCAAATATTTATTTTTCTTGTTACCCTAAGCTCCTGAACAGTATCCTAAACACCGGAGAACCCTAACAATCATATCCAACTGTGCTTTGGATGTTTGTTAGATAAGTTTCCAACAAAGGCACATAGAAAACAAAAAAATTCATGAAACTGAAACAGAAGTACATAGACACATTTCTGAAAATTTAGGTTGATTGATTTTTACTTTTTAAAAAGCAATAAATAAAATATTGTTGTTTGGAATGAACACACGGAAAGCATAAATGGACTCAGGGCAAATGCACTCCAGAAAAACATGGAAGAGAGCCCTTATCCTCAGACCATTCTCATTTTTCAGACTATATGGATGACTTAAAGATGTCTTGATCGGCTGTCTCTGTATTTCCCTGATGCCAAATTCTGCTGCGGAGAATTCTCCTGAGGTACCTAGTCCCCTACACTTTAAATAGAGTACCCACCCAGGTATCCCAAAGCTCCTGTCCCTACTAGGGTGCTACCCACAAGGAGGACACAAGACTCTAACACTCATGAAAACAATCATCTCTATACCCTCCGTCTCAGGAAACTCAATGCCTAAAGGTTAGAATGCATGCCACTTCTCCTCAAGGCAAAAGTCTCCACCCCTCATCCAGAAAAATCTGTCCTCATTGACTTGAAAGTCCTCAGCCTTTGAAACTTAAAACCTCTCTCAGATTGTGCTTTCCAGGTATTAGTGTTTTTGGAAATTTCTTCATTAATCTCTGGCCCAAACAGACAGATGCATATACACAACCCACAATTGTTATTGTTTACTTTTTCCTGATAGTATAGAAATTCCAAAGTTTAAAAATACAACTAGTCACCAGTAACAGTGAGCACACTCAGTGCTCAGATCTTGGTTCCTAACACCATCCTCCAATAAAGGGAACTGGGGTGCCTTTAAGAAATGGCTGGTTCTACGGCTGGGGAAGGGAATATATAAAAAGAGTCTGAAGCATCTTGTAGTTCCAGAAAACAAAATGTGCCAAAAAACACAATGATAGGTGTATGTCGATGGGATACTGGAGCTGCCAATGGCCAAACCTAGACCAGTTTAAGCAACAAAGAAAATAACATAGTATTGGATTATAGCCAAAGTATAAAATAACTATCATGAGTCCATAAATATATAAATAAATGATTAAATAAATAAATGGGGTAAATAGAAAAATCTCCCATCAAGTTCTCCAAATAATGTAGATACTGCCCCTTCAAGAAGGCTCCCACTTCTTTAGTGTGGGCTGTGAAAAATGACTTTCTTCCAAAAAGTACAATGCAGAAAGGGAGGAAATTTTGGCTTCTGTTGCCATTGCTTTTGGTGTTTTAGACATGAAGTCCTTGCCCATGCCTATGTCCTGAAAGGTATTGCCTATGTTTTCTTCTAGGGTTTTTATGGTTTTAGGTCTAACATTTAAGTCTTTAAACCATCTTGAACTAAATTTTGTATAAAGTGTAAGGAAGGGATCCAGTTTCAGCTTTCTACCTATGGCTAGCCAGTTTTCCCAGCACCATTTATTAAATAGGGAATCCTTTCTCCATTTCTTGTTTTTGTCAGGTTTGTCAAAGATCAGATGGTTATAGATGTGTGGTATTATTTCTCAGGGCTCTGTTCTGTTCCATTGTTTTGGTACCAGTACAATGCTGTTTTGGTTACTGTAGCTTTGTAGCATAGTTTGAAGTCGGGTAGCATGATGCCTCCAACTTTGTTCTTTTGGCTTAGGATTGTCTTGGCAATGCTGGCTCTTTTTTGGTTCCATATGAACTTTAGAGTAGTTTTTTCCAATTCTGTGAAGAAAGTCATTGGTAGCTTGATGGGGATGGCATTGAATCTATAAATTACCTTGGACAGTATGGCCATTATCATGATATTGATTCTTCCTATCCATGAGCATGGAATGTTCTTCCATTTGTTTGTATCCTCTTTTATTTCATTGAGCAGTGGTTTGTAGTTCTCCTTGAAGAGATCCTTCACGTCCCTTGTAAGTTGGATTCCTAGGTATTTTATTCTCTTTGAAGCAATTGCAAATGGGAGTTCACTCATAATTTGGCTCTCTGTTTGTCTGTTATTGGTGTATAAGAATGCTTGTGATTTTGGCACGTTGATTTTGTATCCTGAGACTTTGCTGAAGTTGCTTATCAGCTTAAGGAGATTTTGGGCTGAGACGATGGCATTTTCTAAATATACAATCATGTCATCTGCAAACAGGGACAATTTGACTTCCTCTTTTCCTAATTGAATTCCCTTTATTTCTTTCTCCTGCCTGATCGTCCTGGCCAGAACTTCCAACACTATGTTGAATAGGAGTGGTGAGAGAGGGCATCCCTGTCTTGTGCCAGTTTTCAAAGGAAATGCTTCCAGTTTTTGCCCATTCAGTATGATATTGGCTGTGGGTTTGTCATAAATAGCTCTTATTATTTATTGAGGGTTTTTAGCATGAAAGGATGTTGAATTTTGTCAAAGGCCTTTTCTGCATCTATTGAGATAATCATGTGGCTTTTGTCATTGGTTCTGTTTATATGCTGGATTATGTTTATTGATTTGTGTATATTGAACCAGCCTTGCATCCCAGGGATGAAGCCCACTTGATCATGGTGGATAAGCTTTTTGATGTGCTGCTGGATTCGGTTTGGCAGTATCTTATTAAGGATTTTTGCATTGATGTTCATCAGCAATATTGGTCTAAAATTCTCTTTTTTTGTTGTGTCTCTGCCAGACTTTGGTATCAGGATGATGCTGGCCTCATAAAACGAGTTAGGGAGGAATCCTTCTTTTTCTATTGATTGGAATAGTTTCAGAAGGAATGGTACCAGCTCCTCCTTGTACCTCTGGCAGAATTCGGCTGTGAATCCATCTGCTCCTGGACTTTTTTTGGTTGGTAGGCTATTAATTATTGCCTCAATTTCAGAGCCTGTTATTGGTCTATTCAGGGATTCAACTTCTTACTGGTTTAGTCTTGGGAGGGTGTATGTGTTGAGGAATTTATCCATTTCTTCCAGATATTCTAGTTTATTTGTGTAGTGGTGTTTATAGTATTCTCTGATGGTAGTTTGTATTTCTGTGGGATTGGTGGTGATAACCCCTTTATCATTTTTTATTGCATCTATTTGATTCTTCTCTCTTTTCTTTATTAGTCTTGGTAGCAATCTATCAATTTTGCTGATCTTTTCAAAAAACCAGCTTCTGGATTAATTGATTTTTTGAAGGGTTTCTTGTGTCTCTGTCTCCTTCAGTTCTGCTATGATCTTAGTTATTTCTTGCCTTCTGGTAGCTTTTGAATGTATTTGCTCTTGCTTCTCTAGTTCTTTTAATTGTGATGTTAGGGTGTCAATTTTCAATCTTTCCTGCTTTCTCTTGTGGGCATTTAGTGCTATAAATTTCCCTCTACACACTGCTTTAAATGTGTCCCAGAGATTCTGGTATGTTGTGTCTTTGTTCTTGTTGGTTTCAAAGAACATCTTTATTTCTGCCTTCATTTCGTTATGTACCCAGTAGTCATTCAGGAGCAGGTCATTCAGTTTCCATATAGTTGAGTGGCTTTGAGTGAGTTTCTTAACCCTGAGTTCTAGTTTGAATGCACTGTGGTCTGAGAGACAGTTTGTTATAATTTCTGTTCTTTTACATTTGCTGAGGAGTGCTTTACTTCCAACTATGTGGTCAATTTTGGAATAAGTGTGATGTGGTGCTGAGAAGAATGTATATTCTGTTGATTTGGGATGGAGAGTTCTGTAGATGTCTATTAGGTCCACTTGGTGCAGAGCTGAGTTCAATTCCTGGATATCCTTGTTAACTTTCTGTCTTATTGATCTGTCTAATGTTGACAGTGGGGTGTTAAAGTCTCCCATTATTATTGTGTGGGAGTCTAAGTCTCCTTGTAGATCTCTAACGACTTGCTTTATGAATCTGGGTGCTCCTGTATTGGGTGCATATATGTTTAAGATAGTTAGCTCTTCTTGTTGAATTGATCCCTTTACCATTTTATGTAATGGCTTTCTTTGTCTCTTTTGATCTTTGTTGTTTTAAAGTCTGTTTTATCAGAGACTAGGATTGCAACCCCTGCCTTTTTTTGTTTTCCATTTGCTTGGTAGATCTTCCTCCATCCCTTTATTTTGAGCCTATGTGTATGTCTGCACGTGAGATGGGTCTCCTGAATACAGCACACTGATGGGTCTTGACTCTTTATCCAATTTGCCAGTCTGTGTCTTTTAATTGGAGCATTTAGCCCATTTACATTTAAAGTTAATATTGTTATGTGTGAATTTGATCCTGTCGTTATGATGTTAGCTGATTATTTTGCCCGTTAGTTGATGCAGTTTCTTCCTAGCCTTGATGGTCTTTACAATTTGGCATGTTTTTGCAGTGGCTGGTACTAGTTGTTCCTTTCCATGTTTAGTGCTTCCTTCAGGAGCTCTTGTAGAGCAGGCCTGGTGGTGACAAATCTCTCAGCATTTGTTTGTCTGTAAAGGATTTTATTTCTACTTCACTTATGAAGCTTAGTTTGGCTGGATATGAAATACTGGGTTGAAAATTCTTTTCTTTAAGAATGTTAAATATTGGCCCCCACTCTCTTCTGGCTTGTAGAGTTTCTGCCGAGAGATCAGGTGTTCGTCTGATGGGCTTCCCTTTGTGGGTAACCCAATCTTTCTCTCTGGCTGCCCTTAACATTTTTTCTTCATTTCAACTTTAGTGAATCTGACAATTATATGTCTTGGAGTTGCTCTTCTTGAGGAGTATCGTTGTGGCGTTCTCTGTATTTCCTGAATTTGAATATTGGCCTGCCTTGCTAGGTTGGGAAAGTTCTCCCGGGTAATATCCTGCAGAGTGTTTTCCAACTTGGTTCCATTCTCCCCGTCACTTTCAGTTACACCAATCAGACGTAGATTTGGTCTTTTCACATAGTTCCATATTTCTTGGAGGCTTTGTTTGTTTCTTTTTACTCTTTTTTCTCTAAACTTCTCTTCTCGCTTCATTTCATTCATTTGATCTTCAATCACTGATACCCTTTCTTCCAGTTGGTCGAATCGGCTACTGAAGCTTGTGCATTTGTCACGTAGTTCTCGTGCCATGGTTTTCAGCTCCATCAGGTCATTTAAGGACTTCTCTACACTGGTTATTCTAGTTAGCCATTCGTCTAATCTTTTTTCAATGTTGTTAGCTTCTTTGCATTGGGTTCGAACTTCCTCCTTTAGCTCGGAGTAGTTTGATCATCTGAAGCCTTCTTCTCTCAACTCATCAAAGTCATTCTCCATCCAGCTTTGTTCCATTGCTGGTGAGGAGCTGTGTTCCTTTGGAGAGGGATAGGTGCTCGATTTTTAGAATTTTCAGCTTTTCTGCTCTGTTTTTTCCCCATCTTTGTGGTTTTATCTACCTTTGGTCTTTGATGATTGTGACGTACAGATGGGGTTTTGGTGTGGATGTCCTTTCTGTTTGTTAGTTTTCCTTCTAAAAGTCAGGACTCTCAGCTGCAGGTCTGTTGGAGTTTGCTGGAGGTCCACTCTAGATCCTGTTTGCCTGGATATCAGCAGCAGAGGCTGCAGAACAGCGAATATTGCTGAATAGCAAATGTTGCTGCCTGATCGTTCCTCTGGAAGCTTCATCTCAGAGGGGTACCTAGCCATGTGAGGTGTCAGTCTGCCCCTACTGGGAGGTGCCTCTCAGTTAAGGTACTCAGGGGTCAGGAACCCACTTGAGGAGGCAGTCTGTCCATTCTCAGATCTCAAACACCCTGCTGGGAGAACCACTACTCTCTTCAAAGCTGTCAGACAGGGACATTTAAGTCTGCAGAGGTTTCTGCTACCTTTTGTTCAGCTATGCCCTGCCCCAGAGGTGGAGTCTTCAAAGGTATGCAGGCCTCCTTGAGCTGCAGTGGGCTCCACCCAGTTCAAGCTTCCCGGTTGCTTTGTTTACCTACTGAAGCCTCAGCAATGGCGGGCACCCCTCCCCCAGCCTCACTGCCTTGCAGTTCGATCTCAGACTGCTGGGCTAGCAATGAGCGAGGCTCCATGGGTGTGGGACCCCCCGAGTCATGCATGGGACAAAATCTCCTGGTGTGCCATTTGCTAAGACCATTGGAAAAGGGCAGTATTAGGGTGGGAGTGACCCAATTTTCCAGGTGCCATCTGTCACTGCTTCCCTTGGCTAGGAAAGGGAATTCTCTGACCCCTTGCGCTTCCCGGGTGAGGCGATGCCTCGCCCTGCTTCGGGTCATGCTCAATGGGCTGCACCCACTGTCCTGCCCCCACTGTCCAATAAGCCCTAGTGAGATGAACCGGGTACCTCAGTTGGAAATGCAGAAATCATCTGTCTTCTGCATCGCTCATGCTGGGAGCTGTAGACTGGAGCTGTTCCTATTTGGCCATCTTGGAACTGCCCCCCAAATGCTGTACTATTGATGTGAACACTTTGCTAAGTTATACTCTCTAATATGTTTCCTGTAGATTGTCGTTTCATATGCATACCCTATAAAGAGCTCATATAATAAAATAGATGCCTAAGATAGCATTCGGTGTGTTTATTATCTGTGCTTAACTGTCTGCAGTATCTCACATTGCAATGCTCACAATTATAAAACATATTTTCCTGTTATGCTTTTCTACCTTGATTGTAAGTTATTGATGACACATTTACATTTCATTTTTATTAATTCTATGAGATTTCTTTCCTCTTCACAATTCCAATTATTCTTCTTACAATTGAATATTAAATGGGACATTTCCTAATCTAATCTAGTTTCAGCAGAAACTAACAGATAACGGGTATCTCTACATTTTAGAGAGGCACCAAATACAGGACTGGCTAAAAAGCATCCAAAAAATCAAGATTATAACCCTTAGCACATCACCAGGATATAGGAGAGAAAGCTAAGAAATGACTTAAAGTTATTGGTGAGTCCTTCAAACAGAATTGTCAAGAGTGTCAGGCATTCCAACCCCAAACTCCACTCTGATTAGATAAGCACCTTCCCCTACCACTAGCTCAAGGACAGGGCTTTCAGAGGAATGCTCAGAGAGAAAGGTGGTGTTTTCTAGGAGGATAAAAGGTGAACAATGAGGAAGGGAACCCCCAACTGAACATGTACTGAGCTGCAGGCTTATGTTACTCTGTCCTGGCACAGCCATGAGAGAAAGTTTAACCTGCATCCTACAGAATTGGAGAGTAGGTACTGGGGCCTACCTTTTATATAGAAATTCTTAAAATGAGAAGCTGCCTGGAATGGCTTTAGGAGCCAGGAGATAAACCTGGGATGTGAGAAAGCTGCACTTGCACCCATCAGATGAAGAATGTTTCCAAAGGCCTGGGGTGAGTATGGCAGCAGGTAGTCAGGCTTGAGTGACCTCTAAGGGCCCTTACCCCAGAGGACTCCCTGAAGAGATACAGTGAGCCCAGCAGAAAGAGACTGCATAGTGTAGACTAGAAGGGACATCAGAAGGCTTTGGTAAGGGAAACGAAGCTGGTGTTCCTTAAAAGTCCATAAAATGCTCCATGAGAGAAAGAAACAGCATTTGGGCATGAGCCACACAGAGAGCACCAATTCCAGATTACAAGCCTACCAGCCAATGCAGAATTGCTTCTGCTAGCCATGACCAGAACTGATGTTGAAACTACAGCAACTATCCTACTAAAAGATATTTTTAACCTGAAAAAAAAATCTTAATGGGTTCTGTTTGAATTGATAGATTTTTTTCTATGACAACAAGGTTAGAAACAGGTAGCATTTTGGAAGAAAGGGAGGGAGGAAAGAAGGGAATATTATTGTTATTATTGCACATCCTGTGGCAAAAAATAGTGTCTGGCAGACCAGCTTTAATTTTAGAGTCACATTAATTGATATTTAAGAGAATGCAAATCCTAAAAGAGTCCTAGAAAACCTAAGTCAAAATCATATTGATTCTGCCTGGAAACCAACTATTATATAAATACACATTGCAACACAGGATTATTCAGGAGAAAGAGCTTGTTGGCATAGCGTTAAATAATGCTCAGCAACCAAATGACAATCTACTCACTACACAAATACATGTGTCAGTCCCTGCTATCGTGAAGAGTTTGGTCACTCACAAACTTCAATTAGAGTTCATGAATCGATGCTCTGTATTAAGAAACACGACTACTCTTATCAGCACAACAGTGTAGATTTCTTTAGGAAATTGTCTCCCAAATTTCTTATCCATGACCACAATTTATAATAGTCCTTGCCAAAGTATTGCCAAGAAACTCCTCCCTAAAATTTGAGAACGGCATGTACACCATGATGACAAAAGTCAAGATCTGAGACCTCACACTTTTAAAAGTAATTTTATTATAAATTTTAAAGTTATTATTAAAATTTTATCAGAAATTCTGAAGTAATTTTCTTAGCAATTTTATTAGAAAACCCTAGATACTTCCCATGCGTAGAACTTAGTTATAGACAACAAGGCAAATTAGGCAGCTCTAAGCCACAGCCCAAATGACCTAATGTCTTTCATTTTGAAGGTTACTGTCTGAATGAGTCTGCTCAGGTTGCCATTGCAAAATACCACAGACAGCCTGGATTAAACTACAGAAATGTATTTTCTCATAGTTCTGGAGGCTAGAAGTTCAAGATCAAGGTAGTGGCAAATTCTGTTTCTGGTGAGGTCTCTCTTTCTGGCTTGTAGACAGCCACCTCCCAAGTCCTCACACAACCTTTCCTTTGTGTTTGGGTGGAGGGGGAGAGAGCTTTCTGGTGTCTCCTTCCCTTCTTATAAGGACATCCCTCCTATTGGATTAGAGCCTCATGCTTATAACCTCATTTAACCTTAATTACCTCCCTAAAATCCCCATCTCCTAAATGCAGTCACACTGGGGCTTAGGGCTTTGACATATGATTTGAAAGGATCATATTTTAGTCCATAATACTAACTTTTATAGAATAACAGAACCCTGATTAGTGTAAGAATGGCCAGAATAAAAATACAGAGTTTAATTCTCTTCTCTAGCTCTAAGTTGTTCTAAGTTCTCTGAGTTCTAAGACACCTTTCTTCAAAATAATGTATCATTTATTCAGATGCCATTAATTTGATATTGGTGTTATCCCAAATGGAGAATCTGAAACTTCCATCTGTACCATATACCCAAAAGGAATAATTGCAAGCATTACCATGAGTGCAGCAGAATTCGAGTACCAAAAGGAAATAAATTTTGGCTAGGTATGGTGGCTCATGTCTACAGAGATTACAATCCCAGCACTTTTGGAGGCTGAGGTGGTCGGATTACCTGAGGTCAGGAGTTCAAGACCAACCTGGCCAACATGGTGAAACCTCATCTCTACTAAAAATACAAACAAAAAAAATTAGCTGAG
This sequence comes from Homo sapiens, assembly GCF_000001405.40. Taxonomy (NCBI): domain Eukaryota; kingdom Metazoa; phylum Chordata; class Mammalia; order Primates; family Hominidae; genus Homo; species Homo sapiens. Next base: position 87,042,283 of record NC_000006.12, read on the forward strand.
CATGGTGGCAGGCACCTGTAATCCCAGCTACTCAGGAGGCTGAGGCAGGAGAATCGCTTGAATCCAGGAGGCGGGGATTGCAGTGAGCTGAGATTGCACGATTGCACTACAGCCTGGGCAACAAGAGCGAGGCTCTGTCTCAAAAAGAAAGAAAGAAAAGAAAGAAAGAAAGAAAGAAAGAAAGAAAGAAAGAAAGAAAGAAAGAAAGAAAGAAAGAAAGAAAGAAAGGAAGAAAGAAAGAAAGAGAGAAAGAGAAAGAGAGAAAGAGAAAGAAAGAAAAATAAATCAGCTGCCACCACTGGTATATAAGTAATGAGCTGGTTTCCAATTATTCTGATCTGGCCATAAGAGCAGGTTGGCAGGCTCTTCCTTCAGGCACCATTCATCCTTAACCAAATAACTAAAAAAATAGTGTTCAGTCCTCAAATCTTAAAAAAAATAAAATTCTTTTTTAACATTTCTGGGTCCCTGATGTGCACAAGTCAAACCCAAGTCTCTTTATAGAAATAAAGAGTAGAACAGAGGCTACTAGAGGTTGGGAAGGGTAGGGGGTAGGGAGGGATAAGAAAAGATTTGTTAAAGGATACAAAATGACAGCTAGATAGGACCAATAAGTTTTAGTTTTCTGTAGCACTGTAGGATAACTTAACAATAATGTGTTGTGTATGTTCAAAGATCTAGAAGAGAGGATATTGAATGTTTCTAACACAAAGACTGATAAATATTTGAAATGGATATGCTAATTATCTTGATTTCATCATTATACATTGTATCAAAATGTCACCATGTACCCCATAAATATATACAATTGTTACATGTCGATAAAAATAAATAAATAAATGTTTAAAAAAAAAAAAAACAAGATCTTCATTTGGATAGCCAAGGCCCTCCTTAATCCATCTTTATTTAAGAACTTGGCACCAGTTCCCATTACTCCCAAGTATGACCCCCTGGTCACTCTTCTTTTGGCTCTGGGCATCCCATGAAAGTTTGATTCCTGGATTGCTCCTTTTGTTCTTGGTACCTCAGGACCTTGCACTTTGGAATGAATTTTAACAAAGCAGAATCTAGAAATTAGAGACTCTTCAGTGCTTAAGACTCTATCTATGATTTAGAGTCTCAATTCCTTAGTGACTTCCATTTCAAGAGTTCCCACTTCCTGTTTTACCTCATGTCCCACCTCCTTGAAGAACTCCTATTTCTTAGCCATTTTTGTGGAATTAACTCTTCTTTCATTTCAAGATCCATGCTACCCACTCTAGCTATGCAGTACAGCTCTTATTTCTAGTACTTTTTCATAAGCAGGTCTTAAAATGAAGTATAAATTCCTACAACGGAGGCACTATTGACTTTTAAACATCAAAAGAGCTCAACACTTTGTGGAATCATAATTCAATAAATATTTTTCTCATCAAAGTGACTTGAATTCAATTCAAATCAACCTTCCCAAATAATGTTCTCCTTCAAATCAACCTTCTCAAATAATATTAATTACTGAAGCTGGTCTGCATCTGGAAAATTATTTAAGCTTGACATCACAGTCAATTCTGGAACAACAAGTACGTGACAGTGATAGCAACAGGAGGCAGAGAAATTTTAGGCAGACAGGGGCGGGTCCCTGACAAAACCCCACCTTCAAACCAAAAAGCCTAAAACCCACAGCCCAAAGTGAGAACTTCTATGCCTGTTTTCTTGCTCAAATGTTGCCTTTTCCTAAAGTACTCATGGCCCACCCTGCCCCCTATCCTGTGCCTATAAAGACCCCAGACTCAGTCAGAGAGAAGGGGTGAAGCAGCTGGACATTGGAAAGAAGTGATTTGAATTCAGAGGAATGGCTTGACAGCTTGACTTTGGAGAAGAGTCTGGCTGGAGACAGCCAGACTTGAGAGGAAGGTTACCTGCCCATCCCATCCCCTTTCCAGCTCCCTTTCCCATTGAGAGCCACTTTCAGCATTCAATAAAATCCTCCACATTTACCATCCTTCAACTCGTTTGTGTGACCTCATTTTTCCTGGACAGTAGACAAGAACCCAGGAGCCATGACTGTGGATACCCAAAAAAAAAAAAGAGGTTGTCACACTGGCCCTTTACCCTAACTAGTGGAGGACAACTGCCCCATGTGACAAGGCAAAGGGCCCACTGAGCTGTTAACACTTAAGCCGTCCATGAATGGCAGAGCTGAAACAGCACTGTAACATGCCCTCTGGGGCTTCAGGGATCACAGGCACCCCCACCTGGATGCTGCCATGGGGCCTGCACAGAATTTGCACCTGCTGCCACCCAAAAGTGGTTGGCTGGTTCCCACACTCTCTCACTACAGTTCCTGCACTCATTTGCTCATACACTCCCTCCCACTAGGAATAGACAGGGGCGGGCTGAGTAAATGAGGCATCCCTGTCCTGAGTCCCACAAAGGGGTCAAGAAAATATCCTGCATCTATCACAAGAAAGAAACATAAAAGGAGTCTGAAAATTAGTAATTTCCTTAAAAGACATAGAAAGAATCACTAAGCAGTAGTCTAAGAGAGAGTCCTTAGGAAAGTTTTAACATAGAACAGAAAGTTCTTACTTGAAATATTAAGTACGAAAACAATTTGACTTTAGTTTATATACAGTGGTGCTAATTATTTAGACAAGAAAAAAATTAGGTGATTTTCTTAAAACTAAATATTATTGTATCTTGAATTTTCTGAAATACCAAAGCTAAGCTTTAGTAGAACAGACTGAGTAGGATAGGGAGGTGGGGTGATCGTATTTTTTTTACAGATGAATCCTATCACTTCTGTCGTCACTCTAATATTAGGCAGTGATGAAAAATTGCCTCTTTCAGCTCTGTGAATCAACAGTTCTCAACCTTTTAGAATGCAGTATCTTATTCCAACTTGCCTTTACAACTACCATTCCACTAAAAGTCATCCATGATATAATTACATACATATTAACACATATTAGCTAAAAATACATAATTTTACTAAAACTATAGACACATAAGGATTGGGTGGATTTCACTGAATTTTCTAAGGTAACCATGTTAGAACCTAAGCAAAAGTTCTCAGGACTTTCTAATGTGGATCATAGAAACTTTAAGCACAGAGGGCTCACGATTCCCTCTGAAATCCATAAAGCCTGATAATCCAAATAGCATTACCAAAAGTCTTTATATAAAGTGTTAATTTTAGCTGAACATACCTGTTATTTGCCACTAAGCTTATCTTTGAAACATCTCTAATATTTAAAAAAACAGTAACATCTTTTGGGTTGTGTCACAATTATACGACCAGGATTCCCCCACTTAATTCAATAGTTGGTCTTAATAAACCATATGCAGTAAGCTGAAAAAATAGTCACACATGCTTCCTCTCCCTGTATCCATCATCCTCCTCGTCATGTAAGTTTCAATGCCTTCAAACTTGACGCTCAGCTTGGTCATGTGACATATTTTAACCAATGGGATGCTAGCAAACACGATGCAGGCAGAGACTTCAGAAGTACTTTTGTATTGGGACGTCCCTTCTTGCTATTATTAGGACCCCTGCCACCAGCACTACTATGTGAAGAAGCCCAACTAGCCTAAGGGATATGAAAGACATGTGGTCAGCCCTGCCACCCAAACTTAGAGCTAACCAACCCCTGGAAGCAGAGCTGACAGGTGCCAGCTGAAACCAGAAGAATCACCCAGCATGCATCTCAGTCCAAACTGCTGATGTAAAGAATTGTGAGCTAAATAAATGGCTGTTGTTTAAAACTACTACATTTTGGGGTAGTTTCTTATTCAATAAAAGCTAAATGACATGCCTTGTGAATCCAAATAATAGCCTATCATTCCCCTAGTCCCTTGACTTTAATTCCTAGGATCCCTTGTTTAAATTGGTCATTTATAGAGCTTACATTTTTTCTAAGTACAGGAGGATTATGGGATGGCAATCCGGAAATCAATTCCAAAATTTAAGAGATTGTCTCATAAAATGGGAGCATGGGAATGTAATTAGTTTTCACCAGCTGGGTTTTACTAGTTTTCTGCTGTCCTAGCTCTATAATGTATTTCAAATGGCTGCAATACAGGCACCAAAGTCCAGCATCTCTTACTTCCAAAGTTACTTGAAATCTAGTGAAACAATGAAAGATTTCCAAACAGAACAAGAAGTGTTCTTTGGTTTTTTAAATACACCAAACATGCAGCATGCTATAGCCACAAAAAGAGTATTCAAATCTCAATCCATTTCAACAGAAATATGTTGGACAGTTATTTGGGTTAATCATGAACTCAAGTCCCCAAATATCTCTAGTTCTTGCATAAGAGATTCCAAAATTGAACCAAGTAGGAACCATAAAACTAAGTGTAACACATGCAAAATAAATCATTCATTTTTGTCATTGATGAAAAGTATATTTTAATGCTATTACAGTATAATTATTATGGCATTTATTTTTTGTCTCCTATCAAATAATATAATATTTTTGAATTTTGCATATTTGGTCAGTTTTGCTTAGCTTTAAGGACATTTAAATACATTTCTCCAAAAATTTCAAACAGGTGAAATCCACCTTTATATCAAAACTTATACTGAAATATTTTTCTCATCAGCCAATGAGGATGCAAAAACTGACAACCTAAGTAGAGATTAATCTCAAACAAATAATGCTAGAGAAAATCCTTGTAGCATTTTCAGAATTAAATCTTTTGCCATTTTTATGCTTGGAGGAAACTGAAAGATAAAAGAGCTTTGGTAGTCTCAGTGGAGTCTTAGGTGAGATACTGGACATATTCTCTGAAGAATGCATTTCCACCAGAGCTTCAGAAACTGCTCGTGTAATGCCAAAATGATCTCAAGTAAGAAAAGCCACCTTTAAAATGCACATGTCTGGTAGACAGGCCAGTTAGATGTGGTAGATTTCTGACTATAAGCCAGCTATTTATTTGGATTTTGTGAAACCTAGAAGTTTCATAAAATAACAACAGAATTCACATTCTCAAGATGAACAGACCAGACTAGAAGACCCTTAACTTTGTAGCTGTAACTCATATTTAGCTAGTTTATTTGGTCCATAAAGAGAAACCAGGAACAGTTGACTGGCACCACAAATAAACCCATGCAATATATTAGATCTGACCCCTAGAGATATTTTCCTATGTGCCCTTAGTCACTAAGCTTTGACACTCTTAATCAATGGAACCATATGTCATCTGGGTTTTTTGCGTATGAAAAGTACCCAGGAACAAACAGGAGAAACAATGTTGTTTCTAGGAGCAAGTGAGAGATTATTGATCATGATACATAAGAGTTCACTCAGCTGCTTTTCTGTAGATGAGTGAGTGGGAGAAAAGTAAAACAGGTTGGTGAAACAGAGCTCACATAAAGAAGTGGATATCCTCCACTCTTTTGGCATACCCAGCTTATGACTATAAATTTGTGCCACAGAGCTTTCCACCCCGCAACCATACAAAACCATCTGTACTCACCTGGTAACTGCTCAGAATAACTTAATTCTCCTGGTTTTAAAGCTAATGTAATGTGAAACACAAAAAGAAAACAGGGACTTGAAAGAAATTGCAGTGAGGCGGAATTTTTGCCAATCCTGGACTTGGCATTCTAGCAAGCTTATTCTAATGAGACAAAAATCCTATCTACAGAACATTTTCCAGGATAATTTTTAATATGCCATTATTTTTAATAATGATAGCTTATAACTTCATTAACTAAAGAAACCTAAATTTTATCTGCTCATGGAGGGAGGCGATTGGACCATTGGGGCAGTTTCCCCAGTGCTGTTCTCATGATAGTGAGTTTTCATGAGATCTGGTGATTTTATAAGTGTTTGGAAGTTTCTCCTTTGCACTTTCTGTCTCCTGTTGCCATGTGAAGAAGGTGCCTGCTTCCCTTTCTGCCATGATTGCAAGTTTCCTGAGACTTCCCTAGCCATGCAGAACTGTGAGTCAATTAAATCTCTTTCCTTTATGAATTACTCAGTCTCAGGGAAGTTCTTTATAACAATGTGAAAATGGACTAATACAGAATTGCATTAAATTCATTTATTAGTTTTGTGAGAATTGACATTTTATAATATTGTCCTTCAATTCAATAAGAAAATATTAATTTCCATTTGTTTGCATCTTAACTCCCTAATCTCTAAACTCTGCCAATAAAATAAAACCTTTAAAATATTTTTAAAGGTTTTTCCTTTCTCTCCCCCTCCTCTATGACATCCCCAACTCTAGGTGATATCTTGAAAAAAATGAATTTTTCTAAAATATTAAAGTATTTTTTAATTTTTAGAGCATTATCAGCACTCTTACCAAAATCATTTAGTCACTTACCAAACATTTACTGAGAGTCTACCACATGCTCTGCATAGTTTGAGGCATGAGGGAAAAATCTCTGCTTTTATAGAGTTTATGTTCTAGTATGGGGAGACAGATGCTAGACAAAATGAATGAGTAAATTACATACTATGTTAGAAAGTGATAAATGGAATAGAGAAAACCAAAGCATAGAAATAGGATGGAATGCTACAGCCTTGAGCATTGACTGAAGTGTGCATTAAAATGTTAAATAGCGTAATCTTGGAAGGCCTGAAGGAGAATGTAGTGTTAGAGAAAAGACTTGAAAGAGATAATGGAGAGAGCCATATAGATGGCTAACGAAGAGCAATCCAGGCAGAGGAACAACAAGTAAGAAGGCACTGAGGTGGGATCATGCCCAACCTATTCAGAAACAAGAAGTGTGAAGTGTGATTGACATGGAATAGAGAGGCAGCATCAGGGGATGTCAGAACAGTTATAATAGTGAGAGATGAGGTTTTAGGGATTATGGGAATCAGATCAAATAGGGCCTTGCTGCATAATATAAGGACTTCAATTTCACTCTAAGGGAAATGGGGAAGCCATTGGACAGTTCTTAGAAAGAGAACCATGATCTGACTTAATGTTTAACAGAATGATCAGTCTGATTGCTGTGTTAAGAGTACAGTGTAGGGAGACAAGATGAGTTAGGAAGCTATTGCAATAATCTAGACAAGAGATAATAGTCATATGGTCCAGGGGACTAGTGGTGAAAAGTGGTCAATAAAGAACATATTTTTCAGGACAGTAGAGCCAATGAGGTTTAGTGAGGGATTAGATGTGGGGTGTGTGAAGAAAAGAGAGGTCAAGAATAACCCTAAGGATTTTTGCCTGAACAACTAGAAGGACTGAATTCCATTAACTGAAACAGAGAAAACCATGAGAGGAACAAGATCAGAGAGGGGGCAGTTTGATTTTAGACTTCTACTAGACTTACAAATAGCTATGCTGAGATGATGTTTGGTTATATACCTGATTGGTATTGAGAAGGGAGGTCCAGACTAGAGAGATAAATTTAGGTGTTGTTAGAATATGATTGATATTTGGAAGTATATAACTGTGTAAAATTGTCAATGAAGTGAGTAAAAATAACAAAGCTTTTACCCTGGGAAATACCAAACTTAAAAGATTGGGAAGACAAGAGCAGCCAGCAAAACAAAATGGAGAAAAAGTGGCTAGTGGGGTTCCGGAAGCCAAATGAAGAAAGTGTTTCCAGGATGAAGGAATGATCAGCTCTGCCAAATGCTGCTGATAAGATGATGAAAACTTAGAATTGACCAGGGGATTAGCAACATAAAGGTCACTGGTGACCTCAACAAGAGAAGCTTTGGTGATGTGAATGGTACAAGAGAAGGTTTAAAACTATAAATAGCCCAGACTTGTGGGCAGCATCTGAAAAAGGAAGTGATATGTTTATTAAAGTTGGACCTATATTTACACTTGCATTATTAACTATAATTTTAGTTCTTTGTATCCATTTTTAAATGGTCAATTAGCAAGTAATAAAATACATCTTCATCTCATATTAAACACTCATTTTTTCTCACTAGGTGGTTATTGTATAAGTAGTTACGAATTTCATATTCTAACACTTTCTAGCAACCTCATTGAATTAACATGCTAACAGAATGTCAGGAGCCAGGAAGGCCCATGGTCTTCCTTAAACTAATAAACGATTATATTTTACAATGGTACCTCCAAGCTCTCAACTGATAACTGTGCCAAATGGTAAAGTGAAAAAACACAAATTCTAGTCCAGAGCCCTATCTCCAACTTAAATAATGTTTGCAAGTTTCTAGTTAGGCAGTGAGACAGAAAAAATGTGTCATGTATGACAGACAGCACTAATATATAATATTTTTATCAAAGAACTATCAGCCCCTTAAAACCCAGTTTTCAAAATTGATCTACATATAAAAAAGAGCAGTAGCAGGGAAATAATACAATCCAAATATTCCAGGTTTGGTAGAAAGTGTCTTCATGTCAGATTGCATACTAGATAGAGATCAAACACAAAAGAAGAAGAAGCAGAAGAAAATATTGTAAGAGATAATGTTTATAGTTTCACTCTAGTGGGTTTTGTGAATAAAGATACAATTGAGAATTCCCTTGAAAAGTTTCATGCCTCAAGCCATTATGAAAGGTATACAATACTTTTTTTCAAAAAGTGGAATTAAACTAAATTTCTCAAAGTTGCACCCATCTTGCCTCATGCATAGTTCCTTGATTACAGATTTAACCCCAAAATTCAGGTAAACATTCTCACCCACATAGTTTAAAAAGCACATCAGGGCCAGGTGCAGTGGCTCACACCTGCAATCCCAGCACTTTAGGAGGCCAAGACAAGCAGGATTACTTGAGGCCAGGAGTTTGAGATCAGCCTGGACAACATAGTGAGACCCCATCTCTAAAAAAAAAAAATTAAAAAATTAGCTGGGCATTGTGGTGCATGCCTTAGTCCTAACTACTCAGGAGGCTGAGGCAGAAGGATCTTTTAAGCCCAGGAGTTTGAGGTTAGTGAGCTATGATCATACCTCTGCACTGCAGCCTGGGTGACAGAGTAAGACTCTATCTCCAAAATAAAAAATTGCAAAATAAAATCTAACATGCAACACATTAGCTAGAAACTCACATACTAAATGGAATGTGATGAGAGAAAATTCTAATGACGAAGGTGCAGAATACAATCAAGGTGCTACTTTAATCCTTAAGGAAACGGAGTGTGATAAATGAGGGTAAAAAGAAGTTTATCGTTTATAAAGCTGTGAATTATTTGTTGTAAACCAAATAATTAAAAACATACACTACTGTTATACAGGCATTGAATGTCCTTGAATCTTCGGAGAATGATTATTTGACATTAAAAACAACAAGAGAAACTACTGATATGTTATTCTGCTCAGTTTTTCAGCTAACAGACAGATATTGTTAAAAAATCTCTCAAACACTCATAATAATAATAATAAGTTTAACACACACATACAATATACCCACTCTGAAAGTATGGAAAGATTATAAAATGTCAATAAATGGCTTTTATTTTTCCTTTTCTACTTATCTTTATTCCTAATTTTTCTACAATGAAACTGAATTACTTGTATAATTTTTGAGAGTTAAGTTTGTTGAAATATTTATGCATAGAAGAAGAACAGTTGCTAGCCAAACTTGTGGTACCTGAACTAAAAAAATTAATTAAAAAGTACTTCACCCAATCTTCACGTTATATATGAAAAAACTGAGGTGGAGAAAGATTATGTCATTTTTGCTAATAATGGGCTGAATGCATATATTATGTAACTCAGTAGTTCTCGATCCTGGCTCATTTAAAGGATAAAAACAAAAACAGACCTGACTGGACCCTATCCCAGAATTAGAATTGAATTAGAATTGGGGTTACTATTTACCAGAAGCTCCAAGTTCCCCACACTGTCGCCAAAGAATCTAAGAAAAATGGGGAGAGGGGACATCATTACATCAAAATAAATATGATGGCAACTTTAACAAACATCTCTGTAAGAATTTCCATTTCCTAAACATACGTATCCATTAAATGTGTGATCCAGCTCATTCCAAAACAAAGTTTGGCAATAGGAATGCTGTATCTATCTCTTATACTAAGGTTGTAATTGCTGCTTCTTTGCATCTTTTAGATAAATTTAGGTTTCAGACTCTGCAAAGGATTATAAGAGTAATATTTATTGAATGCTTACTAGGTGCCATGCATTGTTCTACATGTGTTACTCACTTAATTATCTCAATCCAATATAGTAAAACAGAATAATGTGCTCCATCTCACAGGCTAATGAGAAAAGGGAAAATATAAATGTAATAAATAAATGATTAAATTTATAACAAGGTAAGTTACGTGGTATCTCATTGGCACTGTTAAATGAAGGGTTCAGAGTGTTTGAATAGAGAATAAAAGTGGTAGAATTTAAGTATCATAAAGCACATTGAACATGCTGACAAAAACAACAACATTGTGACAGTCAGAATCATATTCACTCTGCTAGCCAACATACTGCTTATATACACCAGCTGAGATAGATCATTAGGATAAATGTGACACCTATTACCTACCTGTTTTTTGGTTGAAAGAAACTTTTTAAGCTGGGCGTGGTGGCTCATGCTTGTAATCTCAGCACTTTGGGAGGCTGAGGAGGGTGGATTGCTTGAGCCCAAAAGTTCGAGACCAGCCTGGGCAAAATGGTGAGACCCCCGTCTCTACCAAAACTACACAAAAATTAGCCAGGCATGGTAGCATGCACCTGCAGTCTCAGCTACTAGGGAGGCTGAGGTGGGAGGATGGCTTGAGCCCAGGAGGCAGAGGTTGCAACGAACCAAAATCATGCCACTGCATCCCAGTCTAGGAGACAGAGAAACGTTTTAAATCTTCAATATTGAAATATACCTTTATAAGTCCATTTAATAGATTACTGGTTTAATAGAAATTTATTTTTAAAGGCAAGATAATATCAATAATAATAAGGACTCAGATGATGGTCCACTATGTTCAAGATCAAAAGAATCAGATCTTCAAATGACATATAAAGCCCAAACATTTTTTATATTTTTGTATTAAATTCAGTATTATAAATTTTTAGCAAAATATTATGTCACATTAGTCTTAACCTTGGTTTTATAGATGTAAATATTTAAATATTATAAATAATGTAGGCCAATACAAAGGGCCCTAGAAATTTGCCCTTAAAAGAGGTCCATATTTTACTCCAGTCTGAGAAACACTGGATAATGTCTAGAATGTTTTCCAGCTGTACATTTTTATGTCTCTGATCTTTTTTTCATCACCATGTGCCCCATTGCCAGCCAGGCATCTTTCACAAGCATATGAATGGTGATCATAGGCAAAAAATGAGAATGCTGTTCAATCACGGAAAAGCTGTCATCACAACTGAGATGCTAACACAGAGCAATTGATGCTGAGACACTCAGGTCATTTTCAGATAGAAAAGACAGCATGCATATATTGTGTGAAATCTAATTCATCTACTTCATGCACAATGTATTATCCTAAAAGAACTATTTTATAAATAAAAATGAACAAAGTGAGTTTTCCTAAAATGGACTGAATGGAAAGTTAATGAATGCTATCTGTTCATGATACCAGGCTGCTTATCAAAGACCCACCATTGGAAAGAAATGTCCAGATCTATCTTATCTAAAATTTTCAGTAAGCCCAAGAAAAGTAGCAGGCAGCCTTCTGGCCTTGCTGGACATGATTGTTCATGCTGGTTCTATTTTCTTGGTATTTCGAGCTATTTTCATAGCTAGCAGTCAGTCTTAATGTAATTCACATTTCCAATGCTTCTAGCCTTGATCTCTTTGAAGGTCTTTGAAGACAGTTGGAATTTTTACTCTGAGATATCAGAATATTGCATATGTTTCAATATATAACTATCTTTTGAGTTTTTTAATTTATGATTCCTATTAATGCCAATACATTTATCAAGGTTTTACCAGTTTAAAAAAACTTGCATCAATTCTTCTGTTTAGGTGAAGTGAAAACATTGTGCAGAGAAAACTGCAGTTACTACCAACTGCAAGCTGGGGTGAATCAGCTTGTTTACAACTTCTAAATTTTTTAAACCAAAAGAAACGACAGAACAAAAGTTTCGTGAACTTCTGGGGTTGGGTTTGTCAGTCTGGCTGTATGCTGAGGGTAAGAAGCACTAAACACAAAAACAAAATGAAAAGGAACTATTTTAGTTTTAGTTTCCTCTTCAGCAAAATGGGGTTTTCTATTTCCTCCACAGGGATTTTCAGAGAATTATAATGCATGGCATAGATGAAACACCTGCCACAAACTACGCACTCAATGTAAGTTTTTCTCTATTTTCCTTTTTTTCTTTTACTTTTTTCTTCTTTTTCTGAGACAGGGTCTCACTCTGTCACCCAGGCTGAAGTGTAGTGGCACAATTATAGCTCACTGCAGCCTTGACCCCCTAGATTCAAGTGATTCTCCCAGCTCAGCCTCCCAAGTAGCTGGGACTATAGGCACTCACCATCACACCCAGCTAATTTTTTTTTTTTGTAGAGGCAGTCTCACTATGTTGCCCTCACTGGTCTTGAACTCCTGGTCTCAAGCAATCCTCCCACCTTGGCATCCCAAAGTGCTAGGATTACAGGCATGACCCACTGCACCCAGCCTATTTTTCAATACTGTTGTTACCATAATAATTATTACACTTATTATTAACCCAGTACCTGGCTCTGAGTAGTTTTCAAATAAAATTTAATTCCCATACCCTTGTACTCAGGGTATAGGAATCATCCTTTTGAATTTTAGCACATGGCACTCAGTAGATTCAAAAGCGAGGTAGGGCATTTCCAACCCTCCCTGAACCCCCTACTGCTGCCCCTGGCCCACTCGGTGCAAGTTAGACTCATACTGTCCAGAAACAGTGGTTCCCCTTAAAGTCCTTGAAGACTTTGTCTCTTCCCCTCTGCCCATTCTCCTCCCTGCATAATGATTAATACAATTAACATTTGCATTACCTTTTACAACTATAAAAGTGTATTCACCTACATCATTGCATTTAATTCTTATAATATCTTCACTATTTTTATCTCCAGTTCATGGATGAGAAAACTAAGGCTCAAAGAAATTAATGACTTAATAACAATAATAACAATAGTAGGTAACATTTATTTTATACTCACTTTGCTCCAGGGACTGTTCTAAGTACTTTACATACATTATTACACATTTAATCCTCAAAACAAGTCTAGTAGTGTGGTTCTCAAGATGTTGCATCCTGCCCTCTCACAGAGACAGCCTGTGAAATCCTTGGTATGATGAATACGATGATTTTCTTATTGAAGTAATTTTAAAAAGAGAGAATAACCTTGTTTCATGAATGAACACTGCCCTAGCCCCTTCCCCTGGTCCCTGTCTCATCTCCTCAAAATTCAATAACTGAAGAATTAACATCTGGCACAGTAAGAGACCTCTGGGAGACACCCCTGACGGGCTGGTGTCTGTGCCCTTGCCATGTTCAATATGTTTTCTACTAACTCTGACTAAAAAGACTCACTGAATAGGCCCCAGACTGATGTTCACTAGTGTCCTTTACTTAAAATGTGTCTTTTGGGTTTATCTCAGCAAAATTTAACTTATATGTGGTTTACATGCAGTGTGTTTGTATTTGCCCAACCTCCTTGGGATTGCATCAGGAACATACTAGGTGGCTATAAATGGCAGAACCCAGCAGTCCATGTTTGGCACCTTTACTTTTGGCAGAGTACCATACTGTCTTCCTCAGTCATCATGGCCATCTAGAAGAGAATCAATACTCAAATCCTAACCCTGTCCTCCTCCCAATATCCCAGGGGTTTCCAAACCTGGCTCATTAAATATATAATTGCCCAAACCCTACTCCACTAGGGGAAGAAATTAAGACTACCTAAATTTGGAATCCCAGAAATGTATCTTCAAGTATCATGATGACAGGGTGACATAGAAAACAAAGAGGCATTTAAACTCCCTAAGCCCAAGCACAACAGCTTCTAAAACCCAGGCAAAACAATTAGTTCTGCCTCTAGTTAGACTGAATGTAAAAGAGAAATGTCTTAGTCTGTTTTGTGCCGCTGCAACATAATACCACAGACTGGGTAATTTATAATAAACAGAAATGTATTGGCTTATGGTTCTGGAGTCTGGGAAGTCCAAGGTCAAGGAGCTGCATCTGGCAAGGGTGTTCTTGCTGTGTCACCCATTGCAGAAGGGCAAAAAAGGACAAGACTGAGAAAGAGAAAACGGGGCCAAACTCATCTTTTTATAAGGATCCCACTCCTATAATAATAAACCCACTTCCACAAAAATGGCATTATCCCCTCCAGAGCCCTCATGGCCTAATCACCTCCCATTAGGCTTCACCTCCCAACACTGCTGCATAGGAAATTAAGTTTCCAATACTTGCTTTTGGGGAGACACATTCAAACCATAGGAACGGATGATTATACTTTTTGGTTAGAAATTCTGCCACATAATGTTTTAGAAACATTTGCAGAATGAGAAACATTCTAAATGATTTATGGGGCAAAGTTGTCATCTCATCAAGCACACATTCCTGTCTCAGAGTTTTTGTTTTTACTGTTCTCTCTACATGGAATATTTTTCTCCATACAGGTGTTCATTTTCTTCATGTCTTTTCTCAAACATCATATTGCCAGTCCCTGTGTAAAACACAAATCTATTCCTATACCCTCCCGTGACCCTCTCTCCTGCTTGTTTTTCTCCATAGCCCTCATCTCCATCTGCCACAGTATATATTTACTTGTTTTTCACAAAATGCATATACAAATTATATAAATAAATTATATATCATATATATGCAATAAATTACATATAATAAATATATAATATAATTAGTATGTATTATATATATACTAAATATATAACTAACATACATGCTAACTAAAATATAAGGTATAATAGGGCAGGAAATTTGTATGCTTTGTTCATTGCTGAAATCCCAGTCCCTAGAAAAGTGTCTGGTACACAGTATGTATCAGTAAATATATGTTAAATATTCTCTATTGAACAAGAAAACACCAGTAGAGAAACTAGCTTTGTTTATGACAACTCTAGAATTCAGACACAAAAATTCAGAAGATGAGAATGAATCTTGCATGTGGAGCAAGAAGGAAAGATGAGTGGCACCCTGGATATGCACTGGGAATCTAAAGGTGAATTCATGTTGAGAAATTTGGTCTGAGACAAGTGCTGATACAGGGAAGGAATGAGCATGCTCAGAAACAGGAAATGAAGTCAGCAGAGGCAACAGGTCCCATTGAGAAGTTCTCTCAATGGATGTAGTTTCTTATGATGCTCTGTGTGCAAGGAGAAGGAAGAATTGAGGTAAAGCCCTTAAAAAGCAAAGAGAAATAGAGAAAAAAACAGGAAGCCAAAGATCTTTCTCTGTAGTCTAGGTTATCACTTACAAACTTCTATTGCTGACTGATTAAGAAATGAAAGGAATTGTTTTTTTCTTTTTTTTTTTTTTTTAGATAGATTCTTGCTCTTGTTGAACAGGCTGGAGTGCAGCGGCTCACTGCAACCTCCACTTTCCGGGTTCAAGCGATTCTCCTGCCTCATCCTCCCCAGGAGCTGGGATTACAGGCACCAGCGAGTACACCCAGCTAATTTTTGTATTTTTAGTAGAGACAGGGTTTCACCATGTTGGCCAGTCTGGTCTCAAACTCCTGACCTCAGGTGATCCACCTGCCTTGACCTCCCAAAGTGCTGGGATTACAGGCATGAGCCACCATGCCCAGCCAGGAATTTTTTTTTTTTTAAGAGACGGAGTCTTGCTCTTTCGCCCAGGCAGGACTGCAGTGGCGCTATCTCAGCTCACTGCAAGCTCTGCATCCCGGGTTCATGCCATTCTCCTGCCTCAGCCTCCTGAGTAGCTGGGACTACAGGCACCCGCCACTGCGCCCGGCTAATTTTTTGTATTTTTAGTAGAGACGGGGTTTCACCATGTTAGCCAAGATGGTCTCGATCTCCTGACCTCATGATCCACCTGCCTCGGCCTCCCAAAATGCTGGGATTATAGGCGTGAGCCAGCACGCCTGGCCCCAGCCAGGAATTTTTATATAAAAGGATCGGGGGTAGTTCAAAGTATCATAGGAGGGCTGGAGAATCAGGTTCCAAGTTAAGTGTTCAGAAATAACACCCTAAACTTCTCTAACAAAGAGGTAGGATTTGGAAAATACTAGAACCATGTCTCCAAAAGCCAATGGGAATATGCATTTTTTAACACAGACCCAGGATGTATTTTTTGACCCAGAAGGTCAAGACTTGGTTAATCTTCACTAACAAGGATGGTTGTTCAGGTAGCTAATCATGCCTGAGTACAGCACAGGAAGCCTGGTTTAGGGACTGAGCTACTGGACAGGAATCATGGCTGCTAATTGGTAAGGGAAAGCAGGGAAAGTGGAAAACAGAAAGGAATGGCTGACATGGGGCACAGGGCCTGTAGTCCTACATGAGGCTTGTATTGTCTTAAATTAGATTCAAAACTCACAAGAACCCCTGCTGCTTAAAAGAGAAGGGAAGGAAAAGACACAGGAACAGGAGGAGTTCCTGCGTCTCTTACCAGGAGGTAAGGAGGCTATGTTTTCCATGGGATTGGTCCCAAAAGGGTCCCGACAAGAATGTTTCCAGGCATGCCAGCATCCTCCTTCCTATCACACAGCAGAGGGGCTGATGGGTTCAGGCCATAATTACAAGTTTCCAGAAGGGACTAAGAATGGATACTAGAACTGAAAATGGCAATTCAGAACAGAATAATACATCACATACTCCAAACATAGCTAAGAATGAGGAAATAAACAAAACTGACTGAAAAGCCAATATAGATCATCTGTCACAGTCTACTACAGTTTATGTACTTGCTCGGAGAAGAAACTCAGGTTCTTTGCTGTGTCCACTTAGCTTTTTTATGCGAAACTCTACCTAGTGTAAAACCTACATTCCAAGACCTCAACAGGTTAGAAGCAGGAGAAAGGCCAACACAAAACTTCACAAGGAATAGCAGACAGCAGTTTGATATCATGGGATGAAACAGACCATCAAAAATTGAAAGCCTAGTACACACTCAATAGCTTCTGTGACATCATTAAATCTGAATAAATTATTATAAAAGAATTTCTCTATTTATTCACTCATTTATATATTTATGAATAATTATTCAATATCTAGGATGTGTAAGGAAATAGGCTGGTTGTTGAGATACAACTGTGGATAAGACAAAGTTCCTGTTCATAAGAAAGGCTTAATCTAAATGAGGTTACAGATTATTTTAATACAATACACTTGGTTACTATAGAATGATAGAGTAAGACAGAGAATGCTATAGTGCCACAGAGAAAGGGAATAAAACCCACTAGAGGAAGCTCAGGAGAGGCTTTTAGAGAAACTAGGATCCACACCAGAGCCTGAGGGATAATTAGGAATTAGCAGGTGGGGAGGGAGGAGGCGGGGGAGGCCAGGGAGGTGGGGGGAGGGGGGAGGCTGGAGGAGGCAGGGGGGAGGTGGGGAGGCAGGGGGAGGGGCAGTCAGGGGGAGGGGGAGGCAGGGTGAGAGGGAGGTGGGGGAGGTGGGGGAGGGGGAGGCGGGGGGAGGGGGAGGGGAGGCGGGGGAGGTGGGGGAGGCAGGGAGGAGGCAGGCTGGGGGGAGGCGGGGGAGGCGGGGAGGAGGGGAGGCGGGGAGGAGGGGAGGAGGGTAGGTGGGGGGAGGGGAGGCGGGGGAGGCTCGAGCATGGGGGAGCTGCAGGTCCCGAGCCCTGCCCCATGAGGAGGCAGCTGAGGCCCCGTGAGAATTCGGGCACACCCTCCACAGCTGCTGGTCTGGGTGCTAAGCCCCTCACTGCCCAGGGCTGGCCACAGTGGCCAGCCGCTCGGAGTGCAGGGCGCACCAATCCCATGCCCACCCAGAACTGGCGCTGGACCACGAGCACTGTGCACAGCCCCGGTTGCTGCCCTTGCCTCTCCCTCCACACCTCCCTGCAAGCAGAGGGAGCCGGCTCCGGCCTCGGCCAGCCCCAAGAGGGGCTCCCACAGTGCAGCGGCAGGCTGGAGGGCTGCTCAAGCACAGCCAGAGTGGGCGCTGAGGCCAAGGAGGCACCGAGAGCCAGCGAGGGCTGCGAGGGCTGCCAGCAGGCTGTCACCTCTCAATAGCGCAAGAGGCTACGTTTTCCATTCCAACCAAAAGTTGCTTTCAGTGAAGAAAGAAGGCAATGGTGTTCTAAGAAACATCACTGATCAAGAATATCTATGATATCCTTTCTGAAAACAATGACTTAGAGAAAAAGCAGGGCAGAGGAGGAGTAACTCATAATTCTTTCTTATTTCAATTCTTCCTTAACTCATCACTAAATAAAAGGTAGGAGTGTTGGTAGAACATGCATGTGTTAAAAACTGGAAAAAGGCCGGGCGCAGTGGCTCACATCTGTAATCCCAGCACTTTGGGAGGCCGAGGTGGGCAGATCACCTGAGGTCAGGAGTTCAGGACCAGCCTGGCCAACATGACGAAACCCCGTCTCTACTAAAACTATAAAAATTAGCCAGGCATGGTGGCACGCACTTGTAGTCCCAGCTACTTGGGAGGCTGAGGCAGGAGAATTGCTTGAACCCAGGAGGCAGAGAATGCAGTGAGCCGAGATCTGACCTGTGCACTCCAGCCTGGGTGTCAGAGCGAGACTCTGTCTCGAAAAAAAAATAAATATCTGGAGAAAAAAACCAGTTGAGGCAGTTGAGGTAGTTGCATGAAGCGTCTCCACTCCGTTGAAGAGAACCAAAGACATATACATACATGTACGAGCTACAAAATACAAATTGGGTAATTTCAGTGATTCAAAATAGGAGATAAGTGTTCTTATATTTAAAAACAATATGAAGATGAATGGTAAAATTCATGAAAAGAATTAAATTTTTAATTTTTCTGTACTTAGAATAACATTAAGTAGCAAATAAAAACCACTGGAGAGAGAGACTACTTAAGAAAGGAAAAGGCTTTATATTTTTTCCCTGCTGTTTGGAAAGGGGGCCCTGCATTTTTATTTTGTACTGAGTCCTGCAGATTATGTAGCTGGCCTTGTGATGGCATAAGTTAGCTAGTGTGACATGGAAGTTCAGAATTAGAGGAAGCTGCTATGTATTGTATCTGTGGAAGGTGAGAAGGAGGAGGGAGAGACTGGAGGCAGGAAAGACCATCTGGCAATGTGGTTGCATGGGGAGAAGAGGGGCTTTGTATATCATTGAGAAAATATCAATTTTCAGGATCAAATTATGGAGAAAAACTAATGAGATTCTAGAAGAGTTAAATTCCTGCCAAAAGCCACTCCTGATGCTACAGCTTCATGCTAGAACATTAGACCACACCCAAGGATAAAGGGGGTTGTGGAAGAAAAACAACCCAACCGATTTGCATTATAGAAAGATTACTTCATGTGGAGAACAGATTAAAGCATGAGAACTATTGGGATCCTGGTAAACAGGCTTTCCAGTAAACCCCAAAACAAAGCAAAACTTCTAATTTGTAGCATTTGCTGATTTCAGGTGTGAATACCAACGCCAATGGCCAATTTCAAGCTACTAATAGTAATGACCAGCTGGCAAAATTCCTGAGTATTTAACAACGGCTCTCCTCAATCTGTAGGAGCCAGCTCCTGCTTCCCACTGCAATAAATGATTACATAGTTGATCATATCCTTGTATGAAAAATAGGGAGGCCCAGCACGGTGGCTCACACCTGTAATCCCAGCACTTTGGGAGGCTAAGGTCGGCGGATCACTTGAGCCCAGGAGTTTGAGATCAGCCTGGGCAACATGATTCAACCTCATTTCTCAAAAAGGTTAGTGGGTAGCTGGGACTGAGGCAAGAGGATCACTTGAGCTGAGGAGTTCAAGGTTGCAGTGAGCCATTGATTGTGCCACTGCACTCCAGCCTGGGGCAACAGAGTAAGACTGTCTCAAAAAAAAAAGGAAGATATATTTTATAATTTATACATATTTCCATCAAAATAAATATTTCTTAGATAGTTAATTCTCTCAAATCTGAACACTTTTGTTATTTATGCTGATTTATTCCTCCATGTTTTCAAGAGGAAACACACAGTGGAGAAAAATATTTTAAGAGCTAATGACTGAGAAGTTTATTTTGGGTTTTCTGCAGGCTTTTTTTTTTTTTTTTTTTTTTTGAGACAGGGTCTTGCTCTGTTGCCCAGGCTGGAGTGCAGTGGTGCAATCCTGGCTCACTGCAGCCTCAACCTCCCAGGCTCAAGCCATCCTCCCACTGCAGCTTTCCTGCATAGCAGAACTATAGGCATGCATCACCATACTGGCTAATTTTTTTAAATTTTTTATAGAGACAGGATCTCACTATGTTACCCAGGCTGGTCTCAAAGTCCTGGATTCAAGTGATCCTCCCATCTCGGCCTCTCAAAGTGGTAGGATTACAGGTATGAGCCACTACACCTGACGTGAGAAATTTTCAGAACTGATGGAATGCAACAACCTTTAGACTTAAGAAACCAA
The DNA here is from genome assembly GCF_000001405.40 of Homo sapiens. Taxonomy (NCBI): domain Eukaryota; kingdom Metazoa; phylum Chordata; class Mammalia; order Primates; family Hominidae; genus Homo; species Homo sapiens. The sequence continues at coordinate 87,062,682 of NC_000006.12, forward strand.
CAAATCCCAAGAATTTAAAAAAAAAAAACCCTACACCAGACATACCATACTGAAACTACAAAGCTTAAAAGCAGCCTAAGGAAAGCAGCAAGATGGAAAGCTGACCTCAACTTTGCAACAATGGAAGACAAAACCCAGTGAAATGATATCTTTAAATGTGTGGAGGGAAATGACTACTGACCTCTAATTCTATATCCCATTGAAAGGAAGGACAGAAGGAAAGAAGGAAGGAAGGAAGGGAGGGAGGGAGGGAGGGATGGAGGGGAGTATATTAGTCCGTTTTCGTACTACTGTAAAGAACTGCCTGAGACTGGGTAATTTATAAAGGAAAGAGGTTTAATTGACTCACAGTTTCGCATGGCTGGGGAGGCCTCAGGAAACTTACAAGCATGATGGAAGGCAAAGGGGAAGCAAGGCATCATCTTCACAAGGTGGCAGGAAGGAGAATGAACGCGAGAAGAACAACCAAACACTTATAAAACCATCAGATCTCATGACTCACTTACTATCATGATAACAGCACGGGGGAAACTGTCCCATGATTCAATTACCTCGACCTGATCTCTCCCTTGGCATGTGGGGATTATGAGGATTACAATTCAAGATGAGACTTTGGGTGGGAACACAGCCAAACCATATCATAGAGTGAAAAGGGAGATGGAGGGCAGAAGGAGGAAAAGACTTTCAGAAATAAGAGCAAAATAAGACATTTTAGACAAACAAAAACAGAGAAACAACTACTGACAGATCCTTATTTTTAAAAATTCAAAAGAGTATACTGTATTCTGAAGGAAACCTACCTCAGATGGAAGACCTAAGATGCAAAATAAATAAGCCTTCAGCCCACCGAGATTTTTCAAGGCCATCCCCAATGCAGCTGCTATTTTCAGCTTGCACCCACTTAAAAGCCCACCAACAAATTAAATGGAGAAAAGATAGAGACCACCATCCCTGCATTATTTATTTAACAGTGGCACCAATTCCTGGAGCTTGATAAGGTTTTTGTCTTACTATCTTGGCCACTGGTTGGGATGGGACAGGGAAGCAGTTTTAGACCCACCTTAGATCCAAAGGTGTGGCAGTGGGAGGCTGTCAATCAGCCGTGCTTCTCAAAGCTAATTCCCCTGAAGAACATCTGAGTGCAGCACCTCCATGGCCACCACAGAGAAGAAAGGGCATGTGTGTTCTGAGAGGTATGTACAGGAATATTTATAGTGCAATGTTTGTAATAACCCCAAACTGGAAACAAACTCAGATGTCCATCAACAGGATGGTAAATAAATGCATAGTGGCATCAGCATACAATGGAGTGCTATCGGGCAATGAATGAACTATAGTATGGTGCATACATGTGGATGAATCTAAAACAAACAATGTTGGGGCCAGAAAAAGTAAGTACAGGAGAATACTGTATAGTCCCATTGATTAAGTTCAAATATAGGCAAAATTAAATTATACATCCTTAATGATATGTACACAGGTGGTGAAACCATAAAGAAAAGCAAACCATTAACACAAATATAAGAATAATCGTTACTTCTGGGAAGAAGAAAAGGGAATCACAGAAGGCTTCTAAGAAACTGATAACATTCAGCAGAAATATCTTTAACAAGTGGTTTCATACAAGGTGTTCATTTAATATTGTTCTTTGGACCATACATAGTGTCTTATAGACCTTTTCTGTATATGATGTCTTTTACAATAAAATGTTTAATATGACTGTTTAATTAGACACATAAAAAGCATTTGATTTTTTTAAAATACCTTTAGCAAGCTAGATATAGAAGAAATCTTCATTCAAATGATGGCTACTAAATAGAAACCTACAGCAAGCATCACACCTAAGAGCAGAACATGAAAAGCATCCCTACTAGGGTCAGGAGAAGAGAAAGGATGCACTGTTGTTACTAGTCTTCATCCTAAATGGTAGTCATATATTTCTAATGGATTTGAATACATTTAACTCACTAATGAGTAGTTGGTACTTACTCCATTTATCATACTGACATAAGGAAGACTGACAGTCTCATCACAATGTAACTTTGTCATAGTCCCGGAAACAATTATACATATGCAGTCCTGACTTGCGTTAATAATGAATTAATTAATCCCAGCACTTTGGAAGGCCAAGGCAGGCCAACATGGTGAAACCTCATCTCTACCAAAAATACAAAAATTAGCCGGGCAGGGTGGCAAGCACCTGTAATTTCAACTACTTGGGAGGCTGAGGCAGGAGAATCACTTTAATCCGGGAGACCAAGGTTGCAGTGAGCCGAGATCACACCACTGCACTCCAGCCTTGGCAACAGAGCAAGACTCCATCTCAAAAATAACAATAATAATGAATTAATTAATTATTCCAACAATACTAATTGTTTCCAGCTAAACTTGTGTGGAATTGTAATTCTATTTCTCTCATTCTTTTGATCATGGGTCATCTTTCAGAGAGTCACGCCTCCAGAAGATGGAACAATGAGGCAATCTGGTCTAATGAAAAGTCTGTAGACCTTGAAGTCAATCAGGTGTATGTTCAAATTTAGCTCCATCACTTCCAAGCTGGGTGTGACCTTGATTGTATCAATTAATCTCTCCAGTCTTCTATTTGACATCTTACAAAATGAGGATAATAATGCATACTCTGCAGAAATGTGAGTCCTTGAAATACTACATGTCAAGGACCTAGCTCAAAGCCTGGGTATAAAAGATGATCAAAAATGGTCATAGTTGTCCAGGCGTGGTGGCTCACGCCTGTTATCCCACGACTTTGGGAGGCCAAGGTGGGCAGATCACCTGAGGTCAGGAGTTTAAGACCAGTCTGGCCAACATGGCGAAACTAAAAAATACAAAAATTAGCCGGGCGTGGTGGCAGGCGCCTGTAATCCCAGCTACTCGGGAGGCTGAGGCAGGGAGAATTGCTTGAACCTGGGAGGCAGAGGTTGCAGTGAACCAAGATCACACCACTGTACTCCAGCCTGACTCCATCTCAAAAAAAAAAAAATGGTCATAGTTGTGATTATTTTATTAACTTCACAGTAGCCAGCTAAACTCCTGAAACCAACCCCCAAAATGTTGATTAACAGTTGACAGAGAACGCTGGTGTGCTGCCATGGCACTTATTAGCCCTGTCTTATTCAAATGTTTATCAATCGCTTGAAACATAGCCTAAATGATTATTAAATTTCTAGATGATATAACGATAGACCAAATGACTAAAACACTGTGGTCCCCAACAACACTAGGACCAAAACCAACAGGATGAAATTTGATGTGAGTAAAAGGAAGGACCTGTGTTGGATTTCCCTGACATTGCACTTGGCACAGGACAAGCAATGATAGCATCTAAAGGACCCTCTTGTTTGTGAGTTTGGTGTGAGCTAACAGTGTGTGAGCGTCTATAACACATGCGAATTTAGTTTGCCTGACAAGGTTAGCAGTACCCTGAATTTAAAAACAGAGAAGAATTATGTGGCCAGCCCCAGTTACAATAAGCAGACAAGGCAGCTCTCTCTCCTCAGTAGAGCAGCATCACACATCTCAGAGACCCCTATGGAGTGGTGGTGGGAACATGCGGACTTGAATTAGATTGCTATCAATCCACTTTTAAACTACTAACATGTCTGTTTCTAACAGCCTCAGGGAATAGGCATTACAAACCATCACAAAAACTCATTTTTTTAAAAAAACACATGGCAGCAACCATAATAATAAAACTGCACAAAAGAACCAAAGCAAGAAAAAGCAAGAAGGAAGAAAAGGTCAGCATTACAGTGATGTTGATTGGATTGCAATGACCTGTTCATATTCTTGCTTTTGAAACACCAGGTTCTCTAGGTCATTTAAAAGGAAACTAATTAATTGCTTCTGATATTTTCTTTCATCTCCAAATCATGTCTCTTTTTTTTTTTTTTTTTAAGGTTTTTGGCTACACATTGCCACTGGGTGGAGCTCAAAGTCCACAAAAGCACCTTGGAACCAGCAAGTAAATAAAAAGCAGCCAGCCACGGACTCATTTTCAGACACATAACATTTACAATATTTTTTTTCTCTTGTATTGATACGTGAAGAAGCACAAACACTGAATGAAAGGAAGTGGCCATCTTTTAGAAAGAAAGAAAGCATCTCTGCAACTGAAAAAAAAAAAAAACAGCCAGCTCGGAAAGAGATTGCGGAAGTGGTTTTCAGAGATCAATAATATGCAATTATTGACTTAAGCTGAGAGTGAGATTGGAGGCTTACAATCATAACGAATTGAAGTTCTTGCATAGAGAATTTGTTTTGCTGTATTTTTTTATCACCTTTTTTTAATTGCACAGAGGCACTTGCAGCTTGGCAGCTTTATTTTGCATAGGTACACTGTGTGAATGTGTGTATATTATGAGTATAGGTTAAATGCATTCCTGTAAGAAGGCCCAGAGGCTGCCTGTGGGGCCCAGACAGTCCATCTGCTCCAGCAACCATCCCCTTGGGAAAATAAAACGTGAAATGCCACTAAGACAACCGATTATTATGCTGTTTTAGATTAGGCAACTTGTGCTTTCCCCCTTTGTCAAACCCCTGAAAGGAAGAGTTGCAAACCAGAAGAGAAAATAATAATGAGCTTTTCATTACCTCCAGAGCATGAGCTGAAAGTTTCTTTGACAAAGAGAGGAGGGAAATCGGATGTGTCTCAACTGGCTCCAGTTATATTAGCATTTTTCTTTTGTAGCTACACTAGCATTTTTCCAATTTCCAGTTTTCTTTTCTTGGGCTAATAGTACATGTTTAACAAAATTTAATTGAGTTATAACGAAATAGCTAACACTAAAGCAGTACTTATTATATGTGAATGCTGAGTATTTCACATCTTCACCCCTTTTAATACAACAGCCCTTTGAGGGAGAGGGAGGAATTATTATCATCTCCATTTTGCAGGCATGGAAAAAAAGCCTCAGCAAAGTTAAGTAACTTGTGCAATGATACTCAGCTAGGAAATGGCAATACCTACCTCAGCTGCCTTTCTGCACCGAAACTCATTCTCTTCCTTTCCCATCAGCATATTTCACTGAAGTCTCAGGATGTCCTAGTTAAAAACAAACTCAGTCAGAGAGAAGATATGCCGGTTATGACCTACCTTACTCCCGACCCATTACCCCCTAGGTCCCACCCAGCAGCATTGTGATCTGAGGAAAAAGGAAGGCAATGCTCTAGCTTCCCAAGGGGAGGTTTCACCCAAAATAGGCTTAGCATCCCCTCTCCTCCCAGCAGAGAAGCTCAGCAAAAAGTCTGGATTCTACTATCGCTCTCCAGTTCCATCCCTTGGCAGTCACTGAAGAGCACCTCTGGCAGTCACTTAAGAGCACCCCAAATCTTACCACCTGTGAGAGCTTGGGCAGGTGACTTAAACTCCCTTGTGTTTTTAAACCTGTGAAATACAAATAAGAATACCTTCCTCACAGGTTTCTATGGGAATTAAATAAGTTAAAGTATAGAATGCTTTTGATAGTGCCTGGCACTCTCTACAAGCTAACACGTTGACCATTCCCATTATCACTGATGCAATATCGTCGGCTTTGCACCCCACCCTTTTTTTCTTTTACAACATAATGGGTTTATATTTAATATAGTATTTCTCATCAGGAGGATGTTACTCAGTTGATATAAAGTGCTTTTTTAACGTTAAATCTTTTCCATGTCAATGTCTATAGTGTTTTTTTACATTAAATCTTTCCTGCATTTCAGTATTAGATACACTGAATACATTTTTCTAAATGTTTTTTCCCCAGAGATAAAAGTTTCCCTTTTTGGCTATTTGATATCTAAATACAATATTAACTTGGAAGATAACAAAACAAAAATCAAATCAAAATATGGAGAAAAGACTCCTCAATGATTCAAGAAGTAGTGATTATAACTGAATACTGGTGATTTTCTAGGATTCTGGGCAAGAACTTCCTTCTTCCTATTTCACGTGCTTTGAGAATTCTAAAACTATGAAATATTACTTATGTAAATTTCAGCCATCTTACTTCCTTGACCTTCTTTCTAACCAGCAAATACAAATTATAGGCTGCATTTTTCTGTGCATTATTTGTTGTAAAGAAAACTCTTTTTTTTTTGTTCCCATTTCATGGAAACAATGAAAAATGTAAAACTCCCCTATTTACTGATTCCTGGAAACTTTCACCAAAGCTCAGGTTTAGCCTCAATAGCACAAAGCCTTTCAGGGTGAGGCTTGATTCAGTAGGCCCTTCAAAGTCACATCTGTCCATTTCTCTTTCGTGCATATACCCCCAAGCAAGCAAGAATGTCTGTAACGCTGAGAACCACACCTAACAAGAGAGTGATTGCATCACCGGCTTCTACTGCTTCACCCAGGCAGCACCAAAATAGTGACATGAGGACTAAGGCAACTGTGCTGAAATTCAGATCATGATGTTGGAATCTTGAGGGCTGAAGGTTCCAAAGAAATGGTATATATAGAATTCTATCTGACTTGAAATTTTTCCTTCCTGGAGCTCCAGGTGCTGAGACTAAGAGGTTCCATGTGACACTGCCTTCCAGGAGGCAGCCATTACAGAAACCCACTTTGCACCCCCTTTTGTAATCACAACCTTCTTATCTCCCCCCTTCTCCACACATGACCACTGTCTGCCATGAAAGTATCCTCACCTCCATGTCCTTTCCGTCCAACGAACCTTGCTCCTGGCAACAGACTACTGCTACTTAAGCGCCACTAGGATTATGATACTCTCCATGCTTAAAAAAAATAATGAGGCTGGAGTGGTGCCTCATGCCTGTAATACCAGCACTTTGGGAGGCCGAGGTGGGTGGATCACCAGAGGTCAGGAGGTCGAGACCAGCACAGCCAAAATGGCAAAACCCTGTCTCTACTAAAAACACAAAAAAAAATTAGCCGGGCATGGTGGCGGGCTCCTGTAATCCCAGCTACTCGGGAGGCTGAGGCAAGGAAAACCGCTTGAACCAGGGAGGCAGAGGTTGCAATGAGTGGGGATCACACCACTGTACTCCAGCCTGGGCGACAGAGCGAGACTCTGTCTTAAATAAATAAATAAATAAATAAACAAATAAATAAATAAATCGTGGCTAGATGCTGAAAATATCTAAAAGCTGAAAGTTCTAGATCATTAGTCCAATATCCAGTGCTTTCCACAGTCTGCTCCCAACCTATCTTTTTTTTGTGTGTGTAAATTATTTTATTTCTTCCATGATGATTTAGAGGGACTATCTTCAAACCAGTACAAATATTTCATAAATAATACCTAGCCAATTTCTAACCAATTGAGTAATTTGTTGCCACCTCACATCTTTTAGCAAGAAATATATTCAATTTGAATAGTAAAGACATTACACAATGAATAAGGACAGAATGAAAATTTGCTTTAAATATTTCTTTGGGAAAGGAGACATCACACTTCTACTCAATGAAGAGAAACATTTTTACAGTCCAGAGGTCTTTTATTTTTCTTAACCCCTATTATGCCATGAATCCAAAGGGGACAGCTTCCAGCAGCTCAGGCTCCTTCCCATTGGTTCTCACAAAGTGTGCTTCTCTGGGTGGAGCAAGCTGGCACTTCAGTTGAACCCAGGTGCCTTTCTCTTTGGCTTCCTTCTTTTTCTGATCATTTTCCTCCACGCGTTTCAGGAAGCTATTTCAGTTCTTAGAGTGCTTAATGTGCTCAATATGCACATTAATTCTCTTGGCAAGAATCTTGCCCTTAACTTGTGTGTTTACAGCAATGCTAACAGCATGCTGGGGAACACTGTAGACTCTTCCAGCTTTGGGAACACTTGTGGGGCATTTCTCCCAACCTATCTTTCCAGGCTTTTCACTGACTTCTCCCAGGTCTTGCTTTATTCCAATCTTCCTGCATATCCATTCCATGCCCTTGTACATACCATTCCACTTGTCTGTATGCTCACCTCCATCTGTCAAAAGTTGACTTATCACTTCACACCTAGGTCAAATTCTCCTTTCCCTCAGCCTGAAGTCACTATTTTGAGTAGGAATCTCCACAGCTTTCTTTTTTGACCACTCATTTATTTATCTGTACATATTCACTCATTTTGTTATTCTACCCTTGTTTTTATGTCCTTTTCCTCAGGTAGATCATAAGCAGATTGAAGGCAGGGATTGTTGAAAGGTGTATATTAATTTCTGTTGCTAAAGGTCCTGGACTGGCATAAAGGCTCTGAAAGGATTATTCACCAGAGCAAAGCTGGAGAGAACTCCTCCCCCAGCCTAGCAGATCTTTGTAACTGTAGTCCTGAGGGTGTGGAAGCTTAAGCAGTTTCTAAGAAGATAAGTGTGAGATACTCAGTCCTTCTGGACTTCCTGAGGTCGTAAAGTATCGTTGGAGTTGCCAAAAGGTGAAAGTAGAAGCCAGACTGGCACCAAGCACCACCAGGTCAATTTTTCCTTCAGGCTCTGGTCAACAAAACATCCCAACAACCTCTTTTTTTGTTTATTTTTGTTTTTCAAGACAGGGTCTCACTTTGTCACCCAGGCTTGAGTGCAGTGGTGTGAACATGGGTCATTGCAGCCTCAACCTCCTGGGCTCAAGCAATCCTCCCACCTCAGCCCTGACAGTAGCTGGAACTATAGGTGTACACCACCAGCCCAGCTAATTTTTGTATTTTTTGTAGAAATAGGGTTTCTCCCTGTTGCCCAGGCTGGTCTCGAACTCCTAGGCTCAAGCAATCCAGGTACCTCAACCTCCCAAAGTGCTGGGATTACAGGTGCGAGCCACCATGCCCTCCTCACTCCAGCCACTTCTAAGGATATAACGGAGACTGCTATTACCAAGAAATATTAACAATGATCAAGAAAGGACATACAGCACATTTGTAAAATAGTTTTAACATTTCTGAATAAATAGCTATTCTCTAATTAAGCATCAAAGAACTCTGGCCAAAAAGTCTGTGAAATAAATTGTATACTTGCTCCCATCCATGCCTCTCCCCACAAGTTTGACTTTGATCTTCCAAACACAGATCATTTTGAAGAAAACATAGCAAGGGAGCCCCTGTCTTGGGATGTTTTTTGATACTTCTTAATGCCTGCCCTGGTCAAGTCTGGGCAGGCTATACTGCAATCTCAGTGGCTCAATAGAACAGAGGTTAATTTTTCACTCACACTACGTGTCCATTGCAGGTGGGGAGCCCTGCTGCATGTAGTCCCTTGGGGACCCAGGTTCATGGAGGCGCTATTAGCTGAACATCCTCAGTGCCTATGGGAGGCAAAGAGAACTCATACCAGCCCAGAAGTGACAAGTCACTTTCACTCACAGCTCATTGGCCAAAAGTGGTCACACAGTTCTACCTATCTGTAAGAAGGGAAATGTACATGAACCTCTTGGTGAGAGCATTCCTGAATTTATCCAAAACGTCTTAGACACACTGCCCTGCGTTTCTCCTCTAATGGATACTGGCATCTATTGCTTCTATAAAAGGTGTAGGAAACTCAATAATGTACTTACATTTAAGTCAACACATGGAGAGAATAGATAGTCCAAGCAAATGACTTCAGTATGTTTAATTCCTGGATCAGGAAATTAAATTCTTTCAGAGCCACATTAACATCTATCACTCTGATTTAAAACTGTCATCTAGGCTTTCTTTGATACTTCTGATTAATGGAATGATTATGGCATAAGACTAAGTAGAACACCTTCTCTTTATTTTGAGTAAAGAATACACAGACAATAAACACTTGAATTTGTTTGGCAAAGAGAAAGATTAAAGACAACATTTTCATTGTGCTGTAGCTTCATGGAGTTGTTTTTTGTGCTGGTGATGATTTTTATTGCCTTTGTCCTATAGAAAAGATTGTACACTGATAAGAACCCCATAACCAGCTTCCCTCACATAAAAATGTGAAGTGACATAACAAATAAATCTATCAGGAAATTCCTCTAATTTAAGTAAAGGCAAAACTCCAGGGACTAAAGACAATAATCATCGTTGCTTCTTTTTGCTGATGCTTAGTTCAAGATGTTTATTCAAGAGAGTTAAAGGGAAAAGAAATGCAAAATACAGGATTTTCAGGCAGTGCTTCAAAATTAAGACCTTAGGGAAAGCAGTTTCAAAAGCAAAAATAGATGCCACCAGTCCCCATTCTTATTTGAGATCTTATGCCAAATTAAATAGGGCTTTGATAATCATCTGGCACAGCAGTTCTCAATCAGTGATGCACATTAGAAACAACTGTGGAGTTTTAAAGTATACATAAACTTGGGCTCAAGCACTGGGATTCTAATTCACTGGGTCTAAGGTTCAGCACAACATCTGTCATGTTTAAAGTCTTGGATAAGTATATGATTTTTTTTTAATTAGGAAGCACATATCTAAAGGTAAGACCTCTCTGTTCCCTAAAGGAACAAGAAATCCTGCCTTCTATTCTCCGATTGAATTTGGAATCACTAATGTAGCCTCCATTTATCCATATGGGAAAAATGAATCAGGCCACCAAGTTCCCACCACCACAGAAAGAGTCACTATCAGAGCTGAAATGGCATCAAGGATTTTCTTTTTCTTTCTTTTCCTTTTTTTTTTTTTTTTTTTTTGAGACAGAGTCTCACTCACTCTGTAGCCCATGCTGGAGTGTAATCACAGTAGTGTAATCACAGTTCACTCCAACCTCCGCCTCCCTCCTCAGCCTCCTGAGTAGCTGGGACTACAGGCACATGCCACCATTCCTGGATAACTTTTGTACCTTTTTTTGTAGAGATGGGGTTTCATCATGTTGCCCAGACTGGTCTCGAACTCCTGGGCTCAAGTGATCCAGCTGCCTTGGCCTCCCAAAGTGGGATTTTCTTAACCAGTAATTGGTCCCCATTATTTGCAGCCAAGTATAATTATAATCATTAAATCCTGCTTATCAAAGTTACTTTTAGAACTATTTATGGTCATTATCTGGCTATGAACAGACTGTCAGTGTGTTCCTGGACCAAACTGAGGGTCGGGCTGCTATTTTTCGCAGCCCAATAACAAGATGCAGATGAACTGGGGAGGAAGAGAGTTTTTATTTCTGTGACCGATTACAGGGAGAAGGCCTGGAAATTATCATCAGACCAACTCAAAATTACAAAGTTTCCCAGAGCTGATATACCTTCTAAGCTATATGTCTACATGTAAGTATGCATTCATCTAAAGACATACGTGATTAACTTATTGTAATCTATAACTAAGGTCTGAGTCCTGAAGACCTTTCTCTGGAGCCTCAGTAAATTTACTTAATCTAAATGGGTCCAGGTGCTGGGGTGATTACCCTTATCTTGCCTCCTGCTAAATCACAGAGGTTTGAGGAGTTCCTTCAGATCCCCAATAAACTTGTTTGTGGAGGCCTGGGGAGTTTCTTCAGACCCACAATAAAACTTGTTTAACCCTAAATGGGTCCTAGTAAGAATTCCTTCATTATTTGGTCATGCTTTAAGGCCCAGGAAAGGCCTACGCAAAACTCTTCATGGGCGTTTGTTACATCCCAGCCTTTGTATAAGGGCGCTGGCTTTTAATATTTAACTTAACCACTCAGTCAGTGCTGAAACAGCTGTTAGTGAGGCCTGGCCTGCCACAAGTGTGAGGCAGTAGAACAGTGGCATTTCCTTTCTCTTTGTAGATGGGATAAAAGCTATGTGAAAATCCTATGTAATGTACCTCTGCCTGCCCTCACACATTCAAGCCACACCAGCTGGCTTTTTCTCACTCAGCATGTCAAGTGGCCTCTAGATGGGTTGGGCCTAAACAGACAGGAACATGGCCCCTGGCATGGAGCAGGCACTGGGGTGGGGACCCAGCTGGGGCCTGGGAGCAGTCCAATCTGGCTGGAAGAACATGTCCTCTACTCAGGGGAGGCTGGTCAGCATTAGGGAAGTCCACCATGGAGTAACAATGAATGGAGTCACATGGTCACCAAGAATTCAGAGGCGGTTGAAATCTGGAAATCCACCAAGAGCTAGACTTTCTTCATCTGGAAAGGCATTGAATTAGGCCCTATGCCTGCTTCTGAGTCTTCTTGAAACTAAGTAAAAGGGCAAAAAGCTGATTTGCACAAGATTCATTTTCTGCTCTAATAAGCATAGAAAATTATGTTAGATAAATGTTTAATGAGACTGAAAGTCAAGGAAGAATATGTCACAGGGGACTCTGATTAAGGAACATATAAGTAGCTTAATTGACTTTCTTTACTGATTTTTAAAAAATAAAAAAAGGGCCGGGTGCGGTGACTCACGCCTGTAATCCCAGCACTTTGGGAGTCGAAGGCAGGGGGGTCAAGAAATCGAGACCATCCTGGCCAAAATGGTGAAACCCCGTCTTCACTAAAAATACAAAAATTAGCTGGGCGTGGTGGCACGGGCCTGCAGTCCCAGCTACTCGGGAGGCTGAGCCAGGAGAATCACTTGAACCCAGGAGGCAGAGGTTGCAGTGAGCCAAGATCACGCCACTGCACTCCAGCCTGGCAACAGAGCGAGACTCCATTTCAAAAAAAATAGTAGTAACAGAGATAATTATTTTACTAACCTCCTTACATAGATTGACAGCAAAACTTTCCTTAGAGTGGCACACCAGCCCCTTTGTCACCTGGGTCTCACATCTTGATTTAGCCATGACTCCCACAGTTCCCAGCCCACAGCACTGAACCCCTGTGCAGAGTCCTAGACTACTTCCTCCCTCACTCCATGCCTCTGAGCTGTTCCATCTCACTGGAATGTCCTTGGTTCTCCTTTTCAACCTTGTGAAATCATGTGAACGGTCAAAGCCCAGCGTAGACATTTCCACTTCCATAAAGTGGTCCCTGTCCCAACCTCCTACTGCAGGGAGAGCTGATTCCCCCATCTCTGCACTTTATACCTGTACACCTCAGGGCTTTCTCATGGGCAGCCAAGATTGAGAATCATTGTCTTAGAACTAGCATCTATCAAGCCGGGGATGGTGGCTCACACCTATAATCCCAGCACTTTAGGAGTCCAAGGTGGGTGGATCGCCTCAAATTCAGGGGCTCAAGATCAGCTTGGACAACATGGCAAAACACCTCTCTACAAAAAATGCAATTAGCCAAGCATGGTAGGTCTCAGCTATTCAGGAGGCTGAAGTAGGAGGACGGCTTGAGCCTGGGAGGTTGAGGTTGCAGTGAGCTGAGATTGTACTACTACACTCTAGCCTGGGTGACAGAGTGAGACCCTATTAAAAAAAAAAAAAAATTTAAAAACCTAGTATCTATCAAATACTTATTTGAAACAACATGAACAATATGATCACTTTGATCTGTACATTTATCCTTCTGTATGTATATAAGCATTAAAATGTCTGATTATGGGCCAGGCGCAGTGGCTCACGCCTGCAATCCCAGTACTTTGGGAGGCCGAGGCAGGCGGATCACATGAGGCCAGGAGTTCCAGTCCAGCCTAGCCAAGGTGGCAAAACCCTGTCTCTACTAAAAGTACAAAAAATTATCAGGGCGTGGTGGCATGTGCCTATTGTCCCACTACTTGGGAGGCTGAGGCAGGAGAAATGCTTGAACCCAGAGGGCTGAGGTTGCAATGAGCTGAGATCGTACCACTGCACTCCAGCCTGGGCAACAGAGCACTCTGTTGTCAAAAAAAAAAAAAAGAAGAAGCCTGATTATGATTATTGTTTCTGAGTGATGGCATTATGGGTAATTTTTTATACTGAATTTTGTACTTTTCTGTATTACCAGAATTTTTTAATGAGAATGTTTTAATGAAATGAATGGTCATTTTAAAAGAAGCCTTCTCTGTCTTATCCAAAAATGTCTACCCATCCTACCCCATTACTCTCTATTTTTATGTGCTATTGGGTTTTTTATATAGCCCTTGCCACAATTTTTAGTTATATATTTATCTATTCATTTGTTTGCTTGTTTATTTTCTGTCTTTGCCTCTTGACTATATAAACTCATGAAGGGGAGGACTATATTATTTTATTCACCAACGTATATCCAATACCTACCACAGTGCCTGGCACAGAGCAGATACTCCAAAATATTTGTTGCTTAATGAATAGGTGGACAAATTAATATGTGTTATAATAGAAGGAAGTTCAACAAACATTGGGGAAAAAAGGAGAGAGTGAATAATTCTGTTAGAAGAAATCCAAGAAGGCATCACAAAGAAGGAGACACATGAACTGAGTCTTGAACAGTTAATAGATTTCCCCATGCAGTGAAGAGGGAGAGCTTTGTAGGCAATGAGAACATCCAGTCCAGAGGTGCAGGAGATATGAAGGCATACACGTGTTTATGAGACAAAAGTTGGGTGTGGCCAGAAGGTAGACAGAGTGATATGTGTACATGAGGCTGCAGAGATAGGTTGGAGCCAATTGCGTAGAGCCTTGTGATTTGGCAAACAAATGGTTCAGTAATGTTCATAAAAGGACTCAATACAGCAGAGTAAGGAATTCAGAAATCAGATTAAAAGGATTTTTATTACATTTTTATTTTGAAGTAATTTTAGGCTTGCAGAAAAGTAGCAAAAATAGAGAGATCAAATATACGCTTCACTCATTTTCCCTAATGATAATATCTTGCATAACCAAAGTACAATTATCAAAACCAAGAGATATACTGGTACAATACTATTAACTAAAATATAGATTTTAGGCCGGGCACAGTGGCTCACGCCTATAATCCCAGCACTTTGGGAGGCCAAGGCGAGCAGATCACTTGAGGTCAGGAGTTTGAGACGAGCCTGGCCCACATGGTGAAATATGGTCTGTACTAAAAATACAAAAAATTAGCTGGGCTTGGTGGCATGCACCTGTAATTCCACCTGCTTGGGAGGCTGAGGTGGGAGCACCGCTTGAACCCGGGAGGTGGAGGTTGCAGTGAGCCGAGATCAGGTCACCGCACTGTAGCCTGGGTGACAGAATGAGACCCTGTCTTGAAAAATAAGTAAACAAAAATAAATAAATAATACAGATTTTATGGAAATTTCGTCAGTTTGCCACTAACATTCTTTTTCTGTCCTGGGATCCAATCCAAGAATTTCACTTTGCATTACTTGTCATGTCTCCTTAGTCCCCTCTCATCTGTGATAGCAACTGATCTTACCCTGTCTTTAATGAAACTTGACATTTTTTAAGAGTACCGGCCAGTTATTTTGTAGATTTTTCCTCAAATCGTTTGTCTGATGCTTTTCCATAATTAGATTGAGTGCATGCATTTTCAGCCCTTCTCAGAGCATGATTCCGGGGGGGGGTCTTATGATGTTGGTATCCAACATTATTGCTGGTGAAGTTAACCTTAGTCGCTGTGTTAGCCAGCTTTCTCCACTGTAACGTTGTAATTTTTCTCTTTGTAATGAATATTTATCTTAGAGTAGATGCTTTTGTTTTTTGAGACAGGGTCTCACTTTGTCACCCAGGCTGGAGTGCAGTGGCACAATCTCAGCTCACTGCAGCCTCAACCTCTGGGGGGTCAAGCAATCCTCCTGCCTTAGTCCCCACAAGTAGCTGGACTACAGGGGCCTGCCACCACGCCCAGCTAATGTTTTTGTACTTTTTAAAGAGACAGGGTTTTGCCGTGTTGCCCAGGCTGATCTCAAACTCCTGAGCTCAAGTGATCTGCCCACCTCAGCCTTTCAAAGTGCTATGATTACAGGCGTGAGCCAGTGCACCCAGCCTTAAAAATAAATGTGATTATATATACTTAAGGCATACAACATAATGTTATGGGATACATATAGATAGTAAAATGGTTACTATGTAAGCGCATATAAATATTTTTATGTTCACTAATGTGAAACAATAAAGACAGCAAGCCAAATGAAGATAATGTTAATGGCATTTCACACATCTTAAATTAGTAATAACAGGTTACTATATAATTAATTCCATTTCCATCCTTTGCTTGCTAAACGTTTTTCAGGATCTCCCTTTCCTGAATATTCATTAGATGCTTTACTGTGTGCCTTGCTTTATTGCAGATGGCAACCAAACACAAAGAAGTTTTCTGAGTTTTTTTATTTTTGTTTTGCTGGAGTTTTTTTGTATATCTATATCTAGTCCCCTAGCCAACTGTTTTTAAACCTTTTATGTCCTAGCACAGAGAAAAAAGTAGGATGAACTAGAAGGTGTTTGTGGATGTCCATATGGGGCTTGGTTAAAAAAAATACAGTTGTGAGAAAAATACAGGGTATCAAATTTGAATGAAACCCAGATACAATATTTTCAGATATTTCAATTTGAAATTTGAGCTTACATATTTAACCTAAATGTTTTTCCTTTCCTTGCATTGACAAATGTATTATTGAAATTCTTATAATAATCTGAAGGAATTTTGGAATTTAGGTTTAGCTTATCAAATATTTCTTGCCAAGTGCACAAGTATTACAGCTGCCACCCCACAGGTAGTTGGATGTCACTAAAAGGGCACATCAGGAGCAAATGAACAGAAAGATCCCATAAGCATGAAGACAAATGTGCCCAGTCAGCTGGACCCATTCGGCCTAGCATCGCTCCCAGCCTCACCCACTGACTCTTCCAGAAGCTCCATGGACCACTTGTCCACAAGGGGCAGCAGTGAGTTCTGCAGCGGACTGAAGAAATCCATAGCTGGCAGTGAGGGAGGGCTTCTCTTTGGCCACGCTCAGTTTCACACGCTGTGGCCAGCACTTGTGTCTTCAGCTTCAGGAATAACAGAGCCTACCCCAGAGCTCTCAGAGCCCACCCTGCCCATGTAAACAGCGAATGCATCTCTGATGTTATCACTGTCTTCCATATCAGAGTGTGTCGCACAGAAACATAGTCACTAGAATAACTGTGGTGGTAACCATAATTTAATTTAGATGGTAAATTATCTCCCTAAAACCCAAGGTTAAGACTTTAGTTCCTCCAACCATAATTTCAACCCAAGCGCCTGCCAGCAACCCTTTATACACACAGCCTGTCCCACTTCTCCATCTTCACAAAGATGTGGTACATTTCTAGGTTACGCCCGGGTTTTCTTTCTTCCTCTTCCTTTATCCCTCTGAAGCCATCTTGGGCAAACCATTACTTCTGCCCCGGAGTTCATCTCCATTTCCTAGGCCTAGTCCTAATGCTGGCCTTGTCCAGTTATCCTCAACATGAGTTGCAACTGGGAAAAAGGTATACAGAAGTAAATTTGCACGTACTGAAATTCTACTTGCTGTCAACTTAACTAAGAATCAATTACTGTTCACAGACAATTTACAGCAAAATAAGTGACTATAATTCAAACACACTTTCTGATCAATAGCATTTGGAGAAAACTGATACAGTTTTAGTGCTTTTACTTTACTATTCTACTTTCTGCTAACATCCCATTAACGGAAATGGTTTTTAAACAATAGAATGTCTTTGTTGAACACTCTCTTACAAATTTTCGATAATGTGCCCAGCTTCTGGCTGCTTCTTCAGAGACTCCTCTCCTGACCCTCCTTCCCTCCTTTTTCCCAAAGCCTCAGCTTTCAAGTCCTAGAGATGAGTGAGCCCTGGGAGTCACATTCAATAGAAAAGTATATACTTTTCAGAGCATATGCTTTTCTGGAGTTCGGAAGGGAAATTCATTTTTAAAATCCAATAGTTATTTTCTTTTTCTGTCTCTCATTTTGAAGTTTGATGCAATAATTAACTTCTGTCTTTGTTCTGAGGGAACTCAGATCCAGCTTCAGTTCCTTGTGAAAACAGCGTTTAAAATTTGCAATTCCTCATGCTACCCAGTTTTGAATAGAAGAATATGGATATCCTAGTCGTCTTCCACAACACAGAAATCTCTTCATGTTTCTCCTCCTGAGGGATAGGATAGCTTTGAGATATGAATTAAGTTTCGAAAGAAAATAACTGAAGAAGTCGTTGAGTAAAGGAAGAAGAGCTATAAGGGTGAAGCTGAAGCCCAAGCTTCCAGACAAAGCATTAGTAGACAATTCACAGACCAAATATCAGATCTTTTAATAGAATGGGTTTTCAACCTGGGCAAATCTCAAGGAGAGTTTTCTGTTAGTGTCCATGGGGAAATAGTTCTTTGTAGATAAAGTGAAAACGTCATAGATTTGGAAGGAAGTTGGAATTAGAAAGAAGCAGCTCAGAAATGGAGATGCTCACTTTTCCTATACACATTCTTTGTTCCTATACAACCAAAGCTTTGTACTTCTGTTTATCCAATTGTCAAATGAAGATGGTGCCACATGTTCCAACTCTCAGTCTGGAAGGGGCTAAGTGAAAAACATGGATGCATTAGACATGGGAAGTTCTAAGAAAGTAGAAGAGCTGTATTAATGTCAGGCAGTTTGATGTTGTTTAACTTTTTGTCAAGTAAGTCAACCTCTCTGGTCTTATTGACGTTTGTGGTCCTAGCCAATTTCCTCATGTCAGCTTCATGGTCATTTGCATGTGTATTTTTTGGTTTTACCTTCCTGTCCTTTGCCAGATTCTGGATGTCCCTTCTACTTTTTCCATGCATAATAAAACCAAACAAAACTGTATTTGGACCAATATTTTATCCAGGATCCCCCACCCCAAGCAGTATTAGGGTAAAAATACATCAACATTTGGAATCTTAGATGTCAAGATTCTCACCAATTTAGGCCATTATTTTTCAAAATGCAACAATGGTCATATTACTATGATGAGATTATAGATAGAGCTGCCATGTAAGATTGCACAGTTTGTGTACTGCACAAAGGTGCCCATCCAGGAAGTGAGGGCTAACAACTATCCAGACCCCACTCCACCTCTGCCTGAGGGAAAAGATGTTTTTCTGCACCTTATGATTGTGAAGCCATTTACTCAAGGTGCTGTGCCTGCCCAGAGAAAGCATCCTTTTCCAATTTGTACAATAGTTGCATACAGCCTAGAGATCTTGATTATTTAGATTTTGACAGAGGGGAAGAGGGGTGGGCATGAGTGGGTGGACATGAGTAGAGTAATGGTCTATTCTTTCTGCTTGACTCCAGCTCTGCCACCTCTGAGGCTACTGACTCTCCAGCAGCCTTTCCGGCTTCTCTCTCTTCCCATCACACATTTTTCCTCTCCACACTTTTTATGCAGCTTCATTCTTCTTTCTCCTCCCTTCCTAGTATCTTTCTTTCCCTCTCATCATTTCCTGCCCTTTCCTCTCACTCCCAGGAGATGGGCCGATGGCCAAGTGCCATCACTGTTATATTGACCTCCTTCTTGAGTCCTAGTCACCAATAATATCACTATAATCACTTTGGAGTTTCTTCTCATCATCAAATCTTGACACAATTACAAAGTAGTAGAAGTCTTGCATCTTTGCTTTATCCTTTTCAATACTCTGCCAGACACCCCCCTTTCCCAGCCAACAAGGGTCCAGAACTCCCAGTGTGGACAGAACTGATAGTCTGTTAAACTTGTGTAATAGTTCATTAAACTGTTTATGGCCAACCACATTGCATCTCCTGGGAGTGTTGTCATTTAAAAAGCAGGTGCTTGGGATACCATGTTTTAGCCATAAGGAAGGAATCTCACAGGGGAGAATTCAGAGCAGCTTTCTAGCTGAGGTGAATGATGGACAATTTTTTTGATAGAAGCACCCCCTCAAACCTGTGCTTACTCTGCCTTAGGATTTCTTTCAGGTATTTTCACAGATGATCTTGAGACAAAATTGCCAGCCTCCACACCTGCATCTCTTCCTCCTTGCTGCTTATATAGCTGAGCTTATAATCTCTTCTCTAGAGAGCTCATATCAGAGCTTTCAAATTGACTGTCCCGAAAGTCATGACAACTATTTTCTCAGCCAGACTCATCCAGAAGCTTGGAAGTCCAGCAACTACCCTTCCTTTAATGTTAGCAGAACTCCTCAAACTCCTCTATTTAAGTACTCCTAATGCAAGAGTGAAACTGGAGGTTTGGGAGGGCTCAGAAGAGCAGGATCCGAAAGGCCCCACCCTCAGCATGAAGTTTCTTTTTAAGTCACTGTTTTTCTTCCTATTTTTGTCAATTTTGCATTCTATTCTATAATACATCCATTTTTGTTTTGAAGTAAAAATTACATTTCCCCAAGTCTTCAAGCAAAATTGATCCTGCAGAAAGGTGCTTGTTTATTCTGCAGCTTCTGGAACCCTCAGGCCCTCCAGCTTGAGAAACTAGAAGCCTAGTTAAAATCCATATTTCTTTGCATGTTATACAAGGACCTTCTTGACAGGTGCATATTTATCTCTACAGTTCCAGTCCTCCAACCAGCTTCCTGCAGTCCAAGCACACTGAACTCCTTGAAATTCTGTGACCATCTTAGTGTTTCTTATTTCAGAAAAATTGCTTATGCTGTTTCCTCAAACTAGAATGTACTGTCCCCCATCTCTCTGCCTATCTTCTAGACCCATCTGAAGGATCATATTGCCCTGTGAAGCTCTCTATGACAAGCCCCAACAGGCTGAATAAGCTATCCCTCCCTTTATGCCACCAAAGTTCGCTCTTCTCCCATAGTGTACATGTCTCTTGATTGTAATTTGTTGCTTACGCTGCCCTTCTGCACTAGACTGTAAATTGCTTCAGGGCAGGGTCTGTGTCTTATTCCTCTTGGCCGTCGCTGGACCAGCACCATGCCTGGCAAATGGTAAGACAGGAGGTAAGTATGGCTATGACATTTCACCCTAGTGCTCACCAGGGTTGACCTGGTTGAGCTGAATGGACACGGGGATGTCCCTGTCCTCTCTCTTTACTCCTCGAGTGTCCCTTCCATTCTTTCTGTCAAATAGGATGGTCCCAGATGAACAAAGACATTCTAGCCAAGGAGTTTCAGAAACTTTCCATCACTGATGAGCCCTCCAAACAAGCTCTCCAGACCCAACACTTAGTAGGTTCTCAGTCAATATCTGCTAAATATTTTAATGAACCAATGATCACCACAATTGTTTCTCTGATTAAGCAGTATTATATTTTCTTAGTCTTATCTTTCAGAGATTCCTGATGTCTAAATCCCAGCGATCTAACAAAATATCAACATTTACTATACATTCAATAAAAGTATAATAAGTAAATAAAGAAATGCACTAATATCTTCATGTGTCCTTTCATGTTTCTTAAAATGTATATGCACAAACAGGGCATGGTGGCTCAAGCCTATAATCCCAGCACTTTGGGAGGCTGAGATGGGGGATCACTTGAGGCCAGGAGTTTGAGACCAGCCTGGCCAACAGGGCAAAACTCCCATCTCTACTAAAAAAAAAAAAAAAAAAAAAGCCAGCCTCCGTGGCTCACAACTGTAATCCCAGCACTTTGGGAGGCTGAGGCGGGCGGATCATTTGAGGTCAGGAGTTCGATACCAGCCTGGCCAACATGGTGAAACCCCGTCTCTACTGAAAATACAAAAATTAGCCGGGCACAGTGGCATGTGCCTGTAATCCCAGGTATTTGAGAGGCTGAGACAGGAGAATCACTTGAACCTGGGAGGCAGAGGTTGCAGTGAGCCAAGATCTCACCACTGCACTCCAGCCTGTGCAACAGAGCAAGACTCTGTCTCAAAAAAAAAAAAAAAAAAAAGTACA
The DNA here is from genome assembly GCF_000001405.40 of Homo sapiens. Classification (NCBI taxonomy): domain Eukaryota; kingdom Metazoa; phylum Chordata; class Mammalia; order Primates; family Hominidae; genus Homo; species Homo sapiens. The sequence continues at coordinate 87,084,161 of NC_000006.12, forward strand.
TGCACTTCCTATTTTAACTTACTACCCTAACACCTGATATGTTTACCAGCCTGCTAAGGAACAAAGAACTGGGTTGCCACTCAGAAATAAAATTTCGACAAATGGGTGATGATCAAAATTTCTTTCTGAAAACCTTACCGGTTACCAGTGTGATTATCTTTTTTAAATTACAGGCTCCATTAGGAGTAGAACTTTTTTGAGTAGCTATGATCTCCACCATGGCTAATATAATTTAATATTTATAATACCATTGTCCTCAAGGTAAGGACCACCTCTCAGTATAAATGCTCAACAGATGTGGTGTTGAAGCATGGCACTACTCTTAGGCATTTTTCATTTGTTTGTTTTTTTGAGACTGAGTCTCGCTCTCTATCGCCCAGGCTGGAGTGCAGTAGCACGATCTCAGCTCACTGCAACCTCCACCTCCCAGGTTCAAGTGATTCTCCTGCCTCAGCCTCCTGAGTAGCTTGGGATTACAGGCGCCCACCACCATGCCTGGCAATTTTTGTATTTTTAGTAGAGATGGGGTTTCACCATGTTGGCCAGGCTGGTCTCGAACTCTTGACCTCAAGTGATCTGCCCGCCTTGGCCTCCCAAAGTGCTGGGATTACAGGTGTGAGCCACCATGCCCGGCCATCTTAAACATTTTAAAAAACAAAGTGAATATGCCAGGCATCTGACCTAGACCATAGTTCTGAGCCAGATCTGAATGTGAAGAACAAAATCTGATGCCTCTGGTATTTCAGAGTAATGCCCAGTTTCAATTGGTGCAATGATGCCCTTTCCTTGGCCTCTATTCAATTATAGCCTGGCTGCCAGGGACTAATAAGATGAGCGTTTTTCAGCCAGGCATAAAGCAAGTAAATAGAAACTTCAGTCTGGGAATAATTTTGTCTTTCCCAAATCCTAGAGAAGTGTTCTCCCTTTTCTTTTTCTTTTGTTTGTTTGTTTTTTATTGTCCCCTTCTAACAGTAAAAAGTTTCTGATCAAATGTTCCCAATATATGGATAATTATTGATTTATAAATTGTATACATGTATTACCATACTAATGTATCTGTGCTTTTATAAAATCCATCAAAATGGAAACTTAAAAAGTTATATAAAAATTAATATAAATAGAAGTTCTTATATTTTCTTCTCTTGCCCTAATAAATGTCTTATAAGTAGCCCACTGGCTGAAAGGACTCACACGCTGCTAGGTGTGGTAACAGCAAGGCTCTCCAATGTCAGGTCACCAAACACATTTGGCCCCAACTCACCCAATGGCCCACTCTCTTCCATTAATGCTGTCCAAAGCAACTGGCTTTACTTTGAAGAAAAATGATAATTCAGTGATTGAATGATGATTTAAAAGGCTTTATTTGCAGTGGAACAAGCTAAATGCTGTATTCATTCCAAATGAAAAGAACTAGACTGCTGATTGTACTGTAGGATAAGGAGGAAGGCAGTAAAGCTGCAGTATATCCTTGAAGCGTGTCAAAGTGGTATGGTAAGGAAAAGGAGAGTTTTATCTCACAAAGCCATAAACACTAAACAACTTAATTTTCCATTCCAGAAAATCAGCAGTCATCAAGACAGCACTTGGTAAAACATTTAAGATTTGTGATAATAACAAGTACTGCAGTGGCACGCCGTGTGGTTCTCCACTTTGAAACCCCCCATTACTGTGACCTAAAGGGGAAGGAAAAAAAAACATATTATAGATTAGATGATAGATAGATAGATAGAGACAAAATTGAAGAATATTACATAAAATTGTTTGCATTCTGCTGAAATAAGTAGATGCATACTACATTTGCACAGTCTCCTTTTTAGGAAATATTTTTAGCACAAGTAAGCTGTACTTTCTCCCAACCTGCCCCTTGTCACCTCTACCCCTATTCTCCTCATTCTGAATAAATCCAGTCTATACCCACAAGACAATTGACTCTTTTAATTAATGGGTAGAAATGTATTCCCCACCTGTACAAATGCTCGACAGAGGCTGGGTCATTAGACACCTTTGGCATTAAATTCCATGGGTGGGCTCTATGAACATTTCTCTGATTGGGCTGTTAGAAAGCTTCTGGGGATCTTGAGGTTCTTACCCTGTTATATGATTTAGCTACACAGCAAGTGGACTCTGAGGTGACGTTCTTTTGGACCAACATCGTCTTCTTGGACCTTAGTGGAGTGGGATATGCTCTAGAGAAGCAGCAGCCCATGCACTGAAGTATTGGGGCACCCGGCTGGGAGAAGAATGGGTTTTCCTGTAGCGTGCATTCTGGGCAATCTATCAGGGAAAAAAAAAGGCAGAGTAAAATATCCAAAAAAGACTCAAAAAGAATCTATGAGGCCAGCACAGTAGCTCACGCCTGTAATCCTAGCACTTTGGGAGGCCTTAGTGGGTGGATTGCTTGAGCTCAGGAGTTTGAGAGCAGCCTGGGCAACATGGTGAAACCCTGTCTCTACAAAAAATACAACAACAACAAAAATTAGCCAGACGTGATGGTGCACACCTGTAGTCCCAGCTGCTTGAGGGTCTGGGGCAGAAGAATCGCTTGAAGCTGGGAGGTCGAGGCTACAGTGAGCCGAGATCATGCCACTGCACTCCAGCCTGGGTGACAAAGTGAGACCCTGACTCAAAAAAATAAGAAAAAATGTGGTGGCTCACGCCTGTAATCCGAGCACTTTGGGAGGCTGAGGCAGGTGGATCACCAGAGGTTAGGAATTCGAGACCAGCCTGGCCAACATGGTGAAACCCCATCTCTACTAAAAATACAAAAATTTCGCTGGGCATGGTGGCAGGTGCCTGTAATACCAGCTACTCAGAAGGCTGAGGCAGAAGAATCACTAGAACCCGGAAGGCGGAGGTTGCAGTAAGCTGAGATCACACGATTGCACTCCAGCCTGGGTGATAGAACGAGACTCTGTCTCAAAAGAAAAGGCAAGGCAAGACAAGGCAAGGCAACAAAGAAAAGAAACTGTGAATGCTTCCTTATTATGGGATAGTGAATATTATTTTTTCATCAAAAATGAAAGGAAACTAAGTAAGTGCTTTTTGGTTATATGTTAATCTTCATCTATAATATCTATTTAATATTTATACTGATTAATGTTCATGGGAAATAAAACTTAAAAACAAACATTTTTTACAGATATGCATAGAAAATCTCAGTTGTAGTCTCTCTTCAAGCATGGATTCTCTATCCCAATGCTAACAGTATGCCTAGAGGAAACACAAAACTTGACAGATGAAAACATCATGTTCATCTGAAAAGAGAATTTTGCACAGAGGAAAAATATTTTTCCCTTTAGAATCTGCTATTGTTTTTCCCACAGTAACTCCAAATATTGACAGAGAGAAATATGTCAGAATTAAGAAAGCTTGGTGAGTGTAGAGAGCCTGATATTAGATCACGCGCCTGCACTTGGGACCTGGATTAAAATATTACCACTTATATAGAGAAAAACCATAACCAATAGTAGCTCACAATTTCAAAGCAGAAGGAATTATACCAGCTACTATATGAGATTTTTCAGACAATACAGCAAAACAAATTTACTGTATAAAATGGTTTTGTTTTTCTCACTTGTTAACTGATGTGAAAATTCATCTACAAAGGCAATGTTAAAATCTCAAATCTGCCGGGAGAAATGTAAAAAATAACTGAGCTAACTGAATAAGGAGCATTTTCTTCTTGTAAGACTCAAGAATAAAAAGGAATCTATTTCCGATGAAAATGTATAGGCTGCTGCATAAATGGTTGTGTAAGATATCATTTTCACTGCACATTTTCTGAACCTAATTTAATTTTATGTTCACAATCTACAAGTGCCTAGATATGAATCCAGCAGCAAAGACTTATTACTTTTGAAAAGGTGGTAGAAATGTAATTAATGGAGTTATTGATGTACATCTAGAAATGTGTGTTGTCCTTATTACTTGAACCACAAATTTGGTCACGCACCCTGCACATCAGGAGCGGAATGGAGAACATGCAGAAACACCGACAATGTGACCAGAAAGATAGCTGCATATTTTCTGTAGTAATCCATGGCGCTCCTGCAGACAGACATGGCAAAAAAAAAAAAACAAAAAACAGTTAATCTAAAATTGGCTTACCAGTCATAACAACAACCAGTAGTTTCAACATTACTATTAATAATAGTCATCAGTGTCTTGACCTCCCTGCTTTTAGCTCCCAACATATACTAAAACCATGTAATTTTTTTTAAAAAAAGTTCTCCTTAGGAAAGAGATAGATAACTGAATCTTCCCATTTCTCACATTAACTGTAGAAATTGGTTTAATAATAATTACAAAAAATTCTCTTTTTAAATTCTTTAAAATTTAAATTTTAAATTATCTGTCATCCTGTTAAGAAGCCTCAATGTCCTTATTTGTAAAACATGGAACTTAAACTAGATAATACCTAAGAAAATATATATAAACTTATATATGAGATATAAAATATACAATCATTTGATGGAGGATAAACACAAAGTATTCAACATTATCAGCCATTAAGGAAATGCAAATTAAAACTACAATGACATATTACATATCTATCAGAATGGCTAAAATAAAAAATAACACCAAATACTGGCATGGATGCAGAGAATCCAGATAACTCAGGCATTGCTGGTCTAGTGGGAATACAAAATGGTACAGCCACTCTGGGAAATACTTTGGCAGTTTCTGATAAAACTAAACATGTACTTACCATATGCCCCAACAGTTGCACTTTTGGGCATTTATCTCAGAGAAATGAAGACTATGTTCACACAAAACTTATATATAAATATTCATAGAAACTTTGTTTAGAGTAGCCAAAAATTGGAAACATTTCAAATGTCCATCAGAAGGTGAATGGTCATACAAATGATGGTATAGCCATACCATGGAATACTGTCCAGCAACAAAAAAATGAACACACTATTGATACACACAGCAGCTTGAATGGATCTCAAGAGAATTGTGCTGAATGCAGGCTGAATACTATATGATTCCATTTATATAACACTGTGGAAATAACAAAATTATAGAGATAGAGAATAGATTAATGGTTTCAAAGAGTTAGCACTGGGAAAGAAGTGTATGAGGGTGAGTATGGCTCTAAAGGGATAGCACAAGGGAGCTGTGGTGATGGGACAGCCGCATGTTGATAGGGATGTTAGTCACACTAATCTACACATGGGATAAAACTGCATAACAGAGCACTAGTATTATGTGTGTGTGTGTGTGTCTTAAATCTGAATAAGCTGTATAGGCGGCAGCAATGTCAGTTCTCTAGTATTCACCTTGTACTATAGTTATACAAGATAATTTTCAATGAGGGAACAAGCTGAAGGATATACAGGACTTCTCTGTACATTTTTTGCAACTTCCTCTAAATCTGCAATTATTCAAAATAAAAGTTTTTTTAAAAAAATTCAGAATGAGGTTTAAAGGTACATATGAGTCAAAACTTATGGTTATTTTTCATGTAGACTGACATAATAGGGCTGAGTTTCTGCTAGATGTTTATATTAACCCATAATACTTCTTAGGAATAATTTATCAGACAGCAGAACTAAGTTTATAACACATGTTGAGTATATCTATTCTGAACATCTGAAATCTGAAATGGCCCACAATCTGAAACATTTTGCGCACCAACATGATTACACAAGTGGAAATTTCCACATATAAGTACTTAACAGAAACTTTGTTTATGCACAAAATATTTAAAATAGTATATAAAATTACCTTCAGGCTATGTGTATATGAAACAAATGAATTTTATGTTTAGACATGGGTCTCATCCCCAAGATATCTCACTATGTGTATGCAAATATTCCAATATCCAAAAAAAATTAAAATCTAAAACACCTTTCATCCTCAGCATTTCAGATAAAGGATACTCAACCTGTATAGAAATTCAGATTGTGTAAGTATGAAGGCTAAAACAAACCTATGTCATTATTTCTACCTAATATATATATTTATATGTAAGTAATTTTGAGTTCTATTTATCTTCACTCATAATTAACACTGAATAAATATTGTTCTAAGTCAGTGGTTCTCAAAGTGTGATCTGGGAACCCCAAAGATTTTCAGTGGATCTGTGGGGTTAAAATGATTTTCATAATAATACTAAAATGTTGTTTGTCTTTTTTTCCTCTTCATCCTCTTGGGTGTTCAGAGAAATTTTCTAGAGGCTACATGACATGTAATTTTACAACAGATTGAATGAAAAAGCACATGAGAATTTAGCTATGTTCTGTTAGGCCAGACGATGAAGAGTTTTGCAAAAGGGTAAAACAATGCCACTCATCACTAATTTTTTTTTGAAAATTGTCATTTTTAAAAAATAAATATATGTTATATGTGTTAACATATGATGGATTTTTCTAAATGAATAAATATTTTTAAACTTTAGCATAATCACTAAGCCATTAAATATTAATGGATATAAACTCATGAATAGAAGCTCTTTGGGCTCTTCAATAATTTTTTTTTTGTTTTTTTGAGATTGAGTCTCCCTCTATTGTCCAGGATGGAATGCAGTCATGCAGTCTTGGCTCACTGCAACCTCCACCTCCTGGGTTCAAGCAATTCTCCTGCCTCAGCCTCCCGAATAGCTGGGACTACAGGCACATGCCACCACGCTTGGCTAATTTTTTTTTTTTTTTGTATTTTTAGTAGAGACGGGGTTTCAGCATATTGGCCAGGCTGGTCTCAAACTCCTGACCTCGTGATCCACCTGCCTCGGCCTCCCAAAGTGCTGGGATTACAGGCGTGAGCCACCATGACCAGCCTGGGCTCTTCAATAATTTTTAAGAGTGTAAACAGGTTCTGAGATCAGTAAGTTTGAGAATACACAAAGCCATAAGGAAATGTTCAGAATTAAAACTAGTTTCCTTTTTAAACTAGTATCATGTTTGTGCCTTAATATTGCAGCTCATATATTATGAAAATTCAGCCATTATGCAGTGAACAACTATATCAGAATTAATTCAGAGAGAAACATTTATAATAAGATTTGAGAATGTGAAAGCATGAAGTCAATGCGCATTTTAGAATTGCCTTTATAATAAAGTGAAAAGAAGATTGAAAAAGTGAAACAAAAATCACTATTGCTGTAGCAGAAACTATTACCTTTCTTTGCCTGTATTTTGAAAAGAGATGACATTAACCAAGTAAAAACAGAATAGCCTTCAAATTCTAGGTGATTTTGAAAGCATTTTAATAAATATTTTTATCATCCTAATCACCCTCAGGTTTTTCTGTTTTAAAATTCAAAAGAAAATATTAAGAATCAGGGGGAGAAATTAAATTCTGCTAGGATTTATGCTATTTTGCAAAAATATGCTCAATCTAAAGTCAGATTTACTAATCTCAGCTTCTTTTGGTATTTCACATGAGTATTTTCCGAACTTCAAAGGCCCTGTACACACAACCTCAGACTAACCTGCAATACACACCAACATACCCTTATATCCCATCACCCACCACATCAAGATAATATGTGTCCAAGAAAACATGAGTTTTCTCAACTTGGCCTTCTTTCTCTCCCTTTTCAGTTCATCTACTTCAGAGTCTTTTAAGGAGCTGTTCAACAGCCAGATTCACTGTGAAGTTTTCACCCAACCCCAAAGACAAAATAAATATCTTTCTCCACTGCACTCACTTATCACTTGGCTTATAATTCTTAGATGATGCCCCACAGTCTAACCAGTTATGTACACGTCTATCTCTTCATCCACAAAGAAACTTTCTTTCTTTTTATTTAAATTAGAAATGGGATCTCGAGAGGTGGAAGCGGCAGTGAGCCGAGATTGCGCCACTGCACTCTACCCTGGGCAACAGAGAGACTCCGTCTCAAAAAGAAAGAAAGAAAGAAAAGAAAAGAAGTGGGCATCTCACTATGTTGTCTAGGCATCTTACTTTAAAAGGATTTTTTTTTTTGGTAATAAAAACAGAGCAGAGGAGCTGCAAAGTGAAGCCCCTTGTTCATTGCCCCTGTGTTTACTGCTATGGCAGATTGTACTTTCCAAAAATGGCCACAAAAATACCCCTCAGCCTACATTTATTTGCAGTGTGACCTTGTCACTCCCACGTCAAACAGTGGTATGTCTGTCTTTGTATTTTTATCTTTGTACCCCATTTCATCTACATAGGCCCTTGACTGCTTAGATCAGGAATATAGCAGTAGTGACACTGGGCAAGTAGTAGGTATATCCCTTAACTGACCTGGCAGTTCCTGCTTCCCATCTCTTAGAAGCCGAGGTGGGAGGATCACTGGAGCCTGAGTGAATGAGGCTGCAGTGAACTGGGATCGAGCCACTGTACTCCAGCCTGGGAGACAGTGAGAAACCCCGTCTTGAAAACAAAAAAGAGAGAGAGAGAGAGAGAAAGAAAGAAAAAGAAAAGAAGAGGAGAGGAGAGGAGAGGGGAAGAGGGGAAAGGAGAGGAAAAGAAAGAAAGAGAGAGAGAAAAGAAAAAAGAAAAGAAAAGAGAGCAAGTTCAGGTATTTTAAACTGATCAAGCTATAAGGACTGTCTGCAGTGGGGAACAACAGGGGAACAGGGAAAGGGGAAAAAGCATTAGCTTTCTTTTTTTTTTTTTTTTTTTTTTTGAGACATGGTCTCACTCTGTGGATCAGGCTGGAGTGTAGTGCCACTATCACGGCTCATTACAGTCTCAACTTCCCAAGCTCAGGTGATCCTCCCATCTTAGCCTCCCGGGTAACTGGGACAACAGGAGTGTGCCAGCAAGCCCGGCTAATTTGGGAGTGGTTTTTTGTGTTTGTTTTTTTGTTTTGTTTTGTTTGTAGAGACAGGGTTTCTCTATGTTGCCCAGGCTGATCTTCAACTCCTGGGCTCAAGTGATATCCCCGGCTCTGCCTCCCAAAGTGCTAGAATTTCAGGCGTGAGCCCCCGTGCCCAGTCAGCATTGGCTTTCACATACATTCACTTGCTTTATTTTCTTTACACCTGTGTCATATATTAAAAAACTACACATTAGAGAATTTAAAAGATTTGCCAAAGTTGCTCAGAAAGTGATCTGATGCTAAGATGGTGTCCTTCCACTTGTACTACCCCTATAGCCTAGAAGTATACCATTAATCCATGTCCTCCTTTATAACTTGGAGTCACACATGGATCATGCTGTTTCAGTTATCTTGTCTAATTTGATTTCTAACATTGTTATTGATTCTACCCCTAAGTGCCCCACCTTAAACCACAGAGTGTTAAAGATGCTGGATCATTTCTACAATGTTATCTCTAAGCCTGGTGAACCAAGAAATTGCTAGACTACTTTGTGCAACATTACAATGGCACTGCTGTAACATTATATGCCAAATCCAGAATGTGCAAAGATCAGAAGTTGATAGCAAACTACTCTAGGATTCACAACCTGTAAAAATGAAGTTTGGTGCTATGAACCATGCTGTTCTCAAAAGAAATGTAAGTTCACTCCTGTAAATTTTCTCTTTGAGAAAGTAGATTACTTTGATGTGCTTTTAAGCAAGACGTACATTACCTTCTAAGTTAGCCATTTCTGTTACCCAGCTCTTACTTTGAGTTTTCATGTAAATTTGGGTCTCACATTAAAAAGAAATGTACACTGCAACTGAAAATCTGCTCTGGAACATAATTAATTGCTTTTCTAACATTTTTCTCACACACTACCCTTTTCAGCAGGAAATGGTAAGGAATATGACTCACTTAAAATTTCAATGACTCTTACTGCAAAAAAAATAATAAACTTAAGAAAACCAAAGTTGAAATTAACATGAAAAACCACGAACCTTTTATAAATGATGACCACTCTTGTCTTTTTTAAATAATTCAAGAATATAGCAATGTATTACATGCAATTTGGTTGACCAATATTATGAATAATTGAATTGGTATTAAGTCAAGTAATTATTTAAAAGATATTTTCAGAAACTTTAAAAGATTCCTTTTCTAAAGCAAAATATCTGACTTTTGACTGGGAAAAAGATTGAAGAGCTTAAGAAACAAAATATCTACAGAGATGAAAGGGAGCTTCTGCATTCCTAAGGGACCCATATAGTGTCAGCCCATAGTTCTTCACACGTGCCCATAGCCTATTCTTCAACGCTAATAAGGAGGGACAAAAAAGGTCTTTTATTTTCTAGTGTCTATTTCCCAATCAGCCACCAATTAATGCTAATGCTAAGATAACCAAGGTTAGCTGCAAAAAAGTTTCCAGAAACTCATTGGAACTAATCAATTAGACTTGGGCAAGTGACTTATCATTGCAAATTCATGAATAATAGCTAGAGAAATACTACCAACTTTGATTTTTGTAGCATTTTATTAAAGAAGAAAAATGAAAACAACGACATTCAAGAAATTCCATGCTACTATTCAAGTCTGCATGAGAACATCTATTCAAAAGATAATCAGAAGCTATAGTCATTCAGCTGAACAAGTGAACCACTTTATCATGGGCCAGCTTGAAGATATAGCTATACATCACTTAAAAATGGATAATAAAACAATATCATAATGTCTACTTGCCCTCTGTCTGGCTCCTGGAAGCCACTCAAAAGAACGTCTTTCCAATGACATACAGTAATTCTTGAGGAAAATTTTTAGATCCTGACAGGCACTCAAGCATCTCAGCAGGAGACATTGGGTTTCTGGCTTCTGTTAGATAACATCTTACCCTATGATCACAGCCAAATTTTACAGACTTCCTTCTAATTCAATCATAAGTGCTGAAAAGAGAATGAGTAAAAGCCTGTCTCAGTTCTTATTAAGGTATATGCAGAGACTTTGGAATCTTCCTCATATTCTCAAATATTTTACTCCTCAATTAAAGTCCCCCAAAATTATTTCATTCATATTACCTTTCTCTGGGCTTTTTGCAGGATGTGTTCAGGGCGGTTGACTGTGGATCCGAAGAGGGATTTTAGCTTCGTCTTATGAGTTCTCAGTAACTGCAGTTAATGAAGTCCTCACCTGCTTTTATACCAGCAGAGTGTTTCCACCTGCATCTAAGCCCTGGGATCAACAGGAAATTCCATCCAATGATTGAAGGGTACTTGGTGTAATTACCATGACGTCAATTTTTACCATGACGTCAATTTGATCTTATCTTGTTTCAACCCTTAGGTCATTTTTGTTTGGAGCCATTTTCAGGTGATGGTGACGACAAGGTCAGCCCATGAAAAGAGAGTACGCTGTCACTTTGTACGTAATTTTATTGAGCCATACACATAACATCCTGAAAGCTGACACTTTCCTATAAACAAGAGACATTTAATTAGCTAAGTACCTGATATTTACCTAAACAAGAGCTATAGATTTCCGAAAATAGATATAGAGCATTTCCAGGCTTATACCACTATTTAATTAGGAAACAGAAAAATAAAACACACACCTATTTAGACTTTTCTAAAATTAATTTGCATCTGAATTTAATAAAGATGCATGAGAAAGGTATGAGGCAATTCTAAGAAGGACTGAATGGTTCTCAATATACGTGCCTGGTTTTTGGTTTTTTTTTTTTTCTCATTTCACTTTTGTAAAGCTCAGTTTCTGCCTGAACAGAAAATATGTATGTCATGGCTTGCCAGGTGTGGGACACTTAGCTCCAAGGTTCCCAACCCAGTGTCACCCTAAAACCTGCACAGCTCTTCAGACTACTGTGGCTTCTTTTTTGCACACAGAGATTATGACCCTTCAAAAGTTCCTATCTTTATCTACTCCGCTCAGTGCCACTTCCGTAAGGAACTGGCTTAGATACAGACTACCAAGGACCTCTTCAACAAAGAGTTTAGAAGATCTATGTGATGCAAAAAGCAATTCTTGTTTAACATAAAGAAACTTGCCAAAGAACGCAAAGTTGTTTTGTGATTTATTTTCTGTGATAAACAAATTTGTTTAGGTTCTTACACCTTTTCAGATTTCCGTTGTTTCCTTCCAGTATGCATCCCAACCATTCACCTTTTCTTAGTGATGCTCCTTTTTGGGGGACGAGTGGGGGAGACGGAATCTCGCTCTGTCTCCCAAGCTGGAGTGCAGTGGCACAATCTCACTGCAGTCTACACCTCCCGGGTTCAAGCACTTCTCCTGCCTCAGCCTCCGAGTAGCTGGGACTACAGGTGTGCGCCATAATGCCTGGCTAATTTTTGTATTTTTGGTAGAGACAGGAGTTTCACCATGTTGGCCAGGCTGGTTTAACCCCTGACCTCAAGTGATCCACCCACCTCGGCTTCCAAAAGTGCTGGGATCACAGGCATGAGCCACCGTGCCGGGCCTTCCTAGTGATGATTGATGCCACCATTATTCAAGAATTTCTACATTTAAATATCAACCAACTGGCAGTATATTTTCAATGTAGCAGACTTATTTTGAAAATCTTTCCATCTAGGCATTTCACTCTTCTTTGTTCTATTCTTTCTCTTTTATTTGTGCCTTCTTTACATCCTTTTATTTCTTTTTTATCTGAATGATTACATAGAAACAATGTTTCTAGGATGCTCTTATTAAATTATTTTTGTTTGGCTTATGATTTCATAGTGGATTTTATTTTTATTTCACATTTCTATATAAGAATTATGAATATTAGGGAATTCTTATGAAAATGTTTATTGTGTTTTTAAAGTTTACATACTGTTTTTTAATTTTTTTAGTGATGTGGCTACATAAATAATACAAAAGTCAGTGCCTTTAACACCTGACTTATCTTCCCCATTTCCTCAATTATTCTACTCAGAAGCAATGTTTCCAGTTTCTTACTTGTGTTTCTGCAGATACTCTATGTATATACAAACAAATTATATTTAAGTCTCCATCCCTGTTGAAATTCTCCTTAAAATAACAAACAGAATACAAAAATTAGAGGAACCCCTGCCTTTGTGCTTAGAGAATCTCTGTTGGTATGGTATAAATTATACTTCTCTGTACTTTCTACAACAAACATATATTACTTTTATAATTGGGGAAAGTACTGTTAACAAAAACATGTTTCTAAGTTTCACTATTTCATGTGGCTGCTTCCATTTATTATTGACAGTTTTATCCCATATCTGATAGTTCTATTTTCTATTTTCTTTACTCTGGGTAAGAGCAGGTTTGGTGGGTGAAGGATAAAAATACCACTCCTCAGTCATTGACAGTTACCTCCCAGCTGCTAAAGTTTGAAGCATCTGTCACCAAAAAGATAGGCTGGCTGAAGAACTGGGATGACACAGGGCAACTCGCCACCTTTACTAGGCAAGGTCCTGAGAGCCCTATAGAGTATACAGGTCAGGAACTTCTTTGCAAAGCAGTATGACACAGTTAAGTATGTACACACTATGTTAAATGCATGAGTTTTTTTCCTAATGAAGTTTTGCATTTACACGCTGAATTTTTTTAAATAACCATCTTTGTAAATGTTTCATATGCTTACTTGATTGTTTTATTCAACATAATTTGAACTTTCTAATAGCAAAACATGATTATCACAAACATTATGCTGTAATCAGAACAGCTCAGGTATGTAAAATCCTTGCATTTCCAAGTGGCTTTTTCTTTGGTAATTTTAACGATACATTACACAATTTTAAATTTTCAAGTAGTAGAAAAGTATATACAATGAAAAATAAGTCTTCCTCTTACTCCAAAATCCTTAATTCCATTCCCAAAGGTATTTATTTTTTAAAATTTCTTAATGTTTCCAGAAATTTACTATGTATATACATACATTTTCGGGGGTTTTGCTGTATACAAATAGAAACACAAGATACACATTGTTTAGTGCCTTGCCTTCTTTCTGTTTTTAAAAACATAACAATGTATCTTGGTGGTTTCTTTCATATCCAAATGTGTGGATCTAACCCATACTTTTGAATATTGCAAGATATAAAGGACCATGAATTATTCAACCAGCATTCTATTAATGACCATTTGCATCATTTCCAGTTTTTAAATGTTATAAACAATATTATAATTATCATCTTGCTCTGGTTACATATATAATTATAGTTCTAGAATAAGTTTTTAGAAGTGGAATTGTTGGATCAAAGAATATGAGTATTTTAAACTTGAGTAGAAGTTGCTCAGGTACTCACTCTTCTCCACCCCTCCTCAAAGTTAATGCTATGAAATATGTTAATTTTTGTTGAACTAACAGATGAAAAACAATATTTTATTTTTATTTGCATGTAAATAATTTTGAGCAGGACTGAACATAATTTCATAAGTTGTGGTCATTTAGAATTTTTTTTCTGTGAACTGCCTGTTCAAAAATCTTTCTCAAGTTCTTAATTCTGTCTTTAATTTTAAGTTTGACTTTTGACTCTTTTATGGTAGTTTTACAGTTGTTTTTATGAGGTCAAATTTATGTATCTTTTACTTTTAGACTTGCAGAGTTTATGTAATGCCAAGATTCTAAAAAGAAGTGCCCATATTTTATTCTCAACTGTATACAGTGTTATTTATTTTAGGTTTAGCCCTTTAATTCATCTGTAATTTATTTTGGAAATGAAGTAGAAATCTATCTTCTTTTTAAACCTAAATGACAAGCCAGGTGTTGTAATAACATGTATGAAATAATCAACATTTCTTTCTCCACTAATTTGAAATTCTACTTACTTCCTAAATATTTTGAGGTCCATTTTTGGGTTCTCTACTGTTGTGACCTATATTAATAAAAATATTCAATCAATGATAATTAAATATTTTAAATTTGTTTAGATTATTATTAGATATAATTATCGAGTGTCTCTTTACCAAGTGTATCAACGAAAGTGCATTATCAAAGAGAAATTAGACATAAATCATATCACTAACTTGCTAACAGTCTGTTTACTATAAATTAGAAGCATTGGGATTTTCCCTCACCATTCTCTTTGACTTGTCATGAGGCTCCTAACACCCTAATTTTCTAATCTTCACTTGACTCCTTAATGCTGTGTGGCTGTGTTTCTTGAAGTATATCTCATGTTTTGTCTAAAATCAGAACTACTAGGGTGTGGATTAAAAATACAGGTTCGTGGGTCCCATCCTATCCTGGTCCTGCTGGACCAAAATCTCTCTCAGTTGAGCCCAGAAATTTGCATTTCATCAGTCAAAGCTTGAGAACCGTGACTGCATAGCATTGTTTTATTAAGCAATACAGGAATGTAAGTAAGGAGCAATATGGTTTGTTTTCATCTTCAACTGTCCCTGTAGCACAACTAAATCAAAAATGGTAAAGTTATTTGTTCAGTTCTGTGAGCCTCCCCTCTGTACAAACAGCTGAAACATCCTGCTATTAAGAATCTATGAGAAACAGCTCAAAGACCCAAAACAACTATCTCCTGGTCACAAACACCAAAACAGGCAGCAGAAAATTTCTTGATTGAGATGAGGTTTTTAATCAACAACAACAGATAAGGTGACTGACAGTCAGAAAGAATCACCTGAGATGTGATATCTAACACAGTGGCAGCAACAAAATCCCCCTGCAACTGATGGACAAGAAGCAAACTGACTTGACACATGTAAAGCAGCCAAGAATATTCTCTACTATTTCAGTCAAAACAGTGTGGCCTAATCAATAATGCAAACATCCTGTTTCTCAAGCTAACAACCTCTGTCACTGGAACCCTCAGAGAGATAAAGAAACTGCTGGTACAATTATAGCTAATCTTTCTCTAGTCTGAAATGTCAATAGACTAGGCAAATAATGCTGCCAAGAAAGGGAGAAAAATCTCACAGGTGAAAACTAATTTTTTTAACATTTTTCCATTTCTTTTTGCTTTGCACATATCTCCTCCCACTTCCATTTCAGAAAGCTTTCAGTAATCAACTATGAAAGGATTCATGAGAGAAACAGGTTTTGTACAAGAAGGAAAGAGAAGCAATTGTATTGATAGAATTGTTCAGTTTTATGCATATTGCAGGATGGGGAGGTGAAAGAGTAAATGATGAAGTAACTTCCTACCCTAATTTTGCAGGGGAAGTCTTATGAGATACTATATTTTGCATGGGTTTGCCTAAAGATCTTCATCCTTAAAAAGCTGGCCTATTTTGCCATGAGAGGTAAGGGTACTACATTCAGAACCTCTGGGTATTCTCTCTGAGTATCTGTATAAATGGCCATGTGGAGCTTTACAGATAGTGGAAGAACTTGGTGGGAGAGAGTCAAAGCCACTTTTATTAAGGGAAGATTTCCTTTGGATGATGCTTTCGATGTTGTTAAAAGAAAACTTCAGACAAATCAAATTTAGTGGAGTTTAATTGAGCAAAAAGAAGCAATGATTCATGAATTGGTCAGCCTCCAGAATCACAGCAGATTCAGAAAGACTCCAGGGGTGCCTCATGGTCAGAACAAATTTATAGACAAAAAAAGTAAAGTGACATCTAGGAATCAGAAGTGAGGTACAGAAATAGCTGGATTGCTTGCAGGCTGGCGTTTGCCTTATTTGAACACAGTTTGAACACTCAACAGTCTATGATTGGTTGAAGTATGGCCGCTGGGAATGGCCAAGACTCACTTTTTGTTACAGGTGCATACTCCCAAGTTAGGTTTTCTATTTTGTCTATTAAGCTAAGTTACAGTTAGTCCACAAAGATTCAAACATAGAAGTATGCAGTCCTTCTCAGGCTCTATTTAGTTCACTTTAACAGTGTGGATAACAGGAGTCCCATGGTTCCTTCTAGGAGTGGGCAGTAGTGCCACTTGCCCTCGTCTAAAATCTTGGCTGCTATTCGATGGAAAATACATTTAAGGGGAGAGTGAAACCTAATCACAAACATTATCTCAACACCCCTTCTCCACTCATACCACCTCTATCCCTGGGCTCTGGCTGAAATGGAGTGTGGGGGAATTTTGTCCATCCTCAGCCTCTAAATACAGCCCAGGCCTCAGTGGGACTGCAGCAAGTCCCAGTCATTGTTCAGACACTGGGAAGCTCTCTGTCACCAAGTTAACTCCCTATTTCTCCAGCATTTTTAGATGCATTATGAATGAGCCATTAGCCAGCAGTCCTTCTACTATGGTTTGGATATGGTTTGTTTGGCCCTACCAAATCTTATGTTGAAATTCAATCCCCAATGCTGGAGGTGGGGCCTAATGGGAGGTGTTTGGATCATGCGGGTGGATCCCTCATGACTAGCTTGGTGCCATCCTCATGGTAATGAATGAGTTCTTGCTCTATTATGCAAGTTCCCATGAGAGTTCTTCCCAGAGCTGGTTGTTAAAAAGAACCTGGTACCTCCCTCCCCTTTCTCTGCCTCCTTTTTTTCCGGGTGACTTCTGCACAATGTCTCCCCTCTCTTCTGACATGAATGGAAACAACCTGAAGCTTTCACCAAAAGCAGATGCAGCCACCATGCTTCTTGTACAGTCTGCAGAACTGTGAACCAAATAAACTTCTTTTCTTTATAAATTATCCAGCCTCTGGTATTCCTTTATAACAACACAAAGAGACAAATGGGCTAAGACACTTTCTCCATACCCGTACATTCCCCGCACTCACATCTCCAGGATAAATGTACTTTCTGAGAGTTGGGGGCCAAATGGGAGTAGGGAATAAAGGTTTCCCACTTTGTCTTTCTTTATGCCTGATCAGTTTCAAAGGCCACCATGCCATATCAGGCATTTAAATCCATTCTCCCTGGGAGTGGTTTTAACTTGGGTCATTCTTTGAAATGCTAAGGCTGGATTCCAGAAGAAAAAAAAGAAGAAAGAGGAGAAAGAGTGGGCGTTAAATAATTTGTATATACCTGAAAATTGCCAAAGGAATAGAATACCATAAAACATAGAATGAGAGTTGCCAATAAAGAGATGGAGAGAAACCATATGGAGACTGATTCCTAGATTTTAGAGAATTGAGACAACATTATCATTATTTAACTATATGACCCCCTCTCCCTAACCCAAAAATATTGTATTTCTATTATGAATTTTGTTTTGAGAATTGTTTATATTCTTTGAGATAATTAGAGACATTCCAGATGCAGAAATTGGGTAGAAAGCTCTGGCCTAAAGCACAAAACATACAAAACTTATCCTCTCTCATGGCTTCACATGAAATCTCTATTCCAGACCTGACATCTCCCTTGAGCTTCATGCCAGTGTCTTCATTCAGTGTATTAACTATCAGTTGCTATGCAACCAATTACTCCAAATGTAGCAGCTTAAATCAACAAGCTTTTATTGTCTCACATAGATTCTGAGGGTCAGAAATCTGGGAGCCCCTTATCTGGGTGGTTCTGAATCAAGGTCACTCAAAAGGTGTCATATGGGGCTGACATGCCAAGCTGTCATATGAGGCTACAGTTATCTAAAAGCTCAACTGGGGCTGGAGAATGCACTTCTAAACTCATTCACATGGTTGCTGACAAGCTGCAGTTCCTCACTGGTTATTGGCCACAGACTTCAGTTCCTCATCACATGGGCCTCTCCATAGGGCTGCTAACAACACATTATCTGACTTCCTCTAGAGCAATAAACGAGAGGGAGAGAGTAGATGCCCAAAACAGTCACTACTGGCAAGGATACAGCGTAACTGGAACTCTCATACATTATTGGTGGGAATGCAAATTGTACAATTGCTTCGGAAAACAGTTTGGCAGGTCCTTTTTTTTTTTTTGGAGACAGGATCTCACTCTGTTGCCCAGAGCTGGAGTGCAGCGGCACAATCTCTGCTCACTGCAACCTCTGCCTCCCAGGCTCAAGTAATCCTCCCACCTCTGCCTCCCAAGCTGCAGGGACTACAGGCATGTGCCACCATGCCTGGCTAGATTTTTTTTTTTTTTTTGTATTTTTTGTAGAGACGGGATTTCGCCATGTTGCCCAGGCTGGTCTGGAACTCCTGAGCTCAGGCAATCCGCCTGCCTCGGCCTCCCAAAGTGCTGGGATTACAGGCATGGGCCACTGAACCTGGCCTGACGGTTTCTTATAAAGTTAAATATACATGTACATAAACATAAATTTATGTTATGATCTGGCAATCTCCCTCCTAGGTAATTATCCAAGAGAAATTAAAATATATGTTCACACAAAGACTTGCACATGAACGTTTATAGTAATTCTATGCATAATAACCAAAAACTGAAAATACATTTGACCCTTGGATAACATAAGGGTTAGGGGTGCTGACCCCTGCACAGTCGAAAATATTTTTAATGTGAAAAAAATATTTTTAACTCCCCAAACACTTAACTACTAATAGCTTACACTTGACTTAAAGCCTTACCTATAACATAAACAGTTGATGAACAGATATTTTGTATGTTACATGCATTACATACTTTATTCTTACAATAAAGCAAGCTAGAGAGAAGAAGATGTTATTAAGAAAATAATAAGGTAGAGAAAATACATTTACTATTCATTAAATGGCAGTGCATCATCGTTAAAGGTCTTCATCTTTATTATCTTCGTATTGAGTAGGTTGGGAAAGAGGGGAAAGAGGAAGGGTTGGTCTTGCTATCTCAGGGTGACAGGGGTGGAATAAAACTCATGTTTAAGTGGACTCATGTAGTTCAAATCTGTGTTTTTCAAGGGCCAACTGTAATTCAATTGTTCTTCAACTAGTGAAAGTGGATATAAAGCATAGCACATTGGTACAAAGGAATGCTATTCAGCAATAAAAAGAAACAGACTACTGATATGTTCATCACCATGGATGAATCTCAAAATAATTACACTGTGAACGAAGCTAAACACAAAAAGCTAACAGTATGATTCCATTTATATGGCATTCTGGAAGAGGCAAAACTATAGAAAGAGATCAATTAGTGGTTTGGGAATAGGGTGAGAAGATTAACTACAAAGGTGCACAAAGGAAGTTTTCTATACCTTGAGTAAGTGGCAGTTACATGCTTGTATATTTTTGTTGATACTCAAAACCTATGTCTGTGTCTAGAAATGATAGATTTTACTGTATGTAGATTATGTATCAGTAGGCCTGACTTTAAAAAAATAAAAATGAAGATGAGAGGGTATTCTAATTAGTGGTAACAGCAAGATAAAAAGGCATGCAAGTATGAGAGTGTGGTTTTCACAAGAGACTGCAAGCAGTTCAATATTAGAAGGGTATAACATTCAAAGCGAGAAGTGGCAAGCCGTGGAGTCCTGAACTTTTCACTTGCATCTATAGCCTCCACCTTAAACTCATCACGTCCAAAACTAAAGCCTGCATCCCTGTCTCCCGCAACAGTACCATCATGGTTGTTGATGTCATTTTCCTAGTCACCAAAACTCTAAAGCTTGAAGACCTTCTTGACTGCTCCCCTTATCTGTCCACCAAATCCATGATGCACTCTTGTAATGCCATGGTTTTTGTGGTTTTGATGGTAGCAGCAGTAGATGATGATGATAATAGTGGTTTTCTACTTCTCTTTTATATCATTCCTTCTTACTTCATTGTTCTCATATGGTTTAAACTTGTATTTTTTTCTTATCAGGATTGGCATGACACCCCTCTCACTGGTCTTAGTGCCTCTGGTCACTCTCCTTTCTTGCCAGATGAGTCTTCTGAAAATATCAACCTCATCCCATTGTGTTCTAATCAAAAATCAACTTGAGGTCCTTATCAATAAAAAGACTTCCTCTGCTGATCCTAATCTACTTTCTAAGTTTATTCCTCAATATACTCAGGTTAACAAACTGCTTCAGAGACAACCAGCTTGATTTATTCATCCCCCGTGTGCATTTCCTTCAGGACACGTCATATAGCCCTGTCTGAGATGCCCTTTCTTTTCCTCTCCACGTATTTAAATCCCCCTCTTACACCATGACCCAGGAAAGTTCTGCCCCCGCACTCTGATTTCTCACCCCAGTAAGATTATTTGAGTCATACTCTCCTCCTTCCCCAAACTTTATAGTATCTATTCTACCTATTTGGGTTATTGATGGTTACATTGATAATGGTAGCTTGCATTTCTAGAGCCCTTGAAAGATTTGAAAGCACTCTACTATTCATCATCTGGTTTGAGGCCTTCTCAACAAACCTATGAGACTACTCCTATATTGCAGATAAGGCTCTACAGTGGATGGGGATTTGCTTAAGATCACACAGATAAGTAGTAAGTTTTCAATACATTTTTAAAATAAGGGCATGAAGACAGAGCCAGAAAACTGATTTAGCAATCAAGAGGAAAAGGAAGGACTCTTTTTAATGAGGAAATAAAACTAAAGTCAGAAAAAGACTGCTTAAAGTCAGAATTTGACCAGGATTACATTCATACAGACCACACTGTCTGCTTTGCCTTTGTGATACTGGTAGGAGATATGAAAGGGAAGAATTTATTCTATACAATTCAAAAAATACATTTTTTTATAAGCTTAAAATTAGGAAACTATACCTTCAGCTACCACTTATTTCTGTTTTCGCAACTATTGGAGCTGACTGTGTGGGTGAGTTAACTGCTGCATAAAAAGTGGAATTAAAATTAAAAAGCTCTTATGTATATTTTTATAGAACAGAAATAATTAAAATTAACTGTAACTCAAAATCCAGTTAGTAGAGTTGGCATTTAAATTGGCTGTTTAATTAGCAAAATTCTATATGATTAAAGTAGTCACTTGAAAATGTCTTTCAAAAGTAAAGCATTTTAATAAGCTCCAGTTCTTAGATGATCTACATAAGTTGATCTTTGTGTTCCCCTCTGGAATAGACTAGTTCTGCAGTTTGAGTTAACGAGTTCCTGGATTAGTACTTTAGAAGGAAGCTAATCAGAATAAAAGCAGAAAGTGAATCTTATTTGACAATAAAATGTGCTAGGCCTCAAAAGACTGCTGGATATCTTCAGTGTATAAAGGAATATAAGGGAGAAATCTTTTTCTTCATGTTAAAGTCTTACAGCCCTATCTTACATTCTATCTGAGTTATTGGTTGGATGACTATTTTTGAGGCTGTTGATGAATCAGAGAATTCCTGAAGTTGTGCTCTTGACCTATACATTTTTTAAGCAAAGGACACATTTTTCAAAACCCCTTACACACAACCTTAGGAAGATCTTTAGTAGAGGATATCTAGTTCAATCTCTCTTTTCCATTTAGAGCTAGACCAAAACCATAACCAGCAGATAAGAATTCAAGCAGTTTTTCAAATTCCCCATGACAGAAGCTAGCCAGATATTTACCAAATACGAAGTGTATTTGCTAAATACACTAGCAAAATACACTAGTTCCTCTTCTTGTGCACCTAGATAAACTACATTTTACATCTCCCTTACACCTGGAAGTGGGACCATATGATCAGTTCTTGTGAATGGAATGTGAGAAGGGAAGTGCCATTGCCCCATCAAGGCATTTTAAAGGAATGTGCCTTCCCCACCTGCTCTCCCTTTTCCCCTGGATGCCAGCATGACTTTGAGGTGCCATGTTGAAGATGGCATAGCCACAGGATGGAAGGAGGCCTATCTTTAAAGGACTATGCATATGAGAACCTCCTACACACTATGATACACAGCCCCACACCTCCCCACCTGCCCTCCACCACTCACTGCATTGATCTTCAAATTGAGTAAGAAATCAGGTGCTATTATCATAAGCCGCTTCATTTGGAGGATTGTTTACTATAGCATTGAATGTTGTTTTACCTGCTAACTCTACATTCCCCAAAAAGAAATTCCTACATGACTATCTACCATGCAATGTCTAAACAATATTGCCTCTTTGTCCTTTTCTTCTAGTTGTATATGCTACAGCCTAGTGGATTTTGATCTTTTTGGGGCCAAGAGCTCTATTAAACCTAGGAAAAATCCCAAACCCCTCTCCCCAGGAAAATAAGCAAACATACATGTGCTCAAAACTTAGCCTAGAATTTCAAGATGTTTTCAGAACCTCAAAAAGATCAATATAACCCAGGCTAAGAACCCTGCTACTAGCAATTAGTTTACTATGAATGCAGAAGAACCCTAAGTAAGTAATAAGTGTATATTACTTCCAAGCTTTCCAATTTTACTCATCTTTTCTTTTATGTACAGCTTCCCAGTCATATTTATGTCTTTGATCTTTGAATTTTAAAAACACAGAAAATTTAGGGCTTCAATATTGATTTTTCTCTCCCAAAGCAAAGATGTCAGTGTAACAGTCTCAATGCCAACCATCAATTCCGTGACCATGCCTTTTGATTTCTGTATCAACTGTGAGCAGTCTCTGCCTCAAAATGATCAGCGATGCAATGGTCAATATTCTATGCCAGGCACTTCGCAATTACTTTTGGAAATGGAATCTTCATTTTCTAGCATAACCCTTAAGATTTTTTCAATTTTGCCCTTAAAATTCTCTCTAACCTCATCTCTCATCTGGCCCCAACATAAACTTTTTGTTCCAATGATATCACACTGTTCATAGTGCACTGAAGCTACCATATTCTCTCATGACTCTGTGACCTTGCCTGGAATATTCTTTCTCTTGTCTGTCCAAGAACTCTTATTAACCTCTAAGATTCAGCTTAAGCATCAACTTTCTGATGCATACCTGGCCTGCTCACTCCTTCTAAGTGAAGTGACTCCATAAATGCTCCTGCTGTATTTTCCACGCCCTTGCCATAGTCCTCATCACACACTGCTGGAATTTACTGCTCTGCCTCTCATTGGACTGTTAGCTCCTTTGGAGTAAAGAATTTTTTTTGTTTCTTGTTTTTGTTCTCGTGTTTTGTTTTGTTTTGTTTTGTTTTTTGAGATGGAGTCTCGCTCTGTCGCCCATGCTGTAGTGCAACGGCACGAACTTGGCTCACTGCAACCTCGCCTCCCTGGTTCAAGCGATTCTCCTGCCTTTGGCCTCCTGAATAGCTGAGATTACAGGTGCAGGCTACCATGCCCAACTAATCTTTGTGTTTTCAGTAGAGATGGGGTTTCGCCATGTTGGCCAGGCTGGTCTCAAACTCCTGACCTCAAATGATCCACCCGCCTCGGCCTTCCAAAATGCTGGAATTACAGGGGTGAGCCACCGCACCCAGCCTCATTGCATATTCTTTATCTAGCGTAGTACATAACACAGATTGAAGCATGTCATGTTCTTAAGGAATTCATCTTCAAGGCAGGTAGTTAAGCATACATGAAGAAAAACAACCAAATACAACATATCATGGTTTCATATCATATCATGGCACCAAGGGAAGAATGCTTAAAGGATTATGGGAACACACAGGATAGAGCAATTAAGCTCTGAAAAAGTGGAAGGTGATAGAGAAGAAAGGGGGTAAAGGAGACACTCAGAGAAGACTTCACGGGAGAGGGAACTTCTGAGTTGGACCTTGAGAAATGAGTTGGAGTTTGCTAGAGAGAAGTGAGAAAGGGGATCTTCCTTCATAGTTCAAAGCTACCTGGAGATTTTGTTATTCTTATGCAATTCAGCCAGTCCAGCCTAAATTGTAGAAATTGAAAATTTAACCCTAAGTTCAGGTGAAACTGAAAAAAAAAATGGGTGAAATAGGTTTCTTAAAAATCAAACTGCCATGGAAACTGCTTTACCCAAAATTTTGGTCCACAGTCTTTATTAGATTATCTATTGAGGCAAATAAAGTTTAGTCATGTGAATAGGTCCCAATTTTGTCAGAAATATAATTGAGATCCAACAGCCTTTTATAAACCAGTGAGTCTGTACTGCTACCTCATGACTAGAATTCTACAATGAAAGTTATCAGATTCTTATGTGCGTATATGTGTTTAGGTGTGTTTACACATATGTCCATACGTTATGTTATATGTTGTATCTACATGGTAAAAATCTGGCATAGTCAACCAGAAATCCCTTAAGGAATTCTATTCAGATTGGCTTAGATAGGTAAGCACTCATATAAGTAATAATTAACCCTAATGCTTTTTAGTTCATGTGACTTAAGTAAATCTTCAATAAATAAGCTGGTTTTAAAATTATTAGTAAAATAAAAATAGAAATGTCTTCAAAATTGTCAGCATACATTTTTGGTGGATTTACAGGTCACATTGTTTTACATTTGTCACCAATAGACGTTTTAAGGTGTTAGGGCTTGACACAAAAATTGTGAAACTATAAACCCAGCTGAAAACAGAATGATCTCTGTTTATGAGATTTTTTGATGAGTAAGACCACTTTGATTTTGTTGGTCATGTAGTTTGGCTCTGTGTCCCCACCCAAATCTCATCTTGTAGCTCCCATAATTCCCAGGTGTTGTGGGAGGGACCTGGCAGGAGATAATTGAATCATGAGGGCGAGTCTTTCCCATGCTGTTCTCATGATGATGAATAAGTCTCATGAGATCCGATGGTTTTAAAAATGGGAGTTTCCCTGCACAAGCTCTCTTCTCTGGTCTGCTGCCATGGGAGACGTGCCTTTCACCTTCTGTTATGATTGTGAGGCCTCCTCCACCACGTGGAACTGTGAGTCCAGTAAACCTCTTTCTTTTGTAAATTGCCCAGTCTCAGGTATGTCTATCAGCAGTGTGAAAATGGACTAATACAGTTGGTTTAATGAAAAAAGCTGTATCTTCTGAGTTATCAGCAAAGTATCCATATATTTTATTTTAAGTTTCTTACTTAGATGAACACTTAATATTCAAGACTATAAAAATGGTTAATGGACCAGGCATGGTGGTGCACACCTGTAATCTCAGCACTGAGAGGCCAAGGCAGGTGGGTTGCTTGAGCCCAGGAGTTTGAGACCAGCCTGGGTAACATGGTGAAACCTTGTCTCTACAAAAACTACAAAAATCAGCTGGACATGGTGATGCATGCATGCCTGTAGTCCCAGCTACCCAGGAGGCTGAGGTGGGAGGATCACTTGAGCCCAGAAGGCGGGGGTTGCAGTGAGCCTTGATCGTACCACTGCACTCCAGCCTGGGCAACAGAGTGAGACACTGTGTCAAAAAAAAAAAAATGTTTAACAGGGAAAAAGCTTGAAATGATGACTAGCTTTGTCTAATATCTCAGTTTTCATAAGTAATCTAGGAAAACTGTTAAAAAATAAATAAGTTAGGTAAATGTAACTGGAATAAGCATCAAAAATAGGCATGATGGTGTATGCCTGTAGTCTCAGCTACTCAGGAGAACTTTTATGTAATTTGAAATCTTAAAGTTATGTTAAATTAAGAAATAGATAGTCACTAAATGTCTGGGTCATTTCCAAATAAGATTTTTAAAAAATGAAACAAATTGCTGAACATGAATAAGTTTATTCTTAGCTTCTTCAATTTTATTGAAAGATTAAATATATTTGGGTGTATTATACCTAAAAAATTATGTTATGGGGAGAGAGATATTTCTAAAAATTATAAGATAATTCTTATCTCAAAAATACTGATGTGACAGTTCAAAATCGGTTGCTAACAATTAAAGTTACTAAGTTAAAATTCTATTTAATGTATAGAGTTCTGTATATAAAGTGTACCCAAAAAGTAAAATGCATTTTAATAAGAAAAATTATAAGAAAGGCATATAATATGTTCTTTATTGAGGGAAAAAAGAATAATTTTGTCTAATTCACAGGCTATTTAAATAGTCTCCTACATCCAAACTCTGGATATAGGAAATAAATAGAAACAAGATAGAAAGAAGTCAATAAGTAGGAGAGAGATGTGAACAAAGTTGTGGATATGAAGATGTATTTTTGGTAATAAAAGTTAAAAAGAAGAGAGAATCATTTTGTACAAGGAAGATTTTTGTGTAGTAAATGTTTGTCCTAAAATAAAATGACTGGTCATCTAAGAAAGAGGAAGTGTAGAACAAAGCAGAAAATCCAAGCATGTCATCAGTCATCTGAGTAAGTCATAATAAGGTTAATGCAGGGGGAATTTATTTATTTATTTATTTATTTATTTATTTATTTATTTTTGAGCCAGAGTCTTGCTCTGTCACCAGGCTGGAGTGCAGTGGTGTGATCTTGGCTCACTAATCTCCGCCTCCCAGGTTCAAGAGATTCCCATGCCTCAGCCTCCCAAGTAGCTGGGACAACAGGCATGCACCACCATGCCCGGCTAATTTTTTGTACTTTAGTAGAGACAGGATTTCCCCATGTTGGACAGGATGGTTTCAATCTCCTGACCTGGTGATCCACCCACCTCAGCCTCCCAAAGTGCTGGGATTACAGGCGTGAGCCACTGAGCCCTATTTTTTAAATTTGTGTGTAATCTAGTTGGCTATAATTAATTAGAAAGGAATTATTTAGAAGTCTTTCTGTAGATTGAGCTTTGATGGTAACCATACACTAATAGAAAACAAAAAATTTAGTCGCCCTATGTTAGAACAACAAGGTTTCCTCAAAGTATTGATTTGCTCTTAGTAAAATTAAAAGAGGTTTTGATTAATTCTGAAATCTGTTTCTTTAACAGGCATCTTCTAAACTATAGACAGTTTCTATTTCTGCCAGATTTCTTTCTGAGATGTTTTAATTTCTCTAGTTTCAGTTGAAAATACTGTCTTTGTTATTTGGAATGCTTATTTTATTTACTAAGGTAAAAAAAATTTGGAAGCATCTCAGATTTATATCTCAGAAGTTCAACTTTTCCTGTACCTTGCTGCATGTGATTTGCAGGTCATACATCATACCTTTAGTTTTTTTCCCCTTCAATAGGTATCTTGTTTTGCTTGGCTGAGGTGATAACTATCTCCTTCAACTTTTTTGTTAACTCTCATTATCTTCTTTTTTTTTTCCTCTGGTTCTTATTCTGCTGTTATAGCCTGACACTAAAATGCTTACCCTGAAGTCCTGGAAAAGCAATATTTTCCTCCAGTATAACTTGATTCTGCACTCTTGGCTTTTCTTGATGTGTTCGAATTGTTCCATATAACTAGGAAACTTCCTATGTTGTTACTCTATTTGCCTCCTTAAGGTATTAGTTTTTTGTTTACATTACTCTATAATGTAGGGTACACACATAATTCTAGACACATTCTTCCTGTGTCTGATTAAAGTCAAGTACACTTTTCATCAGGTTTGATTTCCAGGTCATCTAAGTGGGCTTCCCATATGTAGAAGCAATCACACCACGAGAGGTTTTTCTTTACCTTTTTGGTAAGTGGCCTAAAAAAAAAAAAAACACAAATATTTTAAGTTTTATGAAGATATTTTCCTGTATTGTCTTTGTCTTTATTCGGTTTTTTTGTTTTTTATGCTTTTGAGACAGAGTCTCATTCTTTCACCCAGGCTGCAGTGCAGTGGCATGACTATGGCTCACTGCAGCCTTGATCTCCTGGGCTCAAGTGATCCTCCCACCTCAGCCTCCTAAATAACTGGGACTACAGGCACACACCACCACACCAGGCTGTTTTCTTTTGTTTGTTTGTTTTTGTTTTTGCTTTGTTTTGTTTTCAGAGATGAGGTCTCACTATGTTGACCAGGCTGGTCTCTAACTCCAGAGCTCAAGCAATCCTCCTGCTTTGGCCTTCCAGATTATAGGTATAAGCCACCATGCCCAGCTAAGGTTTGTGATTTCTTAGGAAAACTGAACTTTAAAAGGGTAAGGTTTTCATAGCCATGCAATTTTCTGTATTACTTTTGAATTCTTTTGGTTATTACTCCAGTTAAATGAATAAGTATTATTTTACAGTGACCTGTGACTGTTTTGATCAAGTGTTGTGAACATTTTGACATCTCTGGCAGGGTTCCCCAGGATCAAAATCCTAAATTAAGTGGTTTTGGCCTGTAATTAACTTTGGAATTTTCCAGTTGGGTCCCTGGAAAGCATCAAAGAATGTATCTCTCATTTCCAGAGATAGTAAATGATTAGGCTTATTTGGTAAATTGAATGGGAGGCATCGTCAAATGATAAGTGATACTAGATCTTCTTTCGTTTATATTTATGGTTATGTTTCAAAAATGATGTAAATTCAGGCTGGGCACAGTGGCTCACGCCTGTAATCCCAGCACTTTGGGAGGCCAAGGCGGGCAGATCACCTGGGTGAGGAGTTTGAGACCAGCCTGGCCAACGTGGTGAAGCCCCATCTCTAGTAAAAAATACAAAAGTTAGCCAGGCGTGGTGTCGTGCCTGTAATCCCAGCTACTCGGGAGGCTGAGGCAGGAGAATCACTTGAACCCGGGAGGCAGAGGTTACAGTGAGCCGAGATCCCGCCATTGTACTCCAGCCTGGGTGACAGAGTGAGACTCTGTCTCAAAAAAAAAAATTATGCAAATTCATAAGAATCTAATATGTTATCAGTAATAATTTGGTTATGTTAAATCTTTTTAAAAGTTTTATTTGTATGAATATGTTATTAATTTGAGTATTCTAAAGATTATATGAAATTTATAAAAGTCTGATGTTCCTGATGTGACTGTCAGTCATGATACTGGTTATCATCTTAAAATGCTGCATGTAATTGGAATATCTAAATTTCCTCATTATATGGAACTTTTATGAAATTTTAACCGTGGATATTCTAAATATTTGTCATCCATGGTTATTGTTTTGAATTATTCTCTAAAAGCATTTGCAACCAATGACAGACCAAACTTGCTTTTTATGGAAAAGACTCTAGCAAGTACTCTTGAGCACAGATTTCTGATAACTTTAAAATCATTGGACTGAAAACATATTTCCAGAACTCTAATAAAGAGATTGATGGGTTCATAAAACTGCTAATCAAGATCAAGCGAAACAAAAAATTAATTATGTAAAATTAATTAATTAACTGATCAAAATAATGTTTTTATGATTTATTTAAAACACTTTTGGTTCTTCACTTAAATATTTTGTTTTCAAATTTAAGGAAGCTTTTTTTCATAAGCTAGCTATCTATAGTTTACAATAATTTGGTAATTATTGTGAACAATAATTTTGTTCACAAAATTATTTTGTGAACAAAGATGTAAGCACTTGCTTTCTCTCCCATCTAATTACTCCAAAATTCAGAAACTATTCATAAGTATTCTTATTTTTTATCATATGATTGTTTCCATAAGTTCAATTAAAAAAAAGAACTGTCCTCTCCTTATAAGCAGGATACAATTGGAAACATTGGTTTTACTACCAAGGCTTTGGCTAAAATGTCATATTTAAGAAGGTGCATAAAACATCTGGCTTCCAGAGTTCACAATTTTACTGTAGTTAAGATTATCACTTCATGGAAGTCCAAATAATCTTAAGACTGTAAGTAAAATCTAAAGTCTGCTTTGGTTTGGCTTCCTAGCATCAAGAAGTTTTTAAGTCTAAAACCCCTATATGATCAATGTAGAGAGAAAAAGGTATGTTTCTAAAGAAAAACTATAATAAACCTGTTATTAGATTGTAGCTCTGTGCATTGTTTTCAGGTTCTTTTTGTCTACCTGTAGACTTGAGTAGATCCTGAATTCTCCTCATTTCCTTCAATATTAGGCTACAACTTTCCAACTAAAAACAAACACAGAAAACTTTTCTTTTCCTAAATCCCTATAAGCTGAAACTAGATGAATTTCAGAAAACAAGCCTCATGTCTGATCGATGGGCCACACCAAAGTTCAACAAATCACCCAAAGTTATGATCAGACACATTCAAACTGCAAAGCCAGAGAAGCTGACATTTTCATACTATAGACAGATTTCCCCCAAGATGTTGGAATAAAACTTTATAACACAATGAGAGTCTTATCCCACTTAATGCCTACCTTTTTACTTGGCAGTATAACAGCGTAATTGAAATTTTACAATCAATACCTTCTGCTAGTAACTTAACAGAAACTATTCTAAGAATTTTAACCAATTCATTGGTTAAATAAGAAAATGTCTGTGCTATTGCCAATACTACAGGCTGTACCTGGAAAAATTTCTGCGGAAAAGTTGAGACCCATGTACACAAAATAAGAAAACAGGCCACATGGTTACAACAGGTCTCACTTAATTCTCTATGGTAATTTGATGTATTCAATTTGTTATCTTTAAGCCTAGGTTCATGGCTCAAAATCATTATGCAAACTACAACTGTCATATTACTATTAATTTTACTTTGTATGTTCCCTTTTTAAACTTTGTGTCCGTTACTTGTTAAATTTTTGCAGAAGTACAACTCCTAACAAAAAGAGAAGGCCCAGCACTTTGAGATGATAACAAAATGCTACAGAAAAAACAAAATTAAACTTAATAATGGATTCCTGGTAGACTTAACCTGAGAGCCACTCCCTTCAAACCTTCTTTATTGCTAAAACATGGCTAAAAGGGTTTTGACACTGACTCCTAGTCACCAATCACTCCCCACAACCAGGACAGGTTTATCCCAGCACCAAGGGACATTAAGACCTACCTACAGGATGATTGATCAGTGAGTGATGCTTTTGGACAAAGATCTTGACCGAAAGGAGGAAATGTGAAAGTTATCAGAATCAAAATGAAGTCACTAACGTTTAAACAAACAAAAAGCCTGACAAATAGAGCCATGAAGAGAGGTTTTCATGCTTTTATATCTGATAATAACAAAAGCTATCACAAAAGACTCTGCAAAAACTACCTCTTTGCATAAGACCATCACAACCATACACAAAAAAAGGCTTCTGCAAGGACATCTGCCCAGCAACTGCTTGCTCAACCTCAGACCGGTGTCACCCTTGTCTTTGATCCTTCTAGCTAAGTATAATTATTTCAAAACAATGATGTAATCCCCCTCATTTTTTTACTTTAAAAACCTTTGTCTTCCTTTACATCCTTGAATATGCACATAATTTACTATGGCATGCATATTCCCATTACAATGCTCTATCCCCACATAAATATCTTTTTCTCTTAGAGAGCCTCTTTTTGTGTGTTATTTAGGTTGACACATCCAAGCAAATTTGTTAAACCCAAGGAGGAGAAGCATGGGAACCTCAGGTTATACAAAGTTGGTTAGGAGTGTACATGATAACCTATTGCTTGTAATTGGCATCTGAAGTGTGGGCTGAGCTCTTAGCCTGTGAGATCTCCAGATAGATAGTGTCAGAATTGAATTGAATCATAGGACACCCAGCTGGTGTCTGTTGGATATGTTGCGGGGGAAACCCCTCACACATCTGGTCACATAAGTGTTCTGTGTTGACTGTGACAGTATAGCAGAAAGAAAAAAAGAAAGCTTGTTTTTCCTTCAGATAGACTAAGCAGTTAGTATGTATCATGTTGATATAATTATGTCTCATAACTACCCTGAAAGATAGAAAATGTTATCGTCATTTTACAAAGGTTTAAACCCAAACTCAGACTTTTCCCCTCCCAGAATGCTCTCTGACTGGATATCAGCATTGTTCTCACATGTAGTATACTCACTTTAAAAGCACAACCTAAATGAATTAAAGAATAGCGCAACATTTTCTGACCTAGAATTGGTATGCCTTAAGCATTGCTTTAAATGCATGCTACCTTGTTTACCTTTATTAACTTTACACACATAAACCTGTGAGTTTAGATCCCAGAAATGCTTTATTCCCATTTTGTAAAGGGGAATTTTTTAACCCACTAGCTTATTATATCTTTCTTCCAATGTGTATTCTAGCTCCATGCTTTTTAAACTAATGCTAGGATTCTCAAACCAAGGTTCACCATGAGGATCAGGCATTCTTTAGATAAAGCTATTTCCTTATTAACATTATTAACCTCTCTTATTATCTTGTGGAGAAATCTATTACAAAAACTGTATTAGTTGGAATAGACTGGGTTATATGGTAGTAACAAATTAATCCTGAATTCTCAGTGTCTTAACATAGTTAAAGTTTTTGTTTGTTTGTTTGTTTTGTTTTGCTTTGTTTGAGACTAGGTCTTGCTCTGTAGCCCAGGCTGGAATATGGTGGCAAGATCACAGTTCACTGTAGCCTCAAACTCCCAGGCTCAAGCAATCCTCTCACCTCAGCCTCCTGAGTAGCTAGGACTACAGCATTTTCCACTATGCCCAGCTAACTTTTTTATTTTTTGTAGAGGCAGAATCTCACTATGTTGGCCAGGCTGGTCTCGAACTCCCAGACTCAAGCAGTCCTTCTACCTCAGCTTCCCAAAGTGCTGAGATTGCAGGCATGAGCCACCACACCTGGCCAATAGTGAAAATTTATTTCTTGCTCATTATACATGTCTATTACAGGTCAGCAAAAGTCCCTGCTCCACGTAGTCACTCAGAGACCTAAGTTGGCCAATGCCCACCAACTTGTAGATGCCCCATAGGGAATACACAACTTCCTCAATCAGGAGAAAAAAGAGACTAGAAAATTATACATAGACTTTTTACTACCTCTGCCTGAAGATCAATTTGGCTTTCATTTTATTGACCAAAGCTAGTCACATGAGCTCACTAACTACAAGGGGGCTGGAAAATGCAAGAGGATCAAATGAAACAATTGATAAGTGTTACTGGCTCTGTTACAAATCATATAATAATTTTCTAGGCTTTCATTTATCTTCTACTCCTTTGACTTAGAGGACAAAATGAATTATTGGTCACAGTGAATAAACTCACTTTAAAATTTTGTTTTGTTTTGCTTTTGATGCCCATTTAGAATCTGTATATATTTGCATTTGCTTAAGCATTATTCTGGAGGTGGGGAAGTGGTTTCTTCATGTATCAGCTAACAATTTCCATTGAGGCAAAATAGGAATCTGTAATATTCACTCTTTTACATTACCTTTATTATTTGACACTATGATTTAGATATATGACCCTACTCTGAAAATAAGGAAGATATTCTTTTATATGTAGATGACATGCCTCTATTTCAAGTACTCCAAGATTGGCTTTAAGAGAGAATCAACCTTCCTATCCCATTACTTCCCAAAAAGGAGCTAGAGACCAAGTACTCTAGAATTAAACCATTATTTTTGTTCACTATTACCCAACAGTAAACTGGTTCATAATTTACAACTCCATAAGTCCATTATCAATATTTTACACTTTAACTTAATATGTTCACCAGGAAATTATATTTCTTAAAGTTATACACTCTGTGGTTCCTTTTCTGAAATAGTTTTATGGCTAAGGCCAATGTTCAATTATAGTTGCCCAAAGTTTTTCCAAGGTAAAATAATTGTGGACATGATTAGAGTGATGGAATTTGACCTTCTGAGATCTCATTTATCTGTGTTTTAGAGCTCATCACATATTACTTTTGGAGAAGAATCTTGCCCTCTGCAAAGGTGTTGCCACAGGCATCTCTGTGCAGAGGTGAGGTGGCTGCCTTGTTAGGATTCTGAACTGTGCTCCCAGTCATTCCTAACTAATACCTGAGTGGCCTACTAAATGACTAATGACTAGGTAGCATATACAGCGTGTTTATGTTGGACAAAGGGATGATTCACATCCCGGGCAGGACAGAGTGCGATGGCAGGAGATTTCACCACACTGCTCAGAACAGCCTACAATTTAAAATGCATGAATTATTTCTGAAATTTTCCATTGGATATTTTCAAATCATGATTTACTTTAGTATTAAATCATGGAAAATGAAATCGTGGGTAAGAAGGGACTACTGTACTCACAGTTATGGCCTGAACTTAACAAGAGAATGAAGGGCCTCTCACTATGTTCTGTGCTCCAAACTTGCTCTTAGCTTTATGTTACTTTCTTTTTTTTTTTCTTTTTTCTTTTTTTACTTTAAGTTCTGGGATACATGTGCAGAATGTGCAGGTTTGTTACATAAGTATACATGTGCCATGGTGGTTTGCTACACCTATCAACCCTTCATCTAGGTTTTAAGCCCTGCATGCATTAGGTATTTCTCCTAACGCTCTCCCCGCCCTTTCCCCCAACCCCCTAACAGGCTCTGGTGTATGATGTTCCCCTCCCTGTGTCCATGTGTTCTCATTGTTCAACTCCCACTTATGAGTGAGAACATGTGGTGTTTGGTTTTCTGTTCCTGTGTTAGTTTGCTGAAAATGATGGCTTCTAGCTTCACCCATGTCCCTGCAAAGGACATGAACTCATTCTTTTTTATGGCTGCATAATAGTCCATGGTGTATATATGCCATATTTTCTTTATCCAGTCTATCACTGATGGCATTTGGGTTGGTTCCAAGTCTTTGTTATTGTGAACAGTGCTGCAATAAACATACATGTGCATGTGTCTTTATAGTAGAATGATTTATAATCCTTTGGGTATATACCCAGTAACGGGATTGCTGGGTCAAATGGTATTTCCGGCTCTAGATCCTTGAGGGATCATCACACTGTCTTCCACAATTGTTGAACTAATTTACATTCCCACCAACAGTGTAAAAGCGTTCCTAAACCCTGATGTTCCATTTACTCTGGTTCCCTCATTTTATTTTGCTTTATTATTTGTAGCTTTTTAAGCTGTTAAAACCTTTTTGGAACCACACAAGGTATCAACTGACCTTTCAAAGTTTACTAATAGAAGGCCAGATGTGGTGGCTTATGCCTGTAATGCCAGCACTTTGGGAGGCTGAGGCGGGCAGGTTGATTGAGGCCAAGAGTTCGAGACCAGCCTGGCCAACGTGGTGAAATGTCCTCTCTACTAAAAATACAAAAATTAGCCGGGCTGGTGGTGCACACCTGTAGTCCCAGCTACTCAGGAGGATGAGACAGGAGAATCGCTTGGACTTGGGAGGCGGAGGTTGCAGCGAGCCTCCCAAGGTGCACCACTGCACTCCAGCCTGGGTGAGACTATCTCAAAAACAAGCAAACAAACAAACAAAAAGTTCACTAATAAGAAGGCATACATTAGTTATAGAAAACTTGACCTAGTATATGCCTGTTCTTTCTTCCTATCTTTCTTCCTATCTCCCCTCACCTTTCACAGTTGCATTTTCAATTACAAAAGAAAGACATGTCTTTCATGCATTCCAAAACTGACTGTATTGAATCGCCTTGAGAATGAAAATTCTAGAGTGAAAACATAGGGAGAATTCAAAATATCTGTGTTGATGAAGCCATCCTTTTTTTTCTTTTTCTTCAACTTTTAAGTTCCAGGGTACGTGTACAGGATGTACGTGTGCTTACTGTTACACAGGTAAGCAAGTGCCATGGTGGTTTGCTTCACAAATCATCCCATCACCTAGGTGTTAAGCCCAGCATCCACTATCTATTCTTCCTGATGCTCTTCCTCCCCCCCACCAACCCCCTCCCCACAGGCCCCAGTGTGCGTTGTTCCCCCGCATGTGTCCATGTATTCTCATCATTCAGCTCCCTCTTGTAAGTGAGAACATGCTGTGTTTGGTTCTCTGTTCCTGTGTTAGTTTGCTGAGGATAATGGGATGAAGACATCTTTAATGAGGACACCATAAACCCACAGTAGGTCTTAGCATTTTTCTCTGTCTTAAACCTATTTCTCTCTTTTTTTTTTTTTAAATCCTTAGGGGGATCCTTTATTTCATTCACCTCCTCCTTACAAGGTGGAATTTTAATAAGTACAGGTTGTGTCTGCCAATTCAGTCCATGACTCAGAGTATCACCTTGTCCTCATTCCATAGCATAAGCTGTTCTTGGGGGAGAGGCCCGAGGGTCGTGGATTCACTGGACTAGATGGGACATGATCCAGAACTTTACTACATTTGGCTTCCCAAGGATCCCACCACCTCCTTCTAATCAGTGATCATCGAGGAAACGCATTGTATTCCTATTCACTATTTCAAAGATCAGGCCTACCTCACTGGCATATCAAGAAAGTTTTCTCAAGTATATTTAGTGTTTATAATTTTCCTATAGTTCTTCAAATGTATGACATTCATCTTTTTCCCTACCTCTAAATTCCTTTCTTTTTCACATTATCTTTCTTGATTGCTTTTTAGTAGAAAAACAAAGACATGGATTTATTGTGCATATTAGCAGGTCCATCCTGGAAAATGCATGGAGGTTTCATACACATCACTTACAGTAACAGCTCAGAGTATAAAGTCGAGAAGGAAGAATCTGAAATATTAGACTTATTCTGAAATAAGCTTACCTAGGATGATACCACTTTTGATCAGAATTTCCACTTTCCAACTAGTTAACAGTGGTAAATATATAAAATCTGGTAGTTAAAATACATAGTAGTCACTTCATATTACTGCCTCCCCCAACCCACCCAACTTCTGAAGAACAGAGCTTTTTCAAGTTTTGTTCCCCTTTAAGTTTTAATTTAAAAAAAAATAATAAAAAGGTTTTTTTTGTTTTTTGTTTGTTTGTTTTTTGAGACAGAGTCTCGTTGTGTCGCCCAGGCTGGAGTGCAGTGCAATGGCGCAATCTCGGATCACTGCAACCTCCAACTCCCAGGTTCAGGTGATTCTCCTGCCTTAGCCTCCCAAGTAGCTGGTACTACAGGTGCCCGCCACCACGCCTGGCTATTTTTTTTTTTTTGTATTTTTTTAGTAGAGACGGGGTTTCACTATGTTGGCCAGGCTGGTCTTGAACTCCTAACCTCGTGATCTGCCCGTCTCGGCCTTCCAAATTGCTGGGATTACAGGCTCGAGCCAGAACGCCCAGCTGAAAAAAAAAACTTTTAAAAAGTCATGCTGTACCAATATATCCCCAGAGAGAACTGCAATTTACCAAGGTTTTCATGTGTTTTGAGAGAAATCTTACTGAAAGAATAGTAATGTCCATTTTCCAGTAAATACTGAGTGAAAAACAATTTTTATACCCCAATCTGAGGTATAAACTTGCTTTTTTAGGAACACAACTGCTGTAAATTAGACAATTGTAGCAACCATCCAAGACAATAACAACGCCTATGACAGTCTGGCATATTCTGGTGAGTGTCTATCAAAGCTCATCATGATTTTTTGTGGGATCTTCCCCATAATTGGTAGTTTGGCTTCCAACAAACATGTTCCAGTTCTCCAATATTTCCTCTTTAGCCTCTGATTCTTGTTTTTGTCTGACTCATATATACTAGATGCCTGGCCTCACCCTGTGCATGATCATAATCTTGAGAGAGGATCCAGTGGCGAATCTCGTCTTTGTCCAACTTCCGGTCCTTGTTCAGATCCCGGAATTCGTTAAATTGCTCCAGTTCTGATAAAACCCAGTCTGGCTCAGAGCCATTCTCATGGGAAAACATAACCACAATATATTCATCCTGATCCACAAACCCATCACCGTTCTTGTCGTTGTCCTCCAGGGTTTCCAAAACCACAATTTCCTTCATATGCTCAAACTCTTCGGTATGCAGAAAGGCAGTGAACTCCTCCCGAGTGGCTGTCAGGGCGCCATCGAGGTCTGCAGCTTTGAATCTTCTCTCGTCACGCGGCAGCATCTTTTTAAAGGTGTAATGATCTGAAGAATCATGAAACTCCGCGGGGTTTCCTAGGTCATAGGTGGCTTGTTTGTATTCTTCCTAGTAAATTTTATCATCCTTGTCCCTATCGTAATCCCGCCAGACTTTGGCGACATCATCGAAGATGTATCTTTTCTGCACCCGTTTGATCCAGGTTTTCAGCTCCTCAGTAGTGCCAAAGCCATCTCCATCATTGTTGATTCGATCAACAATCTTCCCCAGCCTCTCCTTGCTCTTGTCCGGGGTGAGCTGGTCGAAGGTCTTAGAGTCCTCCTTGCCCAGGAAGGCCTCATGGCGGTACCGGAAGCTCCGGTTGACCTCTGGAAGCCGCTCGCCCAGCTCCGAGTCAGGCCGCACCACGCGCTCCTTGCGCACGGTGGGCTTGGCCCGCAGCGCCCGCAGGCCAGCACCAGCGCCAGCAGCATCTCCAGGACGAGCCCGAGGACTAGCCCCAGGCGGCGGCTGCGGCCACCGCGCGCCATCGTCCAGAGGAGAGGGCGTCCGGGAGGGAGGCGCCGAGTGAGCGACAACAGCGGTAGCTCGGGAATGGGGTCTCGCAGCGCGGCGGCGGCGGCGGCGGGCCTGGGGCCGGCGCGGAGGAAGGGACCCGCCAGTCCCTCCGCCAGGGCCCGCCCCGCGCCGGAACAGAGGTGCGCGCCCCCCGGGCCTCGGGCTGGGAAGCTACGGGCAGCCAATCTGTTTCTATTCATAGTGAACCATAGATGTATGATTGAGTGGGGCCGCAAAAATCATGGCAGTTTTGCTCAACAACCTCATCTCTTCCAACTTCTACACATAATCACAAAATGCATTACCCTAAACAATAGATTCTTCTCGGAAGAAAAGAGACTCAGACAAGTGGCAGTCCGTTATTTCATTCTGTAACAAACTCCTGCCAAAGCTTCATGACTTACCTAAATATTTATCTTGGTCTTAAAATTAGGAAGGAAGATTTTAATTATTGGGATGTATATTAACTCATATATTTCATTCAAAAATGAAGTCTTTTTTTTTATTCTGATGGAAAGTAAGCGTGAATCTCCGCACAGTGACTCATGCCTGTAATCCCAGCACTTTGGGAGGCTGAGGAAGAAGGATTGCTTCAGTCCAGGAGTTCAAGACCAGCCTAGGCAACATAGTGAGACTCCATTTCTAAAATAAATAAATAAATAAATAAATAAATGCCTGTAGTCCCGGTTACTCAGAAGGCTGAGATGGGAGGATCGCTTGAGCCTGAGAGATTAAGGCTGCAGTGAGTTGTGATCGCACCACTTCATTCCAGCCTGGGCAACAGAGTGATACCCATTCTCAAAAAAAAAAAAAAAAAAAGGAAAGTATGATTTGGCTCATTGGTTTGACAAAACGACTGGTTTGGCCAATTATTTTACACTTTGGATGTTTTCCATAGATTGAATGAACTAACCCTGAAGCTCCAAGAATTTTACCAAAAATAAGTAAATCACATATCAGGTGAAATATTATATTTGCAAAGGTGAACTAACAACTTTTAGATTTTCCTAGCATTTTCTGTGTATATTGAGATGCCTCTGAGTGAAAGAGTAAGAGGAACTAATAATCATCTGATAACTCTTAGTGAAGCCTCTTTGGGAGACTTCCCAGAAATGAAATTACTCTAATGACTGAGCAACAAATATATTTGCAAGTTAGGTAGTTTCTAATTCCATGATTTCAACATAATTGAAGGAGCACCTAATTGTGTTGTCAATGAGATAATTTAAAATAAAAATGCGGCCTGGCGCAGTGGCTGACTCCTGTAATCCCAACACTCCGGGAGGCCAAGGTGGACGGATTGCTTGAGCCCAGGAGTTTGAGACCAGCTTAAGCAACATGGTGAAACTCTATCTCTACAAAAAAAATATATAAAAATTA
Organism: Homo sapiens; assembly: GCF_000001405.40. Lineage (NCBI taxonomy): Eukaryota > Metazoa > Chordata > Mammalia > Primates > Hominidae > Homo > Homo sapiens. The sequence goes on from NC_000006.12 coordinate 87,124,097, forward strand.
GCCAGGCATGGTGGCATTTGCCTTTAGTCCCAGCTACTCAGGAAGCTGAGGTTGGAGGATCGCTTGAGCCTGACAGGTTGAGACTGCAGTGAGCCGTGACTGTGCCATTGCACCCCAGCCTGAGTAACAGAGTGAGACCCTGTCTCAATAAATAAATAAATAAATAAAAATAAACAAAAAATTAAAAATTAAATAATAAAATAAAAATACAATTTTTTAGCACATAACTTGAACGAAGTTTTAAAAATTGAATAATATTGCCACAATAAAACCTTCTATTCCCCTTAGTTACTTATGGGAGTAAAGATTTCTCAGATTGTACATCATTAAAATTAAAAAATAGAATCGATACTGAAAATCCCGTCTTCTTCTAGTGAGAAGTAATCATAAGTAATAGTAATCCACAGACAGACTTAAAATGTGGGTAGTAAGAGTCGCCACATCATAGTATTGCTGTGAAGAGTAAGTAAACTAAAAGGAAAAGGATTTAGACAATGCCTGGCACATAATAAATGTCAATATATGTTAACTACTTCTATTATTATTCCTATTATCATTATTACCACTGCAGGTGGCATAGAGGTAACAATGATGTAACTAACAGCTATCTCCACATGCATTTCCAAAATGGTTTGTATTAATAATTAGTTACCAAATCATAACATATATACATTGTTTTGGTATATTGGTACTGAAAATCATTTTAAAACCTCAATCTAGAAAAGCATTTTTAGCATAGAGCCCTACAATCACAGAAAATGAAAGTGTCTTAGGTTCGGTTTTTATACATATTTTTGTGGCAGAGAAGTATAAAATGATTTATTAAAGATTTCTAAGCATTAAAATACATTACTTTAGGGTAAAATTATACTTTAGGGAAATATAATTGAAATGAGTTCAAGAAAAAAGCTGACGATGTGCATTTCTATGTTAAAGAAGAGTTTACTTATGTATTTTTTAATGGTTTATGATAAATATTAAATTGGTACAGCTTTTGGATTTCATGTGATATATTTAACAGAGTGATATAACCATTTTACTTTAAAATGTCAGAATAGGCAGGAAATTATACACTTTGCAACTACTTAAGCCTACGTTGGAAAATTTTCTTAAAAATGTTATTGACCGGGCACACGTATTTTGAAAATATTAAGAACACTTCCCTGGAGCTCCGTCTTTGATTTTCCACTCAACTGTACAACCACCCGAGTTGTAGAGTTTACTCACACTCATTGTTCAATTAGCCTCTTTGTAATCAACTCTAACTGTTGAAGGAGTCTCTGAACAGGCATCTCCGCATGTGAGCTTTCATTTAGTTTATATTCCCAAGTATCTATGGAACATCTCCAGTTATTGTTTTACTAACAACCTCAAGCATGACTCGTTGAAACCAAACTTATTTCTCTTCCAAACTCTTACCCTGTATTTGTTAGTACATTTTTTAATGACAAAGGACCCAATACAAATGAAGTTTGTTAAAGGGAATCTATTGGCTCACACAACTAAAACCTTGAGTGAGAGAGAGAGTTTGGACATGACTGGATTCAAGACTCAAGTCTTATTTTCGAAGTTTGGCCTCTCTCCACACCCTGACTTTTTCTTCTGTTGTGGTGGTAGCAGGCACAGTGTCCATGTGATAGCAAGTGGCTGCCACAACTCCAGATTTAACAGTCTCTGAGCTCTAAACTCAGCAGGCAAGAATATCAACCTCCATCTTAGAAACTTCATTTCATCAAAAGGGGCCAGGCGCAGTGGCTCATGCCTGTAATCCGAGCACTTTGGGAGGCCAAGGCGGGTGGATCACTTGAGACCAGGAGTTCAAGACCAGGCTGGCCAACATGGTGAAACCCCGTCTCTACTAAAAATACAAACATTAGCCAAGCGTGGTGCACGCGCCTGTAATCCCAGCTACTTGGGAGGCTGAGGTGGGAGAATCACTGGAACCTGGGAGGTGGATGTTGCAGTGAGCCAAGATGGTGCCACTGCACTCCAGCCTGGGCAACAGAGCGAGACTCCATCTCAAAAAAAAAAAAACCCACTAGGCATTCTCACTTCCACTGCAACCTAGTTCTACAATGACTCTTCCTCTAGTTGGTCCCCACACTTATTTTGTCACTGGAATATGATGGTTGTTAACAGTGAAGACAGAAGAAGCTATCTGGGCTTGAATTCCACCTGCATGCTTTCCTAGCTTTGCAAATTTGGGCAGGTTTACTGAACTACTCTTTGCTTTAGTCTCTTCACCTATAAAATGTGGGTAGTAGTAGTACCCTCTTCATAAGGTTGCTGTAGGAAGTAAATAAGCTAATTTACATAAAATACCCAGATAATATCTGGCACATAAAAACTTACCTATGTACATTAGCTATTGCTATCATAAATATTATTCCCCCTAACATTTATCACATAGGTGACAAAGATTAGTAATGGGAGCACTTTAGCCCATGCACATCAGTTCATGCCTGGTCTCACACTGCTTTTCCATCTTTATTTTCTGTTATGAGCCACTATTCAGTTACTCTAGGAGGCTGTCATCCATTTTTCCTCACATTCCCTGTATTTACTATTTTCCGTTTCTCTGTTTTGTTCAGTCTATTGATTTTTCCTGAAATGCTTCTGCTTTGTATATCTAGGATGCCATGGTTTGGTATTGGTGTTTATGTTTCTTTTGATTTGGTTTGTGCTAAAATAATTGCAGGCTGAGTTGCAATTTTCAAACCAATAAAAGGCAAAATAGTCAAAAGCATGCCTATTCCTAGTCTGACATTTGGTAATAGCCAATGCAACCATTTTTTCTAGCAGCAAAATTGGGAACTTGTTGAGAAAGAGAGAGAGATTGAGAAAGAGATATTGAGAGGGAGATATTGAGAGAAAGGGAGCAATACTGAAAGAGAGAAATTGAGAGAATGCTACTGGTAAACAAATACACACACACACACACACACACACACACACACACACACACACCCCATTATGAAACCTGAGCAGAACATGCTGTTAACTGTTCGGGGGCAAACTGGAGTTTGGTGGAGTGAGCTAGCATTCTGGAATGAATAGGCTAAGCATCCCATAATTGACTACTCTCATCTCCTGACAATCTGTGGGACCAAAAATGTGTGCTAATAGGATTACTTACTTTCTCTACTTTGTCAGAAACAAGGACATTTGAAAAAGTTGTGGAAATTTTGAGTGTGTTCCTATGACCAGCTTCACAAGACAAAATTGTCCCAATGGTTCTGTGCCTAGAGTCGCTCTGGGGGAATGTCTACATAACTCCTTTCGGGGATACCATAACTGCTCCTTTGTACTCTATACTTTGTGCAAAACAGGTTCTATGACCTCAGTTATAGTTGAAAAAGTATTACTTGGCACAACTCTGTAATAATTCTTAGCCAAAACAGAGTTTTGGCATTTTAAAAAACAAAGTAATATAGGTTTGCAATCCCACAGTTCTACATCTGAAGTCTAAAACTCTCCCAAAACTGAAAATGCATTCATAACTCACTTGGCAGCAAAACCTGACCTGACCTGGACTCATTTAGCAGCAAATCCTGTCTGAAATTGAGATCATTTATAATGTTTCTCCTACTTTGTGTCAATATGTTTAGGTAAACTTGTTTAACTTATATGTATATATATATATATATCACATATATCATATATATCAATATATATGATATATGTGATATATAGCGATATATATCACATATATCATATATGACATATATCTATATATGACATGTGTCATATATATGACATATATGTGTCATATATATGTCACATACATGTGTCATATATGTGTGTCACATATATGTGTCATATATGTGTCACATGTCATATGTGTCATACGTGTCACATATATGTCACATGTATGACACATATATGATATATATGTCATTTATCATATGTATGATATATATGACATATATATTTATCATATGTATGCTATATATGACATATATTTATCATATGTATGATATATACATGACATACATATGATATTTATCATATATATGATATATATGACATACATATGACATTTATCATATATATGATATATACATGACATACATATGACATTTATCATATATATGATATATATGACATACATATATTTATCATATATGATATATATGACATACATATGATATTTATCATATATGATATACATATATGACATATATGATATATATAATTATGATATATACCATATATCATATATATGGTATATATGATATATGATATATAATATGTGATATATACCATATATAATATATCATATCTATCATATCTATCATTGATATGATAGATATGATATGTATCATATATATGATATATATATCATAGATATCATAGATATCATATATATCATAGATATAGATATCATATATATCATACATATGATATATTATATATGATATATTATATATGGTATATATCATATATGATATATATCGTATATATGATATATATCATATGTACTATATATGATATATACCATATATATCATATATATCATATATATCATGTATATCATATATATCAAGTATATCATGTATATGTATATCATGTATATGTATATCATATATGTCATATATATGTATATCATATATGTATATCATATATGTATATCATATGTCATATATGTATATCATATATGTCATATATATGTATATCATATATGTCGTATATATGTATATCATATATGTCGTATATATGTATATCATATATGTCGTATATATCTATATCATATATGTCGTATATATCTATATCATATATGTCGTATATATCTATATCATATATGTCATATATGTATATCATATGTATCATATATACGGTATATCATATGTATCATATATATGTATATCATATATACGATATAGATGTATATCGTATGTATCATATATATGTATATCGTATGTATCATATATATATCGTATGTATCATATATGTATATCGTATGTATCATATATATGTATATCGTATGTATCATATATATGTATATCGTATGTATCATATATATGTATATCGTATATATCATATATATGTATATCATATATGATATCATGTATATCATATATCATGTATATCATATATATTATATATGGTATATATATCATATATCATAACTCCTTTCGGGGATATCATATATATATAAAATAAACATATATATAGTGAAACTGAACAGATTTGAAAACATCTGTCAAATACAGTCATCCTTTCACTGTGCATTTGATCTATTAGATAAGGGCTGAGGTTGAGGCTGGATTTTAAAACATTTCAAATGGATAATGACGAGCACCATAAATTAATTTACATTTACATTTCCAGATTATGAGAAACTTTTTAGAATCTGCTTTCCTTATAGTTTCAAGGAAATGCTGGTAAACTTGTTTAACTTTTCTATAGGTTAATAGACATCCTAAAAGTTATTCTTTTTGTGTGCCTGCTTCTTCATTCAAATATTTAAAGCTTTTCTGCTTTTATGACCCAGTACTGTTTACTATTGGCCCCCAGAATCCCACTGTAGGCCTAAAGGCAGTCCCCAGTTCACCTGACCCTTTAGAGGTATCTCAGTTCCTTGCTTCTAACAGATGTAGCAGGGTGGTTCCCAGAGTTGGATTTGTTTTCATCTTTCTTTCTCTAGCTTAATTTCTAAACTTTTGTTCTCCTAATATGCCATCAATATTTTTGCCATTTTCCTATTTTCTATTTCTAATTCTCTCTTTTTATTTTCTATTTCTAATTCTCTCTTTTTATTTTGTATTTTGTGTTTTATTTTATTTATTTATTTATTTTTGAGATGGAGTTTCGCTCTTATCCCCCAGTCTGGAGTGCAATGGCATGAGCTCACTGCAACCTCCGCCTCCCAAGTTCAAGCCATTCTCCTGCCTCAGCCTCCCAAGTAGCTGGGATTACAGGCATACACCACCACTCCCTGCTAATTTTTATATTTTTAGTAGAGACGGGGTTTCACCATGTTGGCCAGGCTGGTCTCGAACTCCTGACCCCATGTGATCTGCTCACCTCAGCCTCCCAAAGTGCTGGGATTACAGATGTGAGCCACTGTGCCCAGCCTATTTATTTATCTTTTTGAGACTCTGTCTCCATCTGTCACTCGGTTTGGAGTGCAGTGGTGCAATCATGGCTCACTGAACCCTCAACCACCCTGGGCTCAAGTGATCCTCCCGCCTCAGTCTCCTGAGTAGCTGGGACTACAGGCATATGCCAATATGCCCTGCCACATTTTGTATTTTTTTGTAGAGACAGGATTTCGCCATGTTGCCCAAGCTGGTCTCGAACCCTTGGGCTCAAGCCACCTGCCTGTCTTGGCCTCCCAAAGTGCTGGGATTATAGGCCTGAGTCACTGTAACAGCACTCTTTTCTTAATTGCCCCCCAAAACAATCAGTAACCTATTTTAGAAATAAAATTTTCATGCTTACCAAAACACATAATCAGAAATGAGGTTAAGTATACCAGAATTTCATATAAAGGGAACTTGCACTTGAAGAAAAATTACTGTCCTTACAAGTCTTCAAAAGTAGCTTCTAGTCATTACTTTCATGCAGACATCCCCTGATTCTGTATATATAGCACAGTCACCATAATTTATGAGATAATGTGACTTTCCCCAAAAGGTGGGGCTGATAATTTATGTTCCTGGCTTAGGAATGGCTTAGATAACTCAAGCAGTTTCTCTCCTACACATGCCCTCATACCTGATTCAAGCCATTGAACCAATCTGGGATTCATTGAGTCATTCAGTCTGAACATTCTGAAGGTTCTCTACACCACACTTTCCAAGAAGGCATTGCTATAGAGTCTGCTATTGCAGCTCAAATCATAAGCATTAGAGTGCTTTTCAGGTTTATACTTGTTCAACTAGACATACGCATCAAGCAAAAACATCTTGAGCTCTGTATATATGGTAATAAGTAAAGTTTATCATAAACAGAAAGTTTGTAATATGTACAAATTGTAAAAGTGTGGCCCTTACACAGGGAGATGTGAGGCTTCCTAATCTCTGAGCTAACATTAAGGGCTTCTTTTTCATTTGTGCCTAGTTCTGCTGTCTAAGTTATACTCTCTTAAACAGTAACAATTGGTGTCTCTTTGCCACTGGCATTTTGTAATTAGACTCAGCTCCAGCACTGACATGATGATATATAAGTGGTAAAAGACAGTAGTTTATGTTCATGATAATGCATTCCGGTAGACTAAAAGTCAATAATCACTTGACATTCAGAAAGCATCCTCTTGCTGGCAAATGCAATGCTTCTTAGTCAGCTCGGGCTGCCATAACAAAATACCATAGACTGTGTGGCTTAAACAACAGAAATTCATTTTCTCGAAGTTCTGGTGGCTGGAATCCAAGATCAGGATGCCGGTATGATCGGGTTCTGGCAAGAACCTTTTTTCTAGCTTGCAGAAGATGCCTTCTTGCTGTATCCTCACATGGCAGGGAGAGAAAGAGGGCAAGTTATCTGGCCTCTCTTCTTATAAGGGCACTAATCCCATCATGGGGCCCCAACCCTATGACTTCATCTAAACCTAATTACTGTCCAAAGCTCCATTCCAAATACTATCACACTGAGAGTTAGGGCTTCACATAAGAATTTCGAAGGGACACAAGTTATTCCATAGCAGCTTCATAATACCCTTTCAGAGTAAGTAATGAAATAGTTATGTTTTCTGAGAAAAGCACCTGGAGGAAGTAATGAAGCAACAGAAGCTTAGCCAAGAGGTATAAGTGAAAGGGCTTTCTTAAGAAACTCACACAAACACACACACACACACACCATGATTTCACAATTTAGCACCCAAGAAATTCCCTCAAACTGCAGCACTTGGTCCTTAACATAAGAAGCAATGCACTTGATTCTTTAGGGAAATTTACTTTTCAGAATAATTTTGGTGTTTTTTAACATTGCTGCCTGAAGACTAACCAAGGAGAAAAAACAAAAAGCTGTAATTCCCTTTTGCCTGCTGAAGTGAAGTCGTTTAGTATATCTACATCCACAATTAATCCTTAACAAAGAGCATTTCTTTACTCATTGCTGGATTGAACAACTTAAGAGGAATAAGACTTGTCATTTATTATTGGTTTTTAATTCTTTTGCATTTTTATACTTTCATGCTTTAGTGATTGAGTTTAGCCTAGAAGGGATTCCAGAAATAAAAGATCATCCTTTTGAAGACCTATTCTTTCCTTGACTGCCTTTTTTTTTTTTTTCAGAGTGGGGAGTTGTTTTATTTTTACTAAATAGGTTGCCACCTCCCACCCAAGACCTGCTTTCTCCATGAATCTTACTTCATTGTACTCTGAATTTTTCCTTTCTACGACTCTTAAAACATTGATTGTATGGGCCACATATTATTCCCTCTGTAGTTCTCTAAAATGATCACACATAACATTCAATAAATATTTGTTTAATTCATTGATTTTTTTTTTTTTTTTTTGTGATAGAGTTTTGCTCTCGTTGCCCAGGCTGGAACGATCTCAGCTTACTGCAGCCTCCACCTGCTGGGTTCAGGGGGGATTCTCCTGCCTCAGCCTCCCGAGTAGCTGGGATTACAGGTGCCCGCTACCAGGCCCAGGCTAATTTTTGTATTTTTAGTAAAGACAGGGTTTCACCATGTTGACCATGCTGGTCTCAAACTCCTGACCTCAAGTAATCCACCTGCCTTGGCCTCCTGAAGCACTGGGATTACAGGCGTGAGCCACTGCACCTGGCCTCATTGATATTTTTATAAATAGCTCTAGTTCATTAATTACGTATCTGCTATGTACGGTTTTTAAAATAGAGTTAGGGATGAAAGAACAAGTTGTGTGCAACTGAACTTCTTCCTGGAAGTCTCTTTATTGTTTAGGCTACCCTAAACATCTCATCTGATCCAAAGGGCCTCCTGGCAAAAAGCAGGACACTAGACACACACACTCTTAGATGCCTAAATTTATCTCAATAGTCTATCAAATCATCCCTGTCTCTATCCAGGGATTGGTTTGGAGAGGTGCAGGCCTCTTTTCTAGGGGTCTCTTTTGTTTTATTTCCAATGTTCTCTCCCTCTTCCAGCACAGGAAGAGGTTTTTTGGTTTTTTAATTTGCTCTCAGGTAGGAATTGACAAAGATTTCTTGCTTTAGCCAGGCTCCTGAACCTTCTCTTAGGCCCATCTGTGTACTTCCTTCCAAAATCCAGTTTTAGCAAAGAACCCTAAGTCAGCTTAGCAAGAACCCTCCACTATTGACATGTGATCACCCTTGTTATCCGATCAGGTTGTCATCTTCTGCCATCCCTCAGGTGATGTTGAGTCACCCTGGCCTATCTTCAGCAAGAATCTTGTTTAGGTCTATTTAGTGAGAATCCCTCTCACCACCCTGATATTTCCTCTTATAGTAATTTTTCATCCACTGACCCCATCCTGCTCCTTGGCTATAAATTCCCACTTGTCCATACTGTCTTTAGAGTTGAGACCAATCTGTCTCCATTGCAAAATCCCAGTGCCGTGGTCTCAATACCTATCATGATGGTCCTGAATAACATCTTTAACATGTGTCATTGAATAATTTATTTCTTTAACAAAATGAAGGGAGATGGGGGCAGAGTGGAACTCACTTAGGTATTTTGTCAAATGTTATACTGCCTATATTTTCTGTATTATACTTGGACCTGAACATTTGAACTTAAAAAGCAAGCGAGAAAGCAAACTGTATTAGACAGGGTTCTCTAGAGGGACAGAACCAATAGGATAGATGTATACATAGAGGGGAGTTTATTAAGGAGTATTGACTCACACGATTACAAGGTGAGGTCCCACAATAGGACATCCACAAACTGAGGAGCAAAGAAGCCAATCCAAGTCTCAAAGCTGAAGAACTTGGAGTCCAGTGTTCAAGAGCAGGAAGCATCCAGCACATGAGAAAGATGTAGGCTGGTAGGCTAAGCCAGTCTAGTCTTTCACGTTCTTCTGTTTGCTTTTATGCTGGCCATGCTGGCAACTGATTAGATTGTGCCCACCCAGATTAAGGGTGGGTCTGCCTTTCCCAGTCCACTTACTCAAATGTTCATCTCCATGTCAACACCTTCAATGACACACCCAGGATCAGTACTTTGCATCATTCAATCCAATCAAATAGACACTCAATATTAACAATCACACAAACAAAAACAGGAAGTCGCTACCTTGGTTCTTTGGTTCTGTTGTGATGAACATTGGGGCAATGGTGGCCTAACTACTGGCAAGGGTTAAGGGAACAAAAGAAAATGGAGAAGGACCATATCCATCAATATGGTCATGTCTCAGTATCCCTGGGGGATTGGGTTCAGGACAGCCCCCCACCTCTGAGGATACCAAAATCCACAGATGCTCATCCATTATATGAAATGGTGTATGCACATTGACCTCTGTTCTAATAAAAATTTTTTAAATATATTTTTAATTAAAAAATAAAATAGTGTAGTATTTCCATATAACCTATGCATATCCTCCAGGATATTTTAAATTATCTATAGATTAATTATAATACCTAATACAATGTAAATGCCGTGTAAATGGTTGTGTTGTTTAAGGAATGATAACAAGAAAAAAGTCTGTACATATTCAGTACAGACACAACCATTCTTTTTTTAAAAAAATATTTTCAATCCATGGTTGGTTGAATCTACACATGTGGGATTCACAGATGCAGAGGTCTGACTGTATTTGGAAACATCGTGCAGTCACAGATTATGGCAATTTGGTTCAATGTCAAAGGTATTCTAAAAATTATTGAAGGATTTATTAAAATAATACTTCTGACAAACAGGATTTAGCAATACATTTAAATCCTTATTTTTGAATGAGTCACAAAATTGTTTGTCCTAAATTCCTTCAGTTTTCCTTCATTCATAACTCACAACTTTTTTCTACAAAAATCCATCGACAATTTATATCTGTAAAGTGAAATTTTGATCATTTGATTGCTGTCAAAGCAGTGGTTTGCTTTCAGCAAAAGTGACATTTTGTCCCTGATCAAGTAGGAGGATAGCTGTGTAAGGAGCTGTTATCTTGGTGTTAAAAAATGGAGACTGCATCTCTGACAAAGAATCTATTTGCAAGTCGTTAATCTCAGGGGAGATTTAGAGAAGGAAGTTAATATTTTCTTGCTAAATTCTCCATCATCACAATACCATAAATTAGTTGTAAATAATACAAAGATTTGTGTGAATGAAAAGTATCTATATATGAAGAGCTGGAGGAAAGTAAATTTAGCTGCTGAAGATATATGTTATAAGGCTTTGTATTAGAAAGTGGTTAATGTTACATTCTTCTCCTAATATTTCCTACATTCTTCTTATCGCTAGTCAACTATGTTACAAGAGGAATTTATTACATTCATTATATTCTTATTAATATTTTTAAAAAGAAATATTATATTTATTTTTCATTTTGCCATTTTTATTTTATTTTACCATTTTACCATTTTCATTTGTATTCATTTCATTTTAAATTATTTAAATTAAAAATAATTTAACACCTATTATTTTTACACTAAGCAATGATTCTTAACATAAGGCTGAAATCAATAGACATTTAACAAATAATATACATATGTTTATCATCGATCGAAAACCCGAAGGACCTAATACAGCACGTACTAAAATTGAGTTTCAGTTCATCCTTGATTTTGTATTTTTGGGAAATATTTTTTAGAGGCTTTGGTTTATTTTACTGAGAAAAAATACAATTCTCAATATCGATTGACTAAAATATTCAAGGAAATATACAGAAAAAAGTTATTTATTGCATATTGCTAGAATATGAACATTTAGAACCGTTTCTCCCATGTTCACTCTGCCTCTGGTATTATAGTACAGCAAGCTAATTTGGATTTTGTGTGATTTTTACACAGAAAACCTTCACTTTATAAAAGAGTTCAAAGTAGGGAGTTTTCTTTCCTGGAAAGCAGTACCAAACTAATATCTTTAGAAAAAGCTGCATGAAACATGAAGTTGCATTTGGTTATCTGATTACAATTGACTGCATCCAAGTCAAGAAACCAAAATGAGAAAAGGTAAAAACTTGAATGTCAAGTTATTAAATCAATTATAACACCAGAATTAGAATATGCTATTAATTGATATTAGGAACTGTAGATGGGCCCAAACATTAAAAGAATCTGACTAGTAATTACAAATCCTGGTAATGAAAATCAGGCAACTCCATGTACAGGGAATATACAGAGATGATAGAAATGAGCTATTGCCATACCAGGACTTCAAACTTTTTACATATCAGCTTCTTTATTTGCAGAGTGCCTGGGAATTCCTGCTCTTTCTATATGGTATAATCCTCTTTAATATGGGTACTTATTCTGTTATCGTCCCATCATAGTCCAAACTGCACTACTTCTTTGGGTTCTGGAACCCATCTGCCAGGAGGAATTTCATGGCTAAGTTTTAAACAAAGAATTATGCTTGCATATATTGACATGGTACCACATCAACATTACTAGAAGCACTCTCTCTGGATTTAAAGAAACATGCAGCAATTATTTTTATACATTATCCTCGTTGAATTGAACTCAGTATTATTCGAAATTCTAGTGCTGTATATATATATGCATATATGAGATCATAAAGGAAACTTTCCAGGGAATGTTTTGATAATAGGGTAAAGGAAAAGAAAAGAAGGGACTAAACAATTTGCATAGAATGAAATTTTACAGTTTAGAAAGAAATCTCTGCAAGAAATTGAAAGTTCTGTAGGACTAACAGTAAACTTCATGGGCTCATAAACTCTGTAATTATTTTAACCTCTCCATAAAAGTTCTCAGAGAGCTATCCTCCCCACCCAACCCCGCTTCTCCTATCCACTCTTATGTAAATTAGAGTTAGAGGTATCTTGTTGAAAGACCAACAAACCAAAAGGGGATAAGGCCCACTTGAAATTTGCAGTTTATAAAAAGTCAGGGCCTCTGTTCAAGGCCAGGGATGACTTCTTCTTTCTGCTCCTTCTTCATCTTCATCTTCTTTCTTCTTCTTTCTTCTTTCTTTATTCCTCCTCCTCCTTCTTCTTCTTTTTCTTCTTCTTCTTCCTCTTCTTCTCCTTCTTCTTCTCCTTCTCCTCCTCCACCTCCTTCTGCTTCTTTCCTCCTCCTCCTTCCTCTCCTCCTCCTTCTCTTCCTCCTTCTTCTCCTTCCCCTCGTCCCCTCCTTCCCCCTTCCCCTCCTCCCCTCCTCCCCTCCTTCCCCCTCTTTCTCCTCTTTCTCCTCCTCCTGCTTCTTCTTCTTCCTCTTTTTTTGAGACAGGATCTCACTCTGTTCCCCAAGCTGGAGTGCTATGGCTCAATCTCAACTCACTGCAGCTGCCACCTCCTGGGATCAAACGATCCACTCACCTCATCCTCCCAAGTACCTGATGGGCCAGAACTTCTTGACCTCTCTATGACTAATATTATTTTTGCAGAATATGACACAACTTGAATATATGGCAATCTACAAAAAGTTAGATGCCAAATTAGGGTAACAATCATCACTCCAAACCTTAGTTAATAGTCCTTTAAAATAGGGTGATTTTTCAGAACCTTACATGCTTACAACTAAAAACAGCTTTCATGAATAAGAATAAGGTAGATTCTTACCAGATCAATACCTTGTTTTCAAGAGGCCAGGTTCTCATTCTATGTAACTATGGAAATCAAATTACATAGGAAGGCAGTCTTCCCCAGGGGAAGCTGGTTATACAGGTGAACTTTCTGATACAGCTAGTGATATTGAAATTCTGAATACAGCTATGTTGGTTGAATTTAACACACTCTGATGGGCATATACATCATTCCAGTAAGTTTTGTTTTAGTAAGGGAAACAAAGCATAAATAATTTGATACAAAGGCTTATTTGCCTTCCAACTATATGACACTCAACAAATTTGGAAATATTCTCTGAATCAAGGATCTCTTGTCTATTTCATGTGGCATCCTTTAATTACCTTCAGCAGTAACATATTAGCAGCTAATTTTGATAAATTATTATATGAATCAAATCATTCTTATTTTTCTTTTCTTTTCTTTTCTTTTTTTTTTTTTTTTTTTGAGACAGAGTTTTGCTCTTGTTGCCCAGGCTGGAGTGCGATAGCACAATCTCAGCTCACTGCAACCTCTGCCTCCCCGGTTCAAGTGATCCTCCTGCCTCAGCTTCCCAAGTAGCTGGGATTACAGGCGTGTACCACCATGCCCAGCTAATTTTGCATTTTTAGTGGAGACAGGGTTTCACCATGTTGGCCAGGCTGGTCTCGAACTCCTCACCGCAGGTGATCCACCTGCCTCGGCCTCCCAAACGTGCTGGGATTACAGACGTGAGCCACCGTGCCCAGCCCAAATTATTCTTATTTTTCTAACATCTGCCTTAAATATGTCCATTTTAAAGTTTCCTAATTATACTAAAATTAACCAGTTTAGAGAATATCTTCCTTCCTTTTATGACACTAGCACTAACATTACTTTCCTACGACTGGTGTAACACATTTCTCCAAACTTAGTGACTTAAAACAATACAGGTTTATCCTATAGCTTGAGAGATCAGAAGTCCCAAATGGGTCTTACTATGCTAAAATCAAGGTTTTGGCAGAATTGCATTCCTTCTGGAGGCTCTAGGAGAAAATTTCCTTGCATTTTCCAGTTTCTAGAGGTTGCAGTATTCCTTGGTGTGCGGCTGCACTTCATCTGCAAAGCCAGCAATGGTTGGTCTAGTCCTTCTGATATGGGATGATTCTGACCTCCTCTATGGCCTACCTCTGCCATATTTAAAGGATACTTGTGATTACATTGTACGCACACAGATATTCCAGAATAATCGCCTTAATTCCACTGCAACACTAATTCTCCTTTGCTATATAAGCTAACATATTTATAGGTTCTAGGGATTAGGATATAGACATTTATGGGGACCATTAATCGGACTTCCACGTAACTCCAGTATTTAGTGTAATTTATCATATCCTCCCAGACTTATTTTTGGACTAAAATATATTTCAACTTTAAAAAATGTCTTGGTAGGAAGAGCCAGAAGATAAAGACACACATGAAGAAAACTTTCCCTAGAAGAGATCCAGAGAACCACTTGGAGTTGATACTGGGAATGGGGAAGAGAAGTGATACAAAGATTTCATTGGCAAATCTGAACAACTGATGGCATATGAAGAAAAGGAAAAGGAGTCAAACCTGGACTTAAGGCTTGGTACCTAAAACTTGGAAAGATAGTAGTGCCCTGAACAGAAACAGGAAAGTCAGGAGAAAGCTTAGCTTGAGTGAGGGCAAGGGTGGGAAGGGACTTTGATAAATTCACTGGCAAAACCTCTAGGTGGAGCTGTCCAACAGGTGATTAGATATGTGAAGTTGTTGATCAGGCAAAAATTCAGATAGCAGATCTGGAATTGAGATACGATTTGGAGTCACAGTCATAGGAATAAAATCAAAGCCATAAAGATGGATGAAATTGCCAAAGTAGAAAGTAAAATGAGAATATTGACAGCAGAAACTTAGAAAAACCTTAACAGCCTGAAGAAGTTGCTAGTGAGGTCAAAGATCCAATATAATAGAACCATATTGATTCCATTCCAAGATGGCCAAATAGGAACAGCTCTGGTCTGCAGCTCCCAGCGTGATCGATGCAGAAGATGGAGATTTCTGCATTTCCAACTGAGGTACCTGGTTCATCTCATTGGGACTGGTTGGACAGTGGGTGCAGTCCATGGAGGGTGAGCCGAAGCAGGGTGGGGCATCCCTTCACCCCAGAAGCGCAAGGGGTTGGGGGATTTCCCTTTCCTGGCCAAGGGAAGCTGTGACAGACTGTACCTGGAAAATCAGGACAATCCTGCCCAAATACTGAGCTTTTCCAATGGTCTTAGCAAACGGCACACCAGGAGATTATATCCTGCACCTGGCTTGGTGGGTCCCACACCCACGGACCCTTGCTCACTGCTAGCACAGCAGTCTGAGATCAACCTGCCAGGCAGCAGCTTGGCAGGGGCAGGGGCGTCCACCATTGCTGAGGCTTGAGTAGGTAAACAAAGTGGCAAGGGAAGCTCGAACTGGGCGGACGCCACCGCAGCTCTGCAAGGCCTGCTGCCTCTGTAGACCCCACCTCTGGGGGCAGGGCATAGCTGAACAAAAGGCAGCAGAAACTTCTGCAGACTTAAACGTCTCTGTCTGACAACTCTGAAGAGAGCAGTGGTTCTCCCAGCATGGTGTTTGAGCTCTGAGAATGGATAGACTGCCTCTTCAAGTGGGTCCCTGACCCCCGTGTAGCCTAACTGGGCAACACCTCCCAGTAGGGGCCAACTGACACCTCATACAGGTGCCCCTCTGGGACAAAGCTTCCAGAGGAAGGATCAGGCAGCAATATTTGCTGTTCTGCAATATTTGCTGTTCTGCAACCTCTGCTGGTGAAAACCAGGCAAACAGGGTCTGGAGTGGACCTCCAGCAAACTCCAACAGACCTGTAGCTGAAGGACCTGACTCTTAGAAAGAAAACTAACAAACAGAAAGGAATAGCATCAACATCAACAAAAGGGACATCCACACCAAAACCCCATCTGTAGGTCAAGCATCAAAGACCAAAGGTAGATAAAACCAGAAAGATGGGGAGAAACCAGGGCAGAAAAGCTGAAAATTCTAAAAACCAGACCATCTCTTGTCCTCCAAAGGATCGCAGCTCCTCACCAGCAACAGAACAAAGCTGGACGGAGAATGATTTTGACGAGCTGACAGAAGTAGGCTTCAGAAGGTCGGTAATAACAAACTTCTCCGAGCTAAAGGAGGATGTTCGAACCCATCAGGAGGAAGCTAAAAACCTTGAAAACAGATTAGATGAATGGCTAACTAGAATAAACACTGTAGAGAAAACCTTAAATTACCTGATGGAGCTGAAAACCATGGCATGAGAACTACGTGATGCATGCACAAGCTTCAATAACCAATTCAATCAACTGGAAGAAAGGGTATCAGTGATTGAAGATTAAATTAATGAAATAAAGTGAGAGGAGAAGTTTAGAGAAAAAAGAGTAAAAAGAAATCAACAAAGCCTCCAAGAAATATGGGACTATGTTAAAAGACCAAATCTACATTCGATTGGTGTACCTGAAAGTGACGGGGAGAATGGAACCAAGTTGGAAAACACTCTTCAGGATATTAGACAGGAGAATTTCCCCAACCTAGCAAGGCAGGCCAACATTCAAATTCAGGAAATGCGGAGAACACCACAAAGATACTCCTCGAGAAGAGCAGCCCCAAGACACATAGTTGTCACATTCACCAAGGTTGAAATGAAGGAAAAAATGTTAAGGGCAGCCAGAGAGAAAGGTCAGGCTACCCACAAAGCAAAGAACATCAGACTAACAGTGGATCTCTTGGCAGAAACTCTACAAGCCAGAAGAGAGTGGGGGCCAATATTCAACAATCTTAAAGAAAAGAATTTTCAACCCAGAATTTCATATCCAGCCAAACTAAGCTTCATAAGTGAAGAAGAAAGAAAATCCTTTACAGACAAGCAAATGCTGAGAGATTTGTCACCACCAGGCCTGCCTTACAAGAGCTCCTGAGGGAAGCAATAAACATGGAAAGGAACAACCAGTACCAGCCACTGCAAAAACATGCCAAAGTGTAAAGACCATCGATGCTAGGAAGAAACTGCTTCAACTAATGGGCAAAATAACCAGCTAATATCATAATCACAGGATCAAATTCACACATAACAATATTAACCTTAAATGTAAATGGGCTAAATGCCCAATTAAAAGACACGGACTGGCAAATTGGATAAAGAGTCAAGACTCCTCAGTGTGCTGTATTCAGGAGACCCATGTCACGTGCAGAGACACACATAGGCTCAAAATAAAGGGATGGAAGAAGATCTACCAAGCACACAGAAAGCAAAAAAAAAGCAGGGGTTGCAATCCTAGTCTCTGATAAAACAGACTTTAAACCAACAAAGATCAAAAGAGACAAAAAAGGCCATTATATAATGACAAAGGGATCAATTCAACAAGAAGAGCTAACTATCCTAAATATATACGCACCCAATACAGGAGCACCTAGACTCATAAGGCAAGTCCTTAGAGACCTACAAAGAGACTTAGACTCCCACATAATAATAGTGGGAGACTTTAACACCCCACTGTCAATATTAGACATATCAACGAGACAGAAGGTTAACAAGGATATCCAGGAATTTAACTCAGCTCGGCACCAAGTGGACCTAACAGACATCTACAGACCTCTTCACCCCAAATCAGCAGAATATACATTCTTCTCAGCACTACACCGCACTTATTCCAAAATTGACCACATAGTTGGAAGTAAAGCACTCTTCAGCAAATGTAAAAGAAAGAAATTATAACAAACTGTCTCTCAGACTACAGTGCAATCAAACTAGAACTCAGGATTAAGAAACTCACTCAAAACCGCTCAACTACATGGAAACTGAACAACCTGCTCCTGAATGACTACTGGGTACATAACGAAATGAAGGCAGAAATAAACATGTTCTTTGAAACCAATGAGAACAAAGACACAACATACGAGAATCTCTGGGACACATTTAAAGCAGTGTGTAGAGGGAAATTTATAGCGCCAAATGCTCACAAGAGAAAGCAGGAAAGATCTAAAATCGACACCCTAACATCACAATTAAAAGAACTAGAGAAGCAAGAGGAAACACATTGAAAAGCTAGCAGAAGGCAAGAAATAACTAAGATCAGAGTAGAACTGAAGAAGATAGAGACACAAAACCCCGTTCAAAAAGAATCAATGAATCCAGGAGCTGTTTTTTTGAAAACATCAACAAAATTGATAGACTGCTAGCAAGACTAATAAAGAAGAAAAGAGGAAGAATCAAATAGATGCAATAAAAAATGATAGAGGGGATATCACCACCGATCCTACAGAAATACAAACTACCATCAGAGAACACTATAAACACCTCTACACAAATATACTGGAAAATCTAGAGAAAATGGATAAATTCCTGGACACATACACCCTCCCAAGACTAAACCAGGAAGAATTTGAATCTCTGAATAGACCAAAAACAGGCTCTGAAATTGAGGGAATGATTAATAGCCTACCAACCAAAAAAAGTCCAGGACCAGATGGATTCACAGCCAAATTCTACCAGAGGTACAAAGAGGAGCTGGTACCATTCCTTCTGAAACTATTCCCACCAATAGAAAAAGAATGAGGCCAGCATCATCCTAATACCAAAGCCTGGCAGAGACACAACAAAAAAGGAGAATTTTAGATGGATATTCCTGACGGATATCAATGCAAAAATCCTCAATAAAATACTGGCAAACTGAATCCAGCAGCACATCAAAAAGCTTATCCACCACGATCAAGTTGGCTTCATCCCTGGGATGCAGAGCTGATTCAACATATGCAAATCAATAAACATAATCTGTCACATAAACAGAACCAACGACAAAAACCACATGATTATTTCATGCTGAAAACTCTCAATAAACTAGGTGTTGATGGAACGTATCTCAAAATAATAAGAGCTATTTATGACAGACCCACAGCCAGTATCATACTGAATGGGCAAAGACTGGAGGCATTCCCTTTGAAAAGTGGCACAAGACAAGGATGCCCTCTCTCACCACTCCTAGTCAACATAGTGTTGGAAGTTCTGGCCAGGGCAATTAGGCAGGAGAAGGAAATAAAGGGTATTCAATTAGGAAAAGAGGAAATCAGATTGTGCCTGTTTGCAGATGACATGATTGTATATCTAGAAAACCCCATTGTCTCAGCCCAAAATCTCCTTCAGCAAAGTCTCAGGATACAAAATCAATGTGCAAAAATCACAAGCATTCCTATACACCAATAACAGACAAACAGAGAGCCAAATCATGATTGAACTCCCATTCACAATTGCTACAAAGAGAATAAAATACCTAGGAATACAACTTACAAGGGATGTGGAGGACCTCTTCAAGGAGAACTACAAACCACTGCTCAGCAAAATAAAAGAGAACACAGACAAATGGAAGAACATCCCATGATCATGGATATGAAGAATCAATCTTGTGAAAATGGCCATACTGCCCAAGGTAATTTATAGATTCAATGTCATCCCCATCAAGCTACCAATGACTTTCTTCACAGAACTGGAAAAAACTACTTTAAAGTTCATATGGAACCAAAAAAGAGCCTGCATTGCCAATACAATCCTAAACCAAAAGAACAAAGCTGGAGGCACCACACTACCTGACTTCAAACTATACTACAAGGCTACAGTAACCAAAACAGCATGGTACTGGTACCAAAACAGAGATATAGACCAATGGAACAGAACAGAGGCCTCAGAAATAACACCACACATCTACAACCATCTGATCTTTGACAAACCTGACAAAAGCAAGAAATGGGGAAACGATTCCCTGTTTAATAAATGGTGCTGGGAAAACTGGCTAGCCATATGTAGAAAGCTGAAACTGGATCCCTTCCTTACACCTTATACAAAAATCAATTCAAGATGGATTAAAGACTTAAATGTTATACCTAAAACCATAAAAACCCTAGAAGAAAACATAGGCAAAACCATTCAGGCCATAGGCATGGGCAAGGACTTCATGTCTAAAACACCAAAAGCAATGGCAACAAAAGACAAAATTGACAAATGGGATCTAATTAAACTAAAGAGCTTCTGCACAGCAAAAGAAACTACCATCAGAGTGAACAGGCAGCCTACAAAATGGGAGAAAATTTTTGCAACCTACTCATCTGACAAAGGGCTAATATCCAGAATCTACAATGAACTCAAACAAATTTACAAGAAAAAAACAAACAACCCCATCAAAAAGTGGGCAAAGGATATGAACAGACACTTCTCAAAAGAAGACATTTATGTAGTCAAAAGACACACGACAAAACGCTCATCATCACTGGCCATCAGAGAAATGCAAATCAAAACCACAATGAGATACCATCTCACACCAGTTAGAATGGCAATCGTTAAAAAGTCAGGAAACAACAGGTGCTGGAGAGGATGTGGAGAAATAGGAACACTTTTACACTGTTGGTGGGACTGTGAACTAGTTCAACCATTGTGAAAGACAGTGTGGCGATTCCTCAGGGATGTAGAACTAGAAATACTATTTGACCCAGCCATCCCATTACTGGATATATACCCAAAGGATTATAAATCATGGTACTTTATAGTACCATGCACATGTATGTTTATTGCAGCATTATTCACAATAGGAAAAACTTGGAACCAACCCAAATGTCCATCAGTGATAGACTGGATTAAGAAAATGTGGCACATATACACCACGGAATACTATGCAGCCATATAAAAAGAATGAGTTCATGTCCGTTGCAGGGACATGGATGAACCTGGTAACCATCATTCTGAGCAAACTATCTCAAGGACAGAAAGCCAAAGACCACATGTTCTCACTCATAGGTGGGAATTGAGCAATGAGAACACCTGGACACAGGGCATAGAACATCACACCGGGGCCTGTTGTGGGGTGGAGGGCAGGGGGAGGGATAGCTTTAGGAGAAATACCTAATGTAAATGACGAGTTAATGGGTGCAGCAAACCAACATGGCACATGTATACCTATGTAACAAATCTGCACGTTGTGCACATGCACCCTAGAACTTAGAGTATAATAAAAAAAAGGAACCATATTATATTACTATAGGCAAAAACAAGGAGAAAATTAATCACTCAATATCGTGAGCAAACAAAACACAAATTCAGGTCTTAAGGGTCTTTGAAGATATACCCCCAAAATAGAAACTTAACAGTTGTACAACACAGTAGTAAATGTTTCACCAGGAAGTTATTTTCCAAAGTAAATGTACAGAAAATGGTCTTATGAAATCAGAGGTAGAAATGATGAGCTTGGGCTTCAATTCATGAAGGTGCTCACTGCAAACTCTCTAGGCATCCTGCATGGCATATTGCAAAGCCAAATGTATTAACATATAGACCTCTTTAACAGAATGATGTGCTTTGTTTTTATTATGCTTTGCAGGGAGCGTATTTGGAGTAATTGTGAAAGTTCTCAGTGCAAAAAACTTATACACGGAAGTAATGGTGGTCAGTTACCCTTTAAAAAATAGTCTTTTGCTTCCCATATAAACAGCTTAATTATATGAAAGATGCAAAATTCTCCAAAAGGCTGAGTTTGTCATAAAGCTGGTTTTCATAGTTATAGCCTTACAACTTCAAATGAATATGTTCAGAGCAGTTTCTAATAATTCTGTGAGGAGCAACATATACTGATCTTTGGAAGTTAGAAAAAGTTTTGATTTTAATCTTGAAAATTCATTTGAAGCACATTTGGTTTATTTTGAAGTCCTAGTTTTATGCATTTCACAGAAAAGGGAAACATAAATTTCTCATGGCTTCTCCGTTCAGCTTTATACCCCTGCTGTGTGGTGCCAGTCAGTGCTTGGCGAGAAATGATTCTTGCTTTCTAAATGACATACAAATGCTCCAGACAGTTGAGTGCTTATAAGTGTTCTGTTCCTTTCTACACTCGAAATAGTGCAGAGCACCAAAGAAAGAAATCTTACAGTAGAATGAAAATGACAGCAAGATATGGGCATCCTAAAGCAAAAGTAAAAGAAATTGCCTCCTTGCTTCACTATGTATTTTCTGTATAAAATAAGTACCCCATTTTACCTTTTGTCACTAATTTATATGCAGTAAAATATACCCAAAGGCTATTTTATTGGCAGAAATATTTAAAAAGGAAAGAAACATTAGCCCTATCTTCATATTCCTCCATTGACTTAAGTAAATAAGTTATCTAGGCTGGGCATGGTGTCTCACGCCTGTAATCCCAGCACTTTGGGAGGCTAAGGCAGGAGGATCACCTGAGGTCAGGAATTTGAGACCAGCCTGGCCAACATGGCAAAACCCTGTCTCTACTTAAAAAAAAAAAAATTAGCCAGGCGTGGTGGTACATGTCTGTAATCCCAGCTACTCGGGAAGCTGAGGCACAAGAATCGCTTGGACCCAGAAGGTAGAGGTTGCAGTGAGCTGAGATCGTGCCACTGCACTCCAGCCTGGGCAACAGAGGGAAACTATCTTTCAAAAAAGAAGAAGAAGGAGGAGGAGGAGGAGGAGGAGAAGTAGTTATGCTTTTAAAGATACATTTTAACATCGAAGTTAATAAACAATTTCAAGCACAGTATATTTGTGTAATTTTATATTAATGTTAAGAGTTGCTTAAAATAGTATCTGATTTTAACTGTGTATACCTTTCAAAAATTAGTAGTAGCAGCCAACAAGTCAAAAGATGCTCAATTTGATCCAAAATTTGGGAAACATTCATCAAAATGAGATATTATTTTAAAACTATGAAATTATTTTTAAGGTGGATAAATCACAGTTTTATTAGGGATTTCTGGAAAATCAGCTCTCTTAATATAGGTTGATGCAACATTTTGGAAGGGCAATTTGGCCATCTAACAATTAAAATCACACCTTGCAACTGGGAGAGGTGGCTCATACCTATAAACCCAGCATATTGGGAGGCCAAGGAGGGAAGATCACTCAAGCACAGTTCAGACCAGTCTGTGCAACATAGTGAGATCCTGCATCTACAAAAACATAAACAAAATTAGCCAGTCATGGCGACACATACCTGTAGTCCTAGCTACTCAGGAGGCTGAGGTGGAGGATTGCTTGAGCCTAGCAGATCCAGGCTGTAGTGAGCTATGATCATGACACTGCACTCCAGCCTGGGTGACAGAGCAGGACCTTGTCTCAAAAAAAAAAAAAGAAAAAATTACACACTGCTTTTGATCTAACAACTCCTCTTTAGGGAATTTATTCCATGGATATAATCACATATGTGCACAAGGAAGGTCACTGCATCTGCATCCTTTTTAATAGTTAAAAAAATGGAATTAACCTAATTGCTCATCAATGAAATAATTAAATTATCTTGTGTTATACTGTCGAATACCACACAGCCATTAAAAAGAATACTGACATGAAAAGATTTCTAAATGAACTATTAAGGGAAAAAAGGAAGGCAAAGAACTGCCCAAATAGGAGGTATGAGCTGATTTGTTTCAGAAAGTGAGAAGCTGATGTAACCATAAATGTTTATATATGAGAAAAAAATTCTTAAAGGACAAGCAAGAAACTATTAATATTCCTGAGTGTAGTGAATGGGATAGAACAAGAGGTCAGAAATGGAGGAAGAAAATGTTTACTTTTTATTTTATGTCTTCCTTTGCTGCTTGAAATTTTTACCACAAACAGAGATTATGTTTATAATTTAAAAATTAATAGCACCTAATTCTCAATTATAGGGACTATTGAAACCATGGACATTTGAAACTCAACCAGATGAAAATTTTAACTGGCTCTCTTCCCTCTCCATTTACCCTTACATGTATAAAATGAAAAATGCCTTTTGTCATAGCAGATAAATACAGAAAAGTTTTGAACTGCCTTCCTTCTATCCCTGCATACCTCTTCTGATACAGCTGTTAATAAGTAATAAAGTTATTGTCCTCAGCAAGTAACCTTGCTAGAGAATGCACAAGGAAGGGATTGGAAAATGCATATTTATTGAAAACATACCCACTATGTGCCAGGCATTGAACTAGGGCTTAGGGTCCAAATGATTCACAAAACAAACACTTGGGATAATCAGGAAGATCTGAAGAAATTATGACAAGTTAGCTCTAATTGTTTTAAAGTTCTTTATGCCCACTGCTGGATGGAGCCAGAAGGAAGGTATTCAAGCATTTTTTATAAAATTGGTGAAAGGGACATAAGTTGAAGAAAAGAAAGAGAAGACAGAATTAGACAACCACAGGTCTAGAACTGTATAATCTGAAAGGCCCTGGAGTGTTAGTTAGAAACGCAGGTTTCCAGTGCCCAACCTCAATGTACTGAATAAGACTTTCTAGAGGTGTGACCTGAGAATCTGCATTTAAGTCAAATTGTCTAAGTACTCTTTATAAGACTAAGTTTGAGAAACTCTGCTCTAAGGTTATTTCCTCCCTGAAGAATAAGTCCTACCTGGAGATACTCTCCTTATGTTTATTTTCTCCTTAGATTTCTAGGAAGGTCTTAGGGCCCATATTAGGGAGTGAGCTAGATGTTAGGGAAAAAACTCAATCTGTGCTTTTTAAAATTTTGCCATCTCTCTTACATTTTGTCACAATACAGATTTTTAAAATTATCTCAACAGATTCCAAATTTCCAATCCAATTGTTTCCTTAACATGATTATTTTCTCAGTAGCTTCATCATGAGTTTTTCCCTTAAGTTTGTGAAAGAGAAAGCTAGAGACCATGTATTTGCAGTTCATCTGTTATACTGTAATAACTGAGCATACATCTTGTCTTCTTTTGATTTTACTTGTGTTATAACTTTGATTATAGACAATTTTGTTGATAAATCTTAGTCTCCTAAAATATTTGAAAGACTATTATAAATAAGGTCCTAAAGTTTAGAAGGCATCTGATCTCTCTGTAGAGTCTAGAATATTTTAGATAATAATGATGATAAGTATAAATCAATATATGACTGCCAAGTATAAACAGAATTGAATCTAGTTCAATGTGCATTTATCGATTACTTATTATACTGCAATTTGCCAAAGGGTATTAGAGGAGGTAAGCCGGTTATAAGATACAGTTCTACTCTCAAAGGGCTTACAGGATGGTGAACAAGGCTCATCTATAGACTAACTTTAATAAAAGGCAAAATGACAGATTTCAAATAAAAATGCAGTAAGCAGTAAATCAAAACAATAGGAGCTTTGGAGAGTGACTATTTGTGAGGCAGGTAACCTAAGGAAAAGCAGAACAAATAAGTCAAATCTACTCTGTTTACAGATGTTGCACCCAGATTTTACTCCACCAGAGCACACCAAGCACAACAAAGAAGGCTTCACAGAGGAGCCTGGTTACAGAGAAATTTATGAGGATGAGGATTTGAGGAGAGGAGCAATGAGTAAGATAATATTTTTGTGAGGCCGTGCACGGCGGCTCAAGCCTGTAATCCCAGCACTTTGGGAGGCCAAGTCGGGTGGATCACCTGAGTTCAGGAGTTTGAGGCCAGCCTGGTCAACATGGTGAAACCCCGTCTCTACTAAAAATTCAAAAATTAGCTCAGTGTGGTGGCGGGCGCCTGTAGCCCCAGCTACTCGGGAGGCTGAGGCAGGAGAATCGCTTGAACCCGGGAGGCGGAGGTTGCAGTGAACCGAGATGGAGCCACTGCACTCCAGCCTGGGAGACACAGTGAGATTCCATCTCAAAGAAAAAAATAAAAATAAAAAAAAAAGAGAATATTTTTGTAAAGATGTGATAATGTGACAGAGGGTAAACACTTGGTGGGAACAACAATTCTGGCCTGATACATGAGCTGAATACTACTCAAAATGATATTATTTACATTATTATTATTGTTGTTATATTGAAGAACATATCTATAAGAATTACAGAAACCAGCAAAACTAAGAAGTTGATGTCCTAAAATGGGAAGAGACCTGGGAATTTCCAAGTTTGTCACATCTGCACAGTATTATTTCTTTAAAAAGCCAAATGCCACAAAAGTTGTATTCTCTAATTTTTTTAAATAACCTTGAATTTCTGATGAGGCAAATGAGGCACAGTGATTAAAATTTAGAAATATAGGAAAAGAAAGGCACTTTAAAATATTTATTTCTCTCTGATTCTTTGGAGAAATGCTGTGAACCAACTCCAGGATTCTCTATAGAAACAGGCTGGGTGTGGTGGCTCACGCCTGTAATCCCAACACTTTGGGAGGCCGAGGCGGGCTGATCATTTGAGGTCAGTAGTTCGAAACCAGCCTGGTCAACATGGTGAAACCCTATCTCTACTAAAAATACAAAAATTTGCCTGGTGTGTTGGTGGGTGCCTGTAATCCCAGCTACTTGGGAGGCTGAGGCAGGGGAATCGCTTGAGCCCGGGAGACAGAAGTTGCAGTGAGCAGAGATCGCGCCACTGCACTCCAGCCTAGGGAGACAGAGTGAGACTCCGTCTCAAACAAACAAACAAAAGAACAATGTATAACACATTTATGCTTCCAAGATTTTATTTTGCTTTATTTCACAATTATTTTCATCTTGGTTAAATTAGAAGGATAATTGAGGCTCTATTAAAAGCATGTTCTTTAAATATTATTCTCCTTATTTGCATTTGGCTTTTCCTCAAATGGAAAGGAAAACGATATCCAAATAGACAATTTTTTAAAATCCCTCCTTATTTAATTACCTGTTCATATAAATATATGAAAATATATATGCTAGCCTTTTTTTTTTTTCTGGGAAAAACTCAAAGGCTACAATTAATCCTCTTAAATGTGAGTCCCATGTTTTCTCTGCTTTTGGAATCACTTCAACATGTGGCACAGCACCTGCCTTAATATTTTTAACATTATATTGACTCCTTTTGCTGTTCCTCTCGAAGAAAATGTCTTCCTTGGAAAAGTGTGGTGTCTAACCGATCCCAATAGCGCTTTAACCCATGCTCTTTCTCTTTGCATCTGTGGGCACAGCACTGGTTCCCAGACTCTGGGGGTGGGGGTGGGGGGTTTCTACTGGACCAAACCCAGGATAGACTCCGTCCCTCACTTCTGAGATCCAGAGGCTGCCTGTCTGTGGCTGGGCTGCCCAGCCCTTTGGAAGAGAGTAGGTTGATGGAGCCTCTTCGAAATCAGGCAGCAGTGCCCGCGCCACGGCCTCTGCAGGACAGACTCCAGCATCCCCGGGGTGGGTTTCCGGAGGCCCCGCTCCCCGCCGCGCCCTGGAAAGGCTCCAGAATCTCTCGGCCTGGAGGCCCCTGGCGGCCTCTGCTCCCAAGCGGGGAGTCGCAGCCAGGCTACAGCGGGCTTGATCCTCAGTGCTGGGTGGAAAAACCGCGGCGGCAAACGCCGGGCCTGCAACTGCTGGGTGTCGGCGTTGCTGGTTCGCGGGCGGCGGCGGCGGCGGCTCCGCGACAACAGAGGACGCGAGCAACCGGCGCAGCGCCCAGCAGGGCCTTGGCGGGGTGGAGGGGCGCAGGCTGGGTTAGCGGAGCAGAGCGGACCGATCTGGTGCCCTCCGTGGCCCGAGGCCTGCGGACCTTCTCCGTTCTCCGGCCCAGGGCGAGAGCGGGGCAAGAGACAGCGCCCCGATAGTGGCGCACGCTCTCCGCCATCCCCGGGCCTCGCGCTTTCACCTCGCGTGCTGGGGCGAGGGCGGGGCTGCGGGGTGTACTGGGTCGGGGGTAGGAAGGACCTGCCAGGCCTTAGCCCTGAGCTATCCGTCATCCGCTAACGCCGCGCTCCCTGCATCCCTGGCTTGGCCCCCAGGCTCTGCGCCGCTTGTCTGTAGCAGACACAACTCAGCTCCCTTACTGTCCTCAGGCCCGGCTATTTCAAGAATTCCAGAAAAAGAGTGCACCGGCGTGTGCGGGCCGGTGCTGCCCGGAAAACCCGTGAAGCAGGCACGCACGGCCCGGATGCAAGCACATCTGTCCCCTCCCCCAAAGGTCTCCCCAGCTTTATTGATCGCGTGGGTGCGGGTAGGGATCTAAATTTGTCTCCCAGATTTTCTCTGAAATCGAGTCTCTTGGGAGTGAAGGTCCATATGATTACACCACGTCCTTAGCAGTCGCGTTGTGTTCAAAATGGGCATGGGTGCTCGCGGCGCGGATACTGAGTTCCCCAGAGACGCGGAGTCTTTTGCCCCAGGGGCTTATTCTTGTTTTCTCAATGGAACAGGTCTTCGAATCTCCCCAGGAACATCTCAGTAAGTAGGGGTGTGCGTGTTTGTGTGTGTGTCAGTGTGTGTGTGTAAATGGTTCCTATGAGCTGACAGTTTGGTATTTAAAGAACAAATGGACATAAGCACAGAAGTCATGACTTTTCTATGGATAAGATTGAGATTTCTGAGATTTCCAAGACAAGGTTGACCTGTCACGGGATAGTATTTTCAATCCTTCTCATTAAAAAAAAAAAAAAAAAAAAAAGCCTGCACTTATGTAGAGATTCGTTGGACATTCTTGTTAGTATCTGAGATTACTTTGATGTTCTAAGTTGAATACAGGCATGCATTTTCATAATAGAACATTTGTCATATCGTATGTATTCCCATTGCAGATCATTTTCCCACAAAACTGTAAGCTTCTTCAAGGCAGGAAGAGCTTTTATTCGCCTCTGACTTGTCCCAAACCAAGTAGTGCCTGCAAATATCAAGTACACAATAAATGAGTGTTAATTACACCACTCACCCCCAATCCTTACATTTCCTGTAGGCTCTAAATATTTCTATGTGTGTGCAAAGGAGAAGAAATGGAGGAATGTGGACATAGGGTTCACAGATACTAAATAAACATAAAGACATGGCCATCCATGCTGATGGACATTTACCAGATAGTAATGGTGCTCAGAATCAATTTGCTAATCAAGTCTCCATAGTTTTAGGGTTGTTATGTGCAAGAGGTAGGAATGACCTACATTATCAGGCAATTCTCTTAAAAATCAATATCTGGATATATATGTCTCCCACCCCTCAACCCCCATTTTTTCTTTCTTTCTATAGATTAGGTGTGGTGTAAACCATTATACTTGAAGTGGAAATGAGCTTGCTAACCTGTGATACCTTACCTTGGATTTACGGGTACATTTGGCTAACCTCATATTTCCCTTTTTGCATTTTTTCACTGGAATCCTAAGATAACATAAACTGGTGAAACCTGGTTTGGGTATCTAAAATACTTAACTTGGGAAAGTGAACTGAAAATATTAAAAATCATTAGCTGCCTTAATTGTTCCTTTTTCAACTCAGTGATACTATTATATCCTCTCTTCTCAGCCTTTGAATGTACTTCCCAGTCTCTTCCATGAGTAAACATTTGAAGATTAAACATTTGAAGATTCTACCTTGTTAATATGTAATATTAACTGATACTGTTTTTCATAAGGGGTTTAACTGTGCCTGGTCACCTTATATAATGCCGCTTTAAAAACATCACCATCACTGATGCGTTATAAAACATTTATTCTGGACAACATAGTATGTAGAACACTTTCCATTAATTACTAGAAATCTTTTGAAGAGGACGCTGCCCACAATGGGAAGTATTTTTATTTTAGATCCTTGTACTAAAAAAATATACTTCACTCAGAGTAAATGAAAAGACTGGGTGCCTCATCAATATCATTGTTTCTAAATTTCTGTAGACTATTCAGTTGCAAGAGAGATAGGTCTTTTGTCTAATGCTCTAACGGTAAAAAAAATATTAGTTTTATTAAGAACTTTAGGGTTAAGCTCTTGGATTTTTGTAGCACCTCTTCTACTCTTTTGTTCAAGTGCCAAGTATTAATTCTTTTCAGCTTGTAAGTAAAATGTGGTTCAGAATGCTACCTCTATTTGTAGCATTAGGAAAAAAAAATGCTGTAGATATTTATAATAATTCTCGACAATATTGTTTTATTTTAGCATCAATTTCCTCTCCTCCGTTATGATTTTTAATGGAGTCCTTATTGGTGTTTTTTTTTTCCTTGACCTACTTTCTTTTCAATAGCTTTCATATATAGCCTGTTGTCATTGTTGGTGATTTCTGTAGAGTGTAGTAGAGTCTAAATCACGGTGAAACAGAGTAGTTAGTTATCACTTATTCTAGAAATGTTTTCGTGGTTTAAAAGTCATCTGGTCTGTTCATATTCTGACTTCTTTTAAACTATGCTTTTCATGAATTTGCTCCGTTCTCCAGACTGAGGATTGAACCTCATTCTGCTCTGACCCAATTGTTCTTTTCCTTTGTTGCCTCCACCCCCTAGAGAATGTGTTTCCAGGGGACAGGCGTTCTTGGTGCTGAAGAGGAGGAGAGTCAAGTGAGACGAGATCTGGTACCTCACGCACTAGATCCCTCCTCTCCGGCCTGGTGAGAAGTCAGAGACAATTTTGACAGTTCATAGTCCTGCCTTGGCTCTCACGCTTGCGGTCCATGGGCGGGTTTTACCTTCTCTCTCTTCCTCTGCTTCTGGCCTGCTTACAGGCCAACAGCAAATGCAGCCATTGCCCGAGACCACTCAGAACTCTCCCTGTGCCATCCTCTTGGGGAACAGGAGGATATGTCCGTAGAAGACTTCGTGGACTGGGGAAAGCCACGCCGGGATCGGGACGCCGGAGAGGGTCGCCCCTCCCTAGGCTTTTTCCCGTCGCGGCGCCCACGTGACCGAGAGCAGGCCTTCACCAGCCCGCCCCTTTCGGCCGCTGCTGCCCACTTCCCGCTCGGGGTAAGTAAACCGCCGTTTTCCGCACCGCCCCAACCCCGCCCTTCTCCTTTCCCCTTGCCTTCACCTCCCTCGGGCTCTCTCGCGCCACTCTCCCCACCCCCATATCTTCCCCATCGGGCCCTTTGTACGTGCTCGGCGCCGTGCAAGCGCGCCCGGCACGTGACCCCGCCGAACGTGGCATTGTGTTATCACGTGACCCAGGTGCGTACGCGACGGAGCGGGGTGTGAAGATGGCGGACGAAGAGGCCGAGCAGGAGAGGTTGAGTTGCGGCGAAGGCGGCTGCGTCGCGGAGCTGCAGCGCCTGGGCGAGCGGCTCCAGGAGCTGGAGCTACAGCTGCGGGAGAGCCGGGTACCGGCCGTGGAAGCGGCCACCGACTACTGTCAGCAGCTGTGCCAGGTGAGGGCGCCCGGTGGTCCCCTCCCCCTTTCCCCAGCTAGAGGGGGAAGAGGGCGAGCGAGCGCTAGGCGGCCGAGAGGTGGTCGCCGCTTCCTTGGCATCATCGGCGCCTCCGCCTGGGTGGGAGCGGGAGTAGAAGGAAGGCGCCTTTGTGTGGCTGCAGTTGTGGCGGTTGTTGTCGTCTGCAGCTCCTGGCTGGGGGAAGGGAGTTGCGGTCAAGGCGGAAAATCCCCCCTCCCCTTTCCTTCCCTGAACTCGGGACTGCGCGGTCCCCGCGGCTGAGGAAATGTACACGGTGCGGATTGGAGAGAGTAGGAGAATGGAGGCCAGGTTCTCTTCCTCCTCCTCCTTTTATTGTGCACTGGGGATTACCGCGCCTCCCGCCTCTGCGCCTCTGCTTCCCACTCCGACGGGCCTCCGCCCCCACTGGTTTGATTCCTTTGCCTTCCCCTGCTTTCATCCGTCCCGCCCCCCAGCCCCGGCCCTGTCCTGGCTGTCTCCGGGCCTTTGTTGTTCGAGTTTCGCCTTAGGACTGAAGGGGCCTTTGTTGATGTTCGGAGGAGCAGTCCCCGCCGACCCCTTCTAGTTGAGCTAGACGTTCGGGAGGGGGTGCTTGGCGGAGGTTGTCCCCTCCTGCCCATACTTGCTTGCTTGGTGCATCACTTCTGTGGTAAAGCTTTATCTCCTTAGTGTAGAGGAGCTGTGCCTGTACATCTGTCTCAGGTTGAGTGTCCTTTTGGGGCGGTTTTTCCAGAGTCCGTTTCTCATTTGCTTTCGCCCTTCGAGGAGTATGATTTCCACTATCCTTTCTGTCCCGATCACCCCCTCACCCCTGTTTCTTGGAGTCCTTCCTATTTGGCTTCCTGATGAAGTGGGAGAAGACTGAGGTTCATGTGGATCTGTGCTTTGGGTAGTTTCAAATCTTTTCTTTGCTTGCCCAAGGGCACTGCTCACCAGTGACTGCATTCTAACCAGAATTTGGAATGTTAATAACACTGTTTGCTAGTGATGAAAATCATTTCATCCATGGTGAAAATCGGAGAGTTTGGGACTACATTTGCACTTCATTACGAGCCTTACACTTAGGTTTAAAATTTCAAGGTAGTGTTGCTGGCTCTGGTGAAGACTTTGATTTGATTGTCTTGAGGAGGAAAAAGAAGACACAATTTACACAGGTCATATTTAGAGTTAACTTGTGAGTGTATCATTACAGAGAATTCGTTTTGGAAAAATACTGATCTTAACGTAGAACAATGGTTGACCATTTTAGCTGAGTAGATTACATTTTCACTTATTTTTTAGCTTCCAAATATTGAAATATTTTCTTTATTATGTCGGGGATACGTGATCACATACAAAAGAATCTCCGTTGCTGTATGCACTTTATTGTCACAAATTATTTGATGGCTGTTCATAATCTTAAAAACAAAAACTGTGAGATCAAGTGGTGACGTCTAGGAGGATGTGCAATGTGAAAGCTCCCTACTTAGGTAAATAGGTCTGGTGAGTACCTGTGGCAAAATTAAAGTCTCATTCCTTTGAATTTTAATATTTAAAAATTGTTGAAATTTCTCAGTTTCTCTACTTTGCAGTACCCACTCATTCTTAATTGGTCTTTAAAGATTTATTTTAGAGATAAAAAAATTTCTCTAAGATACCCATAATAGGAAGTATTTCATTTGTAAGTCGAATCAGTTTTTATATAATAATCAGTGAAAACTATTAAAGTCTAGCTTTGCTGAAAGACATTTTCCCCTAATAGTGTCCACTGATAGTTTTAAGGCTAATTACTGTAAATTCTTTTTTTGTCAGCAGTATTTGTAAGCAGGATTAATAATTCTGGGAAAATAGAATCTCATGCAAGCTGGACTCCCCCCCGCTTTTTTGTGAGTGTGTGACGTTGTAAAGTTATCACTTAAAGATTTTTATTTATTTATTTATTTTTGAGATATGGAGTCTTGCTCTGTCACCCGGGCTGGAGTGCAGTGGTGCGATCTCAGCTCACTGCAGCCTCCATCTCCTGGGTTCAAGCGATTTTCCTGCCTCAGCTTCCCAAGTAACTGGGACTACAGGCGTGCGCCACCAAGCCCAGCTAATTTTTGTGTTTTTAGTAGAGATGAGGTTTGGGGTTTCACTGTATGTCGGCCAGGCTGGTCTCGAACTGCTGGTCTCGAACTGCTGACCTCAAGTGATCCACCCACCTCTGTTTCCCAAAGTGCTGGGATTACAGGTGTGAGCACCGCGTCCCGCCAGACTTGAGTTTTTTAATGAGTGAAACAGCATTTTAAAAATCAGAATGAAAGTAATTTCCTATATCAGTTTCATTAAGTGATTAGTCTTGCCACATAAATTGTTATTGATGCTACTGACAAAAAAACATCAAACACTAATGAAACAAATGCTGGATTTGTGGATTTCAAAAATTATAAAATATTTCATACACTGTAAGCTCAGAATAATTTAAATACACTTAAAAGTAATCTCCATTTGAAACGATACAGAGTGTGTCTGATTTCCTCTGGAACATTTTCTGGGGTGGGGTTTTTTGTTTTGTTTCTCAGGTAACCTATTTATGTTAGTGATCTTGTCAAGTGGAGGTAACTTGAAACAATTGTTTATTTATGTTTATTTACAGGGGTGGAGGTGGCTCACACCTGTAATCCCAGCAGTTTGGGAGGCCGAGTTGGGCGGATCGCTTGAGCCTGAGCAGCATGGCGTGGCCCCTTCTCTACAAAAAATACAAAAAACAAAACAAATCAAAAAAATTAGCCAGGCGCTGTGGCGAGTGCCTGTAGTCCCAGCTACTTACGAGGCTGAGGTGGGAGGATCATTTGAACCCGGGAGGCAGAGGTTGCAGTGAGCAGAGATGGTGCACTGTGCACACTCCAGCCCGGGTGACAGAGAAAGATCCTGTCTCAAAAAAATAAAAAATAAAAATAAAATTGTATCTTAGCAATTATCACCTAGCATTTTGATACGAAGTTGAGTGAAGCAATGGTTAACAATTAAAGAATTTATTGGCGCAATCTAAATATAGTACCAGGGATACTAGGAGCTAGAAATTATGTCTTAGTTTCTAACCTTGAGATTATTATTTAACTTTTTCTGTTTAAGCTTTTCCTGTAAAACTGGGATAGTCACACGCTTCAAGAAGGCAAAGATGAATAAACGTTTGTCAAAGTTAATGGGCTTCAGAATTAATATTCTGTCAGTGTTGATGCTCAGTGCTTGTGTAACCCTTAGTTTTGCATTTACTTTAAAAAATGAATTAGTTTACATTCTATGTAATTTTTATGAGCAAAAGTTCAGTTTCTGGAGAATGTGGTGAAACCCACAGAAACAGGAGTTGCTTATGATCCGTAGTTTATAGATTTTTATTTTTGAGTGAGGTAGAAGATTAATAGATTTTTTGAATTCTGAGTAGCAGAATAGAAACGAAAGGCATTAAATGTTTTTCTTATTAACAGTGTTGTTTTGCTCATTCTGGAAATAAGCCACCTGCCCCCCCTTTGCTTATTTAAATGAGAATTTGCTTAAAGCTTAAGTGGGAGGAGGGAAGAGTAAGTAGAGGATGGGCATAGTAGAGCGCCCGTCATAAATTTTAAATTTTTTTATATATTTTATTTTATTTTTGAGAGATGGGGTCTTGCTACATTGCCCAGGTATGATCATAGCACACTACAACCTCAAACTCTTAGGCTCAAGTGATCCTCCTGTCTCAGCTTTCTTTTCTTTCTTTTTTTTTTTTTTTTTTTTTAAAAAAGATGTAGTTTAACTCTGTCACCCAGGCTGGTGTGCAATGGCGCAATCTGGGCTCACCACAACCTCCGCCTCTTGGGTTCAAGCAATTCTCCTGCCTCAGCCTCCTGAGTAGCTGGGATTACAGGCATGTGCCACCATGCCCGGCTAATTTTGTATTTTTACTAGAGACAGGGTTTCTCCTTGTTGGTCAGGCTGGTTCCGCCCCTCTTGGCCTCCCAAAGTGCTGGGATTACAGGCGTGAGCCACCACGCCCGGCCCTGTCTCAGCCTTCTAAGTAGCTGAGACCTCAGGCATACACCACCATGCCCAGCTCTTAAATTTCCTTGTATCTTTTCAAAGTTAGCTTTAATATGGGCAATATAACCAACTCATTTTCTTAAAATTGACTTAGAATAAGTATATAGAATAACCAGAAGTAATTTCTTGCATTTACTTGTTTTAGGATTATTACTGTATTTATTATACAAAAATTGGTTATAATTGGAACCTTTTAGACTAGTTAATTGTATTAGACTGGGCCAGTAGTCACTCATTCAACATTTCTATTGAACATCTACTGTATACAGGCTAGGCAAGGATGATCATGGTCCCTGGCTTCAAAGAGTTTATAGTCTCTGGAGGAAGGTAGACAGATAATCGTAGTAAACTATGATTTATATATTTTATCACTGAGGTGAGTACAGTAAAGAGGGAGGTTATTTGGGAGTTTTAAAAGAAACATTCCAACAGAGGAGTTGTTCTAAAGAGATTTTAAAATAATAGTTCGTTGGAAAAATTGGCCATTGTAATAGTTGATTTGTTGGAGTATGATATTTGCTGACAGCACTATATACTGGACTGGCCGACTGGTTGATTGTAACTGTTATTGACCATTGATCAGTAGTGATCTGGTGGCTGACAGTTGTTTTGAAGGGTTGAATTACAGTCGTGTGTGTATGTGTATACATACGTACATGTGTTTGTATATATATGTGTGTGTGTGTGTGTGTGTGTATATATATGCAAGGACCTAGGTTTAGATGTTACAGAGGATATAAGATACAGGAGACTCTAATAAAAAAATATGTTTGTGTGTATATATACATATATACGATGTGTGTGTGTATACATACATGTATACGGTGTGTGTGTGTGTATATATACATATATATGATGTGTGTGTGTATATATATATATATAATTTTCTTAGTTCATATAAGCAGGGCTTCTCAACTGGGCATAGTACTTTCCCTACCTCCAGTTCTCTCTTTGATGGCACTTAGAAATATGTGGGATCAGGTTTTTGGATGTTGCTATGACTAGGGATGTGGTACTGGCATTTAGTGCCCATGAGCTTCAATGCTAAGTTTTCTGAAGTGATCAGGACCGTCCCAACAAATGAAAGCGTAATTCCTCTAAGTACCCTTTTCAGAAACATTGAACAGAAAGAAAAATAGTATATCTAGAAGATTTTTTTTTTTAGTCCTTCTACTCTTTTCATATTGAGATAGTTAAGCTCCAGAAATATACTTTATTTGGAACAGGTCCAGGTAAATGATATTCAACAATATTTAAGTATAATTTATACTGACCATGAGAGGTCAAGAAACTTTCTACTTTCTTAGCAGAAATTACAAGCAATTGCATAAACAGTTAGTAAAACAACTTTTGCTAGGTTAAAGAGGGTAGCAAATTCAGCATAATTATCCTGATTAAAGAAAAGATTTGACATTTTGATATAATAAATTCTGTACTTTTAAGAAAGCATTTATATGCAAGGACCTAGGTTTAGATGTTATAGGAGATAAAAGATACGGGCAACTAGTGGGATATAAATTAGTAAGATAATATTTAAATATCACTTCAAAATGACAGCTGAAAAGATGTCAAAAGGCAGTGTATTAACTAACAAATTGTTTTGCTTTATTTTTATTTTTTTGAGACAGGGTCTCCACTCTGTCACCCAGGTGGGAGTGCAGTGACACAGTCACGGCTCACTGCATCCTTGACCAACTGGGCTTAAGCGATCCTCTTGCCTCAGCCTGAGTAGCTGGGACCACAGGTGCACATCAACATGCCTAACTTTAAAATTTTTTGTGGAGACAAGATCTCCCTACATTGCCCAGGTTGGTCTCAAACTCCTGTGCTCAAGCAGTCCTCCCACCTTGGTCTCCCAAAGTGCTGGGACTATAGGCGTGAGCCACTGCACCCAGCCTGGTTTTGCTTTTTTGTTGTTTGTTTTGTTTTGTTTTAAATTGAAAATGTACTAATTGAAATGGTTTTTTAAAATTCACCCTGAGAAAGGGCATACAATGAAAACTTGATCTTTTTCCCATTCTAGAGTTCCAGTCTCATTTCCACAAAGACAAATCCCCTAATGGTTTCCAGAACTAGTTTGCTCTTTTTAAGAAAATAAAGATAACTACACTGTATCTTGCTTTCCCTCCCCCCAAAAGCATCTTCTAGCTCATTCCATAGCTGCTCATGTAAGTTTTTGGCTTTCCCTATTATAGTATATAGTAATTCTAGTCTATGGCTGGGTCTAATTAATCAGTTCATTATCAGTGGATATTTAGGAGAGTAAGTTAATTTTATGTATAGCAACTTAAAGAGTTCAAAGTAGGTAGTAAGCACTTCAGGCTGGGGTATCAGGGAAGGCTTTCCTGAGGAGGTACTATTTGAGCTAGTCTTCATTACCTTTGTTAGCCATTATTGGTGCCTGATTGGTATAAGAAATAAAAACCAAATTAAAACTGTTAGAGCTACAGAATGTTTAGATTACATAT
The DNA here is from genome assembly GCF_000001405.40 of Homo sapiens. Classification (NCBI taxonomy): domain Eukaryota; kingdom Metazoa; phylum Chordata; class Mammalia; order Primates; family Hominidae; genus Homo; species Homo sapiens. The sequence continues at coordinate 87,162,287 of NC_000006.12, forward strand.
TTAGGACATTTCTTTGTATATTTTATGTCTCATCAGTTTGATACAAGTTGATTCTTTTGTTTATATACATGTTACATTATAACTGCAAGATCTTTGAAACTAAGCATTTTCCTTAAAAATTAGACTTTCTTTTTGACTATTAGAGGCTATCTTAATTTGTAGGACACTTTAAATCAGAAGAAAAGACAGCTTGCTTGTTAATTAGTGATAATTACTTTAGGTATTGAGGGAGCAATAAGTCATTTAAACTTTTAGAAGTTTAGATAGTGCTCATGGGAAATAATTTTTTAAATGTTCATAATTAGTATGATTGCATGTTAGAGATAATAAATTCTACTTTGCAGAGTATGCTTATATCAATTTCAGCAAAACTAAGCTTTGCTTGCCCCCTTCTTATCCTTTTTGGACCTAAATTAAAATGAGGGAAGAGAAGATTTATTCTGCAGCTGTACTTCATAACATTTACTAACCTGCCAAACAGGATTTTCATAGGTTTTTAACTATAAAACTGCTGCTCTACTTATTTTCTTGAGATTCTGTCAAAGGTGAGAGGTTACATTATTTTTCCCAACTCCTACAGATAAATTCAGTTTATAAAATTAACCAATCAGTGTGAGTATGCTCTTATAGTTGTAAAATGGAAAGTTTGCTTTCATTAATATGTTTGTCAGCATACATACACTGTGACTTTTAACAATGTATTATTTTCCAGGAGAGCCTCCTGATTCATTGTTTTTCTTTTGGCATTGGCAGTTGCACAATGTATCTCAAAAGAAAAATGTTACCTTTTCCCCCTTGACTTACATTAAAAAAAGAAAGACTAAAGTCTCTAAGTATATATGTTCAGCTAAGAAGATTTGTTAAAATTCAGTTACATACATAGGGCTGGGCGCGGTGGCTCACGCCTGTAATCCTAGCACTTTGGGAGGCCGAGGCGGGCAGATCATGAAGTCAGGAGAGCGAGACCATCCTGGCTAACATGGTGAAACCCCGTCTCTACTAAAAATACAAAAAATTAGCCGGGTGTGGTGATGGACACCTGTTGTCCCAGCTACTCAGGAGGCTGAGGCAGGAGAATGGTGTGAACCCAGGAGGCAGAACTTGCAGTGAGCCACGATGGCGCCACTGCACTCCAGCCTGGGTGACAGATCGAGACTTCGCCTCAAAAAAAAAAAACCCCAAAAAAACCACATACATTTTAGTTACATATATCTTTTGATTTATTCTAATCAGATGTTTAAATTGTTCTTATGTGGGAACACTAAGGTAGCTATGGAGAATTATGGAGTGGACCTCCACCCATAAAGAGCTTACAAAATCTATAGCATGTATCAATTGTTAAGTGACAGTATTAGATAGTAAGGCATCTAGTGGGGTAGTAAGCATGGATTAAGAGAAGTAGAGCATCTTGAAATTATTTTAGCTGAAAATTGAGCAGGAAAGGAAAACAGTATTTACATTGGATCTTGAAGGATTTTGGATAACCAAAGAGAAGTGGGAGGGATGAGAATAAAAGCTCAGATAAATGGACCAACTATTCAAACTGGCATTTTTGGAGAAAAATGCCAAGTGATAGGATTGAAAGGATAGATTAAAACCAGACTAAGACTTTAGGATGCCAAGCCAAGAAGTTTTGATTAATCTTGTAAGTGTAGATTTATGGTTACATGGCCTAAAGACTCATCCTTCTGAGTTTGAGGCATTGAAATAAAAGTTAATTTCAGAATGTTACAACCCTTGTTTCGCCCACCTCGCCCCGCCAAGTATCGTGTATCAGTTATTGTCATGTTACAAACTATCCAAAAACTTAGTACCTTTAAAAGAACAGCCATTTTTATTACTGTTCACAAGTCAGTGGGTCTGCTGAGTGGTTCTGCAGTCAGCTCTCATGTTTTCTGGGGCTGAATAGTCCCAGATGGTTTCATTCATATGTCTGGTGGTTGTCAGACAGGCTGGTCTAAAGGCTTCACTTGGGCTGGCTCATTTTTCTGTTCTTAGCCTTCTCTAGTAAGGTAGTCTGGATTTCTTTACATAGCATCAAGAGAGTAAGTTCTTTTCCACACATGCTTTACTTTGTATGCCCCTCCTGGTGTCATATTTATAATGATGTCCCATTAGCTACTGCCAATTAAGTGGTCAAACTCAGCCACCTTGTGGGAAGGGGATCACACATACTATGGGTACAGGGAGATGTGATTCTTTAGGGACCATTTCTATAACACTCTACCACATGTCCCTTTTCCCTTTATTCCCTACTGTAGTGTGAGGCACTTTTATGGGACACATTTAATTTTTTTCCTTTCAATAGCACTGCTTCTGCTTTCTTTTTTGTCACTCATCTTCTCTAACCACATCTGACTGTCCCTTCGATTGGCAAAAGTCATTCGCATTCCTGCTTTCTGATCTCAATCTCTAAATAGAAGAGAGGCATCCCCGCCCCATCACTGAGACTTTAGAAGATTTGTGGAATGACCTCTTTTTTTTTTTTTTTTTTGATATGGAGTCTTGCTCTGTCGCACAGGCTGGAGTGCAGTGGGGTGATCTCGACTCACTGGCAACCTCTGCCTCCCAGTTCAAGCGAGTCTTCTGCCTCCGCCTCCCAAGTAGGTGGGACTACAGGCATGTGCCACCATGCCCGTCTAATTTTTTTTTTTTTTGGTAAGAGATGGGGTTTCACCATGTTGGCCAGGCTGGTCTCGAACTCCTGACCTCTTGATCCGCCCGCCTCAGCCTCCCAAAGTGCCGGGATTACAGGCGTGAGCCACCTCACCTGGCCAGAATGACCTCTTTATTTACTATGCTTGTTTACCTTGATATTAAACCTGGTCTGAATTTGTTGTGTTACATTATCTCTACCTTGTATAGTCTAATAATGACATCCTAGTTCTTGTCCCAATGAACTCGCTTTTAACATTCCTTTTGGTTTTTGAAATTCCCCAAAGTTCTGCTTTTGTCTTTCTCAGTGGCAGTCTACCTCTTGTAACAGTGTTTCTCAGATTTCAGTTTGCAGAAATCAAAGAGAGTAAGTCTGTAGATCTCAGTTAGAGTTACAAGTTATTAACCTCAGCTTATCCAGGTTGAGCATTTCAAATCTGAAATGGTAAACACTTCTGGTCCCAAGCATTTTCAGATAAGGGATACTCACCCGGGAGTAAGATATAACTTTATTTTACTTCACCATTTAGTTGTCACACTGAAACAAAATGACCACAAAACCATACTTATCTTTACTATGTGTGGCACATTCAGTTTTTCACTTATTTTAAAATGTTGCTCTTGATTTTATAATCCACCAATAGGTCATAACCCACAGTTTGAAAAATACTATTTTAGAGGGTCACTGGGATTCAATTCAGTAGTAAGTAAAAAAGTAGGCAGTTCCTATGTTTAAGCTAGTCTTTTAGTCTAGTTGGCCCAGAACATTCTTTTATTTAGGAGAAGCATCAAAATTAAAATACATGTTTACATTTCTTTTTTTTTTTTTTTTTTGACATAGAGTTTCGCTCTTGTCTCCCAGGCTGGAGTGCAGTGGCGTGATCTCAGCTCACTGCAACCTCTGCCTCCAGGTTTAAGCGATTCTCCCGCCTCAGCTTCCCGAGTAGCTGGGACTACAGGCAGGCACCACCAAGCCTGGCTAGTTTTTGTATTTTTAGTAGATACTAGGTTTCACCATGTTGGCCAGGCTGGTCTCAAACTCCTGACCTCAGGTGATCTGCCTGCCTTGGCCTCCCAAACTGTTGGGATTACAGGCGGGAGCCCTGTCACCTGGACAGTTTTACATTTCTTAAAGTGAATGCTAGAAACCCAACATATTATGTTCACAGAACCCGATTTGAGAAATACTGATGCATAGGAAAAAATCTGCATTTAAGCATGAACCCATTGCGCTCTCCCTCCATTGTTTACTTTTTTCAGCATTACTTTTTATTATTCTACAGGAACTTCCTGCTCCCTTTAAATTTATTAATTTCCTCACAAGCATATCTGTTCATTTTACTGCCTTTGTGACTGCTTAGATAACTTTGCAGTGTTACAATAGTGGAAAGCCAAATGGCTTTGGGTTCAACTATGAGCTCCCCCACAATCTGGGAGAAATATTTAGCTCTGTAAGTCATGCTTTCTTTGAAAAAATAAGGCTGAGGTAAGGGATGATAAACACCTACCCATAGAGGGTAGTAAGAGACACTGGTGAAGGCTCCCAGCACAGTGTCTGGCACAAGGAAGACATCATAAACAAGTAGTTTTTGAATCATTCTCAACTCTACCTGTACCTTAAAGCCCAGCATGATCACGTATTTTCCAAGTATACCCTTCTCTGGTCTGCACTTGCTCTGAGAGTTACTTTTGACTTCTGTCATTGACTATGTTATGTTGCTTGTATAGCATGGATTTTTCAGTATAATTTAACTTTATTTTCAATGGTTGAAAATTTTTTCAAGCTTTGTCAGTTTTGGTTAGAAAAGTATACATGAGTCATAAATATGTATGCATTTGTTGCCTTTTGTTTCTATATTGCATGCTCTATGTCCTCAGATTTTGGATTCCTTCATTGTACATACAATGCTTTGATGTAGTAAGTTCTCCATAAGTATTTCTTTGAGATTTTTTTCTCAGAGCTTTACTTGTCCTCAGATATTAACACTTTTGAGTTTTGATTTGCCCAAGGTCCCAGAGTTAGGATATGGTTAGAATCCAGGTTCAAATTAAGTATATTTTGCTGCCTGTGTTTTCCGTGTTCTATTGTTAAAGAGTTACTTGACTCTTTTCCTGAAATAGGTTATACTGTTTTATTGTAGTAGTGTTGGAAAACTATTTTAATAGTAAAAATACTACCATTTATTTCCTTAAACTAGGAAGTGAACTGCAGGAAAAATCATTTATTTATTCCATTAGCAGTTACTTGGTGCGTGATTTGTGGCAGACACTGTACTATTGGTATAGGAAAAATTTGCTGTCACTTCAGCGAAAAACTTGCAAAAGTTAAACTTCTGAAGGCAATCCTGAAATCTTTTTTCCCTCAATACATTTTGTTTTCAGTTAAAGTACAGCTGACTCTTGAATCTTCTGTTTTAGGCCAGGTGCAGTGGCTCATGCCTGTAATCTCAGCACTTTGGGAGGATGAGATAGGTGCATCACCTGAGGTCAGGAGTTTGAGACCCACCTGACCAACATGGTGAAACCCCATCTCTACTAAAAATACAAAAATTAGCTGGGCTTGGTGGCACATGCCTGTAATCCCAGCTACCTGGGAGGCTGAGCAAGGAGAATCACTTGAACTAGGGAGGTGGAGGTTGCGGTGAGCCAAGATCGTGCCATTGCATTCCTGCCTGGTCAACAAGAATGAAACGAAACGCTGTCTTAAAAACAAAAAACAAAAAACTTCTGTTTTAATGACAACCTTGCTGTTTGTACATTTAGTTTTCCTGTAATACTTTTGAAATTATGAGATTGAGGAGAGCTATGTTTGTCAGATATATTTTACTGCTCTTTATGTGGTTGAGAAAGTAATTTGAACTAAGATTGTGTAGGAATTCTTCGCTGATTCAGAAAATGCCACCTAACTGGCATTCAAAATTAAAGCAAATATGATTATCCAGAGTGTAGTCCTTTCTTTACCTATAAAGGCAGAACCAAAAGGACTCTTAGTGAAGCTTCTGCATTGTCTTTGGTTGAAGGCACCTATCCTCACTCAGACTGTCATTGTCCAAAATCAGTAATGTTGTTTTACTTACAAGTTAGGAAATTCAGTTACCTAATTTCCATAATCTGCAAATGGGCGGAACCTTGGAGTTAGAGGCAAGACCAACCAGATTGAAGAGAAAGGGAATCAGTATTCAGAACAGGCACTGTTAGATGCTTTACTAACGATGAATTGTTTAATCTGAAGACCTATGAGATCATAGGATTCAAGAACCATTTAGTTTTAGTGTCCAAGTTAATTCAAATTGCCTTGTAGGACCTCATCATTACTACTATGTAATACTTGCTCAGTATGACCCAGTGTCATCAAAAAATGTTAAATTTTATTAAGTGATTGTTTAGGAAGACTGAGGCATATGGTTAAATGGCTAAAACTAAGCAGCGCTTTAAAAAATAAAATTTCAAATACCTGGAAAATGTCTTCATGTGGAACATTTGGCATCCTTATTGATGCCTGATATATAGGAGGTGATGTTATATATTAGCTTCGTAATAGTTTTTTTTGAGGTCGAGTTTCGCTCTTGTCAGGCTGGAGTGCAGTGACATGATCTTAGCTCACTGTAACCTCTGCCTCCTGGGTTCAAGTGATTCTCCTGCCTCAGTCTCCCGAGTAACTGGGATTACAGGTGCGCACCTCTGTGCCTGGCTAATTTTTCTATTTTTAGTGGAGACGGAGTTTCACCATGTTCGCCAGGCTGGTCCCGAACTCCTGACCTCAGGTGATCCGCCCACCTCAGCCTCCCAAATTGCTGGGATTACAGGTGTGAGCCAGCGTGCCTGGCCAATAACAGGTTTTATATTTAGAAAGAGGTAATTAAATTTAAAAATAGTATGATCATCCCTCGGTATTCGTAGAGAATTGGCTCCAGGACCCCCCTTAGATTCCAAAATCCCCAGATGCTCAAGTCCCTTAAATGAAATGGCATAGTATTTGCATATAACCTAGCACATCCTCCCAAATACTTTCTCTGTAGATGCTATGTAAATAGTTGTTATACGGTTTTGGTTTTTTGTTTGTATTTTTATTGTCGTATTGTTACTTTTTATTGCTTTTTTTTTAATTTTTATTTTTTTGAGACAGAGTCTTGCTCTGTTGCCCCAGCTGCAGTGCAGTGGCACCATCTCGGCTCACTGCAGCCTCCGCCTCCCGGGTTCAAGCGATTCTTGTGACTCAGCCTGCCGAGCAGCTGCAATTACAGGTGCGCCACCATGCCCAGCTAATTTTTGTATTTTTAGTGAAGACGGGGTTTCACCACGTTGGCCAGGCTAGTCTCGAACTCCTGACCTGAAGTGATCTGCTCGCCTCAGCCTCCGAAAGTGCTGGGATTACAGGTGTGAGCCACTGCGCCCAGCCTCCTTTTTTTTTTCCAGTGTATTTTCCATCGAGTTTTGTTGAATCTATGGGTATGGAACCCATGGATACTGAAGGCCCCCTGTAATTAACAATTGGCTTGGTTCCTCATTGCAGACAGTGTTATACAGATAATCAGAAAGCTATTATATCAGCTATTTCATATAAATAATTTAAATTAAGTCTAGCACTAATTTTGATTTACCAAAGTTGATTGAAGTAGTTATTTGTGATATTGAGAAAATTATTTCCAGTAAATAGGAATGATTATGCTACTTTTAAAAGATGAGCCATTAGCATTTAGTTGTTTTTTTGTTTTGTTCTGTTTTGAGACAGGGTCTCACTGTCACCCAGGCTGGAATGCAGTGACGCCATCAGAGCTCACTTCAGCGTCCACCTCCCGGGCTCAAGTGATCCTCCCACCTCAGCCTCTTGGATAGCTGGGACTACAGATGTGCGCTACCATGCCCAGCTGATTTTTGGAAATTTTAGTGGAGACAGGGTTTTGCCATGTTGCCCAGACTGGTCTTGATCTCCTGGGCTCAAGCAATTTGCCCATCTCAGACTCCCAGAGTGCTGGGATTACAGGCGTGAGCCACCGTGCCCAGCCTAGAATTTGTATATACTCAAAATAGTTTACATTTTGCATTTTTCTACATGAACATATGCATGTATTGCTGATCTTTCCCTACTTTTTGCAAATATGATAGATTTCACTATATACAAAACTTAAAACATTATACATTAACTCAAAAGCATTGTCAATTTATATTCTGAAATAATGCAAATTTTAATTTTTTTAAAAACAAAACTTCTACAAGATTATTATATTATTTTAGGAGACTAAAACATAAAAGCCTGATACTTAAGTAGTTTGAATCTGGTGATTTATTCCATGACTTAACCTATTCATATTTGTATAATCTTATTTTAAGCCTTGGCTTGGGATTTTTTTTAATTGCCTCCCTAAAATAGGATAGTGCACATTGCATAAAATGACATTGTCAATAAAATTTATATCCTCAAACTGACCATGAAGTTCATCAGCATGAAGATATTTTGTAGAAAGCATTTCTGAATGCATGTGTCATAAAACTGCTTCTTTAGTAATTAAGAATTAACCCTAGTAAGTGAAGTTGAATATGTTGGCAATAAATTGATCAGTATATCCAGTATTGTGACTTGCTTATGAAATATTTTTGAAAAGATTACCTGATACTGCAAATTCTGCCTAAGGAGAAATTATTTTCAACACCAAAAGACCTTTGAGGATTTACCTATAATTGAATGAAAATATTTGTGGTGTGGGTTTTTTAATCCATGAAAACCATCCTTTATAAATCTTGTTTTATTTGAGCAAAAGAAACTACATCCTAGATTTTGTCTTTCATATATAGTTTGCTTGACAGCCCATTAGATACTGTGAATTAAAATCTTGGGATTCTAAGGATGTTGGTTTTTTCACATATTGTTTATTGTGACCTTGGCATGCCACTTGTAGCTTTTCTTTGTTTCTTTATCCTTCAAATGGGGACCTTTTATGGTTGTTATTAGAATTGATGAAAGCCATAATTATTTTAAATGATTGTTGTAATATAAAGTAACATTTTCATTTACACTTAGACTACTTTGGAAACACTTTGGATGTTTTATGTATGATATGACCTAGCATAATTTTAAAACATTAATAATTCCACTGTTTTCAAGTTACCCATGATTATCACTTTTAAAAATAACATTAAATTACTGATTAATTTGTTTGAAGCCTACCTTTTAAAGAAAGTAGGATTAGACTTTATAATAATTTATAAAAGATACTTTTGCATGTGTGTGGTGGAGGGTTTGGAGTTAGTTGATGGGAGTGAATGTGCCAGGAGATTAGTGGCTTTATAGTTGAAACCTTTCCTTTGTCCAAAATTTTAAACTAGAATTTGAGAGGCTGGGGATGAGAGAGAAGCTGGGATTATATAGTAACTAAAAGAACAGATTTTGAACTATGATTTGAATTCCAACTCTGGCACTTCCTGAAGGACTTCAGGGTTGTGGTTTTTTGTTGGTTTTTTTTTTGTTTGTTTTTTTAATCTCTGTTCTTACATATAGACTAGAGGTAATAATATCTGCTTCAAGCTGTTGTGATTAAGGCATAATGTTTGCTGAGTACTTTGCTTATTATGGTGCTAGAATTACAGAGTAATTGTTAGCTATTAATACTTTTAAGAGGAGTAGATCCAAAATGTTCCCTCATAAAATAACATTAGTTTTAAAAAGTTATTTAATCCACTATACCAAAAATGTTGTAATTTCACCAACATAAAAATTGACATAGTTTACAGTCTTTTTTGTACATCTTCAAAGTCTGGTATGTATTTTATACTGATGGCATATGTCAGCTTGGACTAGTTAACATTTCAAGGGCTGTATACTCACATGAATCTCAATTGTAATGAAATATACTGGTTTGCACCCTTTCATTGTCTGGCACATCTACTTGTAAACCAGTGGGAATGTCTGCCACTCTCCAACCTCTATATCCTATCATCTAGATTTAAATCAAGATATACCACTAGCGGAACATACTTATTATTGAACATTAAACTATGAGATTAGCACTATGTCTGGTACTAGTTAAATGGCAACAAAAATGCCTGACATGGAGAGTTCAATTCAACCATTTATCTGTTTGCAAATACTAACAAAGGTAACTGTGAATGGGCAATCTCTTTTTCTTCATAGCACTTAGCACAATTACTAATTTTCTATAGTCTCTTATACTGTGTACTCTTTACCCTATGATACCCTATGAGGGAAGGAACTGCATCCACCTTGTTTGCTACATTTTCTTAGTGAAAGCAGTGAACAGCTGTTTTTCTCTTTAGAACAATTTATGATAGCCTACCCCAATCATTAAAAAGTAATCAGGAAATTTCCCAGTAGTCAGAATCACATTTATCTTGCTTTCATCCGACTACTCCTCCAAGACACACCAGAATCAGAATGGTTGAGGCACAAATGGACAAGTAACAAAAGAACAGCTCTTTTCATCAACCTCTTAGACTTAAAGAAAAAAGAAAACAATACATATGCACCTGGTGGGAAAGAATAGTGAGTATTGTTGCCCAGGAGTCAGTGAGTGGCGTGGTTCATTAGCACCCTGGAGACTAATTAAGCATTCTTTAGAATGTTTAACCATTCTAAGTTAAACAATAGAAGTACTATAGTAGTCATGATAAAAGGAAACCTAATACCAATAAATGCCCTGAGTTTTTCTAAATGCAGAATAACATAGGACCAGGCATGGTGGCTCATACCTGTAATCCCAGCACTTTGGGAGGCCAAGGCAGGTGGCTTACTTGAGCCCAGGTGTTTGAGACCAGCCTGGGCAACACGGCAAAACCTCATCTCTATAAAAAATAAAAAATATTAGCTGGGCGTGGTGGTGCACACCTGTAGTCCCAGCTACTCAGGAGGCTGAAATGAGAGGATCACCTGAGCCTGGGAAGTCGAGGTTGCAGTGATCCAAGATTGCACCACTGCAATCTGGGCGACAGAATGAGACTCTGTCTCAAAAAAAAAAAAAATTTTTTTTTAATTAAAAAATGAAATGGCATGTAATGATTAAAGGTGAAATCTGTTTCAAATAAAATTAAAAACCTATATTTAACTCATTTTTAATGATGTAATATTGTATTATAATTCTTTCTGATAGTCTTAAGATTATAGGAATAACTTTATGTAGTATAAAACCTGGAAAGATGGAAGAGTTGAGAGTGACAGCAGCTCTTACTTTTTTATTCTATATACAGTAAAATGGCACTTTAATAATATTGGAATTCTCCAGATTAATTTATTGTCAGTTTTGTAATTTTGGCACAAAAAAAAATCCAACTCCTTATCAAGTGTTCCCTGTTTTGTAAACTGCTGATGTACACTAGCATTCCATATCATTCAAAACATTTATTCATCCATTGTGTATAAGTCAATCTTTTAAAAACTGAATCATATTTAAAACTCCCTAAGGAAGATTACTTTTTTATTTTCTGTTTAGGCGAGCATTCCAAAAGTGGGGTAAATTTAGCTTCTTCACTGTGTTTCTTTCTTTTTTTTTCTTTCTATGGTCACTTTGATAACTGCTGGAGTCACTGCTTTGGAAAACAAGGTCCTAGTCCTGATGCTTTTTCTTTTTCTCCTCCTTTGGCTCATCTTCCCAGAGGCTATTCACATTAGTAATAATCTGTAAGTCTAACTCTTCCTTTGGGGTGACATCTGCAAAATTTGCTAGCTTGTGGTACCATCATCCACTTCATTCATCTCTGGGTCTTTCTGGTTTCTCTTTTTCTTCTTTGGAAGTTTTTCAAAAGCTTCTTCAGTGCTGGTTTATCAGAAACTTCAGAGCTCTTGGGTTGTAAACTAGTGATTGTTTTCCCTAAATGCAGAATATTTCAGTAGCATCTTAATCTAGATGAAACACTTCATATTCTGGTTCATCACCCACATTTATCTCCACAGCCTGCCACTGCTCAGCTGACATCTCAGGTTTAGGGATGGACGTATTAAAATATTTTTGTACAAAATAGCCAGTCTGACTAGAAGACACTTTGTTAACTGTACTATAACCTTTTACCCTGGTTCAGGGCAGAAAATAACAAAATCTGCTTCAATGTTAAGATTAATGTGTCCTTGATCATCATAAATATCTCCCAGTTCACCACAACTTTCATGTTATATGCAATGGGGACACCTAAAAGGCTCTCAGAATAGTGCAGGAGCTTCACATTAAGCTTCTCTGCAATGCCAGTGTATTTCCTGTTAAGGTAGCAGAGTGATGTGCTTTTGGCTGGGCCACCAGGCAGGAATTCACCAACACCCAAGCAGCAGGATAGGTCGGCAGCTCTAGGAAAGGAAGGACATGTTCAGCCTGCGGCACCACCTCTGAACAACCTGCAGCCGTGTGATTTGTCCAAGAACATTAATCTTAGTGTTAATAAAATACTGTTCAGTTTCTTGTCATCTAGATAGTGGTTTTACAGTTAAAAAATAGAATAGGGAAACTCCCTTTTCTCCCCAGTCTTACCTGATACCTTGATGTATAAAATAAAAAAGTAACTGCTGCAGAACAGTTTGACAAGTAGTGCTCTAGAATATAACAGCACTGTTGGCAGGGGTCATGAGGGGAGTTAAAGTGTAGTTCTCTTCTGACAGTATTTTCTTCCTAAACTGGTGTTTTTTCCTCCTATTTCCTCTTTCTACTGCTTGCTTCGCTGTACTAAGATAGTGAATGTTCTTGTCCTAGAGTCATAATAAAGCCATTCCTGAAGAGTTTCATACCTTTGATTTAATTTTTAAAGACTTACGCTGCTTATTCTTGTCTTACGTACTAAGGCCCATTAAACTCATTTTTTTGGTACCTAAGATTTTAAATATATTTCTCTGGAATCATGACACCGATGTGTATATAGTATGAATAGGGGAATTATACTTTATCAGAGGAACAATATTATCAAACAGTGAAATTTATGCAAATATACTCAGTGCTAATGTTTCTAAAAATTTATTGAGAAGACCGAGGTTATCTTACACATTTCCCGAAGTCGTCATCTCAGATTTTCTCTGGACTTTTCATTTCCTTCCTGGGAAACCTAAGGAAGAAGTGGCTGTTCCCTTTCCAAAGTGCATCTTCTCGTATGTGTACTTGATCCCCACCACTTCAGAGAACCATCCCACTTTTTTGAGTCTTCATCACTTTTCATCACTTCTGTCTTTTAGCCTATGGACGAGTACATGTCTTTCTCATCTTTTTGCTTCACTGGTCATCTCTCTTCAGATTTTGCCCCTTCCTCTGACTTCTTCTCTCCTTATGTGAAACTTCTCCTTCCTAAAAAAGGTTTTCCTTAATTCTTTTTTTTCCCCTCATCGTTATTGCCAGACTTCTTGGAAAGGTATTGTTTTTATTGCCTTCATTACTTTTTCATTGCAGTTTGGATTCAACTCTTCAACCATACAAAAGAAAATGTTCTCTTTTTTTGAGTTGGGGTCTCACTTTTACCCAGGAGTGCAGTGGTACAGTCATGGCTACCTGCAGCCTTGAACTCCTGGGCTCAAGTGATTCTCCTGCCTCAGCCACCTGAGTAGCTAGGATTACAGGCCCACACCACCATGCCTGGCTAATTTTTAAGAATTTTTTTGTAGAGACAGTGTCTCACTATGTTGCCCAGGCTGGTCTTGAACTCCTGGCCTCAGGCGATCCTCCTGCCTTGGCTTCCCAGAGTGCTAGGAGTACAGATGTGAACCACCACCCTTGACCAAGAAAATGTTATTTTAATGGTCACCTGGCTTGGCATATCTGTAGTACTTGTAGACCTGCATAGCAACCCAGCAGTTCAAAGACTATTCATGTGCCTATACATTGTTTTAAAGAAAATTTGTCAGCATTTAAGAAATCATAAACTTTCATATTGAAATGAGAGTTTGGGGCTTTTGGAAAATCAGAAGATCTGGCAATATTGAACTGATGCCTGGCTGTGGATTGAAATGGCTTCCTGGCCAACTCCTCTTGGCTGTTTAAAATGTTTGTGACCCCACCTAGACTTACCTTCAATTTATTTACACTACGCTCCTGGTTCTACGTTTGTGACTGTTTATTGTCTTTACTCCTTTCACCTTCTGGAAGGTAAATGATAGCTATTATTAATATATTAAAGAGGACTAGATCCAAAAGTTTGTAGTATATGTGTGGTGGGGGGGGCTTTCCCTCATAGGGAAGAAAAAGTATTAGCTTTTTCCCACCTGTCACTAGGTTCGTGGCTGAGTCACCTTTAACAGACTACAGATTAAGAAGAGAAAATAACACAAATTTATTTAATAAAAGTTTCACATGACATGAAGTTTTCAGAAATGAAGACCCAAAGATACAGGGAAACCTGTGTATTTCAGTGCTTGGATTTGATGAAGAATAGACAGTGGTGGGGAAATGTGATTGGTCAAAGCAGGTAGGATCTAATGGTAATAAACTGGAGGGGAGCTTAACAAGGCCTGTTTGTGCAGATTCTTAATGTTCCTGTGTTTTCAGAGATAAGGACATTTCCTTTCCTCAGGGAATAGCGAGGGCACCTCTGGAATGAGGGTCTTATGACTTACTTTAGGGGAAGGTCAGAAAATTGTTTTATGGCCTGTTTCAGGGGAGAAGGGTGGGAGGAGGTCAGAAACCTTCCTGCTTCTGCTACTTTCTCAAATACCAAGGTACCATATTTTGGGGTAGCATTTACTGAACCCTATCACCCTCAATGTTTTCTTCCTTTCACTCTTCACTAGCAACACTCAAGCATTTTTCCCAACTCATCATTATGTCTGAGGCAGGACTTTCTCCTCAGAAAGTGGTTCCTGATGACCTGGTTGATAATCCATGCTTTACATACTCATCTTCAGCAGTCATCCACTCTGACATTATCTCCCGTCACTCACTCTGGATAGGATTTCCAGGTGTCCATTATTTTTATAGACTTTTAGCCCTTGGCTTCCATTTTCAGTCACCTGTGGAACTCTTCCTCGTGGATGTTTAGTAAGTACTTCTAATTAAATATGTCTAAAATGGAACTCATCCAGTTTTCCCTCCATCCTCCCACCAATAAGAAAGCCTGTTGCTATTCTGATGCACCGCCTCCCCCGGCCCCCCACTCCTCCCCACAGACACACACTTAAATTTTTAATCCTTGGCCAGGCACAGTGGCTCACACCTGTAATCCCAGCACTTTGGGAGGCCGAGGTGGGCAGATCACCTGAGGTCAGGAGTTCAAGACCAGCTTGGCCAACATGGTGAAAACCCGTCTTTACTAAAAATACAGAATTAGCTGGGGGTGGTGGCACATGCCTGTAATCCCAGCTACTCAGGATGCTGAGGCAGGAGAATCACTTGAACCTGGGAGGCGGAGTTTGCAGTGAGCCGAGATCGCACCACTGTACTCCAGCCTGGGTGACAAGCGAAACTCCATCTCAAAAAAAAAAAAAAAATGTTTTGAATCCTTCAGTCATTTTTAGCTCCTCCTCTTATTTCCACAGGCCAGTTACCAAGTTTTGTCAATTTTATTCCTGTACTATTTCTTGTATCCTTTGCTGCTTAAATTTGATATGTCATTACTGGCTACATAGTTTTCTTGCCATAGGAAAATTTAACAAATATTTGTTTTTTCATGAAGTTACTTTTCTGTCCTCCATTCACTTCTTTTTAAATCTGTCTTCTATACTGTCACTAAGATTATTAGTTATCCTTCCAAAGCACAGATACCATATTTGTTCCTTAAAGACTTTAAAAGACTATGTGATGTTGAAGAATTCAAATTCTGGGTTGGACACCATGAGTTAAAATCCCAACTTCACCATCTACTAGTTATGGGCTCATTTTCTTAATTTCTTTAATGAGGATAATAGTCATATCTACTTCATAGGTTTGTAAGGATTAAATGAGGCATCA
The DNA here is from genome assembly GCF_000001405.40 of Homo sapiens. Taxonomy (NCBI): domain Eukaryota; kingdom Metazoa; phylum Chordata; class Mammalia; order Primates; family Hominidae; genus Homo; species Homo sapiens. Next base: position 87,177,802 of record NC_000006.12, read on the forward strand.
GTACAGTGCACATCACATTAACAAGCACCATGTAAAATGCTATTGTTCCATGAAAACTAAAATTCTAGCTCATAAACCTTACATTCAGGAATATTTCATGCTTCCAGTGTCCCATCCTAACTGATTGGCACCATATCTCTTATTTTTTTGTAGTCTTAGGGCTTTGTAGTCTGTTCTTATACTACAGCTTATGTATCCTCCCTCACTTCTGTGCATTTGCCTTAGCTTTCTCCTTTAGTGTTTTCTTTTTTTTATTGACTTGGTTTCACCACATCTCTTTGCTTTAGTCTATGGTAAGGCTATTCAAATTCTACATTTTCATTAGGCCTTCCTATGCTACTAAAGGGATTTAATTACGTGTTCCTCATTCTTTTTATTGAACTGTGTATGTTTTTCATAGTTTCTTTGTATTATGATTGTGTTTCTTTCTTCTACCTCCCAAGCTGGTGTTCTTAAAAAGAGGGAACATGCCTAGTTTGCTGAATTGTAAGTAATTAAATCTTGTTGAATGGTTTTCTCCTTGAATAGGTGGTTTCAATTTTTGGAAGAAAGGTGAATTTTGTGCCTTTAAGAAGCTGTTCTTTACTGAAATTATGTTACTTTTGACTATTCTTATTTCATCTCATTTCTGAATTGGATATCTATATTCAGGGCAAGGATTCAGTTTGATCAAACAGTTCTTATAAAGCAAATGTGAGTGTATAATAAGTAGTAGTACTCTTATTAGCTTACATTTATTAAAGTTATATGCCAGGAACTGTTACGTTTGTGTGTTGTGTATGTCTGCCTATGTGTATAAGAGAGAGGGAAATTATTTATTTAGTCCTCAGCACCTCTCTGAAATAGGTGGTTACTATCCCTGTTTATTTATGAGACCACTAAGGTACAGAGATGTAAAATAACGACCTAGTCAAGTAACTAGGAATTTTTAACAACACAAGAAAAGCAGAACCCAAACTAAGTAAAACATTTTATTTCTTTTTTTAGGGACAGTGTGTAGGTGTGATTGTTGAAGTTTGCTTTAGGGTACTAAAGGAATTTGTGAAAGAAAACTTGAATCTTTTGAAACTAAGTTTCAGGAAAGCAGAATGTAAGCATTTTACCCTTGTGGAGGCTTAGTAATACCCTTATTTAAGAATGTGCTAATTAGGGTTCTTTATTCTATATTAGTGGGAATTTCATTAGTTTTGAATTTAAGTGATGTATAGGCCCTTTAAAGGTTGAATAATACATATTTATGAACTATAGTGATAGCAATTTGTTGCAGACATTGTTTCCCAATCTTTAAATATTAATATAAGATTATTTGTTTTATTGGATTAAACAAAAACAAGTCTGTATTTGTGATATATGTGGCTTTTTTTTTTTTTTTTTGGGAGATGGAGTCTCACTCTGTCGCCCGGGCTGGAGTGCACTGGCTTGATCTCAGCTCACTGCAACCTCCACCTCCCAGGTTCAAGAGATTTTTCCTGCCACAGCTTCCCGAGTAGCTGGGATTACAGGTGTGCACCATCATGCCCAGCTAATTCTTGTATTTTTAGTGGAGACAGGGTTTCACCATGTTGGCCAGGAGGGTCTCGAACTGCCAACCTCAGGTGATCCGCCCGCATCAGCCTCCCAAAGTGCTGGGATTACAGGAATGAGCCACTGTGCCTGGCCAATGTGGACTCTATATGGTATAAAGGAGTATGTAAACTGTGGAGAGAAGTAGGGCTATTTTCTACAGCAGTGGTCTTCAAATTTTTTAATTGGGTACCTTACCAGAAAACATTTGAATAGAAAACCTCAATATAAGTATGTCTAATTATAAATCATATGTATAAATATATATACTATTTCGGCTTATATAGTTTTTCAAGTCTGTTTATGATGTAATTTTATGTTTCAGAACAATTTAATATACTTTTTTTCCTGCTGTACTTCAGTGTACATCCTCTGTTTGGAAACCACTAGTTCATAGTGCTGTGAGTAATGAAGTTTTCTAAGAATACATTATTAAATAACTGCCTGATTTATTTGCCCTATTTCCTCCATGTACGGAGACATTACAGCAACAGCCCAGTCAGATTTTTTTCATGCTATCTTTTAGTCAGATTTAATTTAATGTGTATTTCTAGTTTATTGCTTCTGCCATGTTTTATTCTTTATGAAGATCCCCGAGTATTGAGTGTGCCAGTTACCAGATTCTCTCCCAGCTCTAAATTACCTCTTCATTACTTGATCTGCAATATTGGAGCCTAACCCTTTAGGCCAGGGGTGTCCAATGTCTTGGCTTCCCTGGGCCACATTGAAAGAATTGTCTTGGGCCACACATAACATACACTAACAATAGCTGATGAGCTGAATCGCAAAACAAAACAAAACAAAAAAACAGAACAAAACAAAAACCTTATTTACAAATTTGCATTGGCCCGCATTCAAAGCCATCCTGGGCCACATGTTGATGTTGAACAAGCTTGCCTTCGGCATTTCTTCTTTATGTGATGTTAATTTTGTGAGTGGAGAGTGCTGGAAGGACAGTGCACAAGGGCGGGCTTATGGTTTTGTTTCTTCTTACTGTGAATGCACGGCTGCCAGTAGTGTGGCTATGGATATCCAGGGGTCCTCTGCCCCAAGTATGTGCCAAGAGCAGACAGACCCTTGTCTAGCTCACAGCCCCAGCGTCAGCTTAGTGACCTCCTCTCTGTAGTTTTCCCAGCATGAGGCTGCACACCCCAGACCTCATGCCTGCCTTCTGGAGAGCCAGCTGCCAATATTCCAACTTCCCCTGCATGTCTACTTACACTCAGGAGGGCTTTCCTTGTGCAGGCCCTGCTGGTAATGAGATTCTCAATGTCCCAACTGACTGTGTATGCTCAACCTCGAGCCCCTTAAGCCCCAGCAACCACAGGGAGAACTACTTTGCCATCCAGTGGGCTGCAGCCATAATTCCAATAAGGCCTGAACCCTAGTTATGGGGAGTGGGGACCCTCTTCTAAGTTTGTTCCTTCCGTGGATACCCTCACTCAGCCCTTGAGTACTTGAGTATTCTTCAGAATTTTCATTACACATTGATAGTTATTTTCCTATTACAATTAATAATTGTAATTGAGAGTTCCCTGATTCCCCTTGCAGGAGGTGTGACAGAGGTGTGGCTCACCTGCTTGGTCGCCCCGCAGCTCAAACCCCTAGGGCGAGCATGCAGACAGGTAGGTGCAGAGACCAGGAGGAAGCTTTGGGCTCTTGGCCCCATGGTAATGTCTAGGGGTGAGTGCCTGCAACCCCACTGTTACAAAGCTCTTTCTTTCAGCTTTGCCGTCTGCAGACGGCTTTGAGTGTTAATCAGCTCAATGGACCCTCTGCTTTATTGCAAGGAAGAGGGCCAGTGTGACAGCCTTCCATATCCCACGCTGTTCCCTAGCGTCCCGGATCACACGCAGGCTCGAAGGATGAGTGCAAGATTTTACTGAATGGTGGAGGTGGCTCTCAGTGAGATGGATGGGGAGCCAGAAGGTGGGGAGGGGTGGGGGATATAATCTTCCCCTGGAGTTCAGCTGTTCTCAGCCAAACTCCTCTCAATATTCAGGTGCCTCTTTCCTCCTCTGCCATGCCACCCTGCTGCTCTCTGCCGCTCTCCACCGCTTCTCTTGACATTCAGCAGTTTGTGTGTGTGCCCACTAAGGTCTTGGGTTAAATGGGGGCAAGATGGGGGAAGTGGTGGGCCAAAGGCAACTTTTTGGGCGCAAAAACAGGAATGGCTGTCCTCTTTTAGGGCCACTGGTCTTCAGACTTGAGTGTGGGGCATTTGCCGGGGATCTGCCCTCTTCTACCCAGTATTTTCCTGTCTTCTGTTCATGTGTATATGAAACTTTGCCTGTTCAAGTTAGGGTGTGGTTCTTTTTTGTTTTGTTTTTTTTTTGAGATGAAGTCTCCCTCTGTAGCCTAGGCTGGAGTGCAGTGGCACTGTCTCGACTCACTGCAACCTCCGCCTCCTGGGTTCAAGCAATTCTCCTGCCTCAGCCTCCCAAGTGGCTGGGATTACAGGCACGCACCACCACACCCAGCTAATTTTTTTTTATTTTTAGTAGAGATGGGGTTTCGCCATGTTGGCCCGGCTGGTCTCAAACTCCTGACCTCAGGTGATCCGCCCATCTCGGCCTCCCAAAGTGCTGAGATTACAGGCGCCCGGCGGTTCTCATTTTTTTGATTGGATCCTACCAGATGCAATGGGCTAAAGTGAGTTAAATTACATATTATCCTTGTGCTTGAAAACTGAAGATTAGTACCAGTGCTTCCTCCTCACCCACTCATATACAGGGCATATTTGGGTCACTGCTAGTCCATGGTAATTAGCTTTGTTATTAAAAAATATCATGGTTGTAAATGCAGTTATTCACTCTAGTGGAATATTACTATGCAGGAGTAGCCCTTCAAAGTCATCGATCCCAAAAATGGTTGAGCTGAGAGAATGGAATAATTGTGTAAGTGTGTTTCCATAGTTAAAAGTCTATTATATTGTAATTTAAACAAGAAACATCAAATGAGAACTTTTCAATTCTATTACTTTATTATCATGCTTGGTAGCTTAAAAAATTTCCACCTGGTTATTTCCTTTTGAGTAAATTAGCAAATGACAGTCATGTAAATTATCTTTTAAAAATTTCCCCAAGTAGGAGGCTCGGGTAAAAGAAAAGCACTCCTACGCTTTTAGAGGATGTGGGGTTGGTGAGGCAGAGAGACCAGAAGATGAACTATTGTGACTAATTTATTAGTGCTAACTTGTTACTAATAGATGGTTCATTTGTAGACATCTAAATATGATTGTGTTCATTTTCATATTTGGCTTTTCCTTTGAAGTTATATGTGTAAAATAGTTGGTGATGATATGTTTCTAGAAATTGAAGGAGGAAAGAATAAAAGCAAATTAACAATCATATTATTGATTCCATAGCAACGTGTTAAATTTGCTATATCCAGTAGCCTTTACATTAGTATAGAAGTAATGAACCTGCATTTTGTATTAAGTAAATTATATTATTTTTAATAAATCAGTAAAACAGCAGGACACCAGAATCTTTTTGAGAGATTTTCTACTTCCTGGTCCTACTGCTTTAACTTCACTGTTTGTGACAACTTTGTGTAGAGAGATATTATTGAAGATAAAACTGATGGCCCTGGCTCTGTAGGTGATCTTCCCAATGAAACACTCATGGAGATAGTGTTTTACATAAATTTTTAAAAGCAGTGATGACTTCTGTGTAGGAGTCAGTTTTTTTAAACTTAGATTATAAATGACTGTGTATACAGTGAATGTTGCTGAAAAAGAAAAAATGCTTGCAATAAAGTTACAAATAGTCATTTCTCCCCTGCAATTGAAAGAATGATGCTTCATTCAAGTCTTTGACACCTTAGAGTCAGTAAGGGTGTTAAGTACTAGAGGAAGTTTATAATTACAAAGAGCCGCATCTAATAATCTTAAAGGCAAATAGAATGCTTTGCAATAGACAGAAACAGGGAATAAAATAATTTAAAATATATATTGTTATCAAATACTTTTTTTTTCTTACAGGCTGGCCCCTGCAGGAAAATATAACATGAAATTCAAGCATATTGTATCTAAGAAATGACTGTTTAAAAAAATAAAATGGTCCCTTCAGTTGGGGTTGAATCATAATTCTAAAAGACACAATCCTGAACACCATAATCCCAAATGTTGAAATCCTCAATGATCAAAATCCCTAATGTCTGAAATCCCAAAGGATTGAAATTCCATTAATTCTGGAAAAAATAATTTTTACAAACTTTTTAAAAGATGTTTATTTACATTTTTAAAAGGGGATTTGAGAATCATAAAATACCACAGAACATAAACCACTTTACACCATAAAATAGGCAGTAATGACATACATATTTTTGCAAGCATAAATAGATACACTAAGGATAGTCACATGGGTATAACAGTTATAAGCAGATAAGCCATTATTCATAAAGAAATAGGTCACAAAGTGAAATGTGTAAATACATATCACTATGGTTGGTAATTGTATACACGCAGTATTATAACTGTAGTCATCTCAAATACCATGATGGACAACTGAGTCTTTTGATGAGGTCAGCCAAAAACTGTAATGATTCACCACCACATATGCAGTTGCCCAGAGAGCCAAGATCTCAAGAGATTTTGTCTTTCACAAATACAGATGTAAAAAAAGGACATCTCCATTTATTGAGGAAATTTCAATGTTTTCACATATACACACAGTGCTTACACACAAAGTCAGTGTTGTGATAATACACTTTTGTAGAGTCACATTTACTAAAATGCATATAACGAATTAGAACTCTCTAAACCTTTATACAATTTATACCTCCAAAATTGGAAATGATGTGAAGATGAAAGATAGCATAGCTAATTGGCACAATGTGTGAAGGGGCAGAAGTAATACATGATTGAATAATTTGGCATGGGAGATTTCTCCTACTTTTTGCCTGCATTTTCACTTCTGTGAACTTTTGGAGAGTGGTGTACTCTACACATTTTGTAAGTATATGTTGTCTTTTTGGAAGTCTGGTTATTGTTTGGCCATTGCAATTAAGTATTTTTCTGCTTTCACATCACCAGTAATAATTAGCTTTTAAACTTCTGTCTTTCACCATTAAGGAGCTTAGTGCGCTCAACTTACCATAGGCTTTTTTTTTTTTTTTTTTTTGAGGGGACAGTTCCGTAGATGTCTTCCATTGTGTTGTAAGGAATACAATAAGAAGGAATGATTGGCTTCTCCAATACTAGGTCTGTATTAGGGTTCTCCAGAGAGAGAACCAATAGGATATGTATATAGATATATGAGAAGAGATTTATTAGGAGAATTCACATAAGAGATTCTGGTGGCTGAGGAGTTCCACAACAGTCCATCTGCAAGCCAGAGACTCTGGGGTTGCTGTAGCAAAGCTCAGTCCAGTTCCTAAGGCCTCAACCAAGGAAGCTGGTGGTGTAACTCTCAGTGGGAGATTGAAAGCTTCGAGGACCCTGAGGGGCTGCTTAGTGTAAGTCCTGGAGAACAAAGGCCCCTGAGCCTGAAGTTCTCATATCCAAGGAAGCAGAAGAAAAGTCTTGTCCTAACTCTCAGAGACCAATCCATTTTCTGTATTTGCTCTCTTGGCTTCTGGCCAATTGATGGTGCCACAGTGAGGTCAGATCTTCCCTACCTAGTCCACTCAGACTCACACACTAATGTCCTCTGAAAACATCCTCCCAGACACACCCAAAATAGTGCTTTAACAGGTTTTTAGGTATTCCTTAATCCAGTCAAGTTGACACCTAAAATTAAGTCCATAAGTCTACCCTTTGACCACGTACCCATATGCATTTCCTTAAACTATACTTAGTTTCCAAATAAAGACATTAACAAAGGAATAGTTCCACCTAACATGATGCAACTCATATGATGCAAATGTCCTTTGTACAACCCAAAAATGTGCTAAACCTTTCCCCAGAATTCGACTGTCAGGATTTTGACATTTCAAGATTGATTTTCAGGATTTTAGACTTCCGGGATTTTGATATTTTGGATTTCAACATTTAGGATTGTGTGTTTTGGGATTATGATGAGCACTGCTTTCGTTACCGGTGTCACAATTTAATTAATACAGTAATTTAATTCTGTTGGTGTACCATTTGTATTCTAGAATATTCTAGAACTTGAAGCATACTTTCTTTGAGAGGAGGTCTTGCCCTGTAACCCAGGCTGGAGTGCAGTGGCACAATCTCACTCATTGCAACCTCTGCCTCCCGGGCTCAAGTGATTCCTCCCACCTCAGCTGGGACTACAGGTGCGTGCCATCACACCCAACTAATTTCTTGTATTTTTGATAGAGATGGGGTTTCACCATGTTGCCCAGGCTGGTCTTGAACACCTGAGCTCAAGCGATCTACCCACTTCAGCTTCCCAAGGTGCTGGGATTATAGGCATGAGCCACCACGCCCAGCCCTCTATTTTTCTTACTTTTTATTTTTTATTTTTTAAACATTTGCTAATTTATTATAAAGGATTTTACAAAGTATTGACAGGAAGAGATGTATAGGACAAGATATGGGGGAAAGGGGCTCAGGGACCTTCCACGCCCTGCCTGGGTACACCTCCCTCCAGAAACCTCATGCACGTTCGGCTCTCCAGAAATTCCTGAACCTAGTCCTTTGGATTTTTATGAAAGTTTCATTACCTAGGCATGATTGATTACGTAATTGGCCATTGGTGATCAACTTAGTCTTCAGCCCCTCTCTGCTCTCCAGAGGTTGGGGGGACAGGTGGGGATAAAAGTCTCAACCTTGTAGTCATGCTTTGGCCTTTCTGATGTCCAGCCCCTGTCCTCAAGTTACCTATGGGCTGCCAGCCATCAGTCAACTCATTAATATACAAGGATGCCTTCAGGCATATTTTTCTAGGTTATTAATGGAGGTTAAATTCCCAGACTAGTTACAAAAAGTATTTTTTAAATTCACAGTAAAACTGTAATGTTACTTTATATTCTAGGAACAGGATACTGTGCAGGAAAGACCACTGTCAAATTCAGAGTTTTGTTTTGGGAATGCCTTACCACTTCATTTTCATTCCCTCTTAGTTCTCCAGTCCTCTTTCTCAAGTAGCTGATGTTCTCATATTTCTGTGAGTACACTTTGCATCTTCACTCAAACCTATTCCTTCAATATAGGAGAGCTCAGTTAGCTGCTAAAGAAAACAATATGAACTAACTTATGATACTGTATGGATGTGCCTTAAGTAAATAAGATTTCAGGTAGATAATAAGTATGGGGAAATGGCCAGGTGTAGTGGCTCATGCCTGTAATCCCAGCATTTTGGAAGACTGAGGTGAGAGGATCACTTGAGCCCAGGAGATTGAGGCTGCAGTGAGCCGTGATCATGCCACAGCACTACAGCCTGGGCGATAGAACAAGACCTGGTCTCAAAAAACAGGCAGGGAAGTACAGGTGATTCGGAGGAAGGATAATTTGGAGTGGAAGGATCTCCAAAGAGGCAAGCCTCTCAGTTGCTGCTGTGTCCAGTCTTTTGTTATAGTTGTTCCTGTATTCCAGAACTTAAAGTTTCTCTGAACGCGTGAACTAAAAATTTTTCCTCCAACTACTCACGTTACATTAGCAGCAAGGGTTCATGGGATAAATGAGGAGGGTAAGACTAGAGCCTTTGGTGTGTATGATTTTCTCAGTTCAGGACTATAGTTGTATATCATTCTGGTCTTTTTTAGTTATTAATATTATATGAGCTAGTAAATTAATTTTTTCCTCACTTCAGTGACATTGCGTTTAATTTCTAATCTTAAGACAAACAGTAATCCAAAGTTTTAGAAAAAAGAAATTCCTGCAGTAACTAGAAAAAGTTGTCAGTCTTCTCTGATTTAAATGTATATTAAGTACTATTAATTATGGGTCCAGGTCAATCATGATAAATATCAGTAAAGTTTAAAAGAAAATCTTGTTCAGTAACTCACTTTACTAAATCTCTGTACTCATGATAAATATCAGTAAAGTTTAAAAGAAAATCTTGTTCAGTAACTCACTTTACTAAATCTTAATGCTTAGCCAGATCTTAAACTGGAGAGTGGTTGAATGAACCCACTCTGTGGTCAAATGTTTGATATTTGGCCAGGTACAGTGGCTCACACCTATAATCCTAGCACTTTGGGAGGCCGAGGTGGGCGGATCACCTGAGGTCAGGAGTTTGAGACCAGCCTGGCCAACATGGTGAAACCCATCTCTACTAAAAATACAAAAATTAGCCAAGTATGGTGGTGCATGCCTGTAGTCCCAGTTCAGGAGGCTGAGGTGGGAGGATCACTTGAACCCAGGTGGCGGAGGTTGCAGTGAGCCAAGATTGCACCATTGCACTCTACCTTGGGCAACAGAGTGGGACTCTGCCTCAAAAAAAAAAAAAAAAAAAAGTTTGATATTTGCTGTTGACTTAATGTAGTTTGATGCTCCAGATTAAAAGCTGTGTTTACTACTTAGCTGTTTCCCTGTATGAGTAGTTGCAACATTAAATGCCTGTAGACCCCAGGCATGTAAATTAATGACTTGGATAGAGAAAGGACAGTGGGGAACAAGAGAGCTCTTACCCTAATTCACCAACTGCTACCTATCTGCTTATTACTGCCATATGGGAATGCTGGCCGGTGTTTGCTGAGTCTTTTGATTTTTCAGTGAGAACTAGGTCCAGTTGCTTGTGTATAGTGTCTCAATTTTGAAATATTGGCAATTAATTCAAAATATCTGGGGGAAAAGACCCTAAAAGACTGTATGAGCCAAATAAAACATGCCTGGGGAATTTATTCTTAGATATTTTGAGCATTCTCTAGTTTGCCAGTTGTACATGAAAAACAACTCTCTGATAGTGAGTTTTGATTCTTTAATTCTACCGTGGTCTCTGTGCTTTCATCATTATTCACATACCTGCAAGTTGTACAGTTATGAATGCATTTGGAAACAGGTGTACAAATGGTCAGCGTGGCTAGGGAAGGGAAACAACTCAGGCTGTTTTGATACCTTGAGCAAAGAGAAATCGCTAAGGTAAAGATACCCAACTGACAGATAATGTAGAAATCCCTTACTGTCTTCCTGGCCTTATATTTCTATTATAAGCCTCTATGCTTTGTTTAATTTATCCTGAGATCTCAGATTTTTAACCAGTATTCTAAGCTTCCAGAACTATATAAACATTGTATATATCCAAGAGTGATTTTATGAGTATTTCAGTGGAAGGATAGAGGAGAGCAAATCAGATAACACTAATTTGTAACCATGTTAACTTGAAAATTACATGATTATTTAAAGTTCTTACAAAATGCTTATGTTGAAATTAGTTTTTAGAATGTCAGTTTTCTTGTTTAATTTTCTGCATTGTATTAATATATAGCCAGCCGTAGTAATTTTTTTTTATTAAACAGTTTAATTCACTGTTGTTTTGGCTGTTTTTACTTGAAAAACAACAGTGAATTAAACTGTTTAATAAAAAAAATTACTATGGCTGGCTATATATTAATCTAAACAAGACTTTTTTAATACAATGCAGATAAATTATTATAGGTTTGAAAATGAACATAATAATGAAGGCTTTTAAAAAGTCTTTTTCAGGCCAGGCACCGTGGCTCTTGCCTGTAATCCCAGCACTTTGGGAGGCCGAGGCGGGCCGATCACCTAAGGTCAGGAATTAGGGACCAGCCTGGACAACATGGCAAAACCCTGTCTCTACTAGAAATACAAAAATTAGCTGGATAAGGTGGCGAGCGCCTGTAATTGCAGCTACTGGGGAGGCTGAGGCATGAGAATTGTTTGAACCCGAGAGACAGAGGTTGCAGTGAGTTGAGATCGCACCACTGCACTTCAGCCTGGGCGACAGAGTGAAACTCCAACTCAGAAATAAATAAATAAAAATAAATAAATAAAATAAAAAATGTCTTTTTCAAAATAAATTTTTTATTAGTTTTAAATTTGTAGAAGCATGGGGAAGATAGTATAGTGAGTTCACATATAGCCACAGTTTCCCATTAGTCAGATCTTATATTCACATAGTATGTGTCACAATTAATGATCCAATATTCATATATTATTATTATTATTAACTAAGTCCATACTTGATTCAGATCTCCTTAGGTTTTTCTTAATTTTTTTTTCTGTTCCAGAATCCCATCTAGGATACACATTACATTTGTAATATCTCCTTAGGCTCCTCTGAGCATGATTATTTTCCAAACTTTTCTTTTAGGAGTAATGGCCATGTAATGTATTATGTAGAATATATGAATTTGTCTAATATTTTTCTCATTATTAGACTGGGATTATGTTTTTTTTTTACAGGGTGGGGGGAAGAAGACCACAGAGATAAAGTGCCATCATCAAAGATGTATATTCTCAACATGACTTAGCACAGTTGATGTTAACTTACCTGGCTGGTTTAATACTGTTTGTCAGATTCTACACTGTAAAGTTATTCTTCACCCTTCCCCTTCCATACTGTACTCGGAAGGAAGGAAGCCACTATTTGTAGCCCACACTTAAGAGGTTAGGCTGTTTCCTTGAGGGCAGAATCTAGATAAACTATTTGGGATTCTTCTACATGGGAAATTTTTCTTCTCCCACATTATATTTATTCAGTGATTTATTTATGTCAGTATAGACTCATGGATATTTATTTTATACCTTGGTTAATAATCCAACACCACTTTATTTTGTTGCTCAAATTGTTCCAACTTTGCCCACAGGAACTCTTTCACTTGTATGTCCCTTTGATATATTCCCTAACCTTTGTGTGTGTATGTGTGTATGCATATGTGTGTATTAGAGGGATATTCTAGTCTTTGGATTGAGAAGAAAATTTGTAAGATGTAAGTTTCATATACAGACAACCTTCCATTTTTATATCCTTGCTAACCATAATACCACGTAATAACTAACAAAATTTATTATGTTTATGCTTTACTGCTAGCTTTCTTCATTCAGGTACTTTCAGAAGCATTAATGAACATTGTCTTAGAAGTGAATATTGTTAAGAAAGATCCTAGGAGATTTTTAAGTTATTAAAGCAGTGAAGATTACCTATGCTTGCTTACAGGGAAATTTATCAGGAAATGGAGTTGTTAGGCCAGTGAATATGTATTTTCATTTTTTATTTTATACTTTTATTTATTTATTTATTTATTTTTGAGACGGAGTCTTGCTCTGTCGCCCAGGCTGGAGTGCAGTGGCGCAATCTTGGCTCACTGCAACCTCTGCCTCCCGGGTTCAAGTGATTCTCCTGCCTCAGCCTCTTGCGTAGCTGGGACTACAGGTGCGTGCCACCACACCCAGCTAATTTTTGTATTTTTAGTAGAGATGAGATTTTATCATGTTGGCCAGGCTGGTCTGGAACTCCTGACCTCAGGTGATTTGCCCACCTCAGCCTCCCAGGATATGTATTTTCAAGAAGACTGGAGAAAAATTTCTCCAAAGGAACATTTAAATAGTTAATAAACATCTTTGAAGCTATCTCTCTGGTACATAGTATTGATAGTCTTTTTGCATTTTTTCTTTACTGTTTCTTCTGAAGTTATAAAAGTAACATTTTTCTTTAAAAATGAAGCAATACAAATATCTTCCTTAAATTGTTCCACTCTTCAGAGGTAGCTGTTTACAAAACTGAGTATATTAGACATTTTCCTATGCATTCACACAAATATAATTCATTTGTACTTATATGTTTATATTTAAATAGTGGGATCATATAATACATAATATTGTGTACCATACTTTTTTTTTAACCTAATGATAAATCTTGGTCATGATTCCATATCAGTGTATTCAAAGCTACTACATCCTTAAATGTAATGTTTCATAGTATGGACATTCTATAATGTGTTAAACCAGAAGTGTTCAATGTTTTGGCTTCCCAGGCCCACACTAGAAGAATTGTCTTGAGCCACACATAAAATCCACTAATACTAATGATAGCTGATGAGCTTAAAAAAAAAAATCACAAAAAACTCATAATTTTAAGAAAATTTACAAATTTCTGTTGGGCCACATTCAGAGTCATCCTAGGCCACGGGTTGGACAAGCTTTTATTAAACAGTCTTCTATTAGTGACACTTAGATTGTTAACAATGTTTGGTTAGAGTTTGTGTCAAGATACCCTTATATTAATATCAGTGTCTTTACATGTATGTGGCAATAGTTGGTTAGAATTGTTTTCTGGAACCAGAATTTTTGGTTCAGAGAGTATGCCTATGTAAAGTTTTGCATTCCCAAATTGACCTCCAAAAGTGCAGTGATAAACATTCTACAACACTTGTTTTTGAAGCTTTATAATTTATAATTACAATCATGTCTCCTTGTTGCTTTTATTTTATTTATTTATTTTGAGACGGAGTCTTGCTCTGTCACCCAGGCTGGAGTGCAGTGGTGCAAGCTCGACTCACTGCAACATCCGCTTCCCGGGTTCAAGCGATTCTGGCTCAGCCTCCCAAGTAGCTGGGGTTGCAGGAGTGCCCACCACACCCAGCTAATTTTTGTATTTTAGTAGAGACAGAGTTTCACCATGTTGGCCAGGCTGGTCTCGACCTCCTGACCTCAGATGATCCACCCCCCTTGGCCTCCCAAAGTGCTGGGATTACAGGTGTGAGCCACCATGCCTGGCACTTTTAATCTTTATGTGCCTGATACTGGGGAGGTTTGAGAATTTGTTTCTCATAAACATTTGCTTTGTGATGGGGAAGCCTTTCTAAGGGTAACACAAACTTAGAAATGATTAAAGATTCACTGACAGATTTGACTACAAAAACATTTATAATGTCTTTATAGTGGGAACCACAAAAGGCAAAACAACAGACCGGGGAAGAAAATGCTTTTAACATAGAACTTTGTTTTTATGGTTTACGGATTGATTTATCAGAGAATGAGTTGCAGTTTCTCATTGGAAATTTTGCTGTATGTAAGAAGGTCCAATTAAATATCTCAACAGTCTTTCTAGAGCTACTGGAACAATTCTGTTACTTTAAAAAGTGAATATAAATCTAGATGCACTTTTTAGGGTGAGGGTGGTTTTTTTTTTTTAACCCTAGCGAAAATAACTTTTTTGGTAAGTTTCTTAGAATTCCATCATGGATAAGTCAGTTATTGTGCTTCCATGCATGTTGTACATTCCAATATACACTGTAATTTTTCACAAAAAGGACGATTTTACGTTTTTTATCATGGACACTCTTCCACATACCCAGACCCCTCTAGGAAACCCTTATTCACTTAGGTTTGTGCCCTTCCGTAATTTTTTAAAGATCCTGTAATTCTGTACACAGACATAGATACATCCACACATATAGACAATGCCTTTTTCAGTTCTGATTTTTCAAAAATGGAATTATATACTTCGTTGCATTTAATTATTAAATAAATAATGGCTCATGTGAATGTTTCCATGAGAATCTTATAGTAACTGTATCACAGTTTATTCATTAATTCTCTACTGATGAACGTTTACTTTTTTGTGAGATCTTGACCATCAGGAACAGTATTGCATTGCACGTCCCTGTATTTTAAGTTCACATATACTGGTACTTTTATTTCAGTGGGCTGGATTTCCAGGGATCTTAATGGATAAGGAATAGATTTGACCAGGAATGTGTTCAATTACTGTTATATGAAGAATCTTGAAGCAAAAAACATTAAATATGAGGAAGTTATTTTCTAAAGACAGGGTTTCATTCCTGTTGTCCCAGCTGGAGTGCAATGGCAACTCGGCTCACTGCAGCCTCCACCTTTGGGCTCAAGCAGTTCTCCTGCCCTAGCCTCCAAGTATCTGGGATGAGGGTAATTTTAAGTACAGGTTGAGCTTCCCTAATCTAAGAACCCTAAATTAGAAATGCTCCAAAATCTTAAAGTTTTTGAACACCGACATTATGCCACAAGGGGAAAACGTACCTGAGCTTATGTAACAGGTCACACAGCTGGGTATGGTGGTATTCCTGCAATCCTAGCACTTTGGGAGGCGGAGGCAGACAGATCGCTTGAGCTCAGGAGTTTGAGACCAGCCTGGGGAATATGACGAAAAACATTTCTATCAAAAATTCAAAAATTAGCCAGGCAGTGGCACACCTGTAGTTCCAGCTACTTGGGAGGCTGAGGTGGGAGGATTGCTTGAGCCTGAGAGGTTGAGGCTGGAGTGAGCCAAGATGGCACCACTGCACTCCAGCCTGGGTGACAAAGTGAGAGACCTTCCAAAAAAAAAAAAGAAAAATGCAGGCGCAACACAGTTTATTCAGTGTCCCCAAGGGAAAAAACAACCTGCGCCCTTCAACTGTAATGTATCTTTTCTGCACGTGCATACTCAGATTCCCACACAAGCACGCCCTCCGAGGGTAATAAGACAGCTCAGTGTGCACAACCTTTGTTTCATGCACAAAGTTATTTAAAAACATTATATAAAATTACTTTCAGGCTAAGTGTAGAGTTTACATGAAACATAAATGAATTTTATGTTTAGACTTGGGTCTCATACTGAAGATATCCCATTAATGTGTATGCAGATATTCCAGAATTTGAAAAAATCTGAAACACTTCTGATCCCAAGCATTTTGGATAAAGGATACTCAGCCTGTACTAATTTATCTTAATGAAATCTAGGAACTAAGATGAGGAGAGATAGAAGAGGGAGATAAAACATCTTAAAGGTCTAATGGAGGAAGAGGAAAAACAAGAACAGAGGAAATAAACTAACCAACCTAAAGGGCTCATCCTTTAGGTGGATAACTAGGGAGAATTGGAGCACGGGAAATTCAGTGTGGAAACTTTTTCATGTCGTATGTCTAGAAAAGGCACAGCTATCAGAATGAATTTAGAACTTCTAAGTAAGTGTGGAAAACAGAATAAAAACAAACTTGGTAGCACAAATAGGGAAAAGAAAGGGGAGATTAAATGATAAATATAGAAGGAATAAAATTAAATGTGAATAATTTGAGTTCACTCTTAGACATAAAAATGCTGTTTACAAGCACTTTTTAATTTAAAGAGTGAAAAATGAAATTTAATATTTATGTAAAATTAGAAAAAAAAGTTCAAATTAATGAAGCAGAAATAAATAGAATTAAAAATAAATGAATTCTTTGAAAAAGAGTAAATTCATAAGTAAGTTTAACTTGCACATCTGACCAAGTGAAAAAAGAGAGAGCAGAAGTAGGCAAAATCAGGAATAAGGAGACAACCATGGATCTAGGGGGGAGGAACTAAGTTTGCTGCTCTGTAGCACCAAATTTGAAAACAACAAGAAATGGTGGATTTCCATTTAAAATACAAACTACTGAAATTGAATCAAGAAAAGTCTGAATGGTTACAAGTTCTATTGTTAAAACTGTTATAGGCCATAAATAAAAGCTTCCAAATTTATTTTACAAAGTAATATCAAAACCTAACAAATAGTGTTTAAAAAGAAAACTGTAGGCCAATTTCACATGTGACAGAATATATATGCAAAAGTTTAAATAAAATATTAGGAAATAGAATCCAGCAATATATGCGAAAAATCCTTATAACAAAACAGATGGTATTGCAGGAATTCAGTGCTGGTTCTGTACCTGAAAATGTCTATATACTATATTAAATTGAAAAGCTCATTTGAAAAAAAAAAACCTGTATTCAGTAGATGCTACAAATGGCCTTCGATAAAATCACCATTCCCAGTAAAAACTCTGTAAAATGGGAATAGAGGGAAATTATCTAAATGTAATAAGGACTAAGTTTTAGAAAGTAATAGGACATAATTTTAAATGATAAAATCACAAAAATCTCCATTGTAAACAGGTTACAGATAGGCATCCCTGTTAGTACTATTTTTATTTAACATAGTGTTAGTAGTTTAAGACAAAGTAAAATGTTGAAGAATAGATTAAAATAACTGTGCAAAAGATAGTAAAAGGAGGATTTGCCTTTTCGCATTTTAGATTATAGCAATATGTAAACATTTAAGGAACAGAAAAGTATATTAGTAGAACAAGTAGAGAGTGAAAAAATTCTGGTACAAATTGGGAAATTAGTATATAACAACATAGTGTTAAATTCAATGGGAAAAGTTTAATAAGAGGATTTGGTATCAACTGGCTGTCCAAAGATAAAAATGGACCGTCCTATCACATACAAAATTGTTTTTTAGATAAAGATTTAAATACAGGCACTCCTTCATTTGCGTGGTGCACCTTGAGGTGTTGCAGAAATGATGAGAGCTGAAACTGCAAAGCAATTTTAATACTTTATCTGTTGGAAATCTTATAGTTTTCCTGTGACCGTTAAAATTTTCATTAAACTATTAAAAACACCCATGACTGGTCACAAATGTATTGGGAAATGGAAAAGAATTAATACACTAAAAATACAAAAAATAGAAAATATTTAAAATTATCTAAAAATTTGAAACATTAGAAAAATTGAGAACTAGGCAGGGCGTGGTGGCTCACATCTGTAATTTTAGCCCTTTGGGAGGCTGAGGCAGGTGGATCACCTGAGGTCAGGAGTTCGAGACCAGCCTGGCCAACGTGGGGAAACCCCGTCTCTACTGAAAATACAAAAATTAGCCGGGCATGGTGGCACAAGCCTGTAATCCTTGCTAACCAGGAGGCTGAGGCAGGAGAATCACTTGAACCCAGGAGGTGGAGGTTGCAGTGAGCCGAGATAGCACCACTGCACTCCAGCCTGGGCAGCAGAGTGAGACTCCGTCTCAAAAAAAAAAAAACAAAAAGAAAAAAAAATTGAGAATTAGGATGTTTCTATTTGTAAAAAGCTTATCAAGAATACTTTCAATGATGCTTGCCTTCTAATTGTATAACTTAAGATATGGAACAAGCATCTCTTCTGTGCCTTGCCAAATTGTCATTTTCTTTTCTAAATTTGTATTAGTTTTCAACATTTTATATAGTACTTTGCATTTCCAAAGTCATGAAGTATTTCAGAGACTTCCTTTAATGTGATGTTTTTTTCCTCTGGGATATCTTCATCTTTTGGTCATAACCAGTTTCCAATTCCACTTTCAGCATTGCCACTTTTTGTTTCCTTGCTACACTTTCATTTTTGTTGGTCAGTCCCCTCTTTTGACTGTTTACTTTTGTAAAATGTCAAATCAGTGTATCACTGGGAGACAGGAAGGCAACACAGTTACACACTTTGCTGTTCATGCATATACTGAATAACAAATAGGTGCCCAGTAACCAGTTGCTGTCAAATTTTGGGAAAAGTTATGTGATTGCTTACTGATCATGATGCACATCTCTTATTTACTTAGTGATTTGTGGACCAAGCATTCAGAAGCTATGCACTTACTCAAAGTTGATATACTGTGGTAACTAAGTGTTGAACCAGGTTGTTGGGGACTGTTATTTATACTGTGATGGCTGGTACCTGTGTATTTCAGAACTGTGCAAAAGCAAAGACTGCTTGTGTTCATGACACACACACAAAATCTTGAAAGATAATCTGAGAGACTGCGTATTTAGTCCTTCCTAATGAAGACTTTCTAGTCTTTGTATTATTCCCAGAAAGCATAAAAAGACGGACATATTTCATAATATAAAAATGAATTTTTATGGTAAAAATAACAAAGCCAACAGGGAAAACAATAGATCCAGAAAATTATTTCTAAAACTGTTGATGAACAAAAGGTAAATTTCTGTAATATATTAAATTCTTGCAGTGTGACAAGAAAAGAGACCATCAGTGTGATAGAGCAACAGACAAAACAAATCCAAATGTCCAACAAATGAGAAAGGAGGTCAGATTCATTATTAGTTAAAGAAGTGCAAATTAGAGAAACTGTAGAATTTAATAGGCTGTATATGACTTCTTGCTAGAGGTAATACAGAGAAAGGCACTCTCAAACTTTGGTGGACATGAGAAAACAACCTTTTGGGAAAGCAATGTGGCCAGTAAAATAAACCTGGCCAGTAAATGTGTTAGTAAAATAGCATATCTGTTTGCTATATTCTAGCAGTTGCTCTTCTGGAAATCTATCCCATAGCAGAAAATTTAGTATTTCATTTAATTGCAGTAGGTTAGGTAGTACCATAAATGTTTTTGAAACCTGAGTACAATTTGAGAATATCAGATTTTTAACATTTGGGTTTTTTTTTTTTTTTTTAAAGCATTAAGTAAGGCTGGGCACAGTAGCTCACACCTGTAATCCCAGCACTTTGGGAGGCCAAGGCGGGTGGATTACCTGAGGTCGGGAGTTCGAGACCAGTCTGGCCAACAGGGTGAAACTCCGTCTCTACTAAAAATAAAAAAAAATTAGCTGAGCCTGGTGGCAGATGCCTGTAAGCCTAGCTGCTTGGGAGGCTGAGGCAGGAGAATTGCTTGAACCCCAGAGGCGGAGGTCATGCCACTGCACTCCAGCCTGAGCAACAGAGTGAGACTCGCTGTTTCAAAAAAAAAAAAAAAAAAAAAAAGCATTCATTAGAGCCTGAGTTAGTTTCAATTTTTTATCTAAGAAGTATCTGTTTTAGTTGAAAGAAGTACATTCATTTCTAGCTTTCAACAGTAGGTGTTTTCAGTCTTTGATTCTGGGTTATGAAGTTGCTACAGTTAAAGGGATTTTCAGATCATTTCTATTTTAAGAATATTTATGTATCTTAAGAACAGGTCTCTCTGAAATGTAGTTAATTTTTCCTGAAGATAAAAGTAATATGATTTGAATCATTGCTGTTTTAAGCAATGTTTAATAGATACTGATTGGTATTTTCTTTTTCATCAGTTTCAAATTGATTCTATAAATTTGATAAGTTGGAGAGAAAATTCAGATAGCTAGAGATCTGTGTAACAGATGACACCAATTAGCTTAAAATTTAAATCCTGACATAACCAAGTCACCATTGCATGTTTATTTTATTTATTTATTTATTTATTTATTTATTTATTTATTTTTTGAGATGGAGTCTCGATCTGTCACCCAGGCTGGAGTGCAGTGGCGTGACCTCAGCTCACTGCAACCTCCGCCTCCCGGGTTCACACCATTCTCCTGCCTTAGCCTCCCGAGTAGCTGGGACTACAGGCGTCCGCCACCACACCTGGCTAATTTTTTGTATTTTTAGTAGAGACAGGGTTTCACTGTGTTAGCTAGGATAGTCTTGATCTCCTCACCTCGTGATCCGCCCGCCTGGGCCTCCCAAAGTGCTGGGATTACAGGCCTGAGGAGCCACGCCCGGCCCATTGCATGTTTATGTGTTCCATGTTAGTCATTTTAGAAAATATTAACATTAGAACTGCTTTGTAGTTGGGAAATGGATGAGACTTAAAATAGGTTTTATAAGATACGAAGTACTTAAATATATTAGACTTGGGGAAGTTATTCTCTGTGAACTTTGCAATCTTTATCTGAAACTGAGCCAGATGTGAATCAGAATTCAGAAATGTTCTTCGTTCAAAAAAGAATATGGTGCATATATTGTATTACACAATAACTTCAAAGGGTCCTTGGGTTGCGTCTCATAAACACAGCAGAATACATGAATATTCTTACTAAATGGGATAAAAGCTATCAAATATTTCATTCCTTTTTATTGTTGAAAAATATTCAGCCATATGGATTTATTACATTTTGCTTATCCATTCAAACCATTGATGGACATTTGGCTTGTTCCTAGTTTTAGGCAGTTATAAATAGTGTTGCTGTGAACAGTCATATACTTTTCTTTTGGCCAACAAGCTTATATTCGTTTTGGGTGGATTGCTAGGAGTTGAATTGCTGGTTTGAATAGTAAATTTATGTTTAACTTTTTAAGAAACTGACTATCCAAAGTGACTGTGCCATTTTACATTCTCCTTAGCAATGCATGAGAGTTACAGTTTCTCTGTATACTCACCAACACTTGATATTGTCTTTTTAAAATTATAGCCATTCTAGTGGATGTGGTTTCTCATAGTTAAATTCGTATTTCCCTAATGGCTAATAATATTGAAAATCTTTTCATGTGCATTTTCAGCCATTTATCTTCTTTGGTGAACTGTCCATTTAAATCTTTTGCCCATTTTAAAAAACCAGGTTGTCTTTTTATTAGAGTTGTAGTAGTTCTTTATGTATTCTGGATATGAGCCCTTTGTTAGATGTATCATTTATAAACATTTTTTTCTCAGCCTATGGCTTGGCTTTTCATTTTTTAATGGGGTCTTTTGAAGTGCAGAAATTTTTTATTTTGATGAATTGAAGTCCAATTTATGAACTTTATAAAAATAGATCATGTTTGGTGTTCGAAGAACTCTTCAAGAAGTTTTATAGGTTTAGTTCTTCATTTAAGTATGGTCCATTTTGGGTTTTGTGTATGATGCAAGGTAAGCATCTCATTTCATTTTTATGCATGTAGATATTCAGTTGTCTCAGTACCATTTCCTGCGCTGAGAATGGATCACATGCCCTCTGGTTCAGCCTATATTAACATTTGTTTCTAGGAAAATGTTTTTAATTTCTTTTTCATCAAAAAGTCACTTATACAATGAGTATAAATGACTAAGGGAAAACCTATTTCTGTTTAATTTTATTTCTATTCAGAGCAGTTACTAGAGAATATAGAAATTAAAGGAATCAATCACCTTTAAAGCTGGGTTTCCTACCATTGTATTTCATGTTCTGAAGTAAGGATGTATTGTGTGTGCCAACTGGCCCATGATAGACATACACAGTAGACTGTGGCAGCCTTTCTGGCTTATCCCCAGCAAGTTGAGATTGAGGCTCGTGCTATAATTATTTATGGCAGCTAGACTCTGCTTCTTTGAATCTAATTATGTACATCCTGGGCTTGTAGGTCTCTGAAGTTACTAGGGGTTATATTCTGTATAAGGGGGTTTACTCTTAAGAATTTTGGACCTCCCACATGATATTTAGCTATATGTTGGGCTAAAGTCTTCACTTCAGATTTGAGCCATGTATTTACCTTCATTATGACTGCTTGACTATGGGAGTCACAATGTAAAGGTACAGATCAAACAGACATACTGTGTTAGTGTTTTTGGAAAGTAAGTTCAAAGCCAGAAATACTGTGGAGACTAAGCTGAAGTCAGAATTGTCCTTTTCAGAGTGTTTTATACGGAGAAACAGTTACATAGCATTATGAGAATTAA
Organism: Homo sapiens; assembly: GCF_000001405.40. NCBI lineage: Eukaryota > Metazoa > Chordata > Mammalia > Primates > Hominidae > Homo > Homo sapiens. Next base: position 87,200,411 of record NC_000006.12, read on the forward strand.
TTCAGTGGATGAAACCTAAAAACATTCCCTTTCTATGTTATGTACTAGACATTTAAAAAAAAAATCTCTGCTCCCATTAAAGTCAGGTTTCTTAGCAATTAGGTTAGCATCAAACATGCTCGTGTTTTTCCAAGATTGAAACCCTTTGTGCCAAGGCATCAATGTGGTTGCTTCTGTAAGCCTAGTTTATAGCAAAGAATATGCAAGAACAGAGAAATTATGGGCCACACCATGTCAGGCTAGGGAATAGGGAGGTTTTGGGATTATGATTGGTTCGTGCCATCAGAATGCTACAAAGAGAGTAGGCCCTGGAGCCAGAAGTTTTAGAATTCTCAGAAAGTCTGGAGATTGTGTTATAGCATCCATATTGGAGATTATTTAGGGATTCAAAGCTATCAGAAACTCAGTTTTGTGAATGGTTATTTCACATCCTAGCATTGAGTATATATGGGAATGTGAATCATGTTAAATTCATAATTGATTTTCTTTGAAAATGCTAAACTGCTACTGAAATAACTACTGCACTGGGCCGTTTGCCAGGGATGGTAGCCTGAGATATGGGGAAACAAGTGTCTCAACCAGAACAATGTGGAAATAAGATTATTGGATTTCATCACAAGTAAGAGATTCTCCTGAATTCTCACAATTTGGGAGAGAGATGATATAAAGGCAACATACTCAGAAGTAAAAATGGTGGTGGACCAATCTCAACCCTGAGATTCCGAGGTAGACTTATATTTATATTATGAATTTTGTATTATGCATATGGCACTATGTATTATTTGCGAATATGAGATACAAAATGTCTTCCCAGTTTGTAGCCTTTTATTTGATTTTCTATGGGGTTTTGTTGAACAGAAGTTTTTAATTCTATTGTATCTGCAGTTATTATTATCTTCCATTATGATGTGTATTTTCTGTCTTAAGAAAACCTTCTTTGCCCTAAGGTCTTAAGATGTTCTCCTATGTTTTCATCCTAAAGTTTGTTGTTGTTGTTTTATTTTTTTCTTTGTAACGGAGTTTTGCTCTTGTTGCCCAGGCTGGAGTGCAATGGCATGATCTCGGCTCACCGCAACCTCCGCCTCCCGGGTTCAAGCGATTCTCCTGCCTCAGCTTCCCGAGTGGCTGGGATTACAGGCATGCACCACCACACCCAGCTAGTTTTTGTATTTTAGTAGAGACGAGGTTTCTCCATGTTGGTCAGGCTGGTCTTGAACCCCCGACCTCAAGTGATCCGCCCACCTCAGCCTCCCAAAGTACTAGGGTTACAGGCATGAGCCACCACACCCAGCCTCATCCTAAAGTTTTAAAGTATTGCTTTTCACATTCAGTTACTTGTCCATATAGGATATAGTTTTGTTATATGCTGGGAATAGTTATAATTTTTCTTTCCTGTTTAAATGGTTGTTTCAGGTTATTTATGGAATAGTCTGTACTTTCCTCACTGGTTTCTGATGGGGCTTTTTTATATACCATGCTCTCACATATATGTAATTCTGTTTTAAAGCTCTTTCATTTCTGTCATCTATGTCTATAACAAAATCACACTGTCTTAATTTCTATAGCTTTGGGATAAGTCTTGCTATCTGATTAGGGCAGATAATCTTCCAAATTCAAAAACCTGGCTCTTCAAAATTGATTTGGCCTTTTGAATGATTTTTAGAATCAACATGTCAAATTCTGTAAATAATCCTATGGAGAATTTCATTGGCATTGCTTTGACTTTTTAAATATGGCTCATATTGTCATCTTTAACTTGTCTTCCACTATCTATGTATGTGGTATTTCCATTTATGCACCCTTCCTTTTATTCTTTAAATAAAGTTTTATACTTTTTTTTGAAAAGATCTTATAAATACTTTGTTAGATTCATTCCTAGGTACTTCACGAGTTTTGTTACTGTGAATGTTATCTTTTTAAAAATTATAGTTTCTAACTGCTTTTTTAAAAAAATAGAATTGCAGTTGATTTTGTGTATGGATCTTATATCTAACTACTATACTGAATTCTCTTGAAGTTCTTACGTGTGCATTGTCTGCAATGGTGACATTTTTATTTTATCTTTCTGGTTCTTACTGCTTTTATTTCTTTTTCAGATTGTGCTGATTAGCCCTACAGTTTTGAATAGAAGCAGTGATAGGCATTTTTGTTTTGTTTTCTGACTTTAAAGGGAAATGCTTCTAACATTTCATACTCCCAGAATGTAGTTTGCTATGGGTTTTTCTGGATACCCTCTATCACATTAAAGAGCTTTCCTTCTGTTCCTTGTCGTAAAGAGATACTGATTCTTCTTTACCTCAAGTTGCATTTTGATTACAATATTTCCCCTTCCCCCCGCCCCATCCATGATTTTGTTTTCTGTGGTTTTAGTTACCCTGGTACAAAAGTATTACATACAGTAAGGGGGGAGAGAAAGAGACCACATTCACATAACTTTCATTAATACAGAATATTGTTAATTGTTCTATTTTATTATTTTTGTTAATCTCTTACTGTGCCTAATTTACAAATTAAACTATCTTAGGTATATGTATATATAGGGATAAAATAGTATATGTAGAGTTCACTACTATCCAGGGTTTCAGGCATCCACTGAGTCTTGGAATTTATCCCCCATGAATAAATAGGGGACTACTGCATATCTTTTTAATGGTTTTGAGGTAATCATATAATTTCCCCCCTTAAAATCTGTTATTAGAGTGAATTACATTAATATATTTTCCTTTTTTTTTTTTTTTTTTTTTAAAGTGAGACAGGGCTCACTGTGTTGGCCAGGCTGGAGTGCAGTGGCATGATCATGGCTCACTGCAACCTTGACCTCCAAGGTTAAGGTGATCCTCCCACCTCAGCACCCCAGAGTAGCTGGGACTACAGGCACATGTCACCATATCTGGCTAACTTTTTGTATTTTTAGTAGAGACAGGGTTTTGCCGTGTTGCCCATGCTGATCTTGGACTTCTGAGCTTAAGTGATCCACCCGCCTCAGCCTACCAAAGTGCTGGGATTACAAGTGTGAGCCACTGTGCTGAGCGATTTTCCTAACTTTAAATTATCCTCACGTTTCTAGGATAACACCTACTAGGCCCAAAATACATTTAAAATGTATATTGCAACCGTTTCTCTTCCCTTCCTGAATAATTCAGTCCTGAAGCCATTATGTGGGTCAAAGCAAGGTATGTATCTGCAAGGGGGGGTGGGGTGCTGCAATGGCCCAGAGTGGAATGTCAAAGCCCAGATTGAGTAGTAGCATCATGTTGGGGGAAGGCATCAGACCCCACTCAAGATAAGGAGGGCACCATAGGGAGGTGACTGGGGTGGCTGTGTGTGGGGATTTAGGGCCCAGGTGAGATGAGTTAGGCATCCATGGGTGGGGAAGGAGCTACCTGGTATGGGGAGTCAGAGCCAGAGCAGGGTGAGCAGGCATAGGGGCAGCCTGGCATAGTATGTGAGAGCCTAAGCAGAACAGGAAGGGACAACTACCTAGAGAGCCGCCTAGTTCCAGCATGCCGAGTCAAAGCCTAAGCAGAGTGAGGAGGGCAGACACTACTTTAATCAAGGGATCAAAATGAACATCATCCATAATGTGTACCACCTGATAGGATATAATGAGAAGAAATGACCATTACTTCTGTGCTGTTCTCACTAAAAATGCGTAGCCTAAATCTAATCAAGAGAAAATACTAAAGCCAAATTGAGGGATATTCTACAAAATAGGTGGCCTATAATAATCTCCAATGGTGCCAGGGTCCTGAAAGAGTCTTTCAAGTGTTACTTAGGATTTAAGGAGACTGAAGGGACATGACAAATGCAAACTGTACTACTACTGTATCTTTTTCTATAAAACGTCATTGGGATAATTTGGCATACGTGAATAATGTCTGCAGATTAAATAATAGTAATGTATCAGTGTTTATTGCCTGATTCTGGTGGTCATACTGTGGTTATGTGGGAGAATGTACTTGTTTGTAGGAAATACATACTCTTTGAAGGTAGTGAGGCATTAGGTTGGCCACTAACTACCAAATAGCTTAGGAAAAAAATGTCTTTGTACTGTATCGCCAACTTTTCTGTAACTTTGTGATTGTTTCAAAAATTTTTTTTTAATTTAAAGTTTATTGTAGGATTTGGTTGGTAACATTTAGGATTTTTTTTTTTTTTTTTTTTTTTTTTGATACTAAGTCTCGCTCTTATCGCCCAGGCTGGAGTGCAATGGCACGATCTTGCCTCACTGCAACCTCCGCCTCCTGGGTTCAAGCGATTCTCCTGCCTCAGCCTCCCGAATAGCTGGGATTACAGGCGCCTTCCACCATGCCCAGCTAATTTTTGTATTTTTAGTAGAGACTGGGTTTCACCATGTTGGCCAGGCTGGTCTCGAACACCTGACCTCAGGCAGTCTCCCTGCCTCAGCCTCGCAAAGTGCTGGGATTACAGGCGTGAACCACTGCGCCTGGCCACATTTAGGATTTTTAAATCGCTGTGTATGTCTGAGATTGGCCTGTGATTTTTTTCCTTTCTCATACCGTATGTACCCAGTTTTAATCTCAAGTTTATAGTACCCTCAAACAATGAATTAGTGAATTTTCCCACTCTTCCTTTCATCCAAAAGCTTCTGTAATAAAGAGATTATCTGTTTCCTAAAGAATTGTTTGCTGGGGTTTTTTCCCGCTCTCCACTGGCCCCAGACATGATATCTCTCTCTGTCTTCAGGCTGTAGTGCAGTGGCAAGATCATAGCTCACTGCAACCTCAAACTCCTGGGCTCGAGCGATCCTCCAGCTTTAGCCTCCCAAGTAGCTGGGACTACAGACATGTGCCACTACACCTGGCTAATTTTTTAAATTATTGGTAGAGATGAGGTCTTGCTATGTTGCTCTGGCTGGTCTCGAACCCCTGGCCTCAAATTATCCTCCCACCTTGGCTTCCCCAAGTGCTGGTATTACAGACATAAGCCACCATGCCCAGCCTGCTTGCTGGACTTTTCTATAAAAATTGTATGATAATTATTTTTTTTTCTTAACCTGGATTTAGTTTCTTAATAGGTAAAGGACTATTTTTTTCTATTTCTTTGTGAGACCATTTTAAAATGTTAGAACATTTTAGTAATGTTCTAACCATTCCCATTTTATTCAGATTTTTAAGTTATTTTCAGATAAGATGATTCTTAATAATCTTATTTCAAATAATATTATTCAATATATTTTGATTTTAAAACATCTTTATTGCTCTTGTAGTTATGGTTCCTTTCTCATTTCCAATACTGTTGATTTGTGCCTTCTCTTTTTTTCTTGACCAGCTTTGCCAGATGACTAGGTTTAGTTTTGTTGACCCTCTCTGTGTGTTTTCTTATTTTTTTAAACATCCTCACCACAATCTGTGTCTTTATTTTCTATGTCATTTATTTCTCATCTCAGTTTTATTACTTTTACGTTTTTATACTCTGAGTTTATCCTGTTCTTTGTCCAATTTAAGTTGGCTACTTAGTTATTTTCGCCAAATTTTGCATAATAAACCACTAAAACCTTAGTAGCATTTAATGTAAGCATTATCGCTCACTCATCTGAGGTCTGGCTAAGTATCTGTTGATCTTGGCTGGACTGATAGATATGTTTCAGATTGGCTGTTACCTGATACAGGTTGGACTCAACTGGAGCAACAGGATGACATCTACCTCTCATTACCCTGCTGGGGACAGCAAGCTAATCTGGACGTATCTTCTCATTGTGAGGGCAGAAGCATAAAAGAAAACAAGATGCTTAAACTTACAGCTGTCCTACTATCACTTCTGCCCCATTCTCTTGGTCAGAACAGGTCACATGGTTAGGAAAATATTTTCTACCATTATGATAAGTACTCCAAAGTCATGTGACAAAGGACAGGGAAACAAGGAGAGGTGAAGAATTCAATCTACCACACTTCCCACCCTCAGTACTTTGCTTTTCAAACTCTTCATAACAGAAAAGTTAAAAGAATAGTACCATGAATACCCACATAGCTTTCACCGAGATTCCCCCTTCATTCACATTTTGCCATATTTGCTTTATCTCACATTTTATTTTCTGAATCCTTTAAGAGTTAGCCAGTATTATGACATTGCCCCCCTTATATACTTTAAGCGTTTATCTCCTAAGGCCAAATACATTTTTCTGTATACTCACAACACAATCATCACACTCAGGAAATGTAATATTGACACACCACTATTATCTAATTACAATATATATTTAAATTTCTCCATTTGTCCCAATAATATTCTCTTTGGCTATTCTTTATTTTCTCTTTTTAAATGCAGCCAGTTTTGTTTTATTACAATATATGAATTCCTAACAATCACTTTGTCATGCAAAATTGCACATTAAAGATCACGGGGCTTACCGAAAAAGTGTACTTAGAGACACAGCATGCAAAAACGTCATCACACACGCAGAACCTTATTGAAACAGTAGCACAGTTTTATACCTATTAAGTAGTTAAATACATAGGTAGTTTACCTTGAAAAAGATCTGAAGTTTCTTTGCAGAAGTGGGCACCAGAAGGAAAGTGGGTGTCGAAAGGGATGTAGTTTGTGAGTTAATGTGAATTAGCAGGAGGAGAGTTCTCTGAAATTGGATAGAAAGTTGTAACACCACTTGTGAATGGGTATCGCTAATAACACTCATGGTGAACTAAGGTAGCTGGTACATCTTTGATTTGCGTGCGCATGTGCATTTTGCGTATTCTAACAGCTCAGTTCATTTGGGTACAGTTGTCTGCTTTCACCTAATGTTTCCCACCAAAAAATAGTACATAAGCAAATGAGAAATTCTTGTTTTGCTAATGTTGTGTCAGAACAAATGTGTATATATGTACTTTTTTAAGCTGTAACAGAAGTGACAGTATAAACATTTGCATCTAAAACTGTCCCTCTTAAGATTGCTTTAGCTGCATCCTACGAATTTTGATAGGTTGTGTTTTTGCTGTAATTCAAGTCTAAGTATTCTCTGATTTCTATTATGGTTTCTTTTACCCCTGACTGAGAAGTACAGTTTAAAATTTCAAGTTTGTAGTTTTCTTTGTTAGGGTATTCTTTTGTTAAGTGTTTAACTTTATTGCGTTTTATTCAAAGAATGTGGAAAAATGTGAAAAAAATATAAAAAATGTGAAACATATTCTTTATTTCATGTGACTGTCTACGTGGCCTAGTTTGTGTTCAGTTTTTGTAACTGTTTTACTTGTGTTTGTGAAGAATGTGCATTTTCTAATTGGTGAGTCCAGTTTCTCCAGACGTAAATTATTGTATTTTTTTCTTAGCTTAATTTTCTGTGTGTTTATCACCAATTCAATCCAAATTCTCCCTCAATTGTTTAAATCTCCTCTAAGCTTATTCAAGCACATTAGGTTATCTATCAATTTCATCTTGAAGAAATTTATCCAAAATCCATCTAATATGCTATAATTATTTTCCAGGCCCATTGCACAACTGTCTTCTTGGAATCTTACTTGCATTCATCTCTCTCATGTTAGAGCTCCCTTTTTTCTGTGTATCATTCTGACTCCTTTCCTGGTTTATTTTTCATTTTGGTGAAATTCTTTCTTCAGTAACATCCTGAAAAAATGTGCCTAGAAGGTAAAAAATTTTAGACCACGTATGTCCGAAAATGACTTTTCTATTTTAATAGTTACAATCGTTGGATATAAATAGTTTCCCCATAGCTTTTAATGCAGTGCTTCATTTTCTTTTTGCTCCAGTGTTGCAGTTGAGAAGTCTGCTGCCTCTTCCCCCACCAATCTTATTTTGATCCTCTCTTTGTTTTTGAGCTCTAAAATTTTATGAGAAAGTACTTTGGTACAGTTCTATTTTCAGTAATTGTGCTGGACATTCAGTGGGTCTTTTCATTCCTAAAATTCATGTTCTTAGGTTCTAGAAAATTAATTTGAATTAAATATTTTCTTTATTCCCCTCAATTTCTCTATTCTGACTTCCTGGAACTCCTGTTATTTATTATGGGACCTCTAGCATTATTCTTTAAATTTTAAAATCTTTTTTCTCCTATCCATAATTTTTATTAGTCTTTTTTCCCTTAACTATTTCTTATAACATGGTGTTTTTGTTCGTAGATGTAATATGTTTTCTCACATATCGAAGAATATCAGTGATAGTTTCTTGAAATTTTACTTTCTTCCTGCATGATTTCTCTTTATTCAAAGTTGCTTTTTTTTTCCCCCTTGTTTTGATTTCTCTCAACATTAGAAGCTTTTTAAAAATGTCTACTGGTCTTTAAATACCATATTTAAGGGTATACTGCTAAAAAGGTGATTGAGAGCTCCAAGTTCATGTATGACATTTGTTGTGATTTTCACAAATAAGGGGGTCTAGTTTGTTTCAGTCCCTGATGAAGGCTTGGTGTCAGAATATTGGGTCTTTTCTTTTTGATTTCCCAGAAAAAGACTCAGCTAGGGACCTGGAAGTTCAGGCAGTGAGTTGGAAAAAAGGGGCTTGCTGTCTATAGGGAGTATGTAAAGTTGACTTATTGCCCTGAAAAGTAAGATACTTTTCCTTGACTGTGTCCAAACACCTCTTTTTAAACTTCTTTACTGAGGAAGAGTGGCAGTACCTCGCTTGGGTTTTCTAGGTGTGGAGAGTGAGGAGGAAATCAGGGAGGCTTAACTCCTAAAATAGACTTTTCAACCAGTTATCTCATTTTTAGCCCCACTTTCACCCCCCCCTCCCCATTTTCAGAGGCATCTAGTGCTCCCAGTTCCTGAGCCCTTTGGTGATTATGCAGAGTTAGTGGGTTTTGTTTGTTTGTTTGTTCTTGTTGTTGTTTTTACCTAAAGCCTATTTAGGAGTCACTTTTCTTGGAGTGTCAGTCTTACATATGCTTTCCAGCTTTTAAGATTTTATTTCTTTTTGTTCCATTCCCATGTTCCTATTCTTATGGATTTATGCCACTTTAAAAAAAATTACTGTAGTTTCAGTGAGGTTTGGGGAGAGGAGAGTAAGGTGCAAAGTGAATGTGTCCAGTCTACCATTTCTACACAAAACCTTAAAATACATTTTAATAACTTAGAAGTTTTAAAGAGTATTTCACATTCATCAAAGGCTCCTCAGCGGGTTTAGAAGGTCAAAACTGTAAGACATTATTTGCCACCTTTCAGTCGTGTACAGTGGAGTTTTCCAAAGTTTACATGATGTGTGGTATTGCAGCAAATTAAGTGCATAAACTGATAGGAGAAACCTGCTCTTTTCTCTTGTCAGGCATTGAAGAGATTTGAAAAATGTAAAACAATGCCTCTCTTTTCACTTTTTTCAGAAAATGCATTTTTATTAAAAATATCTTATTTATGGTAATGTGATGGGTTTATTGTTATTTTAAACTTGTTTATAAGTAAGTAAAAGTCTCAGTTTTTGTTTTGAATATGGTGAATGTCAGTAGTTGTAACTCACATAAACAACTCTTTGGGATCCTCAGTAATTTTTAAGAGAGTAAAGAGTCATGAGATCAAAATGTTTGAGAACTTCTGTTCTAGAGAACCCTAGATGTAAATTGGAAGTGGAACATGAATGTAATAATATAACCATAACCAACACTCCACTAGTCTTATCTTTACATAGGACAATAATGTAATTTAATCCCCATGTTTATTAAATGTAACACCCCCGCGGTTTTATTTCTCTTTTATTTTCCCTCGTGGTAATCCTTAGGGCAACTAAAGGAAGCTATCAGAAGTTAATCTATACTCTTTCTCCCTAAAGCATGTATGTTCTAGACTCTGCTTATTTAAATAATGAGAAATAAACTTAAGAGCCAAATTGTTAAAGTGTGCATTTTTGTTCTCAAGGGGTTAAAAATTGGCTCTTAAAGAAAAAAATTTTTTTTTAAATTGTTTGTTACATGTAAACAGATACATAGTTTAATTTGTGGTATCAAAATATCATTGAGGATGATGAACAATTAGGAAAAAAAGTCAAAAGTCTCCTTAAGAGGGGACAATAATGAAAAACACCGCAAGAAACAGTGTGTTAGAGATCCTTTAACCTCTTACCTATTTCTTCTATCCTAGGCTTGCCCCAGAACACACACTATAGAGCAGATGCAGTAGCCACAAATAACTTTGTGGGGATCTAGTAGCTCCCTTAAAGAATGAGGTGAGGCAGGCTGAAGCGGGCGGATCACGAGGTCAAGAGATCAAGACCATCCTGGCTGACAAGGTGAAACGCCGTCTCTACTAAAAATACAAAAAGTAGCCAGGCTTGGTGGCGGGCGTCTGTAGTCCCAACTACACGGGAGGCTGAGGCAGGAGAATGGCGTGAACCCGGGAGGCGGAGCTTGCTGTGAGCCGAGATCATGCCACTGCATTCCAGCCTGGGGAACAGAACAAGACTCTGTCTCAAAAACAAACAAACAAACAAAGAATGAGGTGAGGCATGTAGCACCCACAGAGCCTGTGTCTGATCTCAGTGGGAGATCTTGGGTCATCACTCAGCCCTAGCTAGTTGCCATGCTGGGATGTGGGCCCAAAGTTGCCAATTTTTTTTGTTTTAAAAGAAAAGCCAGAAACCCAAGTTTTTATGTAAAATATATGACTTCTAAATATTAGAAACTAATTCAAATACTTTTTGAACAATGTGCACATCAAAACATCCATGAGCCACTAGTTTATGAACACACACATATACTCACTAGTGTAGTCCCTTCTGGTATGGTGGAGTGTGTCTTTAATATATGACTCCTTTCAGTATCCTCAACTCTGAATCATCTTGCTCCTCTTTGAATAACTTCAGTTCGTGGGCCACCACCTGTCTCAGGAGGCCAACTTGTTCTGTTTTTGGTTTACTCTAATGGTTTGGTAGTTCTGTCTTATAGGAAACAGGAAAGTGTCTCTTTTAAACTTCAACCTAGTGGTCCTGGTATGACCTGTGAGACACACAGAATAAAATTAACTCCTCTCTTATGTGACAAGCCTCTAGATTTGTGAATTTGGCTAATTTAATCTAAAATTTAATCCAAATTTTAAAAATTGGATTTACAAGTCAATTTTTATTTCTCCAGAAATGTATCACATAGTAGTTAAGAATGAACACTCTGAAGTCAGACTATGAGGATTTGAATCCCTTCTCTGCCTTTCCTAGCTCTGTGGTCTTATGGCTTTTTATTTCACTACTTTTGGTTAGTTAATTTTTAATATAAGCATATTACTATAATTTACCTAATTACTGAATAGGTAGTACATGTAAAGCTCTTAGAACAACGCCTAGCACATGGTAAATATTCAGTAAATATTATTTAGTATCCAGATAAAGCATCCCTAGTTCCATCAGTCATTCATCAAAAAACAGTTTTAAATTTTCTTACCATATTTTTCTTACAGGTTACTCATTAATGGAAGCAATATGGTGCATTGCAGGAAGACATTTAGGTTTTGTTCCTTGTCTTTTCCCCTCTATGCCATCTCCCCCCAACTCATCTTCAAACCAGATTACAGTGACATTTATCTTTGTCTGTTCATATGTGTATAAATATAAATATATGTGTATAGACATTCATTCATTCTTGAAGGGGTGTCGTAACAAAAACCATTGGTTTAATGGGGAAAAAAGTGTAGGACTTTGGTCAGATGCCAGTCGCAAGTACCAGGTCCCCAAGTCTGTCCAACTTGGCTACAATGTTAGGGGTTCTCACAACCCCCTCCTCAGGGTCAGTAATTTGCTAGAATAACTCACAGAACTCAGGAAAATGCTATACTTACTATTACAAGGTATTATAAAGGATACAAATGAACAGCCAGATGAAGAAGTACCTAGGGTGAGATCTGAAAGGGTTCCAAGCACCAGAGCCTGTCTCTGTGGAGTTGGGATGTGCCACCTTCCCAGCACATGGATGTGTTTTCCAACTCAGAAGCTCTTAGACTACTGTTGTTTAGGAGGTCTTGTGGAGTACATAGCCATGATTGATCAGATCATTGGCCATTGGTGATTGGGTTCAATCTCTGCCCCTTTACCTCCTGCAAGACTGGGGGGTGGGGCTACAAGTTCCATCTCTCTAATCATGGCATGGTCTTTGTAGTGACCAGTCCCTGTCTTAAAGCTATCTAGAAGCTCCTCAGCCTAATGTTATCTCATTAACATGAAAAAGACACTTACGTAGATTTCAAGGGTTTTAGGAGCTTTGTGCTAAGAACCTAGGACAAAGACCAGTTATTTTTTATTATACCATACTTGTATGCCTGCCAGTGGCACAAACTGAATTCAAAGACTGGTCATGAATCTTAACATCCCTTTTGATTGAATGGTTGCATCATTGAATTCCAAATTTTCTTGTATAATCTTTCCTAGTTCATGTTGGTTCAACCAGGAACTAATCCCAGGTTTTAATTGCTCTAATCAAAATCACCATGCAAGAGAATGTTTTCATTTCTAGCAGTCCATAGTTCTCTGTCATTGTCCTCTGAATCATCTAGCTGGTCAAAAGATTGGAGAGTATAACCATTTCAGATCCATAAGAAATATAAGTTCTTCTTTATTTGAGGGCTGTTTAGAAGAAAGTTAAGAATTCTTCTGTGTAGGGGTCAAAAGAAAACTTCCCTTCATCCTCTGAAGGTTCACTGAAAATCACCTGACAAACAGCAGATTAATAGGAGAAATGGCATACAGATTTATTAATGAAAGGGAGGTGGGGAAATGTGGGTGATTTTAGAGGAGGGTTGTAAATTATTTTTAGGGGAATTCAATGGACTTGAACATACAGTGGCCTGGGACAAAGTCTATTGAGCCTGCTAAGCATTCAGTGGTTTGTGACAAAAGTCTGGCTAGGTGTGTTGACAGACTTCCGTCTTCCTGCCCTATGAGTTCAGTTAATGAAAACTCAGGGAGGGGACTGTTAGAAATGCTTATTCCCGGTGCCACAAAGAAATAGCACTCAAACATAAATTTAATTTTCACAGAAAGGCAATTTTTACTTTCTGCGGAAAGGGTGCTCCTTGCAGATGGAACAATGGTGAGACCACACCCGGACAGGGGAGGGGAAGGAGTTCTTGTTCCTGACGCAGGTATCCCCTACTGCTGTGTCATTCCTGTATTGGCTAGGGTTGGCCCGCACAGTCTAAGCTAATTCCAACTGGCTATTTTAAAAAGAGCAGGGGGTATGAGCCAGAGTGGTAGGGTGAGTAGTTTGGCGGGAAGGATGGTTAGAAACAGGTAACTAAAGGTGACTTAGGTCAGAGCAGGTGACCAGGGGTGACTCAGGTAAAGCAGGTGACCGGGATGAGTCAGGATGGACCAGGTGACCAGGGAACAGATGTGAACTACTGATTAGGACTGGTGGGAAAGTTGTTTACTGAAACTTAGAAGCAAGGGGGTGAAGAGAACCAGGAAGCTAAACTTTAAAATGGAGAATCAAAGAATAAGAGAGCTGAACATACTGACATACTGATTCTTTGAAGAGAAACTTGGGGTTCACTATATTTAACAGGATCAAAGGTAATTTTCTTCTTCTTTGGTGGGCCTGGACTTTAGACAGATAAGGAAACTTCACAGAACAACTTCATACTGTGTTTTGCGAGAAAGAGGATCAAGAGATGGGAAGAAACAGGGGAAGGTCGGAGAGACTCTGAGGCTGCTTCTTCAGCATGTCAAAGTGCCACAGTTTGGGGTATCAGTTTCTGAGCCCCAGCACCTGCAAAAGTGAGTCTCTGGATTGGGATTATATGTATAATAGTGACATGATTAGGCAAATAAAAGGCTTTAATTTCTGTGTTTACATCGAAGCTGAATAATCTTGGATATAATGTAGGCAGCTTGGGTATAATGTAGGCAGCTTCATCTCATGACCAGCTACAATGTCATTTGTTCATCATTACATTTAACAATGCCAAGAGGGTACAGAAACATGGATTCCCCTCTTCCCCAGCATCTCTGTCCCTGCTTGGAACTTAAAAGATCAGGAATAGCTTTACCTTTGGGTTTCATGTGGATTGAGCTAAGGAACTTATCTCTGGTTGTTTTTATCCTCACGTAGAATCTATTTTGTACCATGAAGGTTTGGGATATAATGGGATTGTGAGGTGAGGTGCAAGTGTGGATGAGAGCAAATTTGTTTCAGGGTTCATCTGGGAAAGATTGCAGTGTTTTTTCCTGGATATCTGAGAAACACGTTTTTCCACTTCAACTTTACTGAGAAATTTTGCTGTGGAGTTGGTTTTGGACCTAGTTGAGTATCCCCCGACACCCCATCCTACATCCTGCACTGTGGCTGCAGGTTTTCTGTCCTTTCTGTCTCTAGCAATCAGTATTTGCCCTCACTTCTTAGGGGGAAAGGAAAGGAAAGGATTAGTTGAGAGCCAAGGTCTGTGAATATATGGCTACTCAGTCGGTGAGTAGTTATTTTGTTGCCCTTTAGTTTACCAGCTTACTTTTTCTATTGCTTTCGTCTAATCACTTACTAATTCTGTTAGTTGGAAGTTAGTAGAGAGGTCAAGGTAGTAAGTGCTTTGGTAGTAGAATACAATCCCCCCCACCCCTTCCCTCCCTCCAGTTTTTAAAAGTGCTTCTGTATGCCAGAGGATACAGGCCCTCAGGAAATTTTTTTTTCCTTCAATACCCTATTTTCTAGGAAAAGAAACCTGAATTTCCATATGTTTGATTAAATGAGTCTTAAACCCTGAAGTGTGGAGAGGACCAATTGTGGCAGTCTTCTGTGTTATAAAAACATTTAATTAGAATCTCTCTTCATTTAGCATAACTATAGAACCTTTTAGGTAAGAGTCTTAACATGTGTGTTTCTGTATAACTTATCTTTCCATTATCTCCCATCTCTTATTCAGTAAGATAAATAGCATCTTTTAAAGTAATTCTGATGAGGTAAATTTAAAATATTCACTTAATTGAAAGATGAGAAATATTTTTAATTAAAAAAACACTATTACAAAAATTACTTAACCTTATAATAATTCTTTAATATCTTTAATGTTGATTTTTATATGTTGAAAGTCTTTGGATGACTTTTTAATTGCTAGTGCTTGTCAAAAAATTATTAATTTGTATGTACTGTTATTTTTTTATGGACTGAAAAAGGACACGTCTTTGCTGACCATACATGATTTATTTTGTTGTTCAATATTGAATTTTCTGCTGCTTCTACGAGAAATAGAAAACAGATATTATTTCAAATTCTTCACTGCATGCCTGGTCAACTGTTACTTGCTCAGATGTCTTTTTAAAATAACTTTTAAAACTTACTAGGGAATAGAGGAGATAACTCTTGCCCTATTTAAAACTAGCCTTGATGAAATTATGCTGTTGCTGGATGAATTAATACTAATCTTTTCTCCTACAGAGAGCTGCCAAAAATATGACTATGACTTTATTTCATTTAATATTTTAATCAATATAAACTACTTTTTGTTTTTATAAATAAAAATCTGTATTTTTCAAAATTTTTCAGGAAAAAACAGCTGATGAGTCAATGTATATTTTGATTTACATTTTGAATACTTTTTATTATTCCTTCCAAAACAGACACTCCTAGAATATGCAGAGAAATGGAAAACTTCAGAAGATCCTTTACCTTTATTGGAGGTATACACAGTGGCTATCCAAAGTTATGTTAAAGCCCGACCTTATCTTACCTCTGAATGTGAAAATGTAGCCTTGGTTCTGGAACGCTTGGCATTGTGAGTAGACCTTTGAGTAAATAAACTAGATTTAGCTTTAAAAATACATAGACACACACACACACACACACACACACACACACACACACACACACACACAACATTAAATCTCAAGTCTTATAGTTTAATTTTAAATAGATTAGTTATGGGGAGTCTGCTTATGATACTAGAATTACTGGTTTTATAATTTCCTTTGAATTTTAATAATTATTCCTCTCCTTACCAACTTTTTGTTTTTTAGAAGCTGTGTTGAACTTTTACTGTGTCTGCCTGTTGAGTTATCAGATAAACAGTGGGAACAATTTCAGACACTGGTGCAGGTGAGAATCTTTATCTTTAGATTTAATACAGGTATATCTTATGTCAGTTTTCCTTACTCTTAAAAAAATTATTCAGTTAAACTTTAAGACATCTCAATAATGACAGACATTAATTACTGATCTTATTGACACTAGTATCTTACATAGAGTAGATCTCAACAAATGTTTGCTAAATGTATATATACATTTAGATAGATTGAATAATCGTTATGATCAGATAATTAGGGCTTTGTAAGAGCAGCAAGGGAACACAAAAGAAAGTGCCCTCATTTGGATTTAGAAACAGTTAAACTGGTTTCTGAAAGTCTTCAATGTGCTTTATAAGAATTTCACATATATCATTTAATCCTCATGAAAATTTGTGTGGATAGGTATATTTTCCCCATTTTAAAGGTGAGGAAACTGAGGCTCATACTCCAAAATAATTATATGCCCAAACTTGTCTAGCTAAGATCACATAGTAGTTATTCGAACTAAGGTTCTTTATTCCAAAGCCCATGCCTTTTCTTCTGTCTGAAAACACATGCTTTGTCTATTTTATTTAGTGTTGTTATTCTGCTTATATGAGGTACTACACAATTTAGCAGTTAGTAGTCTTGAAGTTTTTTCAAGAATGTTAAATTTTGTTTCAACACTAGAGCTGGATGTATTATGGCTTCAACTAAATTTTGATTAATTGGTTAGTTAAAAAGAATGCTCCTGCCAGCTAGTTTCAAAGCTATAGTTCTCTTTCTCTCCATTTCTCTTTCCAGAGTTCTTAAAATATCTTTAGGCCTTAAGATTTTCTGTAAGAAATATATTAAAGAGGTATAGCCTTAAACTTTAGAAGCATGTAAAATAAGCTATAGTTAGGCAGAGAAATAAACTTTCCTGTTTTAATATTAAACATTAAAATCTACATCAAGTGCAACAGGCCCTTGAAGGTGGAATTCATATCTTATTTAACGTCATAGGATTCTGCATAATGTCTTACACATAACAGATGCTTAATAACTGTTTGTTGAAATGAAAGTGTCTTGTCCTGTTTGTCACATTGCAACTAACTTTTTGATCATGCATATTCTACTTCGGATATCCGTAACTTGTATCTTAGGTTTTTTTTCCAAAAAGTATTTTTAGGTAAATTATTTTGAAACTTCCTATTGCTTGCCATTCAGATACACCCTACCACAGAATTAATATGCATAACCAGAATTCCAAATGCTACTGATTTTGTTTGCCAACGTAAGATAAAATTTTACACTTTCTTTTTGAAACAAAAGGACTAGTTAATACCTTTTTAGATGGATTATGAAGGAAGTAACTCTTTACATCCCTCTACATTCAGTTACTTAAAGAAAACTTAGTAAAGCACCTGAACTTTGTTGGAATGGGAATATTTGGATGGCTTTGAGGATTAGACTTTTTGTTTGAACATAGCATGCAGCTTTAAGAGTTTCTACAACACTTTGCTCCCATTTCTGAGCTTCCTCAAGGTTAGTTTATGCCTGTTTAACAGCATTTATTTTCCCTGTGTTTTAACTATTTAAACATTTCTTTACCCAGAGGATAAGCCCCATAAAGTCAGGGACTAGTTGCTCTTCTCTAGAACTTTGTTCATAGAAATTCTCAATAAACAGTTTCTGAATTGAATAAAAACTATTGGTCTTTTGTGGACTGAAGACTATGCCCATTTCATGAACACTTGGAAACAACTAGCAGGCAAGGTTCATCATCAGCTTTAATGTGAAATTGCCAGAACTATACAATGAATAAATGAAAAAATCATGCATTTAGTTATTTTCTTTTTGTAATTCCCTTTTATTGGAATATGCATAAGTTGTCACTTAGTTCGTTATGCAAATCTTTTTATTAATGGTAGATTTGGGGGAAAACTTTTTTAAACACAGAGGATATAAAATGTGTAAGGTCTTTTATGCGTATGGATATTCTGATTGCTTCCTTGAGGAATAACTTTACTCCTGGCTTAGATTTTGGGGAAGAAAAAATACAGACTTACTTCTGTAAATACATTATATTTATTTAAGATTTGTAAATGATGTATTTCTTATCCTTGAAATTCATCTTTAAATATTAGAAGGAATTGAGTACTTTGTAATGTGATGTGAAATTTTTAAGATGAAAGTCTTTTCAGAAGTTTAGTGTTATATTTAAAGCCTGATAAGCTTGCTTTTAAAAATCTGTTGTAATTCTTTGGATGTTTATTTAATATTTATAGGTAGCTCATGAAAAGCTGATGGAGAATGGCAGCTGTGAATTGCATTTTTTAGCTACTCTAGCTCAAGAGACTGGGGTGTGGAAAAACCCGGTACTGTGCACTATTCTTTCCCAGGAACCATTGGATAAGGATAAAGGTAAATTTTCGAGAGACAGAGAAAAAAAAGAATAATTAGACTAGAAAAAATAAGTGTTAAAGTTGTTTTGATATAATTTATCTCAAGATATTCCAAAGAAGGACCATTTAATTAAATATCTTCTGAGGTGTGCTTGAGGCCCTGCGCCTTTATTTTATTTTGGGGAAGATGAATTTATACGATTATAGAATCATAGATTAACAGATAAACTAGAATTTTTTCCCAACATCTTTTTAACAGAGGAATTCCTTCTGTAACTTCTGACAGGTGGCAATCCAGTTTATATTTGATAATTTATTTGATAGTTGGGAGAAACAGAAATAGGGTGCTGAAATGCTTTTCCTCAAAATAAAATAAGAAGTCAGTACTAGAACTCTTTAAGTCTTTTGTCTCTAAGATTAAAATGCTTTCTCAGTTTATTGCTCAGTCTTATTGTATCCCCTGCGTTTTTCTTTTATGAGCTCAGCCTGGTATCCTATTGAAAGTAGATGGCTAAATTACTTATATGTATAACACTTAATGTTTTTTAGAGTTTAAAATTTATATAGACCCTGAAGAAAAGTACAGTTGTATTCTAGATACTTTTCTTGAGATTATTTAGGAAAATGTGCCCAAATATCACCCTAACCTTTCCCAAGGTATTTAACTAAAGAAGTAAATTTTTTTAAAAAATTGTAATATATCTAATGGAAAAGCATGTATTTACCACTGTAAGCTTCTTCCGTCATTTATTGCTGCTTTTCTTGTTGATCAGTGGCAAATTCTAGGAAGTTTTGCTATGTGATAGCAAGTTATGAAGGCCATGAGAAGGGAGTGTTAAGTCTATTGCTTGTGAGCTCTTCTGGTACTTTGATGTTTACCCAAAGCCTTCCCAGCCAATCTTCAAACTTCTCTTTAGATTGGTTATTCCTACTGGATTTCTGTCTTCACCATTTTCTCCATGCTTTCTTGATCGTTCTAGCAGTGTACTTGTTTCTTAGTTTTCACAAGAGGTTTATTTTTAGTATCCCCTACCTTCATGGATATCCAAAAATTAGCTACAGTGTTCTCGAGACCTTGGAAGGAGATCCTTTCATTACTTAATAATAGTAATTTATTTATTTACTTATTTATTGAGACAGAGTCTTGCCCTGTGGCCCAGGCTAGAGTGCGGTGGTGCGATCATGGCTCACCGCAGCCTCACTTCCAGACTCAAGTGATCCTTTCAGCCTCCTGAGTAGCTGGGACTGCAGACACATGCCACCACACTCAGCTAGTTTTTGTATTTTTATTTTTTGTAGAGACAGGGTCTCCCTGTGTTACCCAGGCTGGTCTCGAACTCCTGGGCTCAAGCCATCCTCCCACCTCAGCCTTTCATAGTGTTAGGATTACAGGCATGACTGACCACACCCAGCCTAACAATAAATTTAAAAGTTGAGAATCTTAGATTTTTTTTTTTGCCTTGCCATATTAACTTTATTCCCAATAGATTAATACCAGTATGCTTTAGTTCTAGCACCAAATTATACTTTCTGATCTTCTCAGCTTTTAGAAATATTAGATGTGATATATTAGTAATAATATCAAATTACAAGTTCCTCACAGTTTGGAAAGTGCTTTTATATGCATGGTTTTATTTAACCATCATAGTGAATGCTTTGAAAAAGATAGGATCCTTATTGTCCCTGTTTTTCAGATGAGAAAATAGAGGTTCAGAAAGATGAGTATTTTTTTCATACCACATTACCAGTGATGAGAGGCAGAGCCAGGAATTAAAATCAGACCTCAGCCTCTCCCTATTAATGCCCTGTTGCATCTAGCCTAATAAAATAGAGTTGCACCTACTCTAAATAAAGGAGTAACTCCTTTTCCCATTGTCAGTTTCTGAACAGCATTTTGCCAAATTCACATATTATGCTAAAGCAGGAAAAAGGAACCTTTATCCTAGCAGAGATTTCAACTTTATTTGAAAAGATAATGTGCTTGATTTCTTTACTTGTTTGAATGTGCCTAACATTGTATCTGTTAACCAATGTCTCTGCCCATCTCTGTGCTGCTTTATTTCTTGACCTTCATCTTGTCATAGCCACTGGAATAATTAGGACTATGCAGCCAGGGGAGTTTTCTGCAAAGTAGATGGATTGTAGGTAGCCAAACTAATACAATACAGCTCATGAAACAACCAGAGAGATGTTACATGATGGAGAGATTTGCACCCATAATCTAGCCTGCAGCAAGTTTGAAGAGAATAATAAGAGCCCAGAAAATGAGTATACCTCTATAGGTTATACTCATTCGTTTGTTTATAGTGAAGCCTTTGAAGTTTTGATGTAGTATTTGAACAGTGACTAATCTGATTAATTCTGAGTTATTTTAGTTTATTTTTTTCAATTGACTGATTTTGGACCTACTAAAGCCCAGCTCAACTGAGAAATACTCTTTGATTTGGGAGAGTAAGGGTGGACAGGACTCAAAGATACTGGTTTCACTTCAACATTTGAGTATCCTAGAGTGAGGTAGCTCTAATAACTAAACCAATACAAGTCAAGTAGATGGTTTTGAATATCAAAGGAACTTTAGGCATACTTAAATATTACTTATGCCTCTCTTTAGTCATAATCTTGGGATTGGAAAGGTGCTTAATGCTCAATTATTTGTTACTCAATTTTAATTCCCCTCTAAAACATCACTAATAAATTAGCTTTTGCTCAAACACTTCTAGAGTATGGTACTTATGTAGTTCAGTCTATTCTTAGCCTGCGATTAGAAAATCTTCATTGTGAAAATTGTGAAAACTAATTTTTGGAGCTTCCAGCTTTTGGACCTGGTGCTGCCTCTAAAGCCATAGTAAAGTATAAATCTCTCTTTCACTTGGTAGCAATTGAGATTTTTAAAGATTGCCATCATGTCTACACTTAGTCTTCTTTTCTTTTCTTTAATTTTTTATTTTTGTGGATATATAGCAGGTGTACATATTTATGGAAGTCTTCTTTTGTAGACTAAAAACCTTGATGTGGCATGATTATAAATCTACAATCGTGATTCCTCTTTTTTGAGTGCATTTTATGTTTTTGTAGTTCTCTTAAATGTGTAAATCTCAGCACTTCATCTGTACTCTAAATATGATCTGGCCAGTTTTGAGGTCAGAGGTATCTTCTTTCTCTTCATGCTAACAATTTATACTTAAGTTAATGTAATGTAAGATGACATTACGTTTTTGGGCAGCCATGTAATTCTCACAACTCAATGAGGTTACTAAAATCATTTAAAATTTTTAAAAAATAAATGCTAACTTTTAATTATGTCTTCTCAATCTACGTTTGTATACTTTTTCTTTTGGTGTACAAGTGTATTACCTTTTTCTTCCTGTGTAATTTTACCATATTAGATCCCTTCTGTCTCCCCAACTTGTCAAGATTCTTTTTAATCCTGATTTTGTTATTCAAGGATTTTGTCCTTCCCAATTTCCTCTCGTTTTGCAGACTTCATTTTCATATACCATATTGGCATCCAGGTTCTTCATCATAACCATAAAAAGGTCATGTCCAGAAATCAAGCTTCTGGGATACTTAAAAAAATCTTTCTGCTTGCCTTTAGTTCTTACATCCATATCCGTTGATTATTATTGTTTTATCAAATATACCTATTTTCCCATAATGCTGGCCCATGGTTCTCCTTTTCTGTCTAAAGGATTTGGTGAAAGACCATAACAAGTGTTTGTGGCTGTGAAAAACTGGCTGTGACAGTTTTTCAGACTTTCCTTGTTTTTGACAAATGTTTGGCTAAAGTTCTTTTATGTAAGATTATTCAATACTGAGGTTAGTCTGACCTAATTTATTTTTTACATAAAAGTTTTTATTTTAGAATAGTTTTAAATTTATAGAAAAATTGTGAAGAGTTTCCATATACCCTGAACCCGTTTTCACTCTCATTAATATCTTACATTAGTTTGGTACATTTGTCACAATTAATAAACTAATATTTATACTTTGTTATTAATTAATCCATAATTTATTCACATTTCCTTAGTTTTTACCTAATGTCCTTTTTCTATTCCAGGATTCCATCCAGGATACCACATTACATTTAGTCGTCATGTCTTCTTAGGCTCCTCTTGGCTGTGACAGTTTTTCAGACTTTCCTTGTTTTTGATGACCTTGACAGTTTTGAGGAGTACTGGTCAGGTATTTTGTAGAGTGTCCCTCAATTGAGATTTGTCTGATGTTGTTCTCATGATTAGACTGGGGTTATGGGTTTTGAGGAGGAAGACCAGAAAGGTAAAGTACCATTGCCATCACATTATATAAAGGGTATCTGTTGTCAACATGACTTATCACTGTTTTGAGGTTTTTTGAGGTTTTTTGTTTGTTTGTTTGTTTGTTTTTTGAGAAAGGGTCTCTCACTCCATCACTCAGGCTGGAGTGCAGTGGCATAATCCCAGCTCACTGCAACCTCCAACTCCTGGGTTCAAGCGATTCTCCCACCTCAGCCTCCCGAGTAGCTGGGACCGCAGGCATGTACCACCATGCTTGGCTAAACTTCTTTGTATTTTTTGGTAGAGATGGGGTTTCACCTTGTTGGCCAAGCTGGTCTCGAGTCCCTGACCTCAAGTGATCCACCTGCCTTGGCCTCCCGAAATGCTGGGATTACAGGCATGAGCCACTACACCCAGCCGACTTATCACTGTTGATGTGAACCTAGACCACCTAGCTGTGGCAGCATGTGTCAGGTTTCTCCACTGTGAAGTTACTCTTTTCTCCCTTTCCATGTTATATTCTTTAGAATGAAATTACAATGTGCAGCCCATCTTCAAGTGGGAAGTTATGCTCCACCTCCTTGAGGAAGCAGTATCTACATGTTATCTGGAATTCTACACAGGAGATTTGTCTCCTCCCTATTTATTTTTTCAATCAGTCATTTATATTAGTATGGCCTTATATATATTTATTTTATTCTTTGGTCATAATCTGATACTACTTTATTTTGTTGCTCAGTTTCTTCCAGTGTTGGCAGCTCTTTCCTTTGACTCTTGTGTCCCTCATCAATGGGTTTTGTTTTTTGTGTGATTACTTCCTTGCTTTCTGGCACTGTAATATGCTCCAGGCTCATCTGGCGTATTTCCTGCCTGAGTCCTGGAATCAACCGTTTCTCTAGGGAGGACTTGCTCCTTTTATTGGAGAATGGTATTAGAAACCAAGATCTATATTAAACTAAATATGAATTCTTACTGATGTCTCCAAGTCTAATTCATTAACACAAAGATCATTGTAGCCTCCTTCCCTTGCTTATCTGTGACCTCCCACTTCAACAAAATGTCATGTAATTGGAATCATACAGTATGTAGCCTTTCAGACTAGCTTTTTCCACCATTGGCCATCCATTTACTTAATCCTAGTATACCCCTATAGGAAAAAACTTTATTAACTACAGTACAGTGCTTTTGTACAGTTCTTTTTTACTTTATTCTTACATTCTCCACTCATTTCCAAAGTTACTTAGGTCAGCACCTTATTTCTCCATTCCTTTCAGTGAGGTTCTTTTCATACATTTGTAATATAGTTATTTTGTTGTATTCTGTATTCCATCTTGGGCTTCCTGAACCTCCTAAATAACTTTTTTTTCAATTTGCATACCTTAAGATTCCCTCTTTTGTGTTGTATAGTTTTATAGATTTTGACAAATGAAAATAGTGTCGTGTGTCCACCATTACAGTAGTATACATAGTAGTTTCACTCCCTAAAAAAAAAAACAACAAAAAAACTGTGTTTCATCTATCCAGCCTTCTCCCAAACACCTGACAACTACTTATCTATCTGCCATCTCTATAGTTTTGCCTTTTTCAGAATGTCACGTAATTAAAGCTTTTCATTCAAGCTTCTTTCACATAGCATTGTATATTTAACATTCATCCAGGGCTTTACGTGTCTGTTAAACCAATGAGCTATTAGCTCATTCCTTTTTATCACTAAATAATATTCCATTATATGGCTATACCACAGTATCCATTCACCTGTTAAAGGTGAATGGCTAAACAAACTGTGGTACAGCCATGTAATGGATGCTGTTTTTGATGTATGTGCTGCCAGTTTTTGGTGATTTGAATAAAGCCGTTATAAACATGTGCATGCAGGTTTTTGTGTGGATGTCAGTTTTCAGATCAGTTGGGTGAAAATACATGGGAGTATGATGGCTATGTCATATGGTAAGACTGTGTTTAGCTTTGAAAAAAAACTGTCTTCTAAAGTGCCTGTACCATTTTGTATTCTCATCAGCAATGAATAATTCCTTTTGCCCCATACCCTTACCAACAATTGGTATTGTCCGTTTTTGGAATTTTAGCCATTCTAATAGGCATGTAGTGATATCACATTGTTATTTTAATTTGCATTTCTGTAATGACAAATGATTCTGAACATCTTTTCATATGCATATTTGCCATCTGTATATCTTGGGTGAGGCATCTGTTCAGATCTCTTGCCTATTTCTTAATTGGGTTGTTTGTTTTCTTATTGTTGAGTTTTAACAGTTCTTTGTATATTTTGGGTACAAGTTCTTTTTCAGATATGTGTTTTGCAAATCTTTTCTTTCCCTCTTGTGAAAGAATCCTCTTGTGGCTTGTCCTTTCTCTTAAGAGCAACTTAGCAGAAGTTTTACATTTTCATAAAGTCCTACTTCCCAGTTTTTTCTTCCATGGATCATGCTTTTGGTATTTTATCTAAAATCTCATCGTGAAATCCAAGGCCATATAGATTTTTCTATGGTCTTTTCTAGAAATTTTATAGTTTCACATTTTACATATGGGTATATGATCCATTTTTAGATGAATTTCTGTGAAAAGTGTAACTTAATTTATGTTTAGTGAATTCATCTTGGCTCTTACTAGTCTCACTTCTTTTTCTGAACAATCACAACCCATCTTTTTTAATATAATTAATTTTTAAACTCTTATTCAGGATTACATCTGTTGCCGTTTCTACAGTTTTGCAAGAAGTACCATCAGCCCCGTTTTGAAAATTACATTTTGCCATCTGTTTTCACTTATTCTATGGTGTGTTCTACTCTTAAATCTTAAGCTTATCAAAGAAGTAGAGTAGTAAGAGTAGAAGAAATATACTTTTCTCTGCTATCATAAATAGCACATAATCAAACCCAAGTAGCAGACTTTCCCAAGAAGGTCTCACCATGCTCAGTTTTATTGTTCTCAGCATTTTTGGTGAGTTAGGTGTCATCTTGGGTTTTACTTTTATTAACATTTTGCATAGGTTGTTAGTACCAGGTGTCTGACACTCATGGTGCATCCTTGGTCTTAAACCTGTTTTTCCTTCTTCTGTATGTATTATTTTAAAATCTAAGCTCTAAGACAACTCCCTATTATAGTCACACTGAATTTTTTAGGCACTTTCCCTCTACTTCTATATTGGGTTAATTTGCAATTGCATAAATTGCAGTTTTGTCAGCTTGCCAGTCCTTTCTTGCATCTTGAGCACTGCAGTTCTCTTTTTTCCCCCCAGAACTCTTTTCTTTTCAAAGGAAATTTCTAAAGCTTTAGATTTTCCATGATACTTACAAATCATTCATGGTTTTGTGGGAAATAAGCCCTTATTTAGTAATAAACTTTGCATTTTAAAGTGAAAATGGAAAAATTGCTCTTAGTTTGCTAGATATTAGCATACCTAAGATGCAATAATATTTTAGCAGGAGAGGGGATGGGAGGAGAGAGCTAGCGATAACTAATGTTGCCCAGGTAAATAGGGTGAGGTCAGATCTGATTACATGCAGATTATACCCTACTATTTTATAATTAAATATAAGTATTTAATTATATGACCCAAAGTTTTCAGTTTTACTGAAAAGGATTTTTAAACGCACTCTTTGGTTTCTTAAAGCTCCTAGACAAGGACATTATTTTTTAGTGTGTGTATATATATCTATATATCTATATATATATAGATATATAGATATATAGATATATAGATTTTTTTTTTTTGAGACGGAGTCTCCCTCTGTCGCCCAAGCTGGAGTGCAGTGCATGATCTTGCCTCACTGCAACCTCCGCCTCCTGGATTCAAGCGATTCTCCTCCCTTAGCCTCCCGAGTAGCGGGGACTACAGGCATGCACCACCATGCCCAGCTAATTTTTTATATTTTTAGTGGAGACGGGGTTTCACTATGTTGGCCAGGCTGGTCTCAAACTCCTGACCTCAGGTGATCCACCTGCCTTGGCCTCCCAGAGTGCTGGGATTACAAACGTGTGCCACCATGCCTGGCTTTAATGGGTATATTTTATAATGTTACATGGAAAAATCTGTCAGAATTTAGTTAAATCTAATACTCATAATTAAATCTTATTTTACGCAAAAATTGTAGCATACTAAGTTCATCTATGATATGAAATACTTTCTAATCTTTGAAAGTTAATTCTATTTCCTGAAAATGTAACATCTTTCTTCAGGAAAGGGTAAGAGGTGGGGTCAAAGTTGATTATCCCTAATTGGTCATTTGGAAGTTACCATGAGCAGTAGTCTCAATCCTGGCTATAATTAGAATTACCTGGAGAGGTTTTAGATAGACCAGTGCCAGGGCCCTACCTCATACCAATTAAATTAGACTCTCTGGGCAACCAGTATTCTAGAACTTGAAGCATTGTGTTTTATTAAATGTCTTAATTTGGATTTTTTTTTGACCAACAATGCTGAATTGTGTTTTTTTAAATATATTTTTAATTGTGGTAAAAAAAAACCACACACACAAGATAAAATGTACCGTCTTAACTGTTTTTAAGTTTGGTAATGTCAAATACATTCACATTGTTGTAAACATATTTCAGAACTTTTTCATCTTGAACCCCAAGGTGAAAACTATACCCATTAAACAACAACTCCCCTTTTCCCTTAGCCCTCAGCCCCTGTAACCACTACCCTACTTTTTGTTTCTATAATTTTGAGTACTTTAGATACCTTATATAAACAGTATCATATCATATTTTTCTTTTTATGACTGACTTATTTCACTTAGCATAATGTCCTCAAGATTCATCCGTGTGGTAGCATGTGAAAGGATTTGCTTACTTTTTAATGCTGAATAATATTCCATTATATGTTTATACCACATTTTGTTTATTTATTTATCTGTCGTAGTTGGACATTTGGATTGCTTCCACCTCTTGGTTATTGTGAGTAGTGCTACTATAAACATGGGCATACAAACGCTTCTTCAAGAGCCTGCTTTCAGTTCTTCTGGGTATAACCAGAAGTGGGATAGCTGGATCGTATGGTAGCTGTATTTTTAATTTTTTGAGGAACTTCTGTACTGTTTTCCATAGAGGGTACATCATTTTACAGTCCTAACAGTATTGTACGAAGGTTCCAGTTAATCCACATCCTCACCAACACTTGTTTTCTGTTTTTTTCGTAGTAGTCATCCTACTGGGTGTGAGGTGATATCTCATTGTGATTTTCATTTGCAGTTCTCTGATGATTTTTGATGTTTCGTATGCTTGTTGGCCATTCGTATGTTATCTTTTGAGAAATATCTATTCAAGTTATTAGTCCATATTTTAACTGGATTTTTTTGTTGTTGTTGAGTTAAAGGAGCTCTTTATATATTCTTGATATTAATCCCTTATCAGAGATATGATTTGCAAATATTTTCTCTCATTCCTTTTCACTCTGGTGAAAAGGTTGCCTTTTTACTGTGTTGTGTCCTTTGCACAAAAGTTTTTAAGTGTGATGTAGTTTTATTTTTGCTTTTGTTGCCTATGACACATTTGGTGTCATAGCCAAGAAATCATTGCCAGTCTATTGTCATAAAGCTTTTCTCTATGGTTTCTTCTACGAGTTCTGTAATTTTGGATTTTTCATCTAAGTCTTTAATCCGTTTTGAGTTAATGTTTGTATATGGTGCAGGAATAGGGTCCAGCTACATTCTTTTGCATTTAGGTATCTAATTTTTCCAGCACCATTTGTTGAAGAGACTGTTCTTTCCCCATTGAGTCACCTTGGCACCCTTGTCAAAGATCATTTGACCATATATGATAGGGTTTATTTCTGGACTCTTTTCTATTGCATTGGTCCACATGTCTGTCTTTATGCCAGTATCATCAGTGTTTGATTACTTGAGCTCTGTAATACATCTCAAATCAGGAAGTGTGAGACCTTCAACTTTGTTGTTCTTTGTCAGTTATTTTGGCTTAAAGATTCTATATGAATTTTAGGATGCATTTTTCTATTTCTGCAAAAAAAAATGCCATTGAGATTTTCATAGAGATTGTGTTAAGTCTATAGATTGCTTTGCCTAGTATGGATATCTTAATAATATTAAGTCTTATCATCCATGAACACAAGATACCTTCCCAATTATTTATGCATTTCATTTCTTTTAACAATGTTTTATAATCTTTAGTCTACAGGTCTTTCGCCTCCTCCTTGGTTAGCTTTATTCTTATTTTATTGTTTTTGTTGCAATTGTAAATGGAATTATTTTCTTAATTTCCTTTTTGAACTGTTCATTGTTAGTGTACAGATGCAACTGATATTTATGTGTGGATTTTTATATCTTGCAGCTTTACCAAATTTGTTTATTAGTTGCAGTAGTTTTTAAATGGGATCTTTAGGGCTTTCTACATACAAGATCATGTCATCTGCTAACAGATGATTTTACTTCTTTTCGATCTGTATCTCTTTTATTTTTCTTGCCTAATTGCTGAATTGTTTCTTTCTTTCTTTTCTTTTTTGAGACGGAGTTTTTGCTCTTGTTGCCCAGGCTGGAGTGCAATGGCGCAATCTCGGCTAACTGCAACCTCCGCCTCCCGGGTTCAAGCAATTCTCCTGCCTCAGCCTCCCGAGTAGCTGGGATTACAGGCATGCGCCTCCACGCCCAGCTAATTTTGTATTTTTAGTAGAGACACGGTTTCTCCATGTTGGTCAGGCTGGTCTCAAACTCTCGACCTCAGGTGATCCACCTGCCTTGGCCTCCCAAAGTGCTGGGATTACAGGTGTGAGCCACCGTGTCCAGCCTAATTGCTGAATTATTTCTAAGAGAGAATACAAATTAAGTATTTTTAAAAAGGATAAGTGATCCTTGCTTTGAAAGCAATGGAACCACTAGAAGGTTTTAAACAGGGAAGACAATCAAGTGTGTGCTTTAAAGTAATACCAGAAGCACCCTGGATTCTAGTGAAGTGATGGAGGTGGTAAGAGTAGATGGAGACGACTAGTAGATTGCTACGAAGTAGTCTGATTAGTGATTTGGGCTGGGTTGGGTTGGGTTGGGGGAGCAATATGGAAGTGGAGATGAAGAAGAGTTAATGGAATTGAGTATTTAGGCATTGGAAGTGACACAACTAGGTGATAGATTGATGTCTGGGTGAAAAGGAGGTAGGAGAGAGCATTTTTAAGGCAGACTCCTAGGTTTCTGCCTTGAGCACAACTGAATAGATGGAAATGTGGAGATGACACGTAATGTGGTGTAGAGATATTGTATGCTGAGTTTGAGATGCTTTTGAAACAGCTAGTCAAAGATGCTGCAAAGGAAATCATGCAAATCTGGGCATGAGAATAGGAACCCAGTAAATGAGTTGACCCCACTTTAGGGGGAATCTAGGACCTAGTGTAACCTGTGGTACATAGTACACAATTAATTCTTGTGTAATTATTTATCACAGAAAATCAACTCATATTTTGTATTTAATTATCTTTAATGTAGGAATTAGTGGTTTCCTTTTAATATTATGAAAGTGACATGGCCCGGCGTGGGGGCTCACACCTGTAATCCCAGCACTTTGGGAGGCTGAGGTGGGCGGATCACGAGGTCAGGATATCAAGACCATCCTGGCGAACACGGTGAAACCCCATCTCTACTAAAAGTACAAAAAAATTAGCCGGGCGTGGTGGCGGGCGCCTGTAGTCCCAGCTACTTGGGAGGCTGAGGCAGGAGAATGGCATGAACCCGGGAGGCAGAGCTTGCAGTGAGCCGAGATTGCGCCACTGCACTCCAACCTGGGTGACAGAGAGAGACTCCGTCTTAAAAAAAAAAAAAAAGAAAGTGACATAGGAAGAAGGCTCTTTTACATTTTTAATCAAATTGGCTAAATATCATTTATTTATATTGCCATGTGAAGTAGTGTTATCTATGTCACATAGCTTTCTTGATAGGCCCAAATATAGTAAAGCCTGCTTTTCTGTTGAAGTCTGTGAATATAGAGAAAACATAAAAAGGTGACACATGAGTAAAATTATAAATATTTTATACTTTGTGGGATGCTAGTGGGAAAAGCAGACTAGGGAGTGAAATTTGATACGTCTAAGCTACTCAAAGATAAGTCTGAGAAGCATGAAAACAGTCTTTGTTGCAATATTGTAACATTATAAGGAAAAACATCTTGGATTGCAGAGAAATAGAAAGATGCAGAGAAGTGGGAAAAAAAAGTAGTGAAGAAGTAGAGGGAGAGAAGTGAGCTTTCAATAGGACTGAATTGAGTGTAAACCACTTTTGATCCATTTGAATCATGAACTTCAGAATATATAATTATCTTCCTTTAAAGGCTGATGCTACTTCACAGGTTTTTACTGCTGTAAGGTGCCATTCCAATGAGAAGT
The DNA here is from genome assembly GCF_000001405.40 of Homo sapiens. Taxonomy (NCBI): domain Eukaryota; kingdom Metazoa; phylum Chordata; class Mammalia; order Primates; family Hominidae; genus Homo; species Homo sapiens. The sequence goes on from NC_000006.12 coordinate 87,231,307, forward strand.
AGACCCAGTAGTCAAATAGAAAAAAAAAAATTCTTTTTCTTACCTCACACTGTATAAAGCTAGAAGTCAGAAGACTCATTCTACTCCTCGCTATGTCATTAACTGGCTTTATGTCCCTAGGAAGTCACTTGCCTTCTCTGAGCCTCAGTTTACTCATCTGCCAAATGATGGAACAGACAAAATGATCTATAAATTTCCTTCTACTCAAATATTCTGTGTATTTTTGAAATCCATTTTGCCCTAAGTGTGGCAGTGGTTTCCCATCATTAAGAGACAAACAAAAGCCTATGGCTTTGAAATTTGCAATATTAATATTCTTCTACATTGATTTAATGCAGAAATTACACAATTTGTCGTTCTAACTTAAATGCTGCTATTTGAGAATGCAGGGCCTATTTGAGATTGGGACCATCAGTTTTGTGAAATACTTCCCACCTTTAAGTTATTTCTTCACCATGATCTTTTAGAGTGTGTTGATTGTGACTTTTTTGTGAGAATATTTGCAATAATTCCCAGACTTTGTATCTCTAGAGTTTCCTTTGGAGAAAATTGTTGAATTAGGAAACTAAAGCTCTTGATAGCCAGAATAACTTTATTATAACTTTGTTTTTTAGTCTTATATTTAAAATCTTTTGCTTTGGCAGTGAACTAAACTGTAACTGCATTGTAATTGTCCTAATAGGATAATGCAATATTAAAAAAGAAAAGTAATGCCCTTTATCTCATAAAGACATGTAGTCAGAGGCACCAGAAACATATGCTTTATTTATCTGTGCTTACCCTTTATGCCTTTTAGTGTAATGTAAAGAATAGAGGGTAGCAGGTGAAAAGGTCTAGACTTCAAGAAAAGGATTAGATTTGAGATCTTGTGTTCTATAGCTTATATGTTTATGGTTTTAATACCAACGAGCCATGATCATAGCATTTTATAGAAGAATCTTTTCTATAGTGGAGTACAGTTAGATCTAAAAATGAAAGTACTAGAGGGAAACAAAGGATATTACAAGAAGTAAAGAACATCTCTCATTTTCTGTATTCTAACCTGCAAATTACTTACCAGATGTATCTTTCAGTCTGTTAACAAGCAGAGAAGATACTGTGTTTTATTCATGGAGCATTTTAAATGTTATTACTAAAAGCCTTCCCAAGGTTTCAGGCTAGCCATTGTCAAATAAATTTTTAAACATGATTTCTATTCTGGTAAAGAACACTTAGGAAAAACTTAAACTTGTTAAAACTTAAATTCTCCTTCATAAATACAAAAAATAAAAATATTAATTCTTATTTGTAGATGACCAAACAAGCACTAGGGGATAGTCAGAGGTTTGAACAAAGTAGAAATGTTTTATGCATAAGTGACTGTTTTGAGTTTATTCATTGATGTTTTAAAAATAACGACATAAAACCCACAGAAGTTTTATCCTTTGGCGAAGTTTTATCCTTTGGCAAACTTTTCTCCCATCTTATTTATTTTTCTGTAGATATTTTGATTCATTATAAAACATCTATTTTTAAAAGTCAGATTTCAGCTTTGTAAAATGAAAAATATACCATCAGTATTGAACAAAATATTAGTTGAATCTCTTCTTCTGGAATGTCCCAATAGCTTTTTGTGGTTACTCATCGTGGAAGGTTGTAATGCCCTAGCATTACAGATTTTAGGGATGCTAACTGCTGGTGTTGAAGAATAACTGCTGTAGGAAAAAAAATTAGTGTAATTTTAATAACATTGACTATTAGCATTTAACACAGAACTATTTTCATCATCAACAAGTTTATTCAGCTCATTCTAAATGGTCCCTTATATAAGGGCCAAAAGTACTTAACTTTTAAAAGTTAGCAATATAATCTCTTCTTGCTTATAAGGTCAAGTCTTTTGTGATAGCCTTACTAGCAATAATAGAAAATTGAAAAAAAGCATTTTAGTTCCCGTGTTTAAAAATATTTCTTATAAGTGTTGGTATTGCAAATGAATTATTACCAAATGTTAATAATCTATTATGTCTTGTTTTTTAAAGTGAATGAATTTTTAGCTTTTGAGGGTCCCATCTTGTTGGATATGAGAATTAAACATCTAATCAAAACAAATCAGTTAAGTCAAGCAACTGCTCTAGCAAAGCTGTGTTCTGACCATCCAGAGATTGGCATAAAAGGTAGTTTTAAGCAAACTTACCTTGTCTGTCTTTGTACATCATCACCAAATGGAAAGTTAATCGAAGAGGTGAGTATGTTTTCTTTCATTAGTAATTATTTTTTAAGTTGAGAAATTAATTTTTAATTAGAATGTCTTTGATTTCCTTTTCTCTTAGATAGCGAAGAGATCATTGTCAATCTTACATTTTTGGTATGTTCTTGAGTGGTGGCAACTTGATTCTAAGTAGCTTTTAGAATTATATGTAAACTGATTGCACCTAGTTTCTGTTTTAAATAATATACATCTTTTAAATGCTTTGGCTAAATTGTGGGAAAGATAGTGGTGGCTTAACAGTTTAGTAAAATATCTATATTTGTCAGCTTTTGGCCTTAACTTCAATCTTGTCTGACTTCAAGATACTTGCACATCTTTTAAACTGGCTAATTTAAGTAACTTTATAGAATTTTTGTGACTTATCTCTGGAAATACTTTGTCATATAAATTCTATATAGAATATATATATGCACATCTATGCTATATATCATTTTGAGTACGTATTTATTTGCCTATTTAATGTAAAACCTTATTTTCTCTCTGAGACATTGTCTTTTCACTTCTAGTTTGGTATAAAGCATAGTATTCACATATTTGTATAGTTTATGACTACAAAATTCTGAGAATGGAATCATGATCCAAATGGGAATTTTGCAATTTTGCATTTTGAGGGACTTACAATTTCAAAAGGAAGTTGGAAACAGGGTAGGAGAATTAGAAGTTGTTGATCAAGAAACAGGGCGTGTATATTTAAAGAATTTAGATAAAACTATACTAGATTGGCTGGGTGCCTGTGGCTCACGCCTGTAATCCCAGCACTTTGGGAGGCCGAGGCGGGCGGATCACGAGGTCAGGAGTTTGAGACCAGCCTGGCCAACGTAGTGAAACTCCTCTCTCTACTAAAAATACCAAAAATTAGCTGGGCATGGTGGCGGGCACCTGTAATCCCAGCTACTTGGTAGGCTGAGGCAGGAGAATCGTTTGAACCTGGGAGGTGGGGGTTGCAGTGAGCCAAGATCATGCCACTGCACTCCAGCCTGGGTGACAGTGTGAGACTCTGTCGCAAAAAAAAAAAAAAATTTTTTTTAAAGAAAACCTATAGTAGGTTGATCAGTGTTCAGTGGGCACTGAATGTGTACGGGTGTCTTATATCTGTAATAACATATCCTTTGACTCCAGAGCAATAGAGAGGAAAACAAAGGGATTGTAGGTAAAACATAAGGATATGTTAAGGGAAAAATTGAGATATAAGACAGAGAAGTAAACTAATAGAGCATGCATGATCCTCTTAGGTATTGTCATCAGTCTCAAAGCAGAATAGCCTCATACAGAAAGCTCAGTGCCACATGAGGTTTGTAATGATGATTGTGTGATTTTTTTTTTCCTTGAGAATAGACAAGTAGGAAGGCAAGTGGTAGGCTTGGACCAAGATAAGAAATAAACCTGTTGGGTTTCTTATGTGAGGATATTGAGGATAGTGGGAAGAGTAATGTCAGACAGTTTGTAGGCTAGATGGAGTGGAACCATGGTCTGTAGCCTAGGATACTATATCACTATTAGTTTGGACTTCAACTAGTCTATAGATTTTTTTCTTTATTATTTATTTTATTACAGGTAATTGGCCTTTTAATTGCTATTATATATGAGAGCAAAATAGAAGACTGACATTTTCTTATTAGTTCCAAATAACTAGATAAGTTAATTTGCAGATGTATAAAATTTATTGAAATCACCTTTGACGTGTTGTAACATTTTTAAAAAAATCATTAGTTATTGTGCTGCTGCTTCTCAGATATTTTTCAGTGCCACGAAAGCTTTTATTATCAGTTCAGTCCCTGCCCTTAAGGTTCATCTGACCTCCCTTCCCCTTCCACAGATTTGTATTAAGTGAATGATTTTTTCTGTATAAGCATTGGGGGGGATTGGGGGAGGTGGGATTTAAAGGTGAATAAGGGGTAGGCCCTTCACTAAAGAAGCGTATCTCCTGTTAGGAAACTGACTATCTAAGCATAGAGTTGTTGGGTTAGCTTTGAAGTTGAAGACTGTGAATCTGTGTCTCAAGTAAAAATCTAGTAAAAAAAAAAAAATCTGTATTTCTAGCTCTCTGAATAATCCAGTCTTGCAATACTGAGCCTAAGTTCCTTCTTGGTTTAATTATCCAGAGTTGAGTAACAACAGTCCAGCCTACTCTGGGAGATGATCAGGAAAATTCTGTGAAGACCCTGGGTACTTCCAGTGTCATATGGAACTATTTCCCTCCCCCCCACTTCTCATGTTAAGCAGGTAGAATTAAGACTTTTCATGTTCATAAGCAGGGTTCACTAAGGTTTATATACTCCATCCCAGGAAAAAAACTAGATCATATAGTGCAGAACAGGACAGATAGATGTTAAGTCTACACTTACATAGCACTACACATATATAGTAACATTACTTTGTTAAAAGTCCCTTGTTACAAAGTAACAACATTACTTTGTTAAAAGTCCTTTTTTGCTTAGAGATGATTGCTCTTTAATGTTTCTGTTATAAACACATTAGAAACTTATTCATTGTTCCATATGAGGTGAGTTAAGATTTATTGTCCCCAACCCAGAGACATTGCCCCCTTTAGAAGAGGTGTGCACCATGTGCTCTCTCACTTGCCCACCCTACTCTTTGTCCACTTCATTAATGTACGTTACTTGCCTGTTTCTTACAAGTATTTGAGGTTTGGTTTTGTTTACGTGTTCCTTAAAGGACAGTGGGAACAGACTTTGTTAGAAGGAGTCAGCAATGGCCTGGATTGGTGGTGATCTTTCTGAGGAAATCTTTGTCCAAGTGAGGCAAGGGATTGACTGTTTCCCAGGACCCTTTCGGTGTGATAGAAATAGCAGCTAGTTGATACCCCATAGGTTGTTTTTTTTTTTTTTTTAAAAAAGAAAAGAAATAGCAGCTAGCCTTGGTAGATGGCAGAGGAATGGGGCTGGGAGAGATTAAGTGTTTATCTGGCCTTTCTGGAAGGAATGAACTTTGGTCTGGATTCTTGGTATAGTAGTAAAAAATTAAGTTAGCAGTGTCTAGTTTAGATCCAATATTTCTATTTGTTTTATCATTAAAATATAGAAGTTTAAAAACTAAAACTTTCTATCTTGTATCTCTGTAGCTGTCTCATTTCCCTAATTAATACTCCACTAGGTAATTATTATTAAGATTAAAATTTGATATATAATCTTTCTGACATTCTTCTATGCACATACATGCATTTTTAATACTTAAAATCGCATACACACTCCCTGGTTGCCGGTCCCTTTTCCCTCTATTATTGTGGACATGTTTCCATATCATTTCATATAGATCAACCTTATTCTTTCTCATGGCTACATAATTCCATAGTATGCATTTGTAATATCTTTAACCAGATTGGTAGACACTTACTTATATTGTTGCCTTTTACATACATCCGTGTATCCTTGTGGGGAGTATACTGGTAGGGTAAATTTCTGGAAGTGAAATTGCTGGATCAAAGAATCAACACATTTTAAATTGATAGGTTCAAACTATCCTCCAGAAAAGATTATGGCAATTTATGTTTCCAAAAACAGTGTGAAATATCTTCTTAGAGATTATTAGTCTTAAATATTTGCTAGCCCAAGAGTTAATTTTGATTAACTCTTGATTTTATATTTTCTTAGTTATGACAGGTTTAACATTTATTTTCTATATGGAAAGCAATATTATTTTGATAAGCAAATCAATTTTTTAAACTGTTTGTTTGTTTGTTTTTTTGGAGACAGAGTAAGCTTGCTCTGTTGCCCAGGCTGGAGTGCAGTGGTGTGATCTCAGCTCATGGTACCTCTGCCTCCGGGGTTCAATTAATTTTGCCTCAGCCTCCCAAGTAGCTGGGACTACAGGTGCACGCCGCCATGCCTGGCTAATTTTTTGTATTTTAGTTGAGACAGGGTTTCACTGTGTTGCTCAGGCTGGTCTCAAGCTCCTGAGCTCAGACAATCCTCCTGTCTTGGCCTCCCAAAGTGCTAGGATTACACACGTGAGCCACCGCACCCAACTGAAACTGTTTTTGAAATGTGATTACAGCCAATACTTTTTAAAAGTATACTTCGTAAATTCATATAAAATATTGATAGTGTTCTATATTTTTTGAATAGTTGGCATAAAGAGCCATTTTAAAACATACAAATTATTATTTACATCTTTGAAATAATTGTTATGCTTTACAAAGGGACTTTATTCAGCATAATGTGTCTTTAGCAAACAGATCATTCTAATTGGTTTTAAATATTTTATTAAGAGTTCTAAATTTTCTGGTATTTAAATTTTTGCTCATTTGTCAGAGCAATAGAGAATAGTCCCTATATAGGTAATATACTGGTAATCTCTGAATTTTGCTTCTTTGGATTTTTAAATCTTGTTCATTGGTGGCTATGTTTCACTTTTCATGATTTTAATTAGTAATTTACTACTTTGTATATGACTTCCTTATTCCTGCATTCTATTTAATGTCATATTTTTTCAAGACAGCCATCTAGTGGCAAATAAGAGAAATGAAGGATCCCAAGTACACCATGAAAATTGTTTCATTAGTATGCCTATGAGAAATGAAGTTTGCTGTGTTACTGAATGTAGCAGATGTTTCAGTTGGTATGTTGCATGTATATGAAAAAATACACATAGGCAATCACAAATTTATATTTTTAAATATTAAGAGTAAGCTGGGCGGGTGCAGTGGCTCACACCTTAATTCCAGCACTTTGGGACACCAAAGTGGGTGTATCACCTGAGGTCAGGAGTTTGAGACCAGCCTGGGCAACATGGTGAAACCCCGTCTCTACGAAAATATAAAAATTAGCCAGTCGTGGTGGCACTAGCCTGTAATCCCAGCTACTCAGGAGGCTGAGGCATGAGAATCGCTTCATCCTGGGAGGTGGAGGTTGCGGTGAGTCGAGATCGCACCATTGCACTCCAGCCTGGGTGATTGAGCGAGTCTCCATCTCAAAAAAAAAAAAAAAGTAAGCTAATGATAGTAATAACATTGGGGAAGTAAATTTCTTGCCTTATACATAATAGATAAATTTGGTACCATATGAGCACTCAGCAAGAGTGCCTTAGGTTTTATTTTTTTGGTTTTTTTTTTTCAGTAAGTATTTATTTTTTTTATTTTTTTATTTTTTTATTTCTTTTTGGTTTTGATTTATATATTTTTTTTTTAATTGATCATTCTTGGGTGTTTCTCGCAGAGGGGCATTTGGCAGGGTCATAGGACAATAGTGGAGGGAAGGTCAGCAGATAAACAAGTGAACAAAGGTCTCTGGTTTTCCTAGGCAGAGGACCCTGGGGCCTTCCGCAGTGTTTGTGTCCCTGGATACTTGAGATTAGGGAGTGGTGATGACTCTTAACGAGCATGCTGCCTTCAAGCATCTGTTTAACAAAGCACATCTTGCACCGCCCTTAATCCATTTAACCCTGAGTGGACACAGCACATGTTTCAGAGAGCACCAGGTTGGGGGTAAGGTCATAGATCAACAGCATCCCAAGGCAGAAGAATTTTTCTTAGTACGGAACAAAATAGAGTCTCCTATGTCTACTTCTTTCTACACAGACACAGCAACAATCTGATTTCTCTATCTTTTCCCCACATTTCCCCCTTTTCTATTCGACAAAACCGCCATCGTCATCATGGCCCGTTCTCAATGAGCTGTTGGGTACACCTCCCAGACGGGGTGGCGGCCGGGCAGAGGGGCTCCTCAATTCCCAGAAGGGGCGGCCGGGCAAAGGCACCCCTCACCTCCCGGACGGGGCGCCAGCTGGGCAGAGGCGCCCCCCCACCTCCTGGACGGGGCGGCTGGCCAGGCGGGGGCTGCCCCCCACCTCCCTCCCTGACGGGGCGGCTGGCGGGCCGGGGGCTGGCCCCCACCTCCCTCCCAGACGGGGTGGCTGGCCGGGCGGGGGCTGCCCCCCACCTACCTCCCGGATGGGGCGGCTGGCCGGGCGGGGGCTGCCCCCCACCTCCCTCCCTGATGGGGCGGCTGGCCGGGCGGGGGCTGCCCCCCACCTCCCGGACAGGGCGGCTGCCGGGCGGAGACGCTCCTCACTTCCCAGACGGGGCGGCTGCTGGACGGAGGGGCTCCTCACTTCTCAGACGGGGCGGCTGCCGGGCGGAGGGGCTCCTCACTTCTCAGACGGGGCGGCTGCCGGGCGGAGGGGCTCCTCACCTCCCAGACGGGGTCGCGGCTGGGCAGAGGCGCTCCTCACATCCCAGATGGGGCGGTGGGGCAGAGGCGCTCCCCACATCTCAGACAATGGGCAGCCGAGCAGAGACGCTCCTCACTTCCTAGACGGGATGGCGGCCGGGAAGAGGCGCTCCTCACTTCCCAGACTGGGCAGCCGGGCAGAGAGGCTCCTCACATCCCAGACGATGGGTGGCCAGGCAGAGACGCTCCTCACTTCCCAGACGGGGTGGCGGCCGGGCAGAGGCTGCAGTCTCAGCACTTTGGGAGGCCAAGGCAGGCGGCTGGGAGGTGGAGGTTGTAGCGAGCCGAGATCAGACCACTGCACTCCAGCCTGGGCAACATTGAGCACTGAGTGAACGAGACTCCATCTGCAATCCCGGCACCTCGGGAGGCCAAGGCTGGCAGATCACTCGCGGTTAGGAGCTGGAGACCAGCCCGGCCAACACAGCGAAACCCCGTCTCCACCAAAAAAATATGAAAACCAGTCAGGCGTGGCGGCATGCGCCTGCAATCTCAGGCACTCAGCAGGCTGAGGCAGGAGAATCAGGCAGGGAGGTTGCAGTGAGCAGAGATGGTGGCAGTACAGTCCAGCTTCAGCTCGGCATCAGAGGGAGACCGTGGAAAGAGAGGGAGAGGGAGACCCGTGGCGGTGGGTGGGGGAGGGGGAGGGGGTTTTATTTTTTATTTGATTCTGTTTTTTAATTTTTTATTTTTTCTTCAGACAGAGTTTTGCTCTTGTTGCCCAGCCTGGAGTGCAGTGGCACCATCTCAGCTCGCTGCAACCTCCACCTCCCAGGTTCAAGCAATTCTCCTGCCTCAGCTTCCAAGTAGCTGGGATTACAGGCACCTGCTACCATGCCTGGCTAATTTTGTATTTTTAGTAGAGACAGGGTTTCACTATGTTGGTCAGGCTGGTCTCGAACTCCTGACCTCACGTGATCCACCCCATTGGCTTCCCAAAGTGCTGGAATTTCAGGCGTGAGCCACCGGGCCCAGCCTAAGAGTGGCTTAGGTTTTAGAAGAACAACAAAAATGATAAGATTAAAAATAAATGAGACTTTCAAGAAATACGGATTTTTATTAAACCCGAACAAGTAAAAATCTGTATTTAGCAGCATATGAATATATGGCCTTAGTATTCCTGTGCAGGTGGAATTCTGGAAAGATCACAGACTATGAAGCTAAACTTAGGTTGACATCTTGACTTTGCCACTAAGTGCATAACTTTGAGCAAAGAACTTAACGCTTAGGCCTTCTTTCTTTAAAAGAAGTATTAGCATTGGCTGAGCACCGTGGCTCATGCCTGTAATCCCAGCACTTTGGGAGGCCGAGGCAGGTGGATCACGAGGTCAGGAGATCGAGACCATCCTGGTTAACACAGTGAAACCCCATCTCTACTAAAAATACAAAACATTAGCTGGGCGTGGTGGCACGCACCTGTAGTCTCAGCTACTCAGGAGGCTAAGGCAGGAGAGTCGCTTGAACCTGGGAGGCGGAGGTTGCAGTGAGCTGAGATGGCACCACTGTGCCCCAGCCTGAGCAACAGAGCAAGACTCCGTCTCATAAATAAATAAATAAATAAATATATAAAATAAAGTGGTGGCATCTACCAGGCAGCATTGCATGAGTGTCACAGGGTAATTGTTTAACGTAATTTTGAATAAAATATATTGTGATGAAGTGGAAAGAGCTTGGATTTTTTTTTTTTTTTTTTTTTTGAGACCGAGTGCTGCTGTGTCACCCAGGCTGGAATGCAGTGGTGCGATTTTGTCTCACTGCTGCCACCTCCCAGATGTAAGCGGTTTTCCCACCTCAACCTCCCCAGTAGCTGGAACTACAGGCATGCATCACCATGTCCAGCTAGTTTTTGTATGTTTTAGTAGAGATGGGATTTCACCATGTTGGCCAGGCTGGTCTCAAACTCCTGACCTCAGGTGATCCACCCACCTTGGCCTTCCAAAGTGTTTGGATTACAGGCGTGAGCCACCGTGTCCGGCCAGAGCTTGGATCTTTAATGTCAGCCAGACATGATTGGATTTGTGGCTTAACCACTTAACTAGCACATTCATACAGGTGGTCCCCCAATTTATGATCGTTCAGCTTACTATTTTTCAGCTCTACAACGGTGCGAAAGTGGTACACATTCAGTAAGTTTCTGGACGTATGAGGGGGTTACATCTAGATAAACTTACTTTGAATTGAAAATACTTTAAGTCAAAAATGCACTTTCAACTTAACATTATTTTCAACTTAGGATGGGCGTGTTGGGATGTAGCCCCATCATAAGTCGCAGACCATCTGTATATAAAATGTTAGTGATAATACCTACCTAGTGGGAAAGTTACGATTAATAATATATATAAAATGTCTGACAGTGTGTTTAACATATTGTAGATATTTTTAAATCTTTACTTTATAAATATATATCCTTCGGTCTTTTTTTATTTGCTTAAATCAAGTTGCTTATAAAGATTTGTTGAAAAAGAGGCAGAGAGAGGAGTAGTGGGAACAACACTGTACCAGGTAGCATAAGACTAGATTTCAGTCTTAACTCTTCCACTAACTTCATAATTCCTGTGGGTAATCATTTATGTTGAACACACGATTTTTTTTTCTTGTCTTAGTGTTTTCTAAGAAGGCCCAATTTAATGTGTAAAATAGAACCTGTGAACCTATTGCCCCACAGCGTTTATCCTTATTATCAAAGATTGACCTCAGGATTACCCGCATTCTCCATTTACATGCTTGTTGAATCCTAAACACATTACATTTTACACATGCACATTTTGCTTACTCAATATTTTATGAAAGAGAGAAAATCAACTAGGAGAGGCATAGTCTCTGTGGTACGTGAGTGCTAATGGTCTGTTTTGTCTTCAGTTCTTTTTGCCATCTGTCAGTTGTACCATATTGGAATTAATCTTTCTATTCTGTGGAACACTGGTAATTTGTGATTGTATGCTGTTTGTCAGATCCCTTGTCTTATAGCAGATGCTTGTAGCAATCACAGGTAAAGTCTGTTCGTTTTATATAGTACATCATTGTAATGAGGTAATAAATTTTAATTTTTTTAAAAAGAAATCATAGATGTAAGTGCATCATTAAATGAAGCAAGTTGCCTTCATCTAGGTTATACGTACACATGCATGACTGTTGGCAAGCTTTGAGATGGAGTAAATTTATATGAAAAGAAAAATAGTGGAGATTTATAGAAAATTGAGGTGAGCTTATTTTAAAAGTGGTACAGTTACATAAAATGCTTCATACTATATTTTTCCCTCATGAATAGATACGTAGTTTATTAGTCTATACCCAGTGTACCTCTCTGTGTGTCTCTGTTGATTCTAATGCTTGTTTAAATCAGTGGATAAAAGGGGAAAAAATAAAAGTACTGCATTTTTTTTTCATGATCAGATCTGATTTAATGGGTAGAGATTGCTTATAGTTATCATCAGTTAGTTACATATAAATGCTTGTAAATTCTTAAATAGTTGGTTCTCCGGTGTTTCTTAATTTTCTCAGAATTACTATATAAATTTCTACTGGCTATAAAGAAAGGTTTTTTTTTTTTTTTTTAACTGCAGCCAGTCTTTGTCCCAGTAATGACAAATTATAACTGACTTGATAGTGTATGAATTAATGGCATTTTATTCATAAAAACTATCTAAATATTTAATGAAAACTAAAGGTATATTGCTCTATATTCTAATATAAAACCATTTTGTGGCATATTTCTATTGGCTTTTTCTTTAGATTTCAGAAGTTGATTGCAAAGATGCACTGGAAATGATCTGTAACTTAGAATCTGAGGGTGATGAAAAAAGCGCTCTTGTTTTATGTACTGCGTTTTTGTCACGTCAGCTCCAACAAGGAGATATGTACTGCGCTTGGTGAGTTGATCTTTTTTTTTTTAAAGAAATATTTGTTAAATAAGAATGCAAAATAGGCTGTGAGAATTCATATAACTTAGGAACATAATTTAAAATCTTTTTAAGACAAAAGGCTTATATTTAGATATTACATGCTGTGCAAACTTATTATCGAGTAGTTGTTACAACTCAAAACTTTGTGTATTAAAGGCCACACAATTCCTTAGCATGCATACCAGGAATTATCTTTGGTCAGGAAATTTTTAAGTGTTAGAAAGTGAAAGAAAGACTTGTTTTGTCTAATGCCACCATAACATTTTTTTAGATATGTAAGCAATACATTTCTTTTTATGGTACATTTTCAGTTGGGCATAGCTTGTTATATGTAATCCTTTGGGAGGCTACAGGAAACAGAGATCTTGGTTTCAGTTAATGTAAAAACTGAAGATCAGCTGCCTTAAATTAGCTTAGCTAACACTGACAATTTATCTGGTCAGTCAACAGCACTATTAGTCTTCAGTGTTGTGTTGATATTATGGGAACACATAAGAAAATTTGATTTATAAAATTCCAACATTTAAGAATATTTACCAAATGACAGCATACAAATGAATAATAGAACAGCCAAGGTAAATCAATGGTTGTGTAATCAATAAAGATTGAAGCTTATAAAGGATTTCTGAGCATTGAGCCTCGTTATGAAGGAAAAATAGTATATGCAATACAGAGAGGCTTGGTGTGAAAGGCAGAAAGATTCTGAAGGGAGAATAAATAAGAAGTATTTATCCAGGACAAGTGTAATAGGTTTTCTAGTTATACCAGCATGAAAATCAGTGATGACTAAGAAATTAATGTGTTTTGTTGGTTTTTACAAAGGCATCAAAAGCTGAGTTTCATATGCTAAGCAAAAGCAGTCCATTATAAGCTCTTGAAGGGCAACATAGAAGTTTATGTTTAAGAAACACTGTTGAAGATAAGCAGTTGTGAGTTGATTGATGACTCAGTAGTGAGGGCAGAGTTGGGCAAAGAAGTAGTAGTACAGAGTTCAGACAGAAAATCACCTGGAAAGCCAGTAAATCAACTGGGAAATTACTGTGGCACAGATTGGTTTCTTCTGGGTTTTTTGTCATCATTGGTTCTTATATTCATCTAATAATAATAACCTTATTGTCAATTTTAAATTTGTTAGAAGATAAAAGAGAAATGCTGTTTAAAAATCATGTCATTGATTTTTTTTATATATATATTATATATACACATGCACACACATATATACGTACACACACATATCTTGAGCTTTCTTATTACATAAAGTTCACATGTGGCTCAAAGTCATCATCTGTAAAACTTGTTTAAATGTTAAATGCTGGCCGGGCACAGTGGCTCATGCCTGTAATCCCAGCACTGTGGGTGGCCGAGGTGGGCGGATCACCTGAGGTCAGGAGTTTGAGACCAGCCTGGCCAACATGGTGAAACCCCATCTCTACTAAAAATACAAAAATTAACCAGGCATGGCAGTGCGCGCCTGTAATCCCAGCTACTCAGGAGGCTGAGGCAGAAGAATCGCTTGAACCCGGGAGGCAAGGTTGCAGTGAGCCGAGATTGCGTCACTGCACTTCAGCCTGGGTGACAGTGAGACTGTCTCAGAAAAAAAAAAATGTTAGATGCTTTCCTAGTAGAAGGTAGTGCTTCTCTGGGACTGAAAAATATTAATTAATAAAATGATAAATCATATTCTGATTTTATTTGGTATTTAGAAAATTGGGATCTGTTTTCTTGCATTTTAACTTAAGCATGCATATAGGATTGGAATATAAAACCAGTTTTAATTTCAAATGTAATGACTGGACTGATGTCCATGATTATTACCTTACTGCTCCAACTTTTCTTATTATAACTTTTTTTTTTTAAGGGAACTTACTCTCTTTTGGAGTAAATTACAACAAAGAGTAGAACCATCTATACAAGTGTACCTTGAGAGGTGTCGTCAACTTTCTTTGTTAACGAAAACAGTATATCACATTTTCTTCCTGATTAAAGTTATTAATTCAGAGGTAAGAATAATCAGAATATTTTTAAGGTTAAAATGTGTACATTATCATTAATAAAAGACTATAACTTTTATGATTTTGGCTCCCTTTTCAGTGATTTTTAAATTTTTTCAGTTAGTCCTTTGAACATTTTCTTGTTAGTCCTTTAAGATATTTGATACAGAAAAACTTAAAAATGCAGTTGAGAACCAGGGACTTGTTCTTAGCCAGAAGAAAAGTAATATGTAATACTTAAATTATATCATTCTTCTGTTTTGGTTCTAGGGGTTATACTACTTTGATAATTTGGCTATAGAAATTTAAAAAGTAGGCTGGGCGTGGTGGCTCATGCCTGTAATCCCAGCACTTTGGGAGGCCAAGGCAGGCAGATCACAAGGTCAGGAGTTCGAGACCAACCTGGCCAATATAGTGAAACCCTGTCTCTACTAAAAATACAAAAATTAGCCAGGTGTGGTGGCGTGCACCTGTAATCCCAGCTACTCAGGAGGCTGAGGCAGTAGAATTGCTTGAACCTGGGAGGCGGAGATTGCAGTGAGCTGAGATCGTGCCTCTGCACTCGAGCCTGGGCAACAGAGCGAGACTCCATCTCAAACAAACAAACAAACGAACAAAAAAAGAAATTTTAAAAGTATAAAGAAAAATATATAGTGCTAGGTTCCTCTGCTAGCAGAAGGGAAGATTACATTATCTGAAATTTTACAAACAGCCACAAATACGTGATAAAATAAAACAAACATCTTTTTTTAGTGTATAGCAGCTGAGATTGCAGGAATATTTGGGCTCAAAAGGTAAAACCTAAAAACGGGAACAGAAAGCTTGAACTGATGCTGAGTCTCACCTAACCTGGAGATTGGGATATGTTGCTTCTTGCAGTGACTAAGTAGTTGGAAGTTTGATATCTACACAGGGACAGGAGATAGCTATACAGATATAAGATCCTGGGCCAGGCCAGGCTGCTCACATCCATAGTCCCAGTACTTTGGGAGGCCAAGGTGGGCGGATGACTTGAGGTCAGAAGTTTGAGATCAGCCTGGCCAACATGATGAAACCCCATCTCTACTAAAGTAAGTACAAAAGTTAGCCAGAATTGATGGCGCCTGCCTGTAGTCCCTGCTGAGGTGGGAGGATGGCTTGAACCTCAGAGGCAGCGATTACAGTGAGCCGAGATTGCACCACTGCGCTCCAGCCTGGGTGACAAGCAAGATCCTGTCTCAAAAACAAAAAGCAGGCCGGACGGACATGGTGGCTCACGCCTGTAATCCCAGCATTTTGGGAGGCCAAGGCGGGTGGATCACATAAGCCCAGAAGTTCAAGACCAGCCTGGCCAACATGGCAAAACCATGCTCTACTAAAAATAAAGAAAATTAGCTGTTCATGGTGGCAGGTGCCTGTAGTCCCAGCTACTCTGGAAGCTGAGACACAGGAATCGCTTGAGCCCAGGAGGTGGAGGTTACAGTGAGCTGGAGGTTACAGTGAGCCAAGGTTATACCACTGCACTCCAGCCTGGGAAACAGAGTGAGACTTGGTCTTAAAAAAAAAAAAAAAAGATCTTGGGCCAGCTCTTCTTGTCTACTTGGGTAGGTAGATCTGAAACAACCACCCCCTCACCACCGCCCCCTGCCACCCGCAACACACACACATGCGCACGCACGTGCATGCATGCATGCATGCACAATCACTACATGAAGCTGGAACCTGTGAAGTACTTTAATTTTATTGAAAAGGTAGACTAGAAAAATAATACTGTCTAACACATATGGATGGTAGGGAATTTTAGGTATGTCCAACTGGACTCTGGGTCAGAGGAGGAAAATCTTTAGGAAGTTATAACTACAAGTCTACCCTCATACAGATTTGGGAGCCACATTTACCCTAGCTGTGTAGTTCAGAAATCCGTATGCCAAGTAAGTTAATGTTTAAGAAGGTGAGGATGAATACCTAAGATTCCTGCAGAAGAAAATGCAGAACTGCTTTAGGAGGGACATATTGTCAACACAGGCGTCTCATAAAGCCCTGCTTTAACATGAGTTCACCATTAAGATTTATAAACATACAAAACTATCTGACCTGAGTGATTTTCAGCAAAGGAATAATAGGATTACTTGCCTAATACTTTAAATAATATAATTATGGAAAAATCTAGGAAGTATATGTATTTAAACACTTAAAATTTAGGAATTAAAGTATGAGAAAGTATCAAAATGACCAAGCAGATCGTAAAAAGAGTCAAAAGAACGTTTGGAAATAAACATACATAGTTATCGAAATGAAAATTTTAGCAGATGGATTATACAGATTAGACACAACTGAAGAGGGAGTTAATGAACAGAGGTTGTATATGTGCTTCCACTTATTTTTTACTATTAAGTATTAATAAATCAGAACTCAAGTTTCATAAAGTTACTGATTTTCTTATAGTAACCTTTGTAGAAATGCAGTTGATTTCCATTTAAATGTACATAGGAAACACCTTCCAAAGGTGCTACCATTGTGTAGAATCTAAAAACTGAGATGCAGCATGATAACAAGAAGTATTTTTAAGTGAATTTTTTATTTGTTTTTTATTTGTATTTTGTAATTGTTTTTGAAAGGAAAGACCAAAAGATACTTCCCTATCC
This sequence comes from Homo sapiens, assembly GCF_000001405.40. Classification (NCBI taxonomy): domain Eukaryota; kingdom Metazoa; phylum Chordata; class Mammalia; order Primates; family Hominidae; genus Homo; species Homo sapiens. The sequence continues at coordinate 87,248,260 of NC_000006.12, forward strand.
CTCTTTATAAGTACCTTTTAAAATCTGTCATTGGTCAGTAAGTCTTAGATGTATCTTCATTTTTCTCTTCTAAAAATAATTTCATTTTCAGGAGGAAAGAATATGAATGAATCCTGCTTTCCAGTTTTTCCTCTGTCAACCTTGTTAACTTGTCCTGATTTTTCATTTATATATTGTGGTGCTGCAGTTAAAAAATAAAGTAGCTGGGCATGGGAGTGCACGCCTGAGTCCCAGGCTAGTTGGGAAGCTGAGGCTAGAGGATCACTTGAGCCCCAGATTTCAAGACCAGCCTGGGCAACACAGCAAGACCCTGTCTCCAAAACAAAACAAACAAAAACCTGAAAGGGGCCAATAATAAATTTCCTATGAAACTACTATGCAGTTTTAAATCATAGGTTGTGCCACTAACTTAAAGAGCAGCATGACAGAGTAGAGTAGAAAGAACTTGGAACTAGAAGCCAAACTGGCTATAAATCTTGACTTGCAATTGACCTTAATCACCATAGGTTTCATTATTAAATCAGATGAATGGAGGAGGTTAGGTAAAAGTGACCATCCTTCTTCAGTCTTACTCACCACTCATAAAGAGACCATGGTGGGCCAGAGGATGGGGTGCAAAATACTGGACAAGAGCTGCATTGTCCATTATGGTAGTCACATTTTAGTTGCTGAGTAGCTCCATGTTGCTAGTGGCAATCCTACTGGACAGCACAGATATAGAACATTCCTGTTATCACTAATAGTTCTGTTGGGTAACACTATTCCAGAGAGTTTGGGTTCAGAATTAGAGTATATAAAAAAGCAGTTAAAAGTATGAATAGCTTTGGAAGTTGGCCATGGCAGCAGCCTTCTTCTCTGTTGTTGCTTTTGTTGGTTCATTGGTTTTTGAGAGAGTCTTCCTCTGTCATCCAGACTGGAGTGCAGTGCTGCAATCACAGCTCACTGCAGCTTCAACTTCCCAGGCTTGAGCAATGCTGTCACCTCAGCCCCCTAAGTAGCTGGGACTACAGGTGTGTACCATCACACTTGGCTAATTTTTTTATTTTTTGTAGAGATGGGGTCTCACTATATTGCCCAGATTTATCTCCAACTCCTGGGCTCAAGTAATTCTCCGTGCCTTGGCCTTCCAAAGTGGTGGGATTACAGGTATGAGCCACCACACATGACCTTCGCAGCAGCCTTCTTGACAGGGATAGTATGCACCATGGTAATTGCTCTGTCCAAAAACCTTGCTTCTTGTTGCATGAAATGTTTTTCCCTTTTTTTTTCTACTTTCTGAAATCTGATCAAGCAGAGGTTTTATCTTAAAACTAGAATCATAGATTATTATTATTTTAGGACTGAAGAGACCTTAAAGTTAAGCTATAGTGATTAGATTCTGGTGTAATAACTCTCTTCATTTTCCATATAGAGAGGTTAACCTCGATGTAGTGATTTGAATTAACTGGTAACCTTTTTTTTTCTTTTTGTTATGGAGTCTCCCTCTGTTGCCCAGGCTGCAGTGCAGTAGTGCAATCTCGGCTCACTACAACCTCCATCTCTTAGGTACAAGCGATTCTCGTGCCTCAGCCTCTTGAGTAGCCAGGATTACAGGCGGACGCCACCATGCCCAGCTAATTTTTGTATTTTTAGTAGAGACAGGGTTTTACTATGTTTGCCAGGCTGGTCTCGAACTCCTGACCTCAGATGATCTGCCCACCTCAGCCTCCCAAAGTGCTAGGATTATAGGCGTGAGCCACTGTACCCAGCCAACTGGTAACCCTTAAAAAAAAAAAAACAAAAAAAAAAACTCCAGGAATTGAAGACTATCAACCAGCTACTCATATGTTAATTTAAAATACAGTTGGCCCTCCATATTCATAGGTTCCACATCAGTGGATTCAACCACCTACTGATTGAAAATATTCAGGGGCCAGGTGTGATGGCTCACCTGTAATCCCAGCACCTTGGAAGGCTTAAACCCAGGAGTTTGAGCCAGCCTGGGTAAAACAGTGAAACCTGATCTCTACCAAAAAAAAAAAAATAAGCCAAACATGGTGTGTGCCTGTAATCCCAGCTACTCAGGAGGCTGAGATGGGAGGATCACTTGAGCCTGGGAGGCAGAAATTGCAGTGAGCCAAGATCATGCCACTGAGCCAGGTTCACTCCACTGCACTTCAGCCTGGGTGACAAAGTGAGACCCTGTCTCAAAAAAGAAAAGGAAAAAAAAATTCTATAGAGTTCCAAAAAGCAAAACTTGAGTTTGCCACAAGTGTACTGTATTGAATCTATGCAAATGAAGTAATATGTAGCCATTGTATTAGGTATTATAAGTAATACAGAGATGAATTAAATTATGTGAGAAGATGTCCATAGTTTGTATGCAAATACTATGCCATTTTATATAAGGGACTTGAGCATTGTGGATTTTGGTATCCACAGGAATCCTGGAACCAATGCCCCCAGATTCTAAAGGACAACTGTAATTAATGTCTTAAATCCTAATTGAGATCTGCAAAGGAATTGGAGCAGATGGCTTGGGATCTTTTTATTTATATAGTATACTCTTCACTAGACTCCTTGAGGTTTAAGAGTTGAAAAATACATCCCTGCCTTTAAGGATTTTGTAGTCTGTTGATGGAAACTCAAAACCAGTAGCAATATTATATGGGTCTTTCTACTAGAGTGGAATCTTGAATATCCAGTGAGGGTACATTGCTTAGTGCAGTGCCTGGTATAAAGTAGGTGCTGAATGAATAAAAGAAGTGGGCCATAATAACCCACTTGTCTATTTTCGTTACTCACTTAGTAATGGCTAAAGAGGGAGGAGAGAGTGTTCCTAGTCACAGAAAAAAACACATAAAGTAGTATCAAGACAAATGAGAGAATGGAATATTTGGGGAACTACAGGTAGCTCAGTTGTTTGAGTAGAGGGAAAGATAAAAGAGGAAACTAGAACAGATGAGGCAGTGGTCAGACTGTGAAGTCCTTTTCGTATTCCACACTAAGGTTTATATTTCATTCTGAAATACATGGTAATTATTTAAAGAGTTTTAAAACAGGGTAAAGCATGATGTTATGAGTGGGCAGGGAAGAACTGAATGGGATGTTACATGGGAAACTGAAAGCAACATGCAAGCCTTGGGTGGCTTTAGGTCAAGGATACTAGGCAGCCAGAGGGAAAGAACAGAAAAGGCAATGGGAAGAGGGTACAAAAGACAAACCTTTCTGTTTTCCAGAACTTACCTGGTGCTGTTCTTTTCCTGGAAAGGGATTGAGTTTCTGTTCCTCCTCTGAATTAATGTCACTTAGCTTTCTGTTCCTGTGACTCATCAATTTAAGCTTGTGCTATTAGTATTTGTGATTAACTGTTATGAATTAAATAGATTTTTATGGGCAAATCACTTAATTACATTGTCTTTATAGAAAATTGTTGTGAATTTTAATTCAACTTTTAAAACTTACCTGCTGTATAGCCAGTTTATGATTTGAATATTGCCTGTTCACTTATTTTCAAGTACACACATGAAAGGTCAGAAGGAAAAAAAATTGTAAAATATAGTTTCTTTTGTTTCATTGTCATTAATGTAAAGGTTTCAGGTTTAATTATAACATGAAAATGTTTTTAAAGCAAATTTATTGAGGCTCCTCACCCTTAATGAATCAAAATGAACCTTTGAATTTAGTTGCAGACTGGATTAGAATAGAATGTCAGTGGAATTCCCCTTTTAAATAATTTTAGATGTGTCTTGTGAGCAATAAGTAGAATTCTTTAATCAGCTTTTGCCATTCCTGGAGAAAAGGCTCAATATTCATATGATATAAAATAGTTATATTCTGCAAGACAGATACCCTTCATCCAGAAATCCTTCATTCTCTGAATCCTTTCTGTTTGTTGTTTGTTTTTTTTTTGTTTTTTGTGTTTTTTTTGAGACGTTGTTTTGCTCTCGTTGCCCAGGCTGGAGTGCAGTGGTGCAGTCTCGGCTCACTGCAACCTCTGCCTCCCGTGTTCAAGTGATTCTCCTGCCTTAGCCTCCTCAGTAGCTGGGATTACAGGTGCCCGCCACCACGCCTGGCTAATTTTTTGTATTTTTGGTAGAGACTGGGTTTCATCATGTTGGCCAGGCTGGTCTCAAACTTCTGACCTCACATGATCCACCTGCCTCAGCCTCCCAAAGTGCAGGGATTAACAGGCGTGAGCCACCACACCAGGCCTCTCTTAATCCTTTTTTAAAATTTCTCCATCATTTCCTGAATTTCTGAATAATCACACTGCTTCTCAGAACTTTCACCAGTAAGAACTTGTACCAGTTCTTCTGACATTATTATATGTGCCTTCAGTATTACTTTTAATCATCTTTATGGTTTACTTGGCCCTTAATTCCTCCCAGACTTCTTTCTTTGTGTCTTTCTGTGTGTAGTATGCAGCTTCACAGACCACAGGTGATTTTTTTCTTTCTTGCATATCGTAATAGAGGAGTGGCCTAATTGTTCACCATTAGCAGCCCCTTAAGGCATGTAACAGAGATGCAGATGTTTTACTGTACAAGTTTTAAGGCACAGATCTATCTAGGAATAGTATAACATATACAAGTTTATATGAAATCAAGAGACACCCATATGGTCCCACTTCCTTCCCAGTTTTCATCTTCCCTGTCATTTTTTATTTTTTTATTATTATTTTTAAGAGACAGGGTCTTGCTCTGTTGCCCAGGCTGGAGTGCAGTGTGCAATCCTAGCTTACTGCAGCCTCGAATTCCCAATTTCAAGCAATCCTCCTGCCTCAGCTTTCTTTGTAGCTAGGATTACAGGCACATGCCACCATGCCCAGCTAATTTTTTTTCTTTTTTTTTTGATAGAGATGAGGTCTTTCTGTATTGCCTAGGCTGGTGTCAAACTCTTGGCCTCAATCAGTCCCTCCCACCTTGCCTTCCCAAAGCACTGGGATTACACGCATAAACCATGAGCCACCATGCCCAGCCTTTTTTTTTTTTTTTTTTTTTTGAGACAGGGTCTCACTTTTGTCATGCAGGCTGGATTGTTGCAGTGGTGCGATCTCTGCTCACTGCAGCCTCAGCCTTCCAGGTTCAAGCGATCCTCCTTCCTCAGCCCCACAGGTAGCTGGGACTACAGCTGCATACCACCACACCTGGCTAATTTTTGTACTTTTTATAGAGATGGGGGTTTCCCTATGTTGCCCAGGTTGGTCTCGAACTCCTGAGATCAAGCGATCCTCCTGCCTCGGCCTTCCAAAGTGCTTGGATTATAAGCATGAGCCACCGCACCCAGCCTAACCTATCATTTTAAAAATACGTCTCTTCATACTTTTCTTTCTATTCATTTTCTTTTTGGTCATTGTGCTCTTGCTGTTTCTAAAATCAAGACCAATTCAGTATCCCAGGCTCCTTTTCCTTTTTAGTAAAAATACTAAAATACTTTTGCCCTACAAGTTTAAGCTTCTGATTTAGTAAAATATTTTCTTCTTAACTTAATGAAAATAGAGGCCCTATCAGTTCTCTCTACTTATTTTCTTTGTTGCCTTTTGATCCTGTATCGTACATATTTTATTCCAGTGAATGTGGCCACATCCTGTGGCTATCTTATTTCTCATTTATCATTGTTCCCTTCTGGTCTTTAAAACCCATTTTTATCTCTTTACTCCATGTGTCTTTCAAATGACTTACCTTTGTTATTGCTATCTAATAATAATAGTTCAAGATGCTAATTCAAAAGAAAAAGTTTGTTGGGCTATGTCTACCCCTACTCCTAATTCTTAAGCTGGTCCAGCCATGAGGTAGGTAATTTGACATTTGGTTTTATGATAGCACTAGAATCTCCACTATTAGGGATTAGTACCTTATTTTATAGAAGCAAACTATTTCTTTCAGTACTGATCAGTTTGGAAATATGGGGATGTTCTCAGTTTTATAATTAGATTAGAAGGGTTTTGTTTCAGTTAGATTGCTTATGCAAACAGGAAGTAAGAGTTACAATAAGGATGACATTTATTGATCATTTACTATGTGCCAGACATTATACTAAACTATAACACATATTTAATCTCCTTTAATACAGCAGTTTAATGAAGTTTAAGTGCTGTTTTGACCTCTGTTTTATAAGTGGGATGGGAAAGGTCAGAAAAGTCAAATAACTTCCAAGTTTGCCTAGCCATTAAATAATTCCATACCAAAGTCTTAGCTTCTAATACTTAAACATTTTCTGCCCTTCTATGCAGTTCATTTTACATACACACATACCAGACTAAGCTGCAGTGCTTTAGAAGGGGAATCCTTTCATAAGTTGCTATTGCAAGATTTGAGTAAAACAAATCTCAATCTTAACTAAATTCTGAAATAAATTAGTGTTGATTAGTGTAGATTAAATTAACATTTCCTATTTGCTTTTTCACAGACTGAAGGGGCTGGACTTGCTACCTGTATAGAACTGTGTGTAAAGGCTCTTCGCTTGGAGTCTACAGAAAATACTGAAGTGAAAATATCTATTTGCAAGACCATTTCATGTTTGTTGCCTGATGATCTGGAAGTTAAACGTGCTTGTCAACTGAGTGAATTTCTTATTGAGCCTACAGTAGATGCGTATTATGCTGTGGAAATGTTGTATAATCAGCCAGACCAGAAATATGATGAAGAGAATCTTCCAATACCAAATTCTTTACGCTGTGAGCTGTTACTTGTATTGAAAACTCAATGGCCCTTTGATCCAGAATTCTGGGATTGGAAAACCTTGAAACGACAATGTCTTGCATTAATGGGAGAAGAAGCATCCATTGTGTCTTCAATAGATGAACTAAATGACAGTGAAGTATATGAAAAAGTGGTAGACTACCAAGAAGAGAGTAAAGAAACTTCTATGAATGGGCTTTCTGGTGGAGTTGGTGCTAATTCTGGCCTTCTTAAAGACATTGGTGATGAAAAGCAGAAGAAGAGAGAGATAAAACAGTTAAGAGAGAGGGGATTTATATCTGCTCGGTTTAGGAATTGGCAAGCCTACATGCAGTATTGTGTGTTGTGTGACAAAGAATTCCTTGGTCACAGAATAGTACGACATGCTCAGAAACATTACAAAGATGGAATTTATAGTTGCCCCATATGTGCAAAGAACTTTAATTCTAAAGAAACTTTTGTCCCTCATGTCACACTGCATGTTAAACAATCTAGTAAAGAGAGACTAGCAGCTATGAAACCATTAAGAAGATTGGGAAGGCCTCCAAAGATCACAACTACCAATGAAAATCAGAAGACTAATACTGTGGCTAAACAGGAGCAGCGACCTATAAAAAAGAATAGTCTCTATTCAACAGATTTTATAGTGTTTAATGACAATGATGGTTCAGATGATGAGAATGATGACAAAGATAAATCCTATGAGCCAGAAGTGATTCCAGTCCAGAAACCAGTACCTGTTAATGAATTTAATTGCCCTGTAACTTTTTGTAAAAAGGGCTTTAAGTACTTTAAAAATTTAATTGCTCATGTGAAGGGGCATAAAGATAATGAAGACGCCAAGCGCTTTCTTGAAATGCAGAGCAAAAAAGTTATTTGCCAGTACTGTAGGCGGCATTTTGTGAGTGTTACTCATCTCAATGATCACTTACAGATGCACTGTGGCAGTAAACCATATATCTGTATACAGATGAAATGTAAAGCTGGTTTTAATAGTTACGCCGAGCTTTTAACCCACCGAAAGGAGCATCAAGTCTTTAGAGCAAAATGTATGTTTCCTAAATGTGGAAGAATTTTTTCGGAAGCTTATTTACTATATGATCATGAAGCACAACATTATAATACGTACACTTGTAAGTTCACAGGTTGTGGTAAAGTTTATCGTTCTCAGGGTGAGCTGGAAAAGCATCTGGATGATCACAGTACTCCTCCTGAAAAAGTGCTGCCTCCTGAAGCCCAACTTAATTCATCTGGAGATTCCATTCAGCCTTCTGAAGTGAATCAGAACACAGCAGAGAATATTGAGAAAGAAAGATCTATGCTTCCTTCAGAAAATAACATTGAAAACAGCTTACTAGCAGATAGAAGTGATGCTTGGGATAAAAGCAAAGCAGAATCAGCTGTGACCAAACAAGACCAGATTTCTGCCTCTGAGCTCAGGCAAGCTAATGGACCATTGTCAAATGGTTTGGAAAACCCTGCTACTACTCCTCTACTTCAATCCAGTGAAGTAGCTGTGTCCATTAAGGTGTCTCTCAATCAGGGGATTGAGGATAACTTTGGAAAGCAAGAAAACTCAACTGTGGAAGGCAGTGGTGAAGCACTGGTCACAGACTTACATACGCCAGTTGAAGATACTTGTAATGATTTGTGTCATCCAGGTTTCCAGGAGAGAAAAGAACAAGATTGCTTTAATGATGCCCATGTTACTCAGAATTCTTTAGTAAATTCAGAAACTCTCAAAATAGGTGACCTTACCCCACAAAACTTAGAAAGACAAGTGAACAACTTGATGACCTTTTCTGTGCAAAATCAGGCAGCATTTCAAAACAATTTACCAACTTCCAAATTTGAATGTGGAGATAATGTTAAAACATCATCCAATCTTTATAATTTACCTCTTAAGACATTAGAAAGTATTGCATTTGTTCCACCGCAGTCCGACCTAAGTAATTCATTAGGAACTCCATCAGTGCCTCCAAAAGCTCCAGTTCAGAAATTCAGCTGCCAGGTCGAGGGATGTACTCGAACCTATAATTCTTCACAGAGTATTGGGAAACACATGAAGACAGCACACCCTGACCAATATGCTGCATTTAAAATGCAGCGCAAAAGTAAAAAAGGTCAGAAAGCTAACAACTTAAATACACCAAATAATGGAAAGTTTGTTTATTTTTTGCCATCACCGGTGAACAGCTCAAATCCATTTTTTACATCACAGACCAAAGCCAATGGGAATCCTGCTTGTTCGGCCCAGTTGCAGCATGTCTCGCCACCCATTTTTCCAGCTCATTTAGCAAGTGTGTCAACTCCATTGTTGTCCTCAATGGAAAGTGTCATAAATCCAAATATAACTTCTCAGGATAAAAATGAACAAGGTGGTATGTTATGTTCCCAAATGGAAAATTTACCTAGTACTGCCTTGCCAGCACAAATGGAAGATCTAACCAAAACAGTTCTGCCTTTGAATATTGACAGTGGCTCAGATCCTTTCCTTCCTTTACCTGCAGAAAGTAGTTCAATGTCTCTCTTCCCTTCACCAGCAGATAGTGGGACTAATTCTGTTTTTTCCCAACTGGAAAATAATACAAATCATTATTCCTCACAGATTGAAGGAAACACTAATTCCTCCTTTCTAAAGGGGGGTAATGGTGAAAATGCAGTTTTTCCTTCACAAGTGAATGTTGCAAATAACTTCAGTAGCACCAATGCCCAACAGTCTGCACCTGAAAAAGTTAAAAAAGACCGTGGGCGGGGCCCAAATGGGAAGGAAAGAAAACCTAAGCACAACAAAAGGGCTAAATGGCCTGCAATTATCAGAGATGGGAAATTTATCTGTAGCAGGTGTTACAGGGCTTTTACTAATCCCAGATCACTGGGTGGGCACTTATCCAAGCGATCTTACTGTAAACCACTGGATGGAGCCGAAATTGCTCAAGAACTTCTACAGAGTAATGGACAGCCTTCTCTTCTTGCCAGCATGATTCTCTCCACAAATGCAGTAAATTTGCAGCAGCCACAACAATCTACCTTCAATCCAGAAGCATGTTTTAAAGATCCATCATTTCTACAGCTTCTTGCTGAAAATCGCTCGCCAGCATTTTTACCAAATACATTTCCTCGATCTGGTGTGACTAACTTTAATACCAGTGTCAGTCAAGAAGGTAGTGAAATTATTAAACAGGCTTTGGAAACTGCTGGCATTCCCAGTACATTTGAGGGTGCCGAAATGCTTTCTCATGTTTCAACAGGTTGTGTCTCTGATGCATCACAAGTAAATGCAACGGTGATGCCAAATCCAACTGTACCACCCCTGTTGCACACTGTATGCCATCCAAACACCTTGCTGACCAACCAGAATAGGACGTCAAACTCCAAAACTTCCTCCATTGAGGAATGTAGCAGCTTGCCTGTTTTTCCAACGAATGACTTACTACTGAAGACTGTTGAAAATGGTTTGTGCTCTAGTTCATTTCCTAATTCTGGTGGGCCATCACAAAATTTTACCAGTAACAGTTCTCGTGTTTCTGTTATAAGTGGTCCTCAGAACACAAGATCCAGTCATTTAAATAAAAAGGGAAACAGTGCTTCTAAGAGAAGAAAGAAAGTTGCTCCTCCACTAATTGCACCTAACGCTTCCCAAAACTTGGTAACAAGTGACTTAACAACAATGGGACTCATAGCAAAGAGTGTTGAAATCCCAACTACTAACCTTCATTCAAATGTAATTCCAACTTGTGAACCTCAGAGTTTGGTGGAAAATCTAACACAGAAATTAAATAATGTTAACAATCAGTTATTTATGACTGATGTAAAAGAGAATTTCAAAACCAGTCTTGAGTCCCATACAGTGTTAGCCCCTTTAACATTAAAAACTGAAAATGGTGATTCCCAAATGATGGCTTTGAATTCATGCACAACTTCAATAAATTCTGATTTGCAGATTTCTGAAGACAATGTTATACAAAACTTTGAAAAGACTCTTGAAATTATTAAAACTGCTATGAATTCTCAAATACTTGAGGTAAAAAGTGGATCTCAGGGTGCTGGTGAAACTTCACAAAATGCTCAAATAAATTATAACATTCAGCTTCCTTCAGTAAACACTGTGCAAAATAACAAATTACCCGATTCTTCTCCGTTTTCCTCCTTTATAAGTGTCATGCCAACAAAAAGTAACATTCCTCAGTCTGAAGTATCACATAAGGAGGATCAAATACAGGAAATTTTAGAAGGCTTACAGAAATTAAAATTAGAAAATGACCTATCCACTCCAGCATCCCAATGTGTACTGATAAATACATCAGTGACACTGACTCCCACGCCTGTTAAATCAACTGCAGATATCACAGTTATTCAGCCAGTTTCTGAAATGATAAACATTCAATTTAATGACAAAGTTAATAAACCCTTTGTGTGTCAAAACCAAGGCTGTAACTACAGTGCTATGACAAAGGATGCACTATTTAAGCACTATGGTAAAATTCATCAATACACTCCAGAAATGATTCTTGAAATTAAGAAGAATCAATTGAAATTTGCTCCCTTTAAATGTGTAGTACCTACATGTACAAAAACATTTACAAGAAATTCTAACCTCCGGGCACACTGTCAGTTGGTGCATCATTTTACAACTGAAGAAATGGTAAAGTTAAAAATTAAAAGGCCTTATGGAAGAAAATCTCAGAGTGAAAATGTGCCGGCCTCACGAAGTACACAAGTGAAAAAACAGCTAGCTATGACAGAGGAAAATAAAAAGGAATCTCAGCCTGCTTTAGAATTGAGAGCAGAGACCCAAAATACCCACAGTAATGTAGCAGTGATCCCAGAAAAACAACTTGTAGAAAAAAAAAGTCCTGACAAAACAGAAAGTTCTTTACAAGTGATTACAGTTACTTCAGAACAATGTAATACAAATGCACTCACAAACACACAAACCAAAGGACGGAAGATTAGGAGGCATAAAAAAGAAAAGGAGGAGAAAAAACGAAAGAAGCCAGTTTCCCAATCCCTTGAGTTTCCAACAAGATACAGTCCTTACAGACCTTATCGATGTGTTCACCAGGGATGCTTTGCTGCCTTTACGATACAGCAAAACTTGATTCTCCATTACCAGGCTGTACACAAATCAGATCTACCTGCATTTTCAGCAGAGGTCGAAGAGGAAAGTGAAGCTGGTAAAGAAAGTGAAGAAACTGAAACTAAACAAACTTTGAAAGAATTTCGATGTCAGGTAAGTGACTGTTCTCGAATTTTCCAAGCAATTACTGGCCTAATACAACACTACATGAAACTTCATGAAATGACTCCTGAAGAAATTGAAAGTATGACTGCTTCAGTGGATGTTGGGAAGTTTCCATGTGACCAGTTAGAGTGTAAATCTTCATTTACTACATATTTGAACTATGTTGTTCATCTAGAGGCAGACCACGGGATTGGACTAAGGGCAAGTAAAACAGAAGAAGATGGTGTATACAAATGTGATTGTGAAGGCTGTGACCGTATATATGCAACCCGGTCGAATCTCCTCCGACACATTTTTAATAAGCATAATGACAAACATAAGGCTCATTTGATTCGTCCAAGAAGATTAACACCAGGCCAGGAAAATATGTCAAGCAAGGCAAACCAAGAAAAATCAAAGTCTAAACATCGGGGGACCAAGCACAGCAGATGTGGAAAGGAAGGAATAAAAATGCCCAAGACCAAACGAAAGAAAAAAAATAATTTAGAAAACAAGAATGCAAAGATTGTGCAGATTGAAGAAAATAAGCCTTATTCTCTGAAACGTGGGAAGCATGTATATTCTATAAAGGCTAGAAATGATGCCCTGTCTGAGTGTACAAGCAGATTTGTAACCCAGTATCCATGTATGATAAAGGGATGTACTTCAGTTGTTACAAGTGAAAGCAATATAATTAGACATTATAAGTGCCATAAATTATCTAAGGCATTTACATCACAACACCGAAATCTTCTTATTGTATTCAAACGGTGTTGCAACTCACAAGTAAAGGAAACGTCTGAGCAAGAAGGTGCTAAGAATGATGTGAAAGATTCTGACACGTGTGTATCAGAGAGCAATGATAATTCAAGAACAACAGCTACAGTTTCACAAAAGGAAGTTGAAAAAAATGAAAAAGATGAAATGGATGAACTAACAGAATTGTTTATTACAAAATTAATAAATGAAGATAGCACAAGTGTAGAGACCCAAGCTAATACTTCTTCAAATGTAAGTAATGATTTTCAGGAAGATAACCTCTGCCAGTCAGAAAGACAAAAAGCAAGTAATTTGAAGAGAGTTAATAAGGAAAAAAATGTCTCACAAAATAAAAAAAGGAAAGTTGAAAAAGCTGAACCAGCATCAGCAGCTGAGTTAAGTAGCGTGCGTAAAGAAGAAGAAACTGCTGTTGCCATTCAAACCATTGAGGAGCATCCTGCATCTTTTGACTGGAGCTCTTTTAAGCCAATGGGATTTGAAGTATCATTTCTGAAGTTTCTTGAGGAGTCTGCAGTGAAGCAGAAGAAAAATACTGACAAAGACCATCCGAATACTGGAAACAAAAAAGGATCCCATTCAAATTCAAGAAAAAATATTGATAAGACTGCTGTGACTAGTGGAAATCATGTATGTCCTTGTAAAGAAAGCGAAACGTTTGTACAGTTTGCCAATCCATCACAGCTTCAGTGCAGTGATAATGTAAAAATTGTTTTAGACAAGAATCTTAAAGATTGCACTGAGCTTGTCTTAAAGCAACTTCAGGAAATGAAACCTACCGTCAGTCTGAAAAAACTTGAAGTACATTCAAATGATCCAGATATGTCTGTTATGAAAGATATCAGTATAGGTAAAGCCACAGGCAGAGGTCAGTACTGATAATTAATGTAGTATAAATACATCATTTACCATTTTATTTTAAATAGGAAGCCATCAAGCATGCTAGAATTGTGAAACTTTCATTATATTTTTTTGTTGTTGACATGAATTAACCTGGCCAAAAACAAAAAAGAAAAAAAAAACATGACATTTGTCATGTAAAACTTTTTTTTATCCCTATGGGACTTGAGGAACAGAATCAGTACTTCAGTTATTGTAAATAGTGAGCTAAACCTCAAATTTCTATCACCCAGTTGCCCTTTTCATGAACTAAACAATTATCTGTGTGATTGGTATGTTTCACCAGGTCACTGCTCATGTATAACAGTACTCTTTATTTGTAGATACCTTTTTTGTATATATTTATTATTGTAAATCATGTGCTGCCACCAGCAGTCTGTAAGTCTAAACTATTAAATGACACATTTATATTTGGAATTTTAATTTTTAACTAAGCGATCAAGTTTTTTAAATTGTTCTTTTATTGTTTTAAATTAAGAACTTTTTGAACTAAAACCAGAAACTCTGCCATAGTTCATTGATTTTTACATGAAACATTTATTTACAAGATGATATCAAGATTACTTTTCACAAAATAGGCACATTATATCAACACTTTGCTCTGCTTTGTAAATTTGCCATCCAGGATTTTGGGGTGGTATTCATGTGAAATTAAAGCAGATTCTCTAGCAGTTTCCTATAGCTACAGTTTTTTTTTTTCATTGCTTCTAATTGGATATAGTTACTATGAGTCCATGAAATACAATGGAAATGTGAATAAAGAATTTACTACATTGAAGATTTTAAACATTTGGTATTAAAAAAAAATCCTTTGTGAATGTGATAGAAAACTAGTAGTGTGGAGCAGTGTAAATATTTGAGGTGGTGATTTGTGAAGTAGCCCAGTATTGCCTTAAATAAAATCACATTTCATTTCTTGTTTTATACATGTGATCTTATAAAGATTTTTTGTTTTGTTTTGTTTTCCATTTTCTGAGATTTATAGATTGGTGTATAGCTTTAAACTGTATAAAGTTTTGTGGAAAGATTTTTTTAAACATTTTTATAAATCTTAAAATTGATATCATCAAAGTGAGCCCATCTTGTGTTTATAAAATACAAGAGTCCTTAACATTTATAATTACATAGATAAAACACTTTCTATAAGGAAGTTGGATGTTTTGATTTTACTGTTTATAGATGTTAGATTGTACAGATTTGTCTGTATTTCTCACCATATCTAATGATACTTTTTTCATTAGATTGGTCTTCAAGAACAGTATTAGTTATAATTATTTTGGTTATTCAGTATATAGTTAGCTCTTACAGTTTAGCTTTATTCACCATATTTATACTGTGGATTCACAGCGAGAGGTAGAGGTTATTCCAGGAGAGTTGATGACCTTCATTTAAAGTCCAACTAAAATCAGTAGTAGAAACATAAGAAAACATCTTTGCAATATTTACTTTTGTTTCTGTTTGCCGTAAATAGTAACATTGTTTTTTTTTATTTTGTGTTTGTTATAAAACAGTTGCATTCACAATATTATTGGCCTGAGATATTGATGATATTGTGATGGTATGAAAATGTGTACATTCCCTGTGCAACATCAGATTTGCAGGAAAAATGAAGCACTTACTGAAATCGCTGGTACTCTGAATAAATAAGCATGGTCAAGGAGTGAACTATTTTCTTTTGGAAATTTCTTTTTAATTTTTATTATTAAAGTATTTTATTTTTAGGGCCTTTTGGGTTTTATTGAATAGTTCATTTCACCTGTTTAAGACTTACTACCAATAAGCATAAAACCTGACACGTTAAAATCCCTGCCCTTTGGTGAGCCCACTGTTATTTATTAAAATAAAAGTTATTTTATGGGTGATTAATACATGGGTTTTCTTTTTCCTAAATTAACAATAATTTAAATAACTGAGTAATTTTAATATTAAATTTTTGTTAACAACTGAATGTTTCCATACAGTTTTCTTAGAAATTGACCTAGCTCTTAAAGGTGGGCACTTGGCAAAACTGCCCTATATAGCACAGTAGCAAGTAGGTTTATTTCTGATCATTGTAACTATGAGCCACTGTTAAGTGAAAATGCCAATGTATTGGGGCTTTTCTTTTGCTCATTAGCTTAAGAAAATTTATAACTAGACATTTCTAATTGTTTTACATGTCATGGGGAAGAGTTTGCCAACATTTAATGAAATTTTTATATTCCAGGTAATGTATACTAAAGGTAATTATGAGAGTGGGCTTTTTAGCATGAAACAAAAAAAATCAAACTATGGTAAAAAGACATGAATTTATAGAATAGCATGTTGGTAAATTTTGATACGGAATGTAATGTCTAAGTATTAAAAAATCATAAAATATATTTTTTTCATGGTATACTTTTCCCCAGCCTATTGTCTTGAGATATCTTCTACAGCCTAAATTTGCTAAAGTTTCATCACTAAAAAGTAGGAGTTTTTCCTCTTCTGAACCCGCAAAGTTTGCATATTACAGGTCAGAATTGTATTATTCAAAATACATCACCTTAAGTGAAATGTAACAGTTTTTGAAATTTTCAACGGTGTTAAATTTAACATAGGTACATTATTATTTTAAAGGGCTAGACATATTTTTAAGGCAAATTTTTATCAAGTGAGCAGTCACAGTTGCTGTAGATAATATGAAAGTACAATAATACTATACCTAGGGACATCAGAAAGAATGCCCTATTTTTCTGGAAAAGGAGGTAGGTAGTTGGGAAAGTCTTTGTAGAAAATATGAGTTTTGAAAGATGAATGAATGCTCATTGGTTCAGGGGGACAAGGGAATTCCAGACTTGGGGGTAGAGCGTAATTGCGGTATTGCCAGTGGGCCACTTGGAAAGATAGGAAGTTGAAGAAGGTGAAGCTGAAGAAGCAGATGGGTGGTGGGATCAGGAGTGTTCTTGTATGCTGTATTAAGTCTTTATTTTGGTTTTTGAAAATTGTTATTGGATGCATGTATATTGAACAATTTAATCAGTATCAGTTTTAGAAAGATAATTGTCATGGTATAGTGGATAAATTGAGTAAGTTGGAGATTAATTAGGGGGACCTAAAATAGTCCAGGCAAAAAATGATGGGAGCCAGAAGAAAGGCTAACGAAGTTGGGGAAGAGACTAATGGATAAGAGAGATAATAAAAAGTAATGTCTAAGGCAGCCTGTTTCAGCATGTTTATTGTAGTGAGATACTAGGCAGGTGGAAGGTTATTGCTGTGATGAAATAAGTTTTCTAAATTGTGTGCTGTAGTTCTCTCTCTCTCTCTCTCTTTTTTTTTCTTTGTTTTTTTTGGAGACAGAGTCTCGCTCTGTTGCCCAGGCTGGAGTGCAGTGTTGCACGATCTCGGCTTACTGCAACTTCTGCCTCCCAAGTTCAAGTGATTCTCCTGCCTCAGCCTCCCCAGTAGCTGGGACTACAGATGCATGCTATCACACCCAGCTAATTTTGTAGTTTTGGCACAATCTCAGCTCAGTGCAACTTCCATCTCCCAGGTTCAAGTGATTCTCCTACCTCAGCCACCCAAGTAGGTGCACACCACCACACCTGGCTGATTTTATATTTTTAGTAGAGACGGTTTCACCATGTTGGCCAGGCTGGTCTTGAACTCCTGACCTCAGGTGATCACCCACCTCCACCTCCCAAAGTGCAGGTATTACAAGCATGAGCCACCACACCCAGCCTCTCTTAAATAATTTAATGCATGTTTGCATATTAAAGACAAAAGTTCTACTGTAAATATGTAAAAAGTTGAAAGGGAATTTTCCAGACTTAATTGACCCTGAGAACATTTTTCTTCTTTTAATGTTAATACTTAGTTATATCCCACTGAACTAGCATTCTAAAGAACACACTTTGGGAAATGCTGATCTCAAATGGCATTTATTCAACCAGGACTGATAATCAACGTGTACACCAATTCAATTGTATCAGCTGTTTGCAAATGGTGATTATTCTGATTGATCAATTTATATATCCCAATGGGTTGATTCCTTTGCTGTATTGGTTGTTAATGTTTTGAATATTACCCGGTATTCAAGTAATGCTCATTGAATTTCAAGTAATTGTGATTAAACGTTGATTAAAATCCAGTCATACTTGCCAGAAGCCCCTGCCTTTAAACATTCTTATCCTACTTCCCATTTCCCACTCTTCTCATTTCATTGAACGCATAGTAACCTTCCTTCCCCACTTCAAAGCCTATCTGGAATGCTTATTTCTCTTATTTCTATGGGTGACTCCATATCCCGTCAGTTCACAGCTTAAATGTCACCTCATCGGAAAGACACCCAGATCATAAAGTTTCACATGCCCATTCTTTACAACAGTTTTTTAAAAAATACTTACTTTAATCTATATCTTCCAACACTACCAGTCAATGAAGAAAATGATAATAATACCTGTGTTCTTCAATGACTTTGCCACAATCAAACCCCATATCACTTCCAAATCTTGAATTCAATTTATTTTTCTGGCCACAAACTTGTAGCTCACCTGCTCAAGATATCTCTGCTAAAAGAATACTTCTACCTTATTACTACCACTTGCTGACTATTCATCAGCTTACTCCTGTCCTCAGCTTGTTCAGCCTAGAAACTAGCTAGATCCCATTGTTAAACGCACTCCTTTGCAAATATCCTCAGACCATACACCTCTCCCTCTGTCATGATCCTGAAAAATCCTCAAACCGTCTGTCTACTCTTCAGCAGTGGAATGGAAGAAAATTATTCCAGGAGATAGGTTGGTAATCCCAAAACTTAAGTAGACTCAACACTACCTGGCAGTTTTTCTATAGTTTTCTGGTAACTTGCTTTCTCAAGCTTAAATGACATACATCCCTCGTTTCATGACCTTTAACCACATTTTGCTGAGGAAAAAGAAAAACGACATGAACCCTTTCAACTTTTCACCACCAAATCAATAAACCTGCTTGTATTTGCACTGTATTCTACTTAGTAAAAACAAATTCCTCTTCTGGATTCCATCCCCCCACTGCCCATCTCCTTAAGAACTTCCTGTTGCTCTCTTGTTTCATCAATATTTCTTTTACTTGATCCTTTCCAACAGTTTATGAATAGACTCTAGTAGCTACTATTCTTGAAAAAATAGGGGTTAGACACTTTATTCATCCAACTATAACCCTATTTGTTTGGTCCCAGTTACAGCCAGTGTGACTTTTCTGCTCATATATGCTCCGTTTCCTCACTTCTGACTTAACTGCCACTTTCTGTGTTCCCACAACACTCCTAAAATTTTTTCTTGTTAGGATCACCACTGTCTTCCATGCTGCCGTATGTATTGTTTATTTTTCTGCCCCCACTCACTGCCTCAGGAGCATGCAGAAAGGTTGATGACTCCTTGAAATATTCTCTTGGTTTTCTCCTTACCTATTCTGGCTGCTCCATTTCTGATTCCATCCCTAGCTCCATTTCGAGTACCTGACCTCTGGGTCACTATTTCTCTCTACACTCTCTTTGCATGATTCTGTGGAGTTTAGTATCTGATCGATGTATCTATCCTACCCATATTTATACCTCTGAAGACCAGAGTTTTCATAGTTCTCTGCTTGTATATTCAACTGCCTACTTCATAGTTAAGTATATCATGTCCAAACCTTTATGTCCTTTGTCCTACTTTCAATCTGCTCCTCTCCCGATATCTCTTATCTTGATAAGTGAAGTCACTACCTGGTTTTCTGAAGCTAGGCTTTTAGATGTCCTCATACCAATTCATGTTTTTTCCCTTTGTTTAGTCACAATTGTCATTTTTACCTTCTGTTTTTTGTTTTTTTTTTTTTTTTTTGGAGACGGAGTCTTGCTCTGTCACCAGGCTGGAGTGCAGTGGTGTGATCTTGATTCACTGCAACCTCCACCTCGTCTCAGCCTCCTGTGTAGCTGGGACTACAGGCGCACACCACCACACCCAGCTAATTTTTGTACTTTTTAGTAGTGATGGGATTTCACCATTTTGGTCAGAATGGTCTTGATCTCCTGACCTCGTGATCCACCCGCCTTGGCCTCCCAAAATGCTGGGATTACAGGCATGAGCCACCACACCCAGCCGTCATTTCTACCTTCTAAGTAGGAAGGAACCTTTCTTGTCATCATAACTCTAATCCAAATCACCATCATATTTTGCCTAAATTATTATAACAGCCTCCCTACTGGCTTACTTCCAGAATATTCCCCACCAAGCAGACAGATTGGTTTTTTTTTTTTTTTCAAGTAATTTCAAAGGGAGGAAAACTCATGATTTTCCCACTGCACTTTGAGTAAAATATGTTTATTTTTTAGTAAGTTCAATAAAGGAATAATACAGGGTATTCTCAGGATATATAATAGGGTGAGAATATGATATATACTCTGGTAAGGGAAAGCAATAAAAGGCTTACCTATAAAAGTAAAAATTAGCCGGGCACGGTGGCTCATGCCTGTAATCTCAGCACTTTGGGAGGCCAAGGCAGGCAGATCGCCTGAGGTCAGGAGTTCAAGACCAGTCTGGCTGATGTGGTGAAACCCCGTCTCTACTAAAAATGCAAAAATTAGCTGGATGTGGTGGCAGGCACTTGTAATCCCAGCTACTTGGGAGGCTGAGGTAGGAGAATTGCTTGAACCCAGGAGACGGAGGTTGCAGTGAGCCGAGATCACACCACTGCACTCCAGCCTGGGTGACAAGAGAGAGACTTCATCTCAAAAAAGTAAAAATTAGGGGAGGGAAGGCAGTGAAAACTCAGGCTAAGGGAAAAGCATGTGTAAAAAGCTCTGATAAGAATAGCTTTTGAGGAAATGATAGAAAGTTGCTAAGGATAAATTTAAAGTGAAGAAAGGTAAGCAAGAGCCAGATCACTTAAGTGTCTTAGGAAGACCTAATTGTTTGTATTGGACTTTATCCTAAGTAATGAGTTCACATTTGGTTTTTAAGCAGAGGAATGAGATTTCTTACACTTGGAGTTTTAAAAGTTTACTCTGGAGGGGAAGCATTCCAATGGGGAATTCAAGAAGACTGGTTAGGAAGCCTGTCCAAGTCATCCAGGAAAGAAGATACTGGCTTGGAATAGGTTGGTGCTGGCAGAGAGAGAGAAAAGTTGATGGACTTGAGAGATCTAAAATATTGGACAGGACTTGACCATTAAGGATTATGGGAAAGGAGAGAGGGGAAAGAAATGTGAGGTTTTTGGTTTAAATAAATGGTTGAAGACATACCATTTCTTCATGAAGCTAAGATGAAGAGGAGCAATTTTATGAATGGATGGTTGCTTAGGGAAAGAGAATATAGAAAAGGGCTGAATCCAGAAGAACTCAGTACTTAGAAGCAGATTAATAGCAAAATAGAATCATGGCAACAGTAGGATGGACATATTTAAAGGAGGCATGTACAGCTCTGTTACATTCTGCCAACATAAGAATTTAAAGTGTCCTTTGGATTTAGTGGTAAGAAAATAATCAGTGACCTTTGCAATTACTTAGTTTTAGTGGAAGCCAGAAGAAGGTTGAGGATTATAGAAAGCAAGTTTAAACGCCTATATTTGAAAGTTTGTGAAGGGGAGGGAAAGATGGACTGGTGGCTGAAAAATGTCATGGAATTTCATCAAAGTTCTTAAAATGATGGACAAAATAGAATATATTGAAGTGCCAGTGAAAGGATTTGGTAGAGGTTACGATGTGAGGAATAGCATATCTTATAAAATTCATAAGTTTCTGTCTTTAGTATTTGTGAATGTTGATGCTGTTTACCAAGATAACATAGAAGGAATTGGATTGGAGGAAAGGATAATGTTGAGTGTGAGATTCCTGTAGGTCATCCATGCAGAGATGTATAGTGATCAGTTTTTTTTTTTTTTTTAATTTAAGTTCAGAGGTACATGTGCAGGTTTGTTACATAGGTAAACTTGTGTCATGGGGGTTTGTTGTACAGATTATTTAATAATCACCCAAATGTTAAACCTAGTACTCATTAGTTATTACTGATCCCCTCTCTCCTCCTACCTTCCCCTTCAATAGGCCACAGTGTCTGTTGTTCCCCCTCTGTGTCCATGTGTTCTCATAACTTAGCTCCTGCTTATAAGTGAGAACATGCAGTGTTTGGTTTTCTGTTCCTGTATTAATTTGCTAAGGCTAATGGCCTCCAGCTCCATCTGTGTTCCTGCAAAGGACATGATCTCATTCTTTTATGGCTGCATAATATTCCATGGTGTATATGTACCACATATTCTTTATCCAGTCTGCTATTGATGGGCATTTAGGTTGATTCCTTGTCTTCGCTATTGTGAATAGTGCTGCAGTGAACATATATTTTTTTGACTTTTTATAGCCATTCTGACTGGTGTGAGATGGTACTGCATTGTGGTTTTGATTTTCATTTCTCTAATGGTCAGTGATACTGAACTTTTTTTCATATGTTTGTTGGCTGCGTGTATGTCTTTTGAAAACTGTCTGTTCGTATCCTTTGCCCACTTTTTTGAGGGTTTTTTTTTTCTTGTAAATTTGCCTAAGTTCCTTATAGATGCTGGACATTAGACCTTTGTCAGATGCAAAGTTTGCAAAAATTTTCTCCCCTTTTGTAGGTTGTCTGTTTACCCTGTTGATAGTTTCTTTTGCAGTGCAGAAGCTCTTTAGTTTAATTAGATCTCATTTGTCAATTTTTGCTTTTGTTGCAATTGCTTTTGGAGTCTTTGTTATGAAATCTTTGCCCATGCCTATGTCCTGAATGATACTAAGGTGCCTTCCCAGAGTTTTTATAGTTTTGGGTTTAACATTTAAGTCTTTAATCCATCTTGAGTTAAGGAAGGGGTCCCATTTTAATCTTCTGCATGTGACCATCCACTTATCCCAGCACCATTTATTGAATGGTGTCCTTCCCCCATTGCTTGTTTTTGTCAGCTTTGTCAAAGATCAGATAGTGTTAGGTGTGTGCCCTTATTTCTGGGCTCTCTATTCTATTCCATTGGTCTATGTGCCTGTTTTTGTGCCAGTGCCATGCTGTTTTTGTTACTGTATCCCTCTTGTCTAGTTTGAAGTTGGGTAGCATGATGCCTCCAACTTCGTTCTTTTTGCTTAGAATTGCCATGGCTATTTGGGCTCTTTTTTGTTTCCATATGAATTTTAAAATAGTTTTTTCAAGTACTGCGAAGAAAGTCATTGGTAGTTTAATAGGGATCGTATTCAATCTATAAATTGCTTTGGGCAATATGGCCCTTTCAACGATGTTGATTCTTCTTATCCATGAGCATGGACTATTTTTCCATTTGTGTCATCTCTGATTTCTTTCTTTATTTTCTTTTTTTTCTTTTTTTTTTCTTTTTTTTGAGATGGAGTTTCGCTCTTGTTGCCCAGGCTGGAGTGCAGTGGCACAATCTCGGCTCACCGCAACCTCCGCCTCCCGGGTTTAAGGGATTCTCCTGCCTCAGCCTCCTGAGTAGCTGGGATTACAGGCATGTACCACCAAGCCTGGCTAATTTTGTGTTTTTAGTAGAGACGGGGTTTCTCCATGTTGGTCAGACTGGTCTCGAACTCCCAACCTCAGGTGATCTGCCGACCTTGGCCTCCCGAAGTGCTGGGATTACAGGTGTGAGCCACCACGCCCAGCCCAATCATCTCTTTGGGTAGTCATTTCTTTGGGCAG
This sequence comes from Homo sapiens, assembly GCF_000001405.40. NCBI lineage: Eukaryota > Metazoa > Chordata > Mammalia > Primates > Hominidae > Homo > Homo sapiens. The sequence continues at coordinate 87,271,458 of NC_000006.12, forward strand.
TGTTTTGTAGTTCTCTTTGTAGCGATATTTCACCTCCCTGGTTAGCTGTATTCATAGGTACTGTATTATTTTTGTGGCAGTTGTGAATGGGATTGTGTCCTGATTTGGCTTTCGGCTTGACTGTTGTTGATGTATAGTAATGCTAGTGACTCTTCTCCATTGTTTTATATACTGAGAGTATGCTGAAGTTGTTTATCAGCTTAAGGAGCTTTTAGGCCTGGACTATGGAGTTTTCTAGATATAGGATCATGTCTGCAAACAGGAATAGTTTGACTTCCTCTCTTCCTGTTTGGATGCCCTTTATTTCTTTCTCTTGCCTGATTGCTCTGGCTAGGACTTCTAATACTGTGTTGAACAGGAGTGGTGAGAGAGGAGATCCTTCTCTCGTGCCAGTTTTCAAGTGGAATGCTTCCGGCCTTCGACCATTGAGTATGATGTTGGCTGTGGGTTTATCATAAATGGTTCTTATTATTTTGAGGTATGTTCCTCCAGTGCCTAGTTTATTGAGAGTTTTTAACATGAAAGCGGTGTTGAATTTTATCAAAAGCGTTTTCTGCATCTGTTGAGATAATCATGGTTTTTGCCTTTAGTTCTGTTTATGTGATCAATCACATTTTTGGTTTTCATATGTTGAACCAACCTTGCATCCCATGGCTAAACCTAATTAGTGATCAGTACTTTATATGAGACTCTGAAACTGCAGTTCTGGATTTTAAATTACTTGAGGGCAAGTGGTCTGTCTTATCTCCAAAGCATTTAGCTCAGGATCTGGGGTATAGTTAGTATTTATTACATTTTATTGGAACTGAAGGGAGAAGCAAAATCAGTCTTTAGATCTAATATACAAGTCTGAGAGTTAGCCATTTTTAACCTTAGTTTGAGGAAAGAAAGGACAGCATGCCCAGAAAGCCCACGGAAAAAGATAGCCAAGGCGAAAATCATGAGGAACACCAACATATAGTAGGCAGAAGAGACCAGCAAAGATGACTTGGGAAGGAAGAGTCAGGTGAGAACTAGGAAAGGGAGTGAGTGTACAGAGCATTATGGAAGCCAGAAGAGGGAGAATGATGAAGTGTCAATGGTCATGCCAAATGCCATTGAGAGATAATTAAGAGTAAGATAAAGACTACTAGAATTAACTGTTGGTGGTCATTGATCATTAGAGAAGTTTTAAAGAATGCCAAATACTGTTTATTTTCTAGTTTAATTGAATGAGCTAAGGAAGTGAAAGCAGGTAGTTGTTACTTAGGTAGGTAGGTAAGTCGTGGATGGAACCTGGTCCAAGAACACAGGTTGGGAGTATTAACATTACAAAGTAGGAAGGATACCTCTTAGACTAAGTCTGTTAAGTAGAAATGTTGAGCTCCTTGTCAGGAAGGAAAGAAACAACATTACCACTCAACAGCAAGCCTTAGGAAAGTAGAAAATGAAGTTTTGAATGGTGAAAATTTGAAACAAAAGATAGGAGGAAGAGCTGAGTAGGGGATATGAAAGGATTACCAATCAGCTAATAAATGCTGTTTCTCACATTCAATGCCCAGGTGATTTAGGAAAGCATAATATTTTAGTAGCACCCTCTGCATGATTCCATGGTATACCTGATAGTGTTCCTCAGTTGGATGAAAGAAGGAGGTGGTTGTGTAGTCCTGGTAGAAGTAATATGTTGATGAGTTGAGTCTGGATAGGGAAGGAAACAGCCAAGAGGACACATGAAAAGGGAGTGGTCAAGGAACTGGAGGTCTTAATGGTGACAAAGAGGGTATAGTGGGAATAAGGCTAAAAATGAGGTATGGAAGACTGGGACATTGAAATTTATGATTTTAGGAGTAGTACAGTTCACAGTGTCTGGAAATGGCCATACAATTAGATTCCTGAATTCGATGTAGATTAACTTTGGTCCATTTTATTGGATGGACTGTACGCAGAAGATGCCCTTAGTAGAAACCAGTGTGAGAAATGCTGAAGTCCTAAATTTGCTTTAGCAGGGCCAGGCCTGGTGGATCATCCCTGTAATTCCAGTGACTTGGGAGGCTGAGGTGGGACAATCGCTTGAGCCCAGGGGTTCAAGGCTGCAGTGGATTATGATCCCAGGGTAGGTGGCAGAATGAGACCCTGTCTCAAATAAAAAATAATTGATAAGGAGTGTACCTACAGGCTGTGTGGTACACGTAAGGAGTTTGGGAAAGCAGCTTCTTGAGAGTATTGTCTTGGGAGATCCATGTTCAGTTAAGATGAAATTGCCGTATATAAGTCTGCAGCAGTAAAGAACAAGAGTTCTAGAGAGAATAGAGGGAACCCTAGGGAACATAATTAACAATATTGGCAGGCATATTTGGAGGAAGTCAGAGAAGAAGAATTGGAATAGTAGGAATGGGAGGATAGGTAATAGGAAGATTTTGGGTTTTAGTGGCCAAAAGAAAAGATAAACTTTATAATTCTTCAAGTCCAAGGAATCTGGTCTGTCTGGCTTGCCTAGGCCCTGTGCATCGGATCTGCTAGTGATAGTTAACATTTATTGACTGCTACTATTTGCTAGGCACTGCACCAAGAACTTTTCTTGTATTTCTGCTTATTCTTACACTAACTCTAAGAGTTAAGTGCTGTTATCCCTATTTTAAGATGAGGAAATTGAGTAATATGAGGAAAGGCTACAGGTCTTACCTAAGGATCACACAGATAGTATGTGGCAGAGCTGAGAGTTGAAACCAGGCAAACAGTCCAGAGCTTAGCCAAATGAGATAATAGGTTGCTTAGTATTTTTAGCTGGAAGATTCCATAAAAATTATCCTAGTATCAGAAAAGAATTTTCTCTAGGTGATTACGAAGCAGTGTTAGGAGCTGATTAGTAAGTGATTTTCGTTTTTTAAGACCCACAGTATATGTATTATATATATATCATGTATATTATATATATATATCATATATATCATATATATATCATGTATTCTATATATAATAGAAATTTACTTATTTGAAAATTTCAAAACCATCCTTAGTAATTTATTTACTAATATATATATGTGTGCATGTATATATATATGTATACCTATTCACCTTTGCTTATGGTTTAATTAACATTGGTTCCAAAGGAAAAGAATAAACTTCTGGAGCCAGGAAGGAGGTGGCTGTGTTGATGAAGGTAGGGAGCACAGAACAAAGGGGCTGTCTACAAGAGGTCTGCACTGCAGTGTGTACTCTTAAACCAGAGAAACCAAGAGAGAAATGGAAATGAGAAGCAATTGTGCAGGAATTTAATGGACTCTGACTAGAGTAGAATTCTCTAGTCAGTGTGAATTGGGAGGGTTATAATAGAAACTTGTAGTCAGAGGTTTTGTTTGCTACCAGGTTCTTTTTGTTCCCCAGAATAGCTATGAACATGGCAAAAGAATGTTCACTGTGCAAGCTGCACTTACACTGTCTTTAGTGCTACCACCCATAGGTCTCCTGGATCCTCCTCTTCCCCTGCGTAAGTTGGAGAAAAGAAGTGGACACGATGATGATGGCCCTCATGTCCCTAGGTCCCTCTGTAGCAGTGAGGTGTTCAAGAAGCCACTGGGCTTTTGAGGACACAAGTGTGTTTCAAACTATTCAGGAGCAGATCACACCAGGCAGTTCTTCACTGGAGATGTCTGTGAGTCATCCTCTCAAGAGGAATGCCCCCTTCTTGCCAAGTCAGATTTGCTTCTTTTATACAGAGGCTTTAACATGTTTTCTTTTTTTGTTTCTTGTTTTGAGACGGAGTCTTGCTCTGTCACCCAGGCTGGAGTGCGGTGGCGCTATCTCGGCTCACTGCAAATTCCACCTCCCGAGTTCACACCATTCTCCTGCCTCAGCCTCCCGAGTAGCTGGGACTACAGGTGCCTGCCACCACACCTGGCTAATTTCTTGTATTTTTAGTAGAGACGTGGTTTCACCATGTTAGCCAGGATGGTCTCAATCTGACCTCGTGATCCGCCCACCTCGGCCTCCCAAAGTGTTGGGATTACAGGCCTGAGCCACCGCACCCGGCCGCCTTTAAGATGTTAACCAACTCCTTGACACTTAAGATTTGGATGGGAGAAGGATATACAGAGAATCAGTCTTGTTTATGTTTTTTCAGTACACTTTTACATTATCCAAATACTTAAGTCATTCTTGGCAATCCTTGTTTGCTACTTCCAACCCTATTAAAACTGATCGGCTCATTAGATTTACTTATTTGAAGATTTTAAAACCTCAGCTGCAGCAGTACAAAATTTTCTCTCAAGCATGTGTACTCTTAAAGGAGAATTTCTAATCAAGTATGGCAGTTGGGTGTTCATTTATGCAGTTTAAAATTTGATCCTCACAACCACCCCTGCCCCATAAGAAGAGGAAAATTAGCAACCCCATTTTATAAAGACAGTCACATGGGAAAATTTAAAGACTTTTAACAGCAAACCTATGAAATAGGTCTCTGGCCCCTAGTTCAGAATGTTCTCCATTGTCCTGGCTGATGAGTGTATTGCCATTTATTTCAAGGCAGAAGAATGAAGCTTGAGATTGTCAGAAATATATAGGGAAAGTTTTTAGGTTTTCATTGTAAATACAGGAAGTAGTGCAATACACTTCTCATTTCAGTAAATAAGGCAAAATTAGAAGTTATGTCATACATTAATGTCTTCAGTTTAAAAAGTCTTATCACTATAAAATGAGAAACAAGTAATTCTAGTTTATTTCAACAAAATCTTGAGGACCGTATGAAAGAGAACATCTGCTCTGCCAGAAGTGAAAAGACCAGAAACCTAGAATGCTCTGATCATGATGTGCTCTTAGCAGCACAAAATAGAGGCTGGTTGGCTCTGTGTAATCCTTGAGCTTTAGGTATGTGTTGTTCGGACTGCCTTTCTCTAAGCTGATATCCCTGACAATGAGAGAAAAACTGAATTTTGATTTTAAAACTATAATCTGGAACCCAGCATTCCTGTGGCCTAGCTACATTTTTTTTTCTTTTTCTTTTTACTGACCAAGCTATAACCTCTAGGCAGCTTTCCTTGGAAATACAACATTGAAGCAAAGGGCAGACACGCTCTCTTAGAGTTTTCAAGTCTCATACACAGAATTGGGCCCTCAGTTACAAAGTGCCGAGCTCAAAGATCCTGGAAGAGAAGCTTGGGAAGCCCAAGGCTGAGGACTGGCTCTAGATAGAACAATAGGTAATATTTAATAAACAATCATGTGTCAGCAACTGTTCTGAGCTCTTTGTATGGCAATTCATTTCTCATAACTAAGAAAGGAATTAGCTACCACTGGAGGTAACTCAGTCTTATTTGTGTTATCACCATCTGACTATTCCAAGGGACCAGTGTGTTCTTGCTGAGTCAGGTTAACAATCCTAGATACTGCTTGAAGGAAAATTTATATAGTAGTCAATAGCGTGTGTGTGTGTGTGTGTGTGTATGTACACACTATATACACACACCTTCAACAAAGCAAACATTGTGGTAGATTTTATAATCCTGTCAGGGTAGTGAGAAAGACCATGTCACCATTTGGCAAAATTTACATTCAAATCCTGTTACTACCTTGCTTTCTCTTCTTTATCAGAGGCCATATTCATATTGGCTTCATCAAAGTTACATACACTCCTTTTCAGCAAACGTGTATGCATAATCAATAAATATTCAGATGTTCTTTGAGCACTTTTCTCAGAATATTTTTTTTAGGTGATTTGCTTCACTTGTAGCTGGAGTTGGGTCTGGAGTGAAATTGGAAGTACAGTAACTTACATGGCTCCATATGAAGTAAGTTTAAAAGTGGAGGTGTGTGATGAGTGTATAAAGCTTGTCAGTTTCATAGGCTAACTTAACATACATGTTGCTCAGTTACTGAATTGCACAGGATTAAGAGGCCACAAGATGGCAAACTAACACTGGAAAGGAGTATGTACAGTTAAGGTCTGAAAATTGAACCAGAAATTACCTTCCCATTTTTTATTTATATTTTAAAGGGGACATGGGCTAATATGTGGTAGTCATTTATATTTTGGGGTACTTAAACAGTTATTAAAGTACAGGTTTTTTTTATTGGGAGATGACTATGACACTTTAGCTATTGGTCCATTTTAGGATTAATAGACCAGCCTTCATAATGGAAAAAGGCTAAAGCCATCATGTTTTGATTATACATATTTAGTTATCTAATAAGCTTTAAAGAAAAGTAACGGTCATTATGTGGATATGCCAGTATTCCAAAGATCTTTGAAAAAATGTTTTACAGGAAATTTCTGGAAGACTGAATTTGGAGTTTTAAAAAAACTGAATTCTTGCTCAGTCACTTCAGGTAACTGGGCAAGTCACTGTATCATTCTAGGTTGTAGTCTGATTCGTAAGTATTTTGAAGATTTTTTCCAGTTCCAGAATATTGTGATTTTTGTTACTTCATACAACACAGTTATGCTGAAAAATTCAGAAATATGTTCATTGTTTTTGAGCAATTACTGTGGGTTAACCCCTGAAGGTAAAATGATGGAGGACATAGTTCTTGCCTGCATTCAAAATGCTCACTATTTAGAGGGGGGGATACAAATGTGTAAGCAAATAACATAGAGATAAGTGATATGATAAAGCCATGTATTGTTAATTACAACACCTAACATTTTAAAATAATCTCTACATGCCGTGCTTTGCATGAGTCATATAATCTGTACAGTGGCCCTGTGAGATATGTATTATCACTTATCCCCATTTTATATCACATTTTGCTCTCTGACAGAAATATTTGATCGAAGCCTTACAATTTCTCAAGGTGGAGAAAAGAATTAAATCACACAAAATATTAAGTACCTCACAGGTACTAACTATAATGCCATGATTTTAAAGAACATAAATCATATTATAACCAGTTCTTTGGGACTACCTAAATTGTCTGTTGTAATGAGCTGCCCTGTCATACGTGAAATTTGTTTCTTAAAGATGATTCTGTTCATCAGAGATCTTTCTGTGGACTCAGGTTTAGATACAGCCAATACAAAGTCTTATTTTGCCATTGTCCAATATTTAGTTACTAGAAACATGGGATCTTGAAGAGTTTAAAAGAAATTTGGAGGTCATCTAGCTGTACCTTCTATATAATCCGGAAATATTATTGAACATCTTATTCAATGTTAGGGAATCTCACCACTTTATTGGGCAACCATTTCATTGAGGCAGTTCAAATTAATAAAACTTTCCAATTATTAGGTAAAAAAGAAAAATCTTTTTCTCTTATTTTCAACCATTGGTCCTGGTTCTGCAACTTTGAAACACAAAATAAGTTGTCTTTGAAGCATTGGGAAAACAATTCACTACAGTCTGGACACACACCTTTGTTAATACAGGTATAAATGAGCTCAAAAAAGTCTCATACTACACTTTGCTCATGTTAAGGTGGTGGACAGCTAAAATTCCAAGAAATTCATATCGTGAACTAATATCATCTTGGTCTCATACTAAAATCTTAAATCTGCAGAATGATTGCTTGTTCCATTTCACCTGACTTAAATTCTGAACAAAATTAACCCTGCTGAGATTTTTTATGTTTCAATTTTAAATGTTTCAATTCAATTTTTTAAATGTTTCAATTTTTAAATGTTTCAAATACTAGGCATTTCTTTTGTCTTCAGTTGATATAGGCATGCCTTCTGTGTCTTCATCCTAGTCACTAATGTGAATGTACTCTGGAACTGTTTGGAGCAGTAAGTAAAAGAAATTAACGAGTCAGTGATTTATATCAGGTAGGAGTTAAGTTGCCTCTCACATAACAACAAGCAGACAGTAGGAAAATAGGCAGTTCGAGGCTGATAAGGCAATTTCATAGTGGCATCAGTGTCCCAGAAGCCTGCCTATCTTCAGAAGGTCTCACATCCATCTTCAGAGTCACCTCATGGCAGAAAGATGTTGCCGGCAACATTAAGCTATGATGTTTCAGGCAGGAAGGGGTGGGGGCAGGAAAAAGATGCATGCAAACTAGGTCAGCACACTTTTTAAGCAACTTTCCCCAAAGCACCTTGTTGCTTTGACAAGAAGATAGTCACACAGCTACCTCTACATGCAGAGGAGACTTTAAAATATACCTTTTTAGCTGGGCACATTGACATCCCCAACAAAATCTGGGTTAAGTGGAGAGGGAAGAGGAACACAACGTTTTTTTCCAAGAAACGTTGAGCTGCTAAGTGCAGGGACCTAACCTGTGGGGATATAGGGATATAAAGAGATGAATAAGACAAAGTCCTTGACCATAATCACAGTGATTAATTTTTAATATCAAATTAATGTAATTAGGAACAATCTTCTCTAAGAGAATTAGCTTATCGGGTTTGCTTATCTTCCACAGAAAGTCAAATCTCAAGTTACTGCACTTTTCTTTGAGATAAATATGAATGAAAACTCTTGGCTAACCTAGTGATTAATACCTCTTTTAATCACGGGATTACTGATCATCTATTTAGTTAACATTTTTATACCAAGAATGTGGTAGTTGTACTGCTTAATATTTGTCTGCTCTGGCCCCAATCCACAGCACAGAGTTTAATAGTGACCTTTTACAAAAGAAGAGGAATCAAGTCCACTTTTTCAATGTCCTGTTTTTGATTCATCCCCAATTCTACACAACAGCCATTCTCTCTCTTTACTCTGATAGGAGGCATTAATATCTGAAGGTTTTTTAAGATAAAGTATTAACAAATTACATATTTCCTCTGAACATTTTTCCTTTTTAATAGAAAAAAAATAAAAATTATTTGTAGCTGGAGCAGGATTTGATACTTCACCTTTAAATAGATGGGAATATAGACCTATGTCAGTAACATCCAGAACTCATTTTACTTTGCTTTCAAACAATATTTGGGAAGATTGTAGTATTTTTAAAAGATAAGTATCTCAGTTGTTTATTAGACTGTCTAACACTGTGGAAACAAGATGGGTCTGCAGAAAATTCTCAGAGCTCCTCACGGTCACCAATATCTTTTACAGCCAAAGGAAGATTTGCTTTGTGAAAAAAGGCCCAATTTATATTAGAGAAAGCACTTCTGGCAGGTCTTTCCTAGAACACCTTCCTTGGGCTTTTGTCATAAAAATTCAATTGAATTCTGACATGTTTTGCCTCTACGTGCTCCACCACTGCTTCTTTCTTTCCTCATTAGTTTTTTTGTTTTGTTTAATACAGGGTCTTGTCCAGGCGTGGTGGCTCAGGCCTGTAATGCCAGCACTTTGGGAGGCTGAGGCGGGTGGATCACCTGAGGTCAGGAGTTCGAGACCAGCCTGGCCAACATGGCAAACCCCGTCTCTACTAAAAATACAAAAGTTAGCCGGGTATGTTGGTGGGCATCTATAATCCTGGCTACTCGAGAGGCTGAGGCAGGAGAATTGCTTGAACCTGGGAGACGGAGGTTGCAGTGAGCTGAGATCATGCCACTGCACTTCACTCTGGGGGACAGAGCAAGACTACATTTCGAAAAAAAAAAAAAAAAAAAAAAGACGGGGTCTTGCTCTGTCACCCAGGCTGGATGCAGTGGCGCGATCATAGCCCACCTCAAGTTTGAATTCCTAAACTCAAGGGATCCTCCTGCCTTGGCCTCCCAAAGTTCTGGAAATACAGGCATGAGCCACTGCACTTGCCCTCTAATCAGTCTTTTAAAGAGCTATGAAGTGCTCCTCACTTTTGTGCTCTGTGCAGTGTTAAATATACAAACAAAATAAACTAGGAATAAATCGACATCAGTGTTTAAGAAAAGTGTTACATGTATGTGATGGGATATGAGCTAGAATAAGGAGAGGCAGGGCACTATAGGCTTTTAAATTATTAAAATTTTGTATTATACAGGAAAGAAAGTTATGAAGAAGGTGGCTTTATTGGGACTCTCAGTTACAAGACACAGAAATCCAACTTGAACCAGCTTAAGCAAAAAGGAATTTATCTTTCATGTAACTAACCACCGAAAGATTAGGGGTAGAGCCAGACTCAGGGACAATGGGATTGAGGAGTTCAAACATCCTCAAGTCTTTGCCTTTTTCCCTCTCCTCTCTCATCTTCACAGTCTTTTTTCTAGATTGGCTTCATTCCACTGGGAAGACTGGAACCACAGCCACTTAGAGCTCTGGGCATTCTTTTGTACAAGTGCTTGAAAACATTTCCTGCCAGCTCTAATGAGAACTCCTGTGGCCAGGAACAAGGTCTGTAACTAGAAAGAGTATGGGACAAGTGCAGAGCAGTCGGAATAATCACTGCAAGCTGGGAGTGGCTTAAATGAAATTAGGGAGACCTCTGTTTAGTGATCTGGGAAGACCTATGGTTGATTGTTCAGTCTGCCTGTACTAGTTGCATGTCCCTGAAGAAAAGTGACTGCTTTTTCCCCATCTCCAAGGTTACTGTCTGCTCTGTGGACACCAGAAGGTTTCGGAGTAGAACAGTTGAGGTGGGCCAGTGAGACCAGGACACAGGTTTAAGATACTTCACCCTCCATGAGCCTTAACAGAAGTGGACATTTTCTTGAGCAGGAATTATGCATTAAATCTTGGGATGTACATAGCACAGTGTCTTGCTCCCAGGTGCTCAATCAATATTAATTTACCAATAAGAGAAACAATATGGTACAAATTAACTGCCAATTTCTCTCAATCAAATACTTTGGGTCCTCACTGACCCCAAGAAAGCCATCAGAATGTTCTCATAGGAAACTCACTTTGTAAATTAAGGCACTACCAGCAAGACTCAAGGAACGAAAATCACTCACCTTCCTATTTAAACATCTTCAATGCCATTGCCCTTGCTCACATTACCTTTCAGTTTCTTCTATACAAAGTGGAAATGCAAAGAATATATGGCCAAGCAGTTGGACTTTTTTGCTTAGGCAGAACTTGCCATAACTGATATGAAGAGGATGAGCTCCCCCAAAACATTTTTGGCATCAAACTCTTCCTCAGACTGACAAAGCCCCTTATTTCCATTCCAGTTCTGCATTCTGAAACCCTGTTTTCTAGATTCTGTGCTGTGATCAGGGTCTCAAAAACCTTAAATTTTTTTTAACCATCTATTATTGTCACACATACACACACAAAATTCATGATTACCTGCATTCATGCAGGCTAGATGTTTTCATATTCAATGATAAAGTACATGTTTGTAAGCTCAAGTCCAGCAGTGATCTGTGGTATAAATTGAAGAAAGGGGTAAACCACAAATTTCACCTCTCTCTCTGTTGTCTAGAACACAGTCTTTAAGATAGAAATAATGACCGCTGCTGCTGACATGGTCTGTAGACCACGTAATGACCCAAATAACCTTCATTGCGCATGACTTGTAATGAGATTATATTCTAAAGAGGGCAAGGTATGGAAGACATAATTGGTTTTTGTTAAAATTACATTTTTATGCCCTGATTTTCTGTTAAATTCTTGAGGGAGAAGAATAATTTCTTAGCCAAGCAGTGTTGCAAATCCTGTTCTAAAGTTGTCAGAACATGTTTTATTTCACATAGTAATCATACCTACTGCAGTCTAGCAAAGATACCAATGACAGCCAAAGAGCATTGTGAAATACCCTTATTTTTATTCTGAAGAAATGTACATATGTTAAAGTACTAAATCCAAAGAGAACATATCTGTGAATTGCTAAGAAAATATAGAAAAGTAAAGAAAGTTCTAGTCTTCAAAACAAGTGATAAACTTTTAAAACATTTTTGCACCACTGTAACAACATAGTACACATTTTACTATCTGTCCTAGAGGGAGATATACTAGTAAATTATAGGCGAACTATGACTTACAGTATAGTACATAGTGAATTCCTGATTATGAAAGGTTCAACAATATGAATATTTACAAAGTATTTCAATGTTCTTTTGGTTAAATAGAAGTCTTAAGTAATTATCAAGTGGGCACATTCTTTTTCTGTGGCCTCCACTTCCTATCAATGTGTTGCCTTCTGGGGGACCTGCTTTCCTTTCTGACTCTAGAGTGACCCTTTCGGATGTCTGCTGGTTCAGGCTTAAGTGGGATACCTCCCAGTAATATTTCTACTTGATTTGGAGACCACTGAAATGATAGCTTTCCTCCCTCTCCTCTAATCCACTTATATCCAAGGATCCCTGAATCGGCAAGAGGCCTGGGCTCTGTGGCCTTTTCCCTAGGCGGGACCTTCCTGTTGAATGTTCCTCTGTGTGTCCCCAGCTGGCTGCTATCCTATCCCACAGTTTTTCCCTGCAGAGATTGAGTAGGACAGGGAGTGGGGCCTTGGCTGCCACTTTGGAAAGATTGCCAGTTCCTTCATTTCAGCTCGGAGGCCATCACATTTGCCTAAAGTGTCACTTTTTATATTTTCCAGTTCATTGTGCACCAATTGTAATGAGATAGTTAGAAAAAACAGAAAACTGACACAGGGTTTCTTTTTTTTTTTTTTTCCCTGAAAAATCTAAGCTCTTAAAAGAATCCTGTTAGATTTCTTCAGACTAATTTGCAATTACCTATTCTAAAACAACTAATGTTATCCACATACTGGAGAACCCTACAACAAAACAATGAGACCTCTGTCTAGAGCTCATAACTGAAAGCATATTGACAATGTAAAAAAATTCCTCCCAAATGATACTAAGGCTGATGTGCTTTGTCTTCCAACTCAGCTTAGGCCTTGCTGAGGAGGGATGCAGGTTTTCTTTGTTTAACCCTCTTGTGTGTCACAGAGTAGCTTTGCTTCAGGTAGAGGGAGTGTGTTTATGGCCAAGTGTGAAGATTCTGGAGTAGGGGAGGGGTCCCTCTCCTACCACATTCAACATATCTGAGGCTGTGGCACTCACACACTGAGGACTTGAGGTTTTTTTAAATATTTTTGGAGACAGCACTTAATAAAGCACTTGAGAACCAAAAAACTCAGTTCAATGAAATTCAACACAATACACAAGCATGAGGTGATGACCAAGAAGAGGATGAAGATCGTCTTCTCAGTGGGTTTGGAGATGAAGCAGTCCACAGTGTTGGGACAAGGCTTCAAATCACACTTTATAAGGTAGGGAACACTAAAGCCATCATATAGCTTATAAAATAAAACAAGGAAGCCAATTTCAAAACCAGTTTTAACAATGAGGCTGATAAGATAAGCGTACCATAGGCCCCCATCCATTGTACCTGGGCTGACATAGAGTTTCTTTCTGTGCCTTTTCTCTCTACCCTCATGATAGGCTACATGTAAAACCACCAGAAGTGAAGGTGTGGAGACCATTATCAGTTGTAAGGCCCAAAGTCTGACTTGGGAAATGGGGAAGAAGTCATCAAAACACACATTTTTGCAACCGGGCTGTCTACTGTTGCACTCAAACTCTTTCTGCTCATCTTTCCACACGTGCTCTGCTGCCACCATGTAGACCAGCAAACGGAAGACAAACACGACAGCCAGCCAAATCCATCCAGTCCCAGTGGAGTATTTATTTACTCCACTCAGGAGATCTCTGAGGAACATCCAACTCATGACTTAGGCTCAAAAGAAGGCAAGACTCTGCAAAATAAGACAATTTCATCAGGATCCATTTATTTCTATTCTACAGATCGTTTCTACTATTTGAGGGATTATGTAAGATAAATTACAATTTCTGCATTATAACAACTCTGGTGGTTTAGGGCTCTCTAAGAATCCCGAAGGATATGCTGTCTTACATACAAGGAGATGATACAACTGGCCCATGGACATAATTAATCCCATGTCCACTTTAATTTGAGATTTGGTTGGTCATCTACCCCACCGCCCACTACCCCATTTTCAAACAATTCTGTGGTTGGCAAAATCTTTCTAGTTTATTGCTTCCCTCTAAAGATGGATGGGTCATGTTACTGATATGAAGAGAATTAGACATGAATATCAAGGTGATCCTGGTATCTTGAGATGTCCTTCACATACCAGATTGTTGACGCTATAGTCTCTACTCACTTTCTCTAATTCGTTAATGCCCTTCCCAGTCCTTAAGGTTTATTACCTGCCCCTGCTTCTTCTTGGTTCCCATATCCCATATCAGCAGCTCAGCTTGCCACCAATTTGATAATGAAAAGTGAAGCTCCCCAATACAAATTTCCTTAAACTCTGCTCCTTCACCCTCCAGACTGACATATTCATACCAAATTTACCTTCTTTACCCAGTTTGGAAAGAGAGTCTCCCTCTTCTTACCCCAAAATAATCATTCACGCTCTATATCCCATTCTTGATCTATCAGTTTTCTGTGTTTTGTATTCTGTGGTCTTCAATCTCCCGTCTCCTTTCTCTCAGTATACAAATATGCTTAAGTGTTGTCCATTTTTAGTGGGGGAGAGGGAGAATCTTCATAGCTTATCTTGTTGACAGTCTTTCTTCCTTTATTCCTCATTTCTACTTCCTCAACTGTTATTTACTCCTCAACTCATTGAGTCTAGTTTTTCTGCTCATCATTGTACTTAACGTTTATGCTAAAGTTAGCACTGTCATGCAACTGCCAAATCTTCTGGACACTTGGATTTTATGTAATTTTCCTGTGACATTTGACACTGTTGCCTGTGCTTGCATTCCTGAAACTTCTTCAGACTTGAGTTCTATACCACTCTACCCTCTCTTCTTGTTTCACGCCTCCTGATTCTTTCATCTTCGTTTTTGTTGTCCACCTCTTAAGAATTCTGTCCTTTGCTCTTTTCTTACTCTTTATGCTCTCCCTAGAAAATCTCACTCATCCCCATGGATTCGACTTCTGCTTTCACCTTCCTGACTCTCCCTAAACCTACACAGCTCCCTGCCTCATGATGATCATCTAAATGTCCCACAAGAATTCTGAACTTGATACATCTACAACTGAATTTATTCTTTTCCTTGCCCTTCAACTTCATTCTTATTGAATGGCATCACCAACACCCAAGCGCCTGTCAGAAATCTCATATTCATCCTAGACTCCTCTCTCATGACCTTTTTAATTGCCCACAAAGTTCTTCAGATTCCTCCTAAATGCATCTCAAATCCATCTCCAGGTCACTGCTGAAATCTCTGTCACTCCTACAACTCTCATTAGGTTCTATTTCCAGTCTCATTATCTCCTTCCCTCCCCTTCTAGTACATCCACGATGCTATTTAATTCTCTTAAACTTCTTCGCATCTCTTGCTCTTTTCTCAATAAAAGCTAATAAGAATCTGAAGAGCCTTCTTTTTCATTTCGGTGACATTTTCTTTCTGGCACTGACTGCTTCCATCTTATCATTGAACTTCGTGGGATGGGCCTGATTCATTGTTTGTTGGGTCCATGATATGCTCAGAACTCTGTTCTGTGCTTTTGAGTTGATCTCTCAAAACCACTCTGAAAGGTGGTTTTTGTTTTTGTTTTTGTTTTGTCTTTGTTTGCCTTATGATGGTGGTGGTTTTATTCTTGCAAATGAAAAGGCAGACTCAGAAATGAAGACACTTTCTCAAGGTCACAAAGTAAGATGCAGAGCAGGGCTCAAGTCTAATTTCCATTAACTGACAGCAAGGTTTCTCAACACTTGCACCATACACATTTTGGGCTGATTAATTCTTTGTTTCAGCAGCTGTCCTGTGCATTGTAGGAAGTTTAGTAGCATCTCTGGCTCCTAGCAGCTAGAAACCAGTAGCCAACCCTGTCCCCTACCATTTGTGACAACAAAAAATGTCTCCATATATTTTCAAATGTCCCCTGGAGAGAGAAGACAAAATCTTCCCAGTTGAGAGCCACTGCTTTAACTTTCTACCATAACCTGTAGATATGGGCTAGAGCTCCAGGCCTGCCATGAATTTACTTTATAATTTCTCAGGTGAAAACTTTGCCTTTTCAGGTCCTGTTTCCTATAGTACAATAATTAATACTTCTTGTTTTCTGCATAGACTCAGCCAAAAGAGAATCATGGAAATGGTGGTGTGAGTGGAAACGGGGAGTTAAGAAAACTGAGATGTTCCAACAGCACACATGTTGGGAGCATAATACATGTTCTCTTACAGAGGAAGCAATATAGAGCAAGCCCACATTCCAGAGCCCTGAGAAGGCAAATGAAGGCTAAGAGGTATTTTCAGGGAAAACAAAGCTACATGTACACAATGCCCTATTCAGCAGGGAATAAATACTTCAATGTCCTTGGTTTTCAGAACACAAACAAAATTGTATTAAATAAAAAGGATTCTTAAGCCTACCGGAAAGGTTAATGTCTTTATGAATTATTAAAACAAAGCCCCAAAGATTAAAAAGGAAAAAATATGTTTCCCTATGACATGTATCATTGGGCGTTTGTCTGTATTACTCAAGAGGATATTTATGTAATCTTACTAAACATTTGAAAGTACCTTGTTGGGCATTTTAGAGGTAGGAGGAAGGTAAGAGACTGTGTTGCTAAAAGAAAGGCAACAAAAAAAAAGTGACTGATCTTTGAATATAATCAGAGGATGATGGCATCAAATGTCATAATTATGACTTTTATTTTATAAATGTCCATCCTATTTTTTTAAAAAAATTTTTTTTCAGATGGAGTGTTGCTCTGTTGCCCAGGCTAGAGTGCAGTGGTGCAATTTCAGCTCACTACAACCTCCGCCTCCCGGGTTCAAGCGATTCTCCTGCCTCAGCCTCCCAAGTAGCTGGGATTGCAGGTGCCCACCACCACGGCTGGCTAATTTTTGTATTTCTAGTAGAGACGGAGTTTCACCATATTGACTAGGCTGGTCTCGAATTCCTGACCTTGCGATCCGCCCACCTCAGCCTCCCGAAGTGCTGGGATTACAGGCATGAGCCACCGTGCCTGGCCCCTATTTTCAAAGGATGGAAAGACAATGGCATTCTTATTCTTTACAATAAGAATATACAAAATTAAATCTGAAAAAAATAAACCTAATAAACACTATGAAATCAGAGACCTATCACTCTTTCATATGTATATATTTGGTTCTTGTAACAATTGGAGAAAGCTGTTTATAGAATAATGTTTACAAAGCAAGCCAATTAACGGACATCTGGAAGGTTACCATGTCGGAAAATCATATAGTGAATCCTTTTAAATCTTTCTTGCCTCTACATATATGTCAATGACTCCCAAATTATGTATCTCCAGTGTGGACCTCTCATCTCTGACTTTCAGCTGCCTTCTTATCATCTCCAATAGGATGTCATCTCATAAACTTAAAATATTCAAAAGTGAAATCTTGCCAGTACTTTCTTCACTTTATGAAGCACCATCCAAAGCACTGATCCTTCTCAGTGTTCTCTGCTTCAGTAAACTGCACCACCATCCGCCCAAGTGTTGAAGCCAGAAACTTGGAAGTCATTCTTCATCCTTCTCTTTGCCTCAAACCCCACATCCAATCTACATTCAAGGCCAAAGTTTTTACCTTTGAAATACATACCAAAACTTTTCACTCTTTTCATCTGCGCTTCCACCACTCTAATCCATGCCACCTTCATCTCCTGCCTGGAACACCATAATAGCTTCCTATCTGTCACTCTGTTTCTCATTCTTGCCCTCTCCAACCCATTATCCATTCAGATTAACTTTTAAAATGGAGACTGTATATTCTCATTTCTCTGCCCTACCATGGTTTTCTGTTGCATTGAGGGTAGGGGAAAAAAGGCCAAACACTTATCTGGACAACAATAGCCTGTGTAGTGGTGCCCATGCCTGCATCTCCAACCTTGTCTTGCACATCTCCAAAGGATACTGGATTCCAGACATGCTTTCCTTCCTTCAGTTTCTCCTTTAGACACTACATCCATTCTGTTCCTCCTTCCTGCAATACTCTGGTCCCCTTAACCTGAATCAGAGTGGCTTTCCCTGACCCCACTAATCTAAATTAGGTCTTCCTTGGTATTCTTGTTCATTATGTTGGCTTTTTTTCCCTCATGCCACTTATAAGTTGTAATCATATACTTGTTTTCGTGATTAATATCTGTACAGACCACATGTTCTTTAAGAGAAGGAACTAGAGTTGCCAGATGAAGCAAAAATGTAGAATGCACAGGAAATTTTGAATTTCAGATACTACACATAACAATTGATTCTCATTACGCCAATTTACCAAGCAAGCTTCTGAGTAATAATTTTTTTCATGCTGAAATTGTTTATGCTGTGCAAGGAAGTCCTCCTGAAATTAGATACAAGAGTTCCAGTTCCTGGAGATGCATTTTATAGATCAGGTCTCTGGGCTTGGCTCATGTGGATGAATCCCTTAGAATAGATTGAGTAAACAATGTGCCTGACTTTCTGAACTTTTGGAAATGAGTGCCAGTTCTGACTGTGGTGACACTGTTGAAACCCCTGTTGAGCAGCCCACTTGTTCTTCTCTTATTGCAGGATGAGCTTTGCCACACCAGCAACTTCTTGCCCAACACTGGAGGCTTTAACTTCCTGCGAGGTTCAGGCAATGTCAAGCTGGCCTCTGGGAGGAAGACAGGCAAGGCTACCTGCATAAATACTGTCCAAAAAGCCCTTGCACTGCTGGGAGCCAGAGAGCTGCTTCGTCATTCCCCAAAAGTGCTGGTTTGAAACTTGTGTTCGAGGAGCACTGGATTTCCAATTGCCTTGCAGACTGCCAGCGACACTCCCTGAAAAATCCTTCAGCCTTCATACACAGCTCCTTTCACCTCTTAGTAACAAAATGCTCATCCTTGGGCACTTGACCATTTATGCAGCATTTCACAGCATCTCATCCAATGCTTACCTCCATCCTCAGTAGTAAGCAGGATGTATGGTACAACCTTCATTTTAGTGATGGAAGAACTGAAAAACTCAAAGAGGTGGGATACTCATCCAACACTCCCAATAAGTCAGTAGCAAATCCAGCAGTAGAAGAACCCAAGTTCTGCCTGGCTAGTTTCTACTCTCCCCTGAGTGCTGGATTCTCTGGTACATTCATAACTCTGTTCTGCCTTGCACACAAATCATCTAACCCCTGAAGAAAAGCATTTCCTCCCAGGGGCATCTTTCCATCTCTGAGTCCTGTTGTGCCTGCTGACACTAGCAAACTCTCATTCCCCATCTGAATGAGGCATTTTTATTTTTGAAGATGGCCTATTTGGAAAATCCCTAAAACAGTGTTTCCCAAACCCAGGATCTGTGGCCCACTGAGGGTTTGTTGTTATATTCTTAAGTGTCTACAAGAAGTTTATATGTACGTTCATATTCCTAAGCTTTTAAAAAACAAACAGAAAAGCAAAAAAGCTGAATGACCAGCTCATATTTAAGGACTGCCAGAGGATTTCAGCATTTCTGCACTCATATTTATGAGCATTCTGCAAACTACACAGCACTCAGGCCCAATCCAGTCCACCACCTGTTTTGTAAATAACACTTTTTGAGACTCAGCCACGCCTAAATGTTTACTGTTGTCGATGGCTGCTTTCATGCTAGAACTGCAGTGTGGAGTAGTTGCGACAGAGACAGTATGGCCCTCAAAACCTAAAATATTTACTATCTCGCCCTTTGCACAAAACATTTACATAGTACTTAAAATCATAATGGAACCAAGTACCAGAACTTTAATTATTTTAGCCTATGAGAAACAACACATAACGGGTATGCTCAAGAGAAAGCCAAATAAATGAAGCCACGATGGGTAGATGTACAGCAGGAATGAAGCCTGCTAGTAGTTTGATTGGAGACGAGTGGTAGACGACAAACAAGCCATTACCTGGCCCACAGAACAAGTGAGCCTAGCTTCAAAGAATCAGGCTTCTATAGTCAGTAGCTGGTTCTCTCAATGAGCAGTGATTTAGTTTCAGCAACATGATGTCTTTTGTCTGTTAAACTTTAATTATTTTAATTGTACTCGTTTTGTAATGTTCAATTTTTATTTTGTAAATATAGATGCATAAGAGCCATAAATCTACAAGTAGTTTTAGGTTTGATACATGTAAATAATTGTATATTAAAAAAATAATATAAAAAACACTTCGACACTAGGAATCCATGAAATACTGAGTAGAAAGAACAGTACCCACATAGGCCAACACATGTGCATACACACCACTTGCAAGGTTTTTAAATTTCCTGTATAAGCATTGTCATTTTTAGAGAATCCCCTATTAAAAACAGTGCTAAAGTTGCCCTCCATCCACACAGAAAATGTCCCTAGAAGATCCTGGACTGCTCCTCTGTTCCCCCTCGTCCTGCTCATTCACATCAGCCCTCACACTTTTTGCTCAGGCCTGGCATTCTTTCTTGGCTACACCCTCTGAAAGCTCTAGAGTCAACCACACATTCCACATAGGCAACCTTACTTCGTGGCAGCTTATCCAGAAAGAGCACATGTGATGCGGCACAAAACTGAATGGCAGTATGATGAGGTTTGCAATAATTTGGATAACTTCTCTTACTGGAACTTTTTAAAAAGTAATGACTACCCACTTACAAGAAATGCAATTTTCCCATTAAATAGACAAAACTACAAGAAATGCAATTTTCCCATTAAATAGACAAAACTACAAGAAATGCAATTTTCCCATTAAATAGACAAAACCTATCATAAGAGAAATAAGCTTAACTTACCTCTTTACACAGATGTGGAGATTAATAAGAGATCCAGTCAGTTACTCATTTGATTTAAAAAAGCATGAGTTGGTTATATTGTTTCCCTGAGAGCAAACTAGTGCTTTAAGCCCAGTGGTTTCCAAGGTAGTGTAAGCCAAACAGGTGTAACCTGATCATTTGTTTTGGCACATAACTTAGATGAGAATTCCTGGGTTTCTGCTGTTTTCAATATGTATTGAAAGAGAACTGAAACTGGAAAAAATCCAAAATCGCTCATATACACGCAGTTCATTGAATATTACTTTGTATAAAACCTTGCTATCATCTACACAAAGAAGCTGGAACAATGAGAGTGTGTTTCATCTCTTTAAATGATTTTCCAACATTTTATCAAAAGCTACTTACCAAAATTCAATGAGCAAAATAACAATTTAAGTTAATTTATCTTTGATGAGCTTAATTTAACTTCACTTCATAAGTCCTATTCTTGGAAATCCAGAAAGTAAAAGGGCATAGTTTTCATTTTCATATTTTTAATAAATGTAATGTATACTATTATAAAAAAAGCTAATAGTACAGCAGTAGAGAGAAGTAAAAATCACTTTCCCAACCCCAGAAATCATTGATAACAGACATTTTCTATGTATATAAAAAACAGATGAGAGAGAGAGAGGGAGTGATTTAAAGTACTTTATCCTTTTATGGAACCATTTCTAGGCATGAGATCATCTAAAATTAAAGATATGTAGAAATGAAAACAAAATTATTTCCTGCTAGAATGAGAATAGCTTAGGAAGAGAATTTTACAGTTGGAAATGTTTTAGATGGTATGAAATTTAACACCTTCATTCCTTCATTTTAGAGATGAGAAAACATAACCAGAGAGTGGCCTGCTTTAGGTCTCAGAGCCAGCATGAAAAGTATAGAAAGGAGCTAGAGATGAAACCCATGTCTCAGAGCTCTTTCCTTCACATTGTGATGTCCACATCCACAAACCATGTGAGTTTCAGCACAGGTTCTCTCTGGTTGCTCTTCATATTCACAACCCTTGGTTATTCCATATATCCATATATGCAATCCAAAAATCCAAAGAAGAATGTAGTTTATTTTATTTTATTTTTTATTTTTTATTTTTTGAGACGGAGTCTCGCTCTGTTGCTAGGCTAGAGTGCAGTGGCGCGATCTTGGCTCACTGCAACCTCCCCTTCGCGGGTTCAAGCAATTCTCCTGACTCAGCTTCCCGAGTAGTGGGGACTACAGGCACGCGCCACCACGCCCAGCTAATTTTTTTATTTTTAGTAGAGACAGGGTTTCACCTGTTGACCAGGATGGTCTCCATCTCTTCACCTCGTGATCTGCCCGCCTCGGCCTCCCAAAGTGTTGGGATCACAGGCATGAGCCACCGCACCCAGCCTACAGTTTATTTTTTTAATCATCAATTTATATTATTAGTTATGTTACTGGGCAATTACTGGATAAATTACCAGATAAATCCAATAAAGCAGATATTGCTTTGTTTTCTGGGTTTTTGTTTTGTTTTTGTTTTTGTTTTTTTTTTACAGAGATCCCAGGATCCCAGAATATCGATCCAGTTCCCAGTTCCCAAAGGGTTTCCATCGTGATAAGATCCCAAAGTCTTGTCTCTGGAATTGTTTGTCCCTTTCAGTTTCCACTCCTTTGTTTATTACTGGCACTCACCAGACTTTATCCATGACCTTAAAGCATCACCTGTTTGTGCTAAGACACCTTCTGCTAGCAGCAGCGGGGCTGAGGACGTTTGTTGTTGCCACAACCTTGAAGGTGACTGTACTGAAGCCCCAGGCACTGATGATTCAGAGGATCCCAGCCTTCTAAAAATGTCAGCACTAACCCAAACAAAGGTAGCATGCAAGAATCCAGTATGACAGAGGTGTAATTTTCCAGACAAAGATCCCTCCAGTATCTTGCAGTATCTCACACAGAAGCTGGAAGACGGAGAAATTACCAGGGGCTGGGGTTGATCAGAAGAGGTTCTATGGAGAGCAGGTTACAAGTTGGATCTTTATGGAAAGAGAGGCATTAACATGGGCATATTATGGACACAGTGCCTCTGCTACACTTTTGACAAAGGGATTTAATTCTTCCACCTCCATCTTTGGTTTGGGAGAAACAAATATAATAATGACCACAGAAAGAGTGGAGCATTGTAATAGAAAATAACACCATATTGAAGTCAAAAGGCTAAGGATAAAGCGAAATAAGAAAGGCAGAACTGGAGAAATGGGATGAATACTATAAGCCTCATTCTTCTCTGCCCCTTTTGGATTTCAATTTTAATAGTTGCCTCTTCAGTGTGAATATGTGACGCTGCAAGATAATCAGAAAGTGCACAGCCCAGAGCAGACAAAGGCAGTGTAAGCCAGAGCCTTTGAATGACTGGTGTGTCCCCCTCAATGAACCACACAAGGGTGGAGGCTGCAGGAAAACACATCTGAGTGATCACTCTATCGAGAAAGACCACAGAGTTGTGTTGAATGCAGATGCCCTATGAGAAGAACATGGTCAAGGTTCTAAGCATTAGCACCAGAGCTGGCTGCAGTGATGGAGGTATAAGCACTATTATGCATTGGGAACCATCACACATGTAGAACTGTGCTTTAAACTTGACCTTTATTTCTCAGCAGTATCCCTCCCAAGAGAAGCCAGGGGTTCTGGTCTTTTTTGCACTGGTTAGAGGCAGTTGGAGCACTGTGTTTTGTTCTGGCCTGAATAGGGCCTTTGACAAACTCAAGTAGGTCTAAAAGACAGTGACCAGGGTGATGAGGACATCCCTAACTATGTCATAGAAAGAAGGATTGTAGCAACTTGAGATGTTTAGCCTGGAGAGGCAAGGTACGGGGGAGTTACTTATCAGAATTTGGTGTCATTTCTAATTCCAGGTTTGTTTGTTTTTTTCCCCACAATACATATCCAGCCCATAGACTCTGAGTTCAAACAAACTGGGCTTGGAATCCTGGACTTATTTCTTACTTAACTTCGTAGCCTTGCTCAAGATGCTTGACTTCTCTGAACTTCCATTTCCTTGTCTCAAAATGGGAAAAGCATTCCTTGCTTCACAGTGTTTTTATAATGGTTAAATGAAACAACAGCTGCTCAATAGATGACAGCTATCATTATCTTTGTAAGCAACACTGACCTTTGGTTGTATAATTTCCTGGCCAAAAAAAAAAATGGCATAAGAAATGAGAGAAGTATGCATAGATTTTGGGGAAAAAAACAACTACCTTTTGTACTGGGCAGCAAAACACTTGTGGGGAGGGCTGCCTCCACATCTCAGAACAACTACTTTTTGGTACAATTTGGAAACATAAGATACCTACATGAAGAAGGAAGTGCCTGGCAATTCTCAGTTATACCAGTAGTAGGAGATTATTTGTAGCATCTAGAGCAACTTCAGGAATGCAATAATCATTACTTAGTAATGATTGACATTTGTGACATCAAATCTGTCAAATGACAAGTGTTTTTGAGGTTTCCTGTTCAGGGAAGAATGGGGTGAAGGGCTCTGTGCCTTCAGCTGCTGCCTCTTCTGGTGCCATAGGTAGTTCATCCATCTTCTGCCTGATGTAGGAAAGAATGGAGGGGAAATACTCTGTGGGTACAGAATATCTGAGGGGCATAGAAATGGTCACATTTTAGCACCATTTCTATATCTGAAGTGAGTTTTCAACCTTTTTCAAATGAAAATGTGAGTCTTGATCTCTTGATTTTAATCACAGTTCATTGCTGCCTGGCAATCTAGTGGCATGAAGGACGTTGCCCCACACCATGGCTGACCGTCAGCAGAGCCACCGCTCTGGTCCCAGCCAGATACCCTGTCTCCTCCCAGAAATTGAAGGGCTCATATTTTCAATATTTGCACTTAAAGCATTAAATATGTTCTAAGCAATTTCCATGTCCAAGAAATGTTTTGAGATCTTATTTTTCCTAAGAAAGAAGAACTCACATATTACCTAACATCAATTTAGCTACCACTGCCTCAGACCTTTCAGGGTTTGACAGGGCTTTAAGTTGATGATGGCATGTGCCTCCAGCCCTAATTAGTTTTCTGGTTGTTGAGTCAACAAATGAAAAGCCATATTTCACTCTTCAGCGTTTTGTGGATCTTAAGAAAACAAGTGTGCAGTATCAGAAAACATTTAGAGCCAACTAATGTATTTGCTGTATATACAGTACAATAGTGACTATAGTCAGGTGACAGATAAATCTAGGATTTTATCTTGCTCCTTCCTTATTTGAATTTGCTTAAGAAAAACTGTGTGTGCACAGGGATGTTAATGCAGGTGTTGGGAAACAAACAAAAAATTGATCTCCACCAACTTTTGCCAAATAAACAATTCTTAACCACTTTCACACATACCCCCAAGAAGAATCCTATTTTAAGAGTTAAATTTTATATAGAGACATAAACACAGGCAATAGAATCCTATTCTAGAAAATTTATATAAATCCTTATACTTTAAATGTACCCTGTAGATTAATATATGAAACATAAATATGGACATAAGTAATGATCTCCCATCTAGAGTGATTGGAATAGACTCATTGCAACTATATCTTCATTATGTCCTCAGGAATTGTTGCCCTAATTATCTGGCAATAATGTGAAGGTATTGGGTAACAGCGTCTGACAGGTAATAGGTATTTAATGAATGTTAGTTCAATTTAAGGTTAAAGAGGAAAAGTATAAATAATATTACAAGTGTGTTGGACTGAAGACTTGGAGGGAAAGAGAGAAAGGATTTGGGGAATAACTATTACTCTTTTGTTCCTCCTCTTGGGAAGTCCTATTGACATGAGACTATTAGGGGAAGGGGGTTGATGTGGTACTGAATCTCTCCAAGATCGTATGTATGAATTTATATAAAGGGAAAAGACCTAGCCATCTTTTCTTGGTCTATGATTATTTCAGAGCCGACATTCTAAATTAGCCAACTCTTTGCAGGGGCTGATCTTTAATAATATTTAAATACAAGGTAGATTTACCCTGAAGCTAATGAAGTTTAAGCTTCATGGCCCCTGTCAGGCCCTGGGAAGGGCCTGGGCAGTATGTTCTCATAGTAACATGTTTCTGTAAAATCTGCAAATACATTTTAACCATAATCAGTCAAAACAGCTGTCTCTTTCTACTGTAATTTTTCCTTCATTGCACTTCCCCTCCTGTTAGATAGAGTTGGAGTGGCCACAGGACCCAACGAAGGGTTTGGGTAAGCTAATTTGGGCTTAGTTTTGATTTAGTGAGGTGTATTTATGTGGTTCACATTCAATCATATTTACAGTTAATTTATGGCTATGTGTTATGGTATAGGGGTAGCTTCCAAGAATCATACTACCTCCCACTGTGCTGACTCACCCAATGTTGTAACCAAAGGAGCAGAGATCAATGTCTCATTGCAATTTGGATGTGTCCAGTGAT
The DNA here is from genome assembly GCF_000001405.40 of Homo sapiens. Classification (NCBI taxonomy): domain Eukaryota; kingdom Metazoa; phylum Chordata; class Mammalia; order Primates; family Hominidae; genus Homo; species Homo sapiens. The sequence goes on from NC_000006.12 coordinate 87,297,370, forward strand.
ACCCAGCATCAAAAGAATGTGAGTTTGGAAGAGAAATATATCAAGGCAGATTTTAGTCTGTGGAAAAATCTTCCAAATATGGAGAAACTTAATGGAAGTTTTCCACAAATTGATCATTCCCAGTGTAAATATTATTAGTAAAAAGTAATCAGAAAAAAGAATATAAAATTAAAAATTGTTAATAATAAAAAGCACATTTTAAACAACTACACTAGAGAAATGACTGAATTATCTTTGTTGATTCTCTAGAGAAAATTTAACCAAGTTACTGTCACATGAAAAGGCAATTGAATATACAGAAAATAAAAGCTCCTTAAGGAATTTAGTCTAGTAGATTATAGAAACATTTCTAGGCTTCCACAAATGATTACAGTGTCATGAGGCAGGAGCTTCTAGTAGGATGAGCACTGAGTTAGTGGTGCTCCTCACTCCACCTGGACAGGCAGGGTCAGGGCAAATGAGGAGACTGGGTTTGAGGACTTAAAGATTTTGTAGAAACAGTTCACTTGACCCTAGAATGCAGGGCCATCTTTCTCTTTGGTTTTCTTATGATGATCCTCCAGAGAAGGGCTTGTCTTGGACAAGGCAAGGAGATAAAGAGTGTTTGAACAACTCTGTCACCAGAATTAAAGAGGTTTGATCAATCAAAAGTAAGTAAAAGTGTTCTGGTCCTTGAAAGCAGGTATTGGCTGGAGTCAGAGACAGAATCAAAGGGAATGGAGGGCTCTCCTCCTATTGGCTATGACAGATTTGTGGCCAATCAATCCTCTAGCTGAGAACAACTAGAATGGCTAATATAACTAAAAAACAAAACAAAGTTAAATTGTCTGAAGGCATCAGAGAGCCACCAGTGTAACTGGGGATTGTGGAACCAAGATCACTGAGAGAAAGAAAATTCACTGAAGCCAACCCAACATTCACCTTCTCTATTTCCCTTAGGTTTTCACTGATATAGAAGCAGCACAGGCCAAGAAGTGGAGAACCAAGAGGAAAGTGAATACTGTCAGGTTGAGGACTGAAGTTGAGCTATTGGCATATCTTGGTGCTAGTGAGTTAAAATTAGTCTTCAGTGTTTGCCAACGTAAAGAAGTCCTGGTACATACCCCAGAATTTCAGTAAGGCAAATAAGAAATGAAAGGGCTGAAATCCAACTCTAAATCACATGGAGTCCTTATCTGATGAAGATGATATGTTCCTACTCTGTGTCTCAGAAGCTAAAAACAAAACAAAACAAAAAAATACTTCTCAAGAGGAAAACAGCATTATCTAGAAAGAACTAACTTCTATAGTGTAAAATGCATAATTTCAGCCATTTAATCAAAACCATGGAAATGGGCTCGCCCCTCACTCGCCACTGACGACCTGTCTCACCGCACCCACGCCTCGCTGCCATCCGACAGAAATGCTTCAATTACCCACAGTCTTGCCAGATGAGACCGGTGTCCAGGGTACTAGCCCCTTATCTCACAGGATTTTGCCAAAGATGTAAAATTTGGTGCAGATTCCCAAGCCTTACTGCTTCAGGGTGTAGACTTTTTAGCAGATGCTGTAGCTGTTACAATAGGGCCAAAAACAATGATTGATCAACTGGGGAAGTTCTAAAGTAACAAAAGATGGTGTGACTGTTCCAAAGTCAATTGATGTAAAGGATAAACATAAAAATATTGGAGTTAAACTTGTTCAAGATGTTGCTAATAACACAAATGAAGAAGCTGGGGAGGCCATCACCAGTGCTATTGTACTGCCATGCTCTTTTGCCAAGAAAGGCTTTGAAAAGATTAGCAAAAGTGCTAATCCTGTGGAAATCAGAAGTGTGATGTTAGCTGTTGATGTTATAATTGCTGAACTTAAGAAGCTGTCTGAACCATGACAACCCCTGGAGAAATTGCTCAGGTTGCTACGATTTCTGCAAATGGAGACAAAGAAATTGTCAACATCATTTCTGATGCAAATAAATTTGGAAGAAAGGGTGTCCTCACAGTAAAGGATGGAAAAACACTGAATGATGAATTAGAAATTATTAAAGGCATAAAGTTTGATTGAGGCTATATTTCTCCATACTTTATTAATACGTCAAAAGGTTAGAAATGTGAATTCCAGGATGCCTATGTTGTATTGAATGAAATGAAAATTTCTAGTGTCCAGACCACTGTACCTGCTCTTTAAATTGCCAATCCTCACTGTAAGTCCTTGGTCATAATTGCTGAAGATATTGATAGAGAAGCTCGAAGTACATTCATTTTTAATAGGCTAAAAGTTGGTCTTCAGATCATAGCAGTCAAAGCTCCAGATTTTGGTGACAACAGAAAGAACCAACGTGAAGATACAGCTATTGCTACTGGTGGTCTGGTGTTTAGTGAAGAGGGGTTAGCCCTAAATTTTGAAGCTATTTAGCCTCGTAACTTAGAAAAAGTTGGAGAGGTCATTTTGACCAAATATGATGCTATGCTTTTAAAAGGAAAATGTTTTTCCTTTTAAGGCTCAAATTGAAAAATATATTCAAGAAATCGTTGAGCAGTTAGATGTTACAACTAGTGAATATGAAAAGGAAAAACTGAATGTATGTCTGGCAAAACTTTCAGATGGAGTAGCAGTGCTGAAGGCTGGTGGGACAAGTGATGTCAAAGTGAATGAATGAAAGACAGAGTTACAGATGCCCTTAATGCTGTAAGAGCTGCTGTTGAAGAAGGCATTGCTCTGGGAGGGGGTTGTGCCTTGCTCCAGTGCACTTGAGCCTTGGATTCATTAACTCCAGCTAATGAAGATTTAAAAATTCGTACAGAAGTTATTAAAAGAACACTCAAAAATCCTGCAGTGACTATTGTTAAGAATGCAGGTGTTGAAGGATTTTTGATAGTTGAGAAAATTATGCAAAGTTCCTAAGAAGTTGGTGATGATGCTATGTTATGAATATGGTGGAAAAAGGAAAAATTGACCCAACAAACATTGTGAGAACTGCTTTATTGGGCGCTGCTGGGGTGCACTCTGTTAACTAAATCATAAGCTGTAATTACAGAAATTTCTAAAGGGAAGAACCCTGGAATGGGTGCAGTGGGTGGAATGGGAGGTGAGATGTTCTTATTCCTAGAATAGTGCTTTATTAATGAACTGTGACAGGAAGCTCAAGGCAGTGTTCCTCACCAATAACTTCAGAGAAGTCAGTTGGAGAAAATGGCTGAAGGCTGATGTTTAAGAAAATCACTATAACCATCAGTTACTGGTTTCAGTTGACAATATATAATGGGTTACTGCTGCCATTGTCCATGCCTACAAATAATTTATTTTGTATTTTTGTATAAAAGGACATTTGTGCATTCCTGATATTGGGTGCAACCACCATGTACCAATGTACTTCTTTCAACTTAAATCACAGAGGTATTTTTACTACTATTCTATAAGTCAGAATTTTAGTGCTTACTATCACCAGATGAAAAGTTAAGCAGCCTTTCTGTAGAGAATAAGAATTGTGTACAAACTAGGAAAATATCCAATTATGTGACAACTTTGTGTAGTAAAAATTTGTTTAAGCTAAAAAAATAAACAGACTGACAAGCATCCAGATACTGATGTTAGTTAATACGGACTTTAAAATAGCTATTAATGTATTCAAGAAAATAAATGACAAGATGGAAAATTTCATCAGAGGATGAAAATACATTTAAAAAATCAATTAGAGGGGCGGTTCCAATATGGCTGAATAGGAACAGCTCCAGTCTACAGCTCCCAGCATGAGCGACAGAGAAGACGGGTGATTTCTGCATTTCCAACTGAGGTACCGAGTTCAGCTCACTGGGGCTTGTCGGACAGTGGGTGCAGGACAGTGGGTGCAGCCCACCAAGTGTGAGCCAAAGCAGGGTGAGGCATCGCCTCACCCGGGAAGCACAAGGGGTCAGGGAATTCCCTTTCCTAGCCAAGGGAAGCTGTGACAGACGGCACCTGGAAAATCGGGTCACTCCCAGCCTAATACTGCGCTTTTCCAACGGTCTTAGCAAACAGCACACCAGGAGATTATATCCTGCACATGGCTCAGAGAGTCCCACACCCACGGAGCCTCACTCATTGCTAGCACAGCAGTCTGAGATTAAACTGTAAGGCAGCAGCGAGGGTGGGGGATGGGCGCCCGCCATTGCTGAGGCTTGAGTAGGTAAACAAAGTGGCCGGGAAGCTCTATCTGGGTGGAGCCCACTGCAGCTCAAGGAGGCCTGCCTGCCTGTATAGACTCCCCCTCTGGAGGGGAAGGTCATAGCTGAACAAAAGGCAGCAGAAACCTCTGCAGACTTAAATGTCCCTGTCTGACAGCTTTGAAGAGAGTAATCGTTCTCCCAGCACAGTTTGAGATCTGAGAACGGACAGACTGCTTCCTCAAGTGGGACCCTGACCCCGGAGTAGCCTAACTGGGAGGCATCCCCCAGTAGGGGCAGACTGACACCTCACATGGCCGGGTACCCCTCTGAGACGAAGCTTCCAGAGGAATGATCAGGCAGCAACATTTGCTGTTCAGCAATACTCGCTGTTCTGCAGCCTCCGCTGCTGATACCCAGGCAAACAGGGTCAGGAGTGGATCTCCAGCAAACACCAACAGACCTGCACCTGAGGGTCCTAACTGTCAGAAGGAAAACTAACAAACACAAAGGACATCCACACCAAAACCCCATCTGTACGTCAAAATCATCAAAGACCAAAGGTAGATAAAACCACAAAGATGGGGAAAAAACAGAGCAGAAAAGAGAAAATTCTAAAAATCAGAGCACCTCTCCCCCTCCAAAGGAATGCAGCTCCTCACCAGCAATGCAACAAAGCTGGATGGAGAGTGACTTTGACGAGTTGAGAGAAGAAGGCTTCAGACGATCAAACTTCTCCAAGCTAAAGGAGGAAGTTCGAATGCATCGCAAAGAAGCTAAAAGCCTTGAAAAAAAATTAGATGAATGGCTAACTAGAATAACCAGTGTAGAGAAGTCCTTAAATGACCTCATGGAGCTGAAAACCATGGCACGAGAACTACATAACCAATGCACAAGCTTCAGTAGCCAATTCCATCAACTGGAAGAAAGGGTATCAGTGATTGAAGATCAAATGAATGAAATGAAGCGAGAAGAGAAGTTTAGAGAAAAAACAGTAAAAAGAAATGAACAAAGCCTCCAAGAAATATGGGACTATGTGAAAAGACCAAATCCATGTCTGATTGGTATACCTCAAAGTGACGGGGAGAATGGAACCAAGTTGGAAAACACTCTGCAGGATATTATGCAGGAGAACTTCCCCAACCTAGCAAGGCAGGCCAACATTCAAATTCAGGAAATACAGAGAATGCCACAAAGATACTCCTCGAGAAGAGCAACTCCAAGACACATAATTGTCAGATTCACCAAAGTTGAAATGAAGGAAAAAATGTTAAGGGCAGCCAGAGAGAAAGGTTGGGTTACCTACAAAGGGAAGCCCATCAGACTAACAGCGGATCTCTTGGCAGAAACTCTACAAGCCAGAAGAGAGTGGGGGCCAATATTCACCATTCTTAAAGAAAAGAATTTTCAACCCAGAATTTCGTGTCCAGCCAAACTAAGCTTCATAAGTGAAGGAGAAATAAAATCCTTTACAGACAAGCAAATGCTGAGAGATTTGTCACCACCAGGCCTGCTCTACAAGAGCTCCTGAAGAAGCACTAAACATGGAAAGGAACAACCAGTACCAGCCACTGCAAAAACATGCCAAATTGTAAAGACCATCAAGGCTAGGAAGAAACTGCATCAACTTATGAGCAAAATAACCAGCTAACATCATAATGACAGGATCAAATTCACACATAACAATATTAACCTTAAATGTAAATGGGCTAAATGCTCCAATTAAAAGACACAGACTGGCAAATTGGATAAAGAGTCAAGACCCATCAGTGTGCTGTATTCAGGAGACCCATCTCACATGCAGAGACACACATACGCTCAAAATAAAGGGATGGAGGAAGATCTACCAAGCAAATGGAAAGCAAAAAAAAGAAGGGGTTACAATCCTAGTCTCTGATAAAACAGACTTTAAACCAACAAAGATCAAAAGAGACAAAGAAGGCCATTACATAAAGGTAAAGGGATCAATTCAACAAGAAGAGCTAACTATCCTAAATATATATGCACCTAATACAGGAGCACCAAGATTCATAAAGCAAGCCCTTAGAGACCTACAAAGAGACTTAGACTTCCACACAATGATAATGGGAGACTAACACCACACTGTCAATATTACACAGATCAATGAGACAGAAAATTAACAAGGATATCCAGGAACTGAACTCAGCTCTGCACCAAGCAGACCTAATAGACATCTACAGAACTCTCCACCCCAAATCAACAGAATATACCTTCTTCTCAGCACTACGTTGCACTTATTCCAAAATTGACCTCATAGTTGGAAGTAAAGCACTCTTCAGCAAATGTAAAAGAATAGAAATTGTAACAAACTGTTTCTCAGACCACAGCACAATCAAACTAGAACTCAGGATTAAGAAACTCACTCAAAACCACACAACTACATGGAAACTGAACAACCTGCCCCTGAATGACTACAGGGTACATAATGAAATGAAGGCAGAAATAAAGATGTTCTTTGAAACCCATAAGAACAAAGACACAACATACCAGAATCTCTGGGACACATTTAAAGCAGTGTGTATAGGGAAATTTATAGCACTAAATGCCCACAAGAGAAAGCAGGAAAGATCCAAAATTGACACCCTAACATCACAATTGAAAGAACTAGAGAAGCAAGAGCAAACACATTCAAAAGCTAGCAGAAGACAAGAAATAACGAAGATCAGAGGAGAACTGAAGGAGACAGAGACACAAAAAAAACCCTTCAAAAAATCAATGAATCCAGGAGCTGGTTTTTTGAAAAGATCAACAAAATTGATAGACCGCTAGCAAGATTAACAAAGAAGAAAAGAGAAGAATCAAATGACGCAATATAAAATGATAAAGGGGATATCACCACCGATCCCACAGAAATACAAACTACCATCAGAAAATACTATAAACACCTCTATACAAATAAACTAGAAAATCTAGAAGAAATGGATAAATTTCTGGACACATACACCCTCCCAAGACTAAACCAGGAAGAAGTTGAATCCCTGAATAGACCAATAACAGGCTCTGAAATTGAGGCAATAATTAATAGACTACCAACCAAAAAAAGTCCAGGACCAGATGTATTCACAGCCAAATTCTACCAGAGGTACAAGGAGGAGTTGGTACCATTCCTTCTGAAACTATTCCAATCAATAGAAAAAGAGGGAATCCTCCCTAACTCATTTTATGAGGCCAGCCCCATCCTGATACCAAAGCCTGGCAGAGACACAACAAAAAAAGAGAATTTTAGACCAATATCCCTGATGAACATCAATGCAAAAATCCTCAATAAAATACTAGCAAACCAAATCCAGCAGCACATCAAAAAGCTTATCAACGATGATCAAGTGGGCTTCATCCCTGGTTTGCAAGGCTGGTTCAACATATGCAAATCAATGAACGTAATCCAGCATATAAACAGAACCAAAGACAAAAACCATACGATTATCTCAATAGATGCAGAAAAGGCCTTTGAGAAAATTCAACAGCCCTTCATGCTAAAAACTCTCAATAAATTAGGTATTGATTGGACGTATCTCAAAATAATAAGAGCTATTTCTGACAAACCCACAGCCAATATCTTACTGAATGGGCAAAAACTGGAAGCATTCCCTTTGAAAACTGGCATAAGATAGGTTTGCCCTCTCTCACCACTCCTATTCAACATAGTGTTGGAAGTTCTCACCAGGGCAATCAGGCAGGAGAAAGAAATAAAGGGTATTCAATTAGGAAAAGAGGAAGTCAAATTGTCCCTGTTTGCAGATGACATGATTGTATATCTAGAAAACCCCATTGTCTCAGCCCAAAATCTCCTTAAGCTGATAAGCAATTTCAGCAAAGTCTCAGGATACAAAATCAATGTGCAAAAATCACAAGCATTCTTATACACCAATAACAGACAAACATAGAGCCAAATCATGAGTGAATTCCCATTCACAATTGCCTCAAAGAGAATAAAATACCTAGGAATCCAACTTACAAGGGATGTGAAGGACCTCTTCAAGGAGAACTACAAACCACTGCTCAAGGAAATAAAAGAGGATACAAACAAATGGAAGAACATCCCGTGCTCATGGATAGGAAGAATCAATATTATGAAAATGGCCATACTGCCCAAGGTAATTTATAGATTCAATGCCATCCCCATCAAGCTGCCAATGACATTCTTCACAGAATTGGAAAAAGCTACTTTAAAGTTCATATGGAACCAAAAAAGAGCCAGCATTGCCAAGTCAATCCTAAGCCAAAAGAACAAAGCTGGAGGCATCACACTACCTGACTTCAAACTATACTACAAGGCTACGGTAACCAAAACAGCATGGTACTGGTACCAAAACAGAGATATAGACCAATGGAAAAGAACAGAGCCCTCAGAAATAATACCACACATCTACAACCATCTGATCTTTGACAAATCTGAGAAAAACAAGCAATGGGGAAAGGATTCCCTATTTAATAAATGGTGCTGGGAAAACTGGCTAGCCATATGTAGAAAGCTGAAACTGGATCCCTTCCTTACACCTTATACAAAAATCAATTCAAGATGGATTAAAGACTTAAACGTTAGACCTAAAACCATAAAAACCCTAGAAGAAAACCTAGGCATTACCATTCAGGACATAGGCATGGGCAAGGACTTCATGTCTAAAACACCAAAAGCAATGGCAACAAAAGCCAAAATTGACAAATGGGATCTCATTAAACTAAAGAGCTTCTGCACAGCAAAAGAAACTACCGTCAGAGTGAATAGGCAACCTACAAAATGGGAGAAAATTTCCACAACCTACTCATCTGACAAAGGGCTAATATCCAGAATCTACAATGAACTCCAACAAATTTATAAGAAAAAAAACAACCCCATCAAAAAGTGGGCGAAGGACATGAACAGACACTTCTCAGAAGAAGACATTTATGCAGCCAAAAAACACATGAAAAAATGCTCACCATCTCTGGCCATCAGAGAAATGCAAATCAAAACCACAATGAGATACCATCTCACACCAGTTAGAATGGCCATCATTAAAAAGTCAGGAAACAACAGGTGCTGGAGAGGCTGTGGAGAAATAGGAACACTTTTACACTGTTGATGGGACCGTAAACTAGTTCAACCATTGTGGAAGTCAGTGTGGCGATTCCTCAGGGATCTAGAACTAGAAATACCATTTGACCCAGCCATCCCATTACTGGGTATATACCCAAAGGACTATAAATCATGCTGCTATAAAGACACATGCACACGTATGTTTATTGCAGCACTATTTACAATAGCAAAGACTTGGAACCAACCCTAATGTCCAACAATGATAGACTGGATTAAGAAAATGTGGCACATATACACCATGGAATATTATGCAGCCATAAAAAATGATGAGTTCATGTCCTTTATAGGGACATGGATGAATTGGAAATCATCATTCTCAGTGAACTATCGCAAGAACAAGAAACCAAACGCTGCATATTCTCACTCATAGGTGGGAATTGAACAATGGGAACACATGGACACAGGAAGGGGAACATCACACTCTGGGGTCTGTTGTAGGGTGGGGAGAGTGGGGAGGGATAGCTTTAGGAGACATACCTAATGCTAAATGACGAGTTAATGGGTGCAGCACACCAGCATGGCACATGTATACATATGTAACTAACCTGCACATTGTGCACATGTACCCTAAAACTTAAAGTATAATAATAAAATTTAAAAAAAAATTTTTAGCCAAAAAAAAAAAACTATTAAAAAAAAGATGGATTAAAGACTTAAATGTTAGACCAAAAACCATAAAAACCCTAGAAGAAAACATAGGCAATACCATTCAGGACATAGGCATGGGCAAGGACTTCATGTCTAAAACACCAAAAGTAATGGCAACAAAAGCCAAAATTGACAAATGAGATCTAATTAAACTAAAGAGCTTCTGCACAGCAAAAGAAACTACCATCAGAGTGAACAGGCAACCTACAGAATGGGAGACAATTTTTGCAATCTAGTCATCTGACAAAGGGCTAATATCCAGAATCTACAAGGAACTCCAACAAATTTACAAGAAAAAAACAAGCAACCCCATCAAAAAGTGGGCAAAAGATATGAACAGACACTTCTTAAAAGAAGACATTTATGCAGCCAACAGACACATGAAAAAATGCTCATCATCACTGGACATCAGAGAAATACAAATCAAAACCACAGTGAGATACCATCTCACACCAGTTAGAATGGCCATCATTAAAAAATCAGGAAACAACAGGTGCTGGAGAGGCTGTGGAGAAATAGGAACACTTTTACACTGTTGGTGGGTCTGTAAACTGGTTCAACCACTGTGGAAGACAGTGTGGCGATTCCTCAAGGATCTAGAACTAGAAATACCATTTGACCCAGCCATCCCATTACTGGGTATATACCCAAAGGATTATACATCATGCTGCTATAAGGACACAGGCACACGTATGTTTATTGCAGCACTATTCACAATAACAAAGACTTGGAACCAACCCAAATGTCCTTCAATGATAGACTGGATTAAGAAAATGTGGCACATATACACTATGGAATACTATGTAGCCATAAAAAATGATGAGTTCATGTCCTTTGTAGGGACATGGATGAAGCTGGAAACCATCATTCTCAGCAAACTATCACAGGGAGAAAAAACCAAACACCGCATGTTCTCACTTATAGGTGGGAATTGAACAATGAGAACACTTGGACACAGGAAGGGGAACATCACCCACCGGGGCCTGACATGGGGTCGGGGGAGGGGGGAGGGATAGCATTAGGAGATATACCTAATGTAAATGACAAGTTAATGGGTGCAGCACACCAACATGGCACATGTATACATATGTAACAAACCTGCATATTCTGCACGTGTACCCTAGAACTTAAAGTATAATAAAAAAATCAATTACAGATTCTAATTAATATCCCGTAACTGAAATTAAGACTGCAAAAGATAGCTTTAACAGCAGATTAACTGAAAAAAGATTTATTAATCTGGAAAACAAATCAGTAGAAAATGTCACTTGAAGCATTGAGAGAAAATAAGATGAATATGTATTTAACAAAAAAGAAAAAGACATTTGGGGCATAATGAAAAGTTTAAAATATAAATCCTCAGAGTCCAAAATGAGAGAAAAGAGAAAATAGGGAGAAATAATTTTGATTATTGGCCAAGAATTTTCTCAATCATGCAAAAATTATCATGACATATATTCAAGAATCTTTATGAATCCCAAGGAGGATTAACACAAAGGAAAACTTACTGAGGCATATCGTGATAAGACTACTGAAAACCAGAGACAGAGAAGACCTTAAAGGCAACCAGATAAAAAAAAATGCATGACTTTTAAAGAAACAAAATAATAAAAATAAAGGATTCCAGAAAAACAATGTAATGACATATATGACGTGCTGAAAGAAAAGAATTGCAATCTAAATTTACCCAATTAAAATAATCTTATAGGGAACACATCTCCATCTCCTTTTCCTGACAAAAAAAGACAAAGATATTATGAATCATCTGTAATGAATACTGGAAGTGTCCCTCTGGCTGGGCTGAATTCCCTTTCTTGCATGTTTCCGATTGGCATGGACAGTCAGGGAGAGATGTGGGAGGTTTGGAAGAGAAGCCACAGCCTTGGCGGCTGACACACGTTGTTGCTGTCACACTGATTCACCTTGTTGGTGTGAAGCAGCAGCTGGGCCTGCAATTGCTCTACATTCTCCTGGATCCTCCTTCATCTTCCCTGACTCATGGGCCAGGTACGTGTTTAGCTTTGTAATGAAGGGCACAGGCTTCTGCAGGATACCCTTGTCACCAAGGTCAGAGGCAACAAGACAAATGTTTCAGTTCTTCCTTATGGATTTCCAGCTTGTGCTTTTGAGTTCCAGCCTTCCAGAGTCTTCCCTGCCTGACTGCCTGCATCGTGGACTTCCCACTCCAGCATCACACATGGAGACAACGGCCTCACAGAGACTGTTCAACCAGCTCCCACAATTGCACAGTCCAATTCTCTGAAAGCTCAGAAACAGACCCACACATACACAGTCTCTTCCGTGGTGAGCAGGTATATGCAACCTACCCCAAAGGCCAAGGGAGCTGAAAGGCTGAAGGAAGAGGCTGACAAAACCAGTTTCTCAGAAAGAAAATATTGATTTTTTTTCTTCTGTTTTGAGATGTATTGATCAGAGAAGAAAAAAGAAAATATTTAATAGGGACTTAAAAACAGAAACCATGTTTCTGGTGGCTGTAAGACAGTGAATCCCTGCATCCACCCTCTAGAAAGTATCCTTTCTATAGGAAGCTTTTGTGGTAAGACATACAGCTGCTCATATCTCAGACTTTCTTGCTGAAACTTGTGACTACTGGAGAGGTCAGAGAAGCAGCTTTATGAGGGGTTGTCTGTGCTATGAGCATTGTTTAAAGACCTTGCTGCAGAACACCTTGGTATGCAAGAGTCAAACATTGGTCATCATGGTAATTTTGCATCAAGATGGATCACTCTTTCATGCAACAGGCTGGTTTCCTATATAGTCCTTAATCTTTTATGGTGATGCTGCAGTGTAATGGGGGAGAAAATGGTCTTTTCAATAAACAATGCTGGGCCAATTGGAAATCCATATGGAAAAAAAATTCATCTTGATTGCTAACTCACACGATACACAAAATACAACTGTAGAAGGATGGTAGATGTAATCAAGAAAGATAAAATAATAAAGTTTCTAGATTTTAGAATATAACAAAGAAGAATATCTTCATTACCAGGGTGTAGGAAAAGATTTCTTAGATATGATATGAAAAGCACTAATCATAAGGCCTAATAAATTGAATTTCAGTGTTTCGAGGAATTGATAACTTGAATTTCATTAAAATTAAGAACTTGTTAATCAGAAGACACCATCAAGAGAGTAAAAAGGCAATCAGAGGATGGGAGAAGATATTTGCAATACATGTATCTGACAAGAAAACTATATCCAGCACCTATACAGAATTCATAAAAATTAATAAGAAAACATAAACAAGTGTGGGAGGGGGGTGAGGGATGAAAGACTACACATTGGGTACCATGTACACTGCTTGGGTGATGGGAGCACCAAAATCTCAGAAATCACCATTGCAGAACTTAGCCATGTAATGAAAAGCCACCTGTTCCCCCAAAACATATTGAAATAAAAAAAAATAAACCAAATATTCATACAAATCAACAAGAAAAATTGAGAAGCTCAATCAAAGCCAAAAAACAGGTACTTTGTAAAAAAGGATACCCCAATGGAAAATAAGCATATAAATGGATACTAATCGCCAAAATATTGAACCTTAACCAAAACATCTTAACTTAAACACACTTTGTATAAGAATTAACTCAAAATGAATCATCTATCTAGATGTAAAACATATTATATTACTATAAAACTTTCAGAAGAAAACACAGAAACAAATCTTCACAAACTGGGGATAGGCAGAGTTCTTAGAGATGATTCCAAAAGCAGGAGCCAAAAGAGAAAATAAGGAATAAACTTCTTGTAAGTCTATCTTTATTTCCAAATAAAAAGTTTAAAAATAAGCATATGAAAAGAGAATAATTATAACCATCAAGGAAATACAAATTAAACCACAATGTGCTACCACTACACAGCCACCAGAATGGCTAATACCAAAAAGACTGACACTATTAAGTATTGCTGAGAAGATATGGAAACAAACTTGCATTCACTTCTGCTGGGAGTATAAATTGGTGCAATCACTTTGAAAAACTATTGAATCTATTAAAATTGAACATATGGTTACCAATGACTTAGCAATTCCAATCCCAAATATATACATATGTGCATCAAAATACAATAATGTTCACAACAGCACTATTCATAATAGCCTCAAACTGGAAATACCCAAATGCCCATCAACATTAGAATGGGTAGATACATTGGGAAATATTCATATTGTCAACCTCCTCACAAAGACCACCAGAAAAACCTGTTGACCAAGCAAAGCTTACACAGTCTTAGTGTCTCTAAAAAGAGAAATCACAGAGGAATATATACAGGGTTTGGGATTCTGGATTCATGAGGTTAAGGCAGGTATTTCAAGGTGGGGAATTGATAGGAATGTGTGAAGTTCATGACACAGTATTTTAGGACTGGTGGACACAGTAAGGTGACAGTCTGGAGATGAGTTTTATGAAGAGCAAACTATTGTCCTGATTAAGTGAGCTGTTTACCTCAGTAAGCAAACTGATTGTATAAATTGGTTTGCAGAATTTGCTGATACAAACAGTATAGTACTTTATTGTTCTGCAATCACATTTTTCCTGGCAAGAATTTCTTGGGGAATAAAAGCAATAATATTGACACAGGTGGTCTCAGCTCTCAGTCCCATAGTTAAGTTCAGGCTGATGCAGGTACCCTTGATTCTTAATACTATGGAATATTAGACATCAATGGGAATGAATAATGAACTAATAAATGCATCAGTATGAAGAATTGTAAAGCCTAAAACTAAAAAAGAACTAGTATGTGGTGATAGAAATAAAAAAGTCAGTTCCCAGGGGAGGGAGTGGATAGTGAGTGGGAGGAGACATAAGGGATTCTAGGATGCTGGTGATATTCCAGTTCTTATTTTGGATGTTGGTTACCTGAGTATGTTCACTTGTGAAAATCCATCAAGCAGTAGACTTAGAATTTGTATGCTTTTCTATTCATATGTTATACTTCAATTAAACAAAAAGTTTACTTAAAAACTGGAGGTGGTCGGGCCGGGTGCAGTGGCTCACACCTGTAATCCCAGCACTTTGGGAGGCTGAGGTGGATGGATCACGAGGTCAAGAGTTCAAGACCAGCCTGGCCAAGATGGTGAAACCCCGTCTCTACTAAAAATACAAAAATTAGCCAGGCATGTTGGCAGGCACCTGTAATCCCAGTTACTCAGGAGGCTGAGGCAAAGAATTGCTTGAACTCGCGAGGCGGAGGTTGCAGTGAGCCGAGATGACACCACTGCACTCTAGCCTGGGCAACAGAGTGAGACTCTGTCTACAAAAAAAAAAACAAAAAAAAAACTGGAGGTGGTCAAGGCAAAGCTCTAAGTTTAGCACCAGTTTATGCCTTAAGTATGTTGTTGAAAATAAATGCAACAACAGTATTAAAGAACATTTTAACAAAAGAAGAGAATCTCTTACAAGTATACAAGCCAATTATCCCTTTTGCCTTGATTCACCCAGTTTCCGTTATTACATACCTGCTGCCACTTTGCCTTATTTTATCAGACATTCATGGGGAAATGGCAGAACACTCTTTACCCGCCTCCCTATTCAAATTGTATTGATCAAAGCTCTACTTTCTTCAGGAAGAAAACGTGTAATATATGATGTTTATGAGCCATGGCTGAAAGAGACAGGGCATTCCTAGTTGCTTGGAATGAGTGGTAGAGGTTTAGTGATCTGAAACAGAAATAAGGTGAGCATCTTGTTCAGATTAGAAAAACCCAAAAGTCCTGTTACCATGTGAGACTGTCCTCTCCTGGAGATTTCAGTCTTTTCACTGTGCATTTTAAACAACTTCTATCATTAATCAAGAAAAGCACTTAGCTTGTCACTGGGTTATCTTAATTTGGCACATTCACAGCTCTGCTGTGAATAAAACAATGACGGTAATCTACAAATAATCCTGCCTGTGTGTCATCTATTGTATAACAACTTCTAAATGATTTGAGGAAAACCTCACAAGTTTTCAAATGTATCAAGGAACAGGAGAAGAAAGGGGATAAAAAGATAGACAAAAATAAAAGAGAAGGAATTCTTCCTACTACTTATTGAACTTAAGACTTTTCAGTTTTATTTGAGGCATTATGGGACACCCTTTTAGGACTATTACAGTAAAGGACTTTATTATAGCTAATGCATGTAAGTAACTCAATTATTTGCTTTATGCCCTAAAAGGATGGAGTTAAAAATAGAGTTTTAATCTTCCCAAAATCTCTGTATTTCTTGTAAGTCTTGTGAAGTACCTTCTCAGGATAAATGTCACTGTATTCAAATAAAATTGCCCCATTCCTAATCCATAAAGATTTATTATTAATTCCAATCATATTCAAATCTCAACCATCTGAAATGGTTGTTATGTCTGTTGTGTTGGAGGCTTCACTAGGTCAGAAATATAAATCTTCAGAGAATTCTTTTGAGTTAAAATATCACACGTCTCTCTCCCCAAAGTAGAAACTATGTAATAAAAAGCAATTATGACTTATTTGGCAAATGGAAAAGGAAAGAAATCACCTTATCATGTAGGTCAGCGTTTCTGAAAGTGGGGTTTGAGGAGCAGCAGCAGCACCTCAGAACTTTTTAAAAACGGAAATTCCCAGGCCCACTCCAGACTACAGAATCAGAGGCTCTGAGAATGGGATCTTGTAATCTGTGTTTTAACAAGATCCTCCAGGTGATTCTAATGCATGCTCAAGTTTGAGAACTCCTCATGCAGGATAATGCTGAGGGGATGTGGATGTTTTGGACCAATTGACAAGTCTTCAGAAGCACTAAGAAATCTTGTGAGTTCATCTGTTAAGCTCTGGGACATCTCCCCTAAATAGCTATACATTTCATAAGGTACTGCTTTTTATATCTACATTAAAGTTGTTTTATTTCACAGGCACTGTATGGTAAGCAGCAATTTCTAGTACAACCTAAATGTTTCCATGCTTTTCTAGTATCTGGGTAAATATAAGGCCATTAGAACATTGATACTGGCATTTCACTGACTTATTTGCTTCTCCCTGGAAACTTTAGGACCTTAGCCCTCCCTACCCAAGGGTGTGGCTAGTTACAAAAGATCTGCAACAAAGCCTCACACGGGCCCCTCTCTATCTCAGAGGGCTCCCCTTTTTTCCCTCCTTTCTGGGAAGTAGGTTTGGGCAAGGGTAGAAAAGTAAGAAGAAGGGTGAGTTTAGGGGTTTCTTTGTGTTTTTATTTCAGTTATGGGATGAAGTTTATGAAGAAATAAGAGACCTGTGCCTCAGCACCTTGAGACAAGTTGTTTCTGTAACCCTGGGTGCTGTGGGAAGAAGCTACGGAATTTTTTAGGACATGGATAGAGGCTGTAGGCCCATCCTGACCAGTTCCACTCTCTTCCACTTAGCCCTCTTTGACTTTATCTCACTCCCACCTTCATTCTGGGCAAGTGGCCCCTCAGGGTCTATGGATTCAAAGCAATGCATTGGTTACTTCACTTCACCATGGCACCCCACCTCCTTACTTAACATCTCCCTAGTCTACTCAACATTCTTTCAATTAATATTTCTGGAACTCTTTAATATATCTGGGAATCCAGCTGTAAGCAAAACTTAACGCATTTAGGAATGGAGCTTGCATGGAGCTCCATGGAACTTTCCTGGGGCATCCACGCCTTCACAGAACTGACATTCTAATGGAGAAGAGAAACAATAAAGAAATAAATCATATGATGTCAGGAAATAATAAACTTTTTTTAGGTAACTCAGGAATCTCTCTTGTGCACTCAGAGACGATAGCTCTCTCATGTGTACTCAGAGCAAAGATAGGCCCAGCTATCTTTCCACTCTGGCCCCCTCATTTAATTAGCCACCATTGGAAGAAAGCATCTCTTTTCCACAAAAATGTGGCAAAAGCACCACTCAGTGGAAAAGAGTTGTTTTCTGGATGCTGCTTTTCAGGAGCATATTCCCCGCCGACCCCTTGTGTGAAGTGGGCGTCTGCTGATTTCATCTTCCTAGCATCTGTTTCCCAACCCAACTGGTGGGGAACTGCACCTCCACAATTATGATAATGTGACCTTAACCCTGGCCTGTCCAGCAATGATATCTTTCCTCCTGTCCAAAGCAATTTGTCCTGAAAAAGGGCACAAACCCAAACAAGGCCAAAAGAGTTGTTCCATGAGATTTGATATATGGGTGATAGGGAAGGCTTCCTTTCCACTTGGATGTATTTTAACAGGATAGAAACCTGGAGCTGCCAGCAGGGATGTGCCCAATATATGAAATGAGTGTATTTAAGAAACAGAATAGAGGCCAGGTACGGTGGCTCACACCTGTAATCCCAGAACGTTGGGTGGCCAAGGCGGGTGGATCACCTGAGGTCAGGAGTTCAAGACCAGCCTGGCCAACATGGCAAAACCCCATCTCTACTAAACATACCAAAAAAAATTAGCAGGGCATAGTGGGGTGTGCCTGTAGTTACTATTGCTTGGGAGGCTGAGGCATGAGAATCACTTGAACCTGGGAGGTGGAGGTTGCAGTGAGCCAAGATCACACCACTGCACTCTAGCCTGGGCAGCAGAGTAAGACTCTATCTCAAAAAAAAAAAAAAAAAAAAAGAAAGAAAGAAAGAAACAGAATGGAGACATGAGACAAGACATTCCTGTTGACATGTTTGGATGTCCCATATCTCACTGCTGAAATCTGTTCCCTCCATAGACTTCCCATTACATATGGTAACATAACTCCTTTTGAACTTGAGTTAGTTTCAGTCAAGTTTCTGTCATTTGCAACTGAAATAACAGGTGTGTGCTGAGTCTTCAAGACCCTATATTCAACAAATTCTCTCTTCAGCTTCTTCCTGATCACCATCCCTTTAGGGGATCAGATTTGTTTTCAGTTGGCCAAGGAACAAGAAAACTTGCTGTTCTCAATTTCTTCTGTATACATGAGCTGATGCGCAGATATCTTCCCTCCCACTTAAGCAAGAAGGAAATGATCGCCTTTCCTATCAACTCCTATGCTAGTCACTAGATATTTTGAATGGGTGGGGGTAGAAGTTGCTGGATCCATGTGCCCAATCTCTGCAAGAGCTCAGGATTGTCCTGCTCTAGTCCCCTCCTCATAAAATTATTTCTGTTTCTTAGCCTTTTCTTTTTCTTGCATAGCTCCAGTTCTTCTCCAAAAGTCAGCTCCCAGAGAATACAATTCCTACACACCAAGCAGGGCTGAGCTATGGGAGTGATGCCTCCCCTGATTATCCTTGTGAAGGATAAGTAGGAGTGAGGCAAAGGGCAGGTGTAGGAAAGAGTGTTCCATCAGGAAGTGTGAAGCCAAACAGTGACATGATTAGATGTATATTTTAGAAAGGAGGACAACAGCTTGTAGGGGAGCTTGGCTGGTGGCAAAGCCACTGGGGCATTAATCTTCTTAATCATCTTGACTCCTTTGGCTTTCAAAACACTCCACTTTTGATCTTCCTCACTCTGTTTTGACCATTTCTTCTCAAACCCTTTTGTGGTCTCCTGCTGTACTCATTCCCTAAACGTGGATGCATCTGAGCCTTCCTGGACTGGCCCCATCTGTTTCTCCAGTGTCATTTCTCTCATGTTCCATTTTATTATCCATTCTTTAGCAATAAGAAACACACCGCACCACACTATATGGCTTCATGCTTTGAGGTTTGTGTTCATTCTGTCTCCTCTGACCTGAAACATCCTTTCTAACTTCTTTGCCTTGCTTATCACTTTGATTGTGATTCTGGGCTCAGTCATCAGCCACATACCATCCTCTGTGTTATATCCAGGCCAAACAACATATAATTCTCTGTGCTTCCATAGAATCTTGTGCAAATCACTTTATATTGAAAGTATCTGGCTGGGCGTGGTGGCTCATGCCTGTAATCTCAGCACTTTGGGAGGCTGAGGTGGATGGATCAGTTTAGATCAGGAGTTCAAGACCAGCCTGGCCAACAGGGTGAGACCCTGTCTCTACTAAAAATACAAAAAAAAAAAAAATTAGCCGGGCATGATGGCACACGCCTATAACTCCAGATACTCAGGAGGCTGAGGTACAAGAATTGCTTGAGCCTGGGAGGCAGAGATTGCAGTGAGTTAAGATTGCGGCACTGTACTCTAGCCTGGGCGACAAAGCAAGACCCTGTCTCAAACAAACAAACAAACAACAAGAAATTATCTGTTTTAATTTGTCTCCCTCACTAATCTTTAATCTTTTCCTTTTTTTTTTTTTGAGACGGAGTTTCGCTCTTGTTGCCCAAGCTGGAGTGCAATGGCGTGATCTCAGCTCACTGCAACCTCCGCCTCCCGGGTTCAAGCAATTCTCCTGCCTCAGCCTCCCAAGTAGCTGGGATTACGGGCACGCGCCACCATGCCCAGTTAATTTTTTGTATTTTTAGTAGAAATGGGGTTTCATCATTTTAGCCAGGCTGGTCTTGAACTCCTGACCTCAGGTGATCTGCCCGCCTCAGCCTCCCAAAGTGCTGGGATTACAGGCGTGAGCCATGGTGGCCAGCCTCCCTCACTAATCTTTAAGAGTTTTAAGGGCAAAGATTATGTCTTAATCATCTTTGAATTCCTGGTGCCCAGGAAAGCATGTGGCACACTGAATGCACCAAAAATTTTCCTGCTAACCTGAGCCTAACTACACTGATAATAAACTTATGCTTTTTTCAAAAGAAGAACAGTTAGAATTAAAATGTTTTCATCTCATATCACTTTTAAGGTACTTTAAGACTTTAAATAATATAGAATAAATTATTATTATTTCTAATATTTCAAAATGTGAGAGAAGTAAATACAAAATGACCTGACATGAAAAGTATTAAAAACAGTTCTGCTAAAATTATATGGAAGAAAAAGAGTAATGAATTGTGATCCTCTAATAATATCAGTTCCCCATTCTATTTTTTTTTTTTTTTACTAATTTATATATCACACCATTTGATAGATTTCATTTTCTTCCCAGGTCAGACATTCCTGTGATGCCAGACAGCTATACAGTTTTCAAAAATAGCAAGATGTTTGTCCTTCTTACAAGCACCACTAGAAAACAGACTGCTCCTTAAGCTATCAGGCAAATACTCTTTGATCCCAGGGAATTTACAATGGAGGGCATATTATCAGTTTCTATTGGCACCATAATTCTGCACAACAACGAACTGAACCTCAATGTGGCAAACAAAAATACACATATTTAAGTTCATGAATCTGCAGAGTTCAGCTGATCTGGGCAGGCTTGACTGACCTCACTCAAGGCTTGCACACCTGTCTGGTCAATCTACAGTGGCTTCAGTTGGAATGACTAGGATGACTTGGCTTTGCTCTGTATGTTTTTCATCTCCAGCAGGCTAGCTGGAGTATGTTTACCAGTTCAGGTGTTTTTCCAGCTTATTTTGTGTGACATTTGCTAATATCATATTAGCAAAAATAAATCACAAGGGTGACCCCCCAGAGTCAGAGTGGGAGAGCATGGATAAAGGTGGGGACACAGGGAGGGGTGAAGAATTAGGAAGATTTTTTCAAATTACCAAAACGTGTAATTTTTTCATTTGTCAGCTAATAATTCATTCAAGGGAGTCAGATATCCTTGGCTCACATTGATCATATCAACTACTTTGGCTTGGCTTTCTGGTAGGAAAAGAAATAAGTGCCAGCATTTATGTTATTATTTTTTAAAAAAAGACCTGGCTTTGACAAAATACCAGTAATGTATGATTTTTATTAAATATTGTCAACCAACTATTCTTGCCTGAATTTTAAAAAGCGCTAGTGGCATCAGTGGTCCCTTGAGAAGGCTCCCAGACCACCAGTGTTGTTCCCAGAGCACACTTTGGGAACCCCAGATTAAAATAGATATCATTGGTCCCTTTGAATGTGTTTTCATACAGATTAATCTTTGCTTTATGCAATCCCATCAAATACAAAATCTCCTGGAAATATTATTAAATATTGATGGCCCTGCTCAAAATGAAGATTACAAAAGCCGAATCAGATTGGCATCACTCTTCAAAGTAATTTCTTAAAAGCAGCATAAAATGGAATGAATTATAAACAAAAATGACTAAACACGTCCTATCATTCACATTGTATTCATATCCATGAAATGGGCAAGGCCTTCAGGCTTTTCTCTGTTATCTTTACCTACAGCTTGTGCTCTTTTCTTACACATGCTTATGTTTCTTGTATTCTTTCATCTGATCACTTTCTATTGATCATGACAGTAAAAGTACTTTGTTTCCATAGTGATATTTGACATGTTACAGATCACTGAGAACCCTAAGGGATAAGAAAAAAGTTTGGGTCTGCTTAGGATGCAACATAATAATATTTTATAGCCTTCCAATTGTTTTTAGCTACTGCAGTAACAGCTTTTTAATTGAAATTTAACTTATTTTGTCAGAAGATTGCCTTGTAATACCAGTTGTCAATGAACTTTTAAAAATTAAACCTCAAGCCAGGTATATACCTAAAAGAAAGGAAATCAACACATCAAAAAGATATCTGCTCTCCCATGTTTACTGCAGCACTATTCACAATAACCCAATTTAGATGCAATCTAAGTGTCCATCGACAGATAAATGGATAAAGAAAATGTGGTACATATACACAACAGAGTACTATTCAGCCATAAAAAACAATTTGCAACCACATAGATGGAACCGGAGGACATTATTTTCAGTGAAATAAGCCAGGCACAGGAAGACAAACTTTGCATGTTCTCACTTATTTGTGGGAGATACAAATTAAAACAAAAGAACTCATGAAAATAGAGTAGAATGATGGTTACCAGAGGCTGGGAAGGGTAGTGGGGATGGGGGGAGTGGGAAATGGGGATTTTTAGCGGGTACAAAAGTATAGTCAGATAAAATGAATAAGATCTAGTATTTGATAGCACAACACGGTGACTACAGTCAGCAATAGTTGATTGTACATTTAAAAATAACTAAGGGTATAATTGGAATGTTTGTAACATAAATGATAAATCCTCGATGTGGTGGATACCCCATTTACCCTGATGTGATTATTATTCATTGTATGCTTGTACCAAAATATCTCATGTACCCCATAAATACATACACATAAATATTAAAAATTTTTAAAAATTAAACCTCAAATCAAATGTGAAGTTAATTTGGCTTGGGAGAAAAAGTTTTAAATTCGAAACATATTTACCAAAGCTTTACATAAACCCATGCCAAAATATTGGTACCTTCTATTCCAACTATTCTGTTCATTTTAATATAACTTGTGTAAACCAGAAAGTCTATGAGATAGGTCTCAATCAATTTAGAGGTTTATTTCACCAATGTTAAGGACCATGGCCTGTGACACAGCCTCAGGCAGTCCTGAGAACATGTGCCCAAGGTGGTCGGGCTACAGCTTGATTTTATACATTTTAGAGAAATGGAAGTTACAGGCAAAGACATGTATCAATACATGTAAGGTATACATTGGTTTGGCCCATCTCAAAGCAGCGTGGGGGTGGGCTTCCAGGTCAAAGATGAATTCAAAGATTTTTCACATTTTCAATTAGTTGAAAGAGTTAAGCTCTGCCTGAAGATGTGAAGCCAGCTGGAGTTAAGGTAAGCGGGGGTGTTGTGGCAGCCAAGGTTCTCCTTATGTAGATAAAGCCTCCGGGTAGCTGGCTTCAAAGAATAGATGTGAATGTCTCTTATCAGACCTTAAAAGATGTCAGACTCTCTGGAAAAGACCTAGTAAGGGGCCAGGCACAGTGGCTCACGCCTGTAATCCCAGCACTTTGGGAGGCCGAGGTGGGTGGATTGCCTGAGGTCAGGAGTTCGAGACCAGCCTGACCAATATGGTGAAACTCTGTCTCTATTAAAAATGCAAAAATTAGCTAGGCTTGGTGGCATACACCTGTAGTCCCAGCTACTCGGGAGGATGAGGCAGGAGAATTGCTTGAACCCAGGAGGTGGAGGTTGCAGTGAGCCGAGATCATGCCACTGCACTCCAGCCTGGGTGACAGAGTGACACTCCGACACTCCATCTCAAAAAAAAAAAAAAAAAAGATCTAGTAAGGGAAAGAGATTTTCTATAGAATGTAAGTTTTCCCCAACAAGAGACAGCTTTGCGAGGCCATTTCAAAATAGTCAAATAAATATATTTTGGGGTAACATATTTTTATTTCTTTCAGGTCCCACTATGTGTCACGTGATGTTATTCCAGAGTCAGGTTGGAATTTTCTTATTGCTACAGTATATTTTACCAGTCTTACGATCTCCGTTTTAATGTTAATGCTGGTCAGTTGTGTCTAACCTCCAACGGGAGGAAGGTATAATGAGGCATATCCAACCGCCCACCCCTTCCCATCAGGGCCTGAACTCATTTTTCAGGGTTTTTTTGAGATTACCTTGGCCAAGACAGAGGTCCATTCCTTTCAGGGGTGGGTTGGTGATGGTGGTGCTTAGAATTTTATTTTTGGTTTTTGTATTAGTCTCTTCTCACACTGCTAGAAAGAACCACCTGAGGCTGGGTAACTTATAAAGAAAAGAGGTTTCATTAGCTCACAGTTCCACAGGCTGTACAGGAGGTATGGCTCCAGAGGCCTCAGGAAACTTACAATCATGGTGGAAGAGGAAACAAGCACGTCTTACCGTGGTGCAGGAGAGAGAGAGAAAGAGAGAGAGTGTGAAGGGGGAAGTGCTACACTCTTATAAACAAACATCTTCTGAGAACTCCATCATGGGAATGGCAAGGGGGAAGTCGGCCCCATGATTCAGTGACCTCTCACCAGGCCCCTCCTTCAACACAAGGGGGCTATTATTCCATATGAGATTTGGGTGGGGACACAGAGCCAAACCACATCAGTTTTCACGTGTATCCCAACAAACTTAAACATCAGCAAAGTATGTGCAAACCAGCATCCCTATATCTATTCTTGTCTCAACTGCACCTGCATACATCCTGCATCTTGGACTCTCAAGGCCCTAACGTAATGGCAGAGTATTAACTCTACACTTAAATGACTGTTCCCCTAAAGTAGGGGTAGGAAGAAATCAGATCTAGCTTTCTTTCCCAAATCAGAATGCTTTCCACTTTCATGAAATAAACATACTTCTAGGAGATGTCTCCTTTTATTTATACAAACATACACACCGAACTGGAACGTAATTTGAAGTTGGGAGGTGGAAAACTAAAGGTCAAAAAGGGAAGAAAGCAAAAACGTCCCTTGCACACTTCAGCCCGCAGACCCCAAGGAGGGGCGCGAGGTCCTCAGAACCGGAAAGGCTAGCACTGGATGGGTCCCCGCAGCCCCGCGCCGCTGCGCCGCAGCCTCCGGAAGACAGGGGACGCTGTGGCGCCGGGCGGGGCGCCCTCCGCCGCTCTCTCTAGCAGGCGGGGCGGCGAAGCGGGGCGGGGCGTCTCGGGCGAGGAGAGGAGGTGACCCCGCGAAAGGTAAGCGGCGGCTTCGGTGGTGTTGAGTGGCTGGGCGCCGGCCTGGAGGGGCCAGGGCGGCCGCACCATCACGCTCCCGTCTCTGCCCTTCCCAGCTGCCCTGCCGGTCTCCCTCCCAGGGAGGGAGCGTCCTCTCGGATAGCCCAAATCTTTGCCTCTCCGTGGACTCCCTGTACCCGCACCCCAAGTCGGTGAAGCTCTCTGGCCCCACAGAGCCCATTTCCCGTACTCACCTTGCGGGCTCCAGTTTGTTCGGTGCTTCATCCATGGACACCCCCACCCCGAGAACTCTCTCGTTTCCTGCAGTTTCTTAGTGTCTTGGCTCACCAGACTCATAGGGGAACATGGTGGTGTTTTGAGGAGACGCCGCTTTTCTTTTGTCATAGTGCGGACACTCGTGCTTTTTCAGCCCTGCAACACAATGTGTAGAACTTAACGGAATGAAGTTTTCTTTTGGAGGCTTCCAATGCGTCTGTCTTTGAGTAAGCCTTCGGCACCGAACAGTAGTCCATGACATTGGGGGAAGCCAGATGAGACTCAGATTGTCAGTACTCAGGCTGTCGCCAGCAAAGCCTTTCCCCTTTTTTCAGAGACAGTACTACATCCAAGAGGTGGAAAGATACTTTTGTTTTGTTTTGTTTATTTATTTATTTGTTATTATTATAAGTTTTAGGGTACATGTGCACAATGTGCAGGTTAGTTACATATGTATACATGTGCCATGCTGGTGCGATGCACCCACCAACTGGACATCTAACATTAGGTATATCTCCCAATGCTATCCCTCCCCCCTCCCCCCACCCCACAACAGACCTCAGAGTGTGATGTTCCCCTTCCTGTGTCCATGTGTTCCCATTGTTCAATTCCCACCTATGAGTGAGAATATGTGATGTTTGCTTTTTTGTTCTTGCGATAGTTTACTGAGAATGATGATTTCCAATTTCATCCATGTCCCTACAAAGGACATGAACTCATCATTTTTTATGGCTGCATAGTATTACATGGTGTATATGTGC
This sequence comes from Homo sapiens, assembly GCF_000001405.40. Classification (NCBI taxonomy): domain Eukaryota; kingdom Metazoa; phylum Chordata; class Mammalia; order Primates; family Hominidae; genus Homo; species Homo sapiens. Next base: position 87,323,649 of record NC_000006.12, read on the forward strand.
CACATTTTCTTAATCCAGTCTATCATTGTTGGACATTTGGGTTGGTTCCAGGTCTTTGCTATTGTGAATAATGCCGCAATAAACATACGTGTGCTTGTGTCTTTACAGCAGCATGATTTATAGTCCTTTGGGTATATACCCAGTAATGGGATGGCTGGGTCAAATGGTATTTCTAGTTCTAGATCCCTGAGGAATCGCCACACTGACTTCCACAATGGTTGTACTGGTTTACAGGCCACCAACAGTGTAAAAGTGTTCCTGTTTCTCCACAGCCTCTCCAGCACCTGTTGTTTCCTGACTTTTTAATGATTGCCATTCTAACTGCTGTGAGATGGTATCTCATTGTGGTTTTGATTTGCATTTCTCTGATGGCCAGTGATGGTGAGCATTTTTTCATGTGTGTTTTGGCTGCATAAATGTCTTCTTTTGAGAAGTGTCTGTTCATGTCCTTCGCCCACTTTTTGATGGGGTTCTTTGTTTTTGTCTTGTAAATTTGCTTGAGTTGATTGTAGATTCTGGATATTAGCCCTTTGTCAGATGAATAGGTTGTGAAAATTTTCTCCCATTTTGTAGGTTGCCTGTTCACTCTGATGGTAGTTTCTTTTGCTGTGCAGAAGCTCTTTAATTAGATCCTATTTGTCAATTTTGGCTTTGGTTGCTATTGCTTTTGGTGTTTTAGACATGAAGTCCTTGCCCATGCCTATGTCCTGAATGGTAATGCTTAGGTTTTCTTCTAGGGTTTTTATGGTTTTAGGTCTAACGTTTAAGTCTTTAATCCATCTTGAATTGATTTTTGTATAAGGTGTAAGGAAGGGATCCAGTTTCAGCTTTCTACATATGGCTAGCCAGTTTTCCCAGCACCATTTATTAAATAGGGAATCCTTTCCCCATTGCTTGTTTTTCTCAGGTTTGTCAAAGATCAGATAGTTGTAGATATGTGGCGTTATTTCTGAGGGCTCTGTTCTATTCCATTGATCTATATCTCTGTTTTGGTACCAGTACCATGCTGTTTTGGTTACTGTAGCCTTGTAGTATACTTTGAAGTCAGGTAGTGTGATACCTCCAGCTTTGTTCTTTTGGCTTAGGATTGACTTGGCGATGTGGGCTCTTTTTTGGTTCCATATGAACTTTAAAGTAGCTTTTTCCAATTCTATGAAGAAAGACATTGGTAGCTTGATGGGGATGGCATTGAATCTGTAAATTACCTTGGGCAGTATGGCCATTTTCACAATGTTGATTCTTCCTACGCATGAGCATGGAATGTTCATCCATTTGTTTGTATCCTCTTTTATTTCCTTGAGCAGTGGTTTGTAGTTCTCCTTGAAGAGGTCCTTCACATCCCTTGTAAGTTGGATTCCTAGGTATTTTATTCTCTTTGAAGCAATTGTGAATGGGAGTTCACTCATGATTTGGCTCTCTGTTTGTTGCTGGTGTATAAGAATGCTTGTGATTTTTGTACATTGATTTTGTATCCTGAGACTTTGCTGAAGTTGCTTATCAGCTTAAGGAGATGTTGGGCTGAGACAATGGGGTTTTCTAGGTATACAGTCATGTCATCTGCAAACACGGACAATTTGACTTCCTCTTTTCCTAATTGAATACCCTTTATTTCCTTCTCCTGCCTAATTGCCCTGGCCAGAACTTCCAACACTATGTTGAATAGGAGTGGTGAGAGAGGGCATCCCTGTCTTGTGCCAGTTTTCAAAGGGAATGCTTCCAGTTTTTGCCCATTCAGTATGATATTGGCTGTGGGTTTGTCATAGATAGCTCTTATTATTTTGAGATACGTCCCATCAATACCTAATTTATTGAGAGTTTTTAGCATGAAGGGTTATTGAATTTTGTCAAAGGCCTGTCTGCATCTATTGAGATAATCATGTGGTTTTTGTCTTTGGTTCTGTTTATATGCTGGATTACATTTATTGATTTGCATATATTGAACCAGCCTTGCATCCCAGGGATGAAGCCCACTTGATCATGGTGGATAAGCTTTTTGATGTGCTGCTGGATTCCGTTTGCCAGTATTTTATTGAGGATTTTTGCATCAATGTTCATCAAGGATATTGGTCTAAAATTCTCTTTTTTGGTTGTGTCTCTGCCCGGCTTTCATATCAGGATGATGCTGGCCTCATAAAATGAGTTAGGGAGGATTCCCTCTTTTTCTATTGATTGGAATAGTTTCAGAAGGAATGGTACCAGTTCCTCCTTGTACCTCTGTTAGAATTCGGCTGTGAAGCCATCTGCTCCTGGACTCTTTTTGGTTGGTAAGCTATTGATTATTGCCACAATTTCAGCTCCTGTTATTGGTCTATTAAGAGATTCAACTTCTTCCTAGTTTAGTCTTGGGAGAGTGTATGTGTCGAGGAACTTATCCATTTCTTCTAGATTTTCTAGTTTATTTGCATAGAGCTGTTTGTAGTATTCTCTGATGGTAGTTTGTATTTCTGTGGGATCGGTGGTGATATCCCTTTTATCATTTTTTATTGCGTCTATTTGATTCTTCTCTCTTTTTATCTTTATTAGTCTTGCTAGCGGTCTATCAATTTTGTTGATCCGTTCAAAAAACCAGCTCCTGGATTCATTAATTTTTTGAAGGGTTTTTAATGTCTCTATTTCCTTTAGTTGTGCTCTGATTTTGGTTATTTCTTGCCTTCTGCTAGCTTTTGAATGTGTTTGCTCTTGCTTTTCTAGTTCTCTTAATTGTGATGTTAGGGTGTCAATTTTGGATCTTTCCTGCTTTATCTTGTGGGCATTTAGGGCTATAAATTTCCCTCTACATGCTGCTTTGAATGCATCCCAGAGATTCTGGTATTTTGTGTCTTTGTTCTCGTTGGTTTCAAAGAACATCTTTATTTCTGCCTTCAGTTCGTTATGTACCCAGTAGTCATTCAGGAGCAGGTTGTTCAGTTTCCATGTAGTTGAGTGGTTTTGAGTGAGATTCTTAATCCTGAGTTCTAGTTTGATTGCACTGTGGTCTGAGAGATAGTTTGTTATAATTTCTGTTCTTTTACATTTGCTGAGGAGAGCTTTACTTCCAAGTATGTGGTCAATTTTGGAATAGGTGTGGTGTGGTGCTGAAAAAAATGTATATTCTGTTGATTTGGGGTGGAGAGTTCTGTAGATGTCTATTAGGTCTGCTTGGTGCAGAGCTGAGTTCAATTCCTGGGTATCCTTGTTGACTTTCTGTCTCGTTGATCTGTCTAATGTTGACAGTGGGGTGTTAAAGTCTCCCATTATTAATTTGTGGGAGTTTAAGTCTCTTTGTAGGTCACTCAGGACTTGCTTTATGAATCTGGGTGCTCCTGTATTGGGTGCATATATATTTAGGATAGTTAGCTCTTCTTGTTGAATTGATCCCTTTACCATTATGTAATGGCCTTCTTTGTGTCTTTTGATCTTTGTTGGTTAAAAGTCTGTTTTATCAGAGACTAGGATTGCAACCCCTGCTTTTTTTTGTTTTCCATTTGCTTGGTAGATGTTCCTCCATCCTTTTATTTTGAGCCTATGTGTGTCTCTGCACGTGAGATGGGTTTCCTGAATACAGCACACTGATGGGTCTTGACTCTTTATCCAATTTGCCAGTCTGTGTCTTTTAATTGGAGCATTTAGTCCATTTACATTTAAAGGTAATATTGTTATGTGTGAATTTGATCCTGTCATTATGTTAGCTCGTTATTTTGCTCGTTAGTTGATACAGTTTCTTCCTAGTCTCAATGGTCTTTACATTTTGGCAATGGATGGTACAGGTTGTTCCTTTCCATGTTTAGTGCTTCCTTCAGGAGCTCTTTTAGGGCAGGCCTGCTGGTCACAAAATCTCTCAGCATTTGCTTGTCTGTAAAGTATTTTATTTCTCCTTCACTTATGAAGCTTAGTTTGGCTGGATATGAAATTCTGGGTTGAAAATTCTTTTCTTTAAGAATGTTGAATATTGGCCCCCACTCTCTTCTGGCTTGTAGAGTTTCTGCCAAGAGATCCGCTGTTAGTCTGATGGGCTTCCCTTTGTGGGTAACCCGACCTTTCTCTCTGGCTGCCCTTAACATTTTTTCCTTCATTTCAACTTTGGTGAATCTGACAATTATGTGTCTTGGAGTTGCTCTTCTCGAGGAGTATCTTTGTGGCGTTCTCTGTATTTCCTGAATCTGAATGTTGGCCTGCCTTGCTAGATTGGGGAAGTTCTCCTGGATAATATCCTGCAGAGTGTTTTCCAACTTGGTTCCATTCTCCCCGTCACTTTCAGGTACACCAATCAGACGTAGATTTGGTCTTTTCACATAGTCCCATATTTCTTGGAGGCTTTGCTTGTTTCTTTTTATTCTTTTTTCTCTAAACTTCCCTTCTCGCTTCATTTCATTCACTTCATCTTCCATCACTGATACCCTTTCTTCCAGTTGATCGCATCAGCTCCTGAGGCTTCTGCATTCTTCACGTAGTTCTTGAGCCTTGGTTTTCAGCTCCATCAGCTCCTTTAAGCACTTCTCAGTATTGGTTATTCTAGTTATACATTCTTCTAAACTTTTTTCAAAGTTTTCAACTTCTTTGCCTTTGGTTTGAATTTCCTCCCGTAGCTCGGAATAATTTGATCGTGTGAAGCCTTCTCTCAGCTCGTCAAAGTCATTCTCCGTCCAACTTTGTTCCGTTGCTCGTGAGGAACTGCGTTCCTTTGGAGGAGGAGAGGCACTCTGCTTTTTAGAGTTTCCAGTTTTTCTGCTCTGTTTTTTCCCCATCTTTGTGGTTTTATCTACTTTTTGTCTTTGTTGATGGTGATGTACAGATGGGTTTTTGGTGTGGATGTCCTTTCTGTTTGTTAGTTTTCCTTCTAACAGACAGGACCGTAAGCTTCAGGTCTGTTGGAGTACCCGGCCGTGTGAGGTATCAGTCTGCCCCTGCTGGAGGCTGCCTCCCAGTTAGGCTGCTCGGGGGTCAGGGGTCAGGGACCCACTTGAGGAGGCAGTCTGCCTGTTCTCAGATCTCCAGCTGCGTGCTGGGAGAACCACTGCTCTCTTCAAAGCTGTCAGACAGGGACATTTAAGTCTGCAGAGGATACTGCTGTCTTTTTGTTTGTCTGTGCCCTGCCCCCAGAGGTGGAGCCTACAGAGGCAGGCAGGCCTCCTTGAGCTGTGGTGGGCTCCACCCAGTTCGAGCTTCCCAGCTGCTTTGTTTACCTAAGCAAGCCTGGGCAATGGCGGGCGCCCCTCCCCCAGCCTCACTGCCGCCTTGCAGTTTGATCTCAGACTGCTGTGCTAGCAATCAGCCAGACTCCGTGGGCGTAGGACCCTCCGAACCACGTGCGGGATATAATCTCGTGGTGCGCCATTTTTTAAGCCCGTCGGAAAAGCGCAGGATTCGGGTGGGAGTGACCCGATTTTCCATGTGCCGTCTGTCACCCTTTTCTTTGACTAGGAGAGGGAACTCCCTGACCCCTTGCACTTCCCGAGTGAGGCAATGCCTCGCCCTGCTTCGGCTCTCACATGGTGCGCGCACCCACTTACCTGCGCCCAGTGTCTGGCACTCCCTAGTGAGATGAACCCGGTACCTCGACTGGAAATGCAGAAATCACCCATCTTCTGCGTTGCTCACTCTGGGAGCTGTAGACCGGAGCTGTTCCTATTCAGCCATCTTGGCTCCTCCCCTCTTGTTTTGTTTTTAGACAGAGTTTCGCTCTGTCGCCCAGGCTGGAGTGCAGTGGCACGATCTCGGCTCACTGCAACCTTCACCTCCTGGGTTCAGGCGATTATTCTGCCTCAGCCTCCCGAGGAGCTGGGATTACAGGCCCGCACCACCACACCCAGCTAATTTTTGTATTTTTAGTAGAGACGGGGTTTCACCATATTGGCTACGCTAGTTTCAAACTCCTGACCTCAAGTGATCCTGACCTCAAGCAATCTACCCGCTTCGGCCTCCCAGAGTGCTGGGATTGCAGGCGTGAGCCACCCTGCCCGGCAGGAAAGATACTTTTTTAGAAAGTATGTTTTACCTTAAAAACAACATATATATAATCAATTTTTAAAACTTAAGTGATTATAATTTTTTTTCTTAAATATTGTAATATACATGCAAAGGCCTTTTATCAATTCAAGAGTAAGATGGGGTGAGGTGGTGAAATATTGGTGGGCTGGTAATTGGGAGACCTAGGTGATCGCACCCTCCTGGTAAGGACATCTCCTTGGGTCTGGGTTTCTCAGAAAGGGGTTTAGAAGGGGGAGTTAGACTAAATGGTGAGTATGAAAGTAGCTACCATTCATTGAACATCTGCATCTTTTAAAATGTGTCATCTTAATTAATGCACACATTTAGTACCTATCTATGCAATAGATAGTATTGCTCCTTTTATAAAGGTAGAAACTGAGAATCAGAGTTGTCACTTAAAGACACACAGCTTATAAGTAGCAAAGTGAGAATCTGAGGTTATGCTATGTTTCCCCTCAAGCCATGAAGTCCTCTGATTCTATCCCAAACTTGTTTAAACTAATTTAAATTATTTTTAAGGTTTTCTGCCCCAAAGTTCAAGTTAGTTTCTTAAGTATTAAGATAATGTGGCATGTGAAACTATAAAAAAGTGTATTATACTTTCATTAAAATATTTTGCCCATTTTATAATTCTCTGTCTTTTAAAGGAAATGCTTTCATTATTAATAAGGTTCCTGCTCGTTAACATTTTATGATTCTGGTCATTTTGTTTTGTCTTCTATTGAGGTGCTTATTTCTAAAATGTATGTTTGAAGATTAAGTGTTTCCCTCAAAGTAATTCTTATATTCTTTATATCTTAGTCTAATTTGCATGTACAATATATTAATAGGTAGTCAAGTATTCTGGAATAACTCCCTGAGCAAGAATTTTGCTAAAGAAGGGAAAATCATTCAAAAATGACTAGTCCTGACTCTCGGTGTAGGACCATCTGTACAGCCTCTCACATTGTGTGTTATTAATTTCAGGGGCTTACTATTCTTACACTTTGAGATGTAAATGACTCTCATGGAGTTGGGTAAACGGGCAGTCCTTTATCTTTGCTTCTTCCTTTTTCCATTGCACGCTTCCGTCACAGGAGGATGGACAGAAGAAAAAGGTAAAGAACATTTTACCAGAGAGAAACAAATGAAGCAAATACCCCTTAGTTTAGACCTTTTTTACAGGCACCTGTGAAATGTTCTACTCTCCTCTATTTTTTTTTTTAAGAAAAGATAAATAACAGTTTCTTAATCATGCATGGAAAAGGGAACAAGAAGTGGGTGATGGAAAAATGAAGAAGAAATAAGAGTGGGGCAGATTGCACAGCCAGGGGTGCCTGATTAATTATTTTGCAGGTAGGCCCGCACACAAATTAATCACAAAATTACTTAGCCAAGAGCAGTGTAATGCCAGGTTCCCAGCATCCTTGCTAATCTATGTGTATGTATGTTTTATGTCATTACTGTTTTAACACAGTAAATGAGGTTTTTAAATGCAGCTTAAAAATAAATAGATCCTCAAAGTGATAATAACTAGAGATTGGTCAATATCATATGTAAGTAAATGAGTGACAGCTGCAGTGGAAACAAAAAGTAAGAGAAGAAGGTGGAGAAACTAGTGGGAAGACTAAGAAAGTTCTGATGGAAGTGTGCTGGACATTAACTGGTTTTGTCTTAGGTGAGTGGTAATGTCAGAGTAAGTTATTGCCATGCCTTGACTTTATGATTAGTTCTGCAGCTTTTAAAATTGAAACTTGTATTAGTTTTGTACTTGAAAACAGCTAGTCAACTTAAACTTCAGGATTAAAAGTTTACTTGTTAAAATACAGATTTGTTTTCCCCAAAACAATTTATACATGTGTGAAGAAATGACTAAGGTTTTGCATTCTACCTGTTTTATTTATTCCTGGCACATCTTGAATTTATTCGTCAGCCATACTTGTACAGCTCTGTGGGCTGGCATGTGAACAAATACAGAAGAATTTTCTCGTATGTAGAAAAGATTTTGTTTTTGTTTTTGTTGTTGTTTTTAAAATAGTTATATATAACAAATTCTTGGCTGCTAAGACCCTTTCTGGTCTCAGTAATCTGAATTTTTTTTAACAAAGTATAGATGGTTGTTAAAAAGTCTTAGTTTGATAGATGGTGTAAATAAGTTCATGGAATTTTGGGAGAATTGTTGTATCATCAGTGACTGTGGCTCATAAAGGAGAAGCAGCAATAAAACTGAGCTGTTTTATCCCACTTCTAATAAAAGAATGATAAATAATAGAAAATGTTACTCTCATACTTTCCAGAAAGTGTCAGTAACAGTGGAAATTGTGGTATATTAAATCTTTTAAAAATATACATGTGAGTTTCCAGTCAAAATATTCTGTCATTTCTAGCAGAGTTTAACATAAACAGTGAATTATTAAGGTAAATGTGAGTGTCTGGGAGTTGCAATATAACAAATACTACCCTGATTATTTTATTGATTCATTATAAAGGAAATATAGGTTCTGCTAAGGAAAAAAGGAGATCAAGCAATCTTACAAATAAAATTAAGTCATCACAATTAGTGTTAGAATGCTATATAACTATATAGTTTTTTACAGACATATTTCATATAGGTTGAATTTCATAACACTCAGCATCACTGCATCCATTTAATTTTAAAATACTGACATTTTTGTTAGTTGTAACTAGTCTCTCTCTTTCTCTTTCTCCTCCTCTCCTCCCCCCCCATATATGTATATATATATATATAAATGACAGCAGATCCCTTCTGAATAGATTAATGCCCTCCCTGAGGGGATGATTAACTCACTCCACACCTGAAGTCCAAAATTATATACAGTATATAATTTTATATACCCCAGGAGTGGAGTAATAATAATATATAATGTAAATTGTATATTACATTATTGTTTAATATATAATTTATTATGTTAATAAATTACATATAATTAATATATAATTATATGTAACATAATTTTATATAATTTTGGACATCAGGTGTGGAGTGAGTTCATCCTCCTCAATTCCTGGCACATTATCATCCACACAAAGTATATGTAATAAACTATGCTCTGAGGACCCTTCTGTGCTCTGCAATATGAACTTCTATACCCATCTTTTCCATCACCTTGGAAAAATGCTGTTTATGTCAGTTTCTGGTTACAATGACTTTTACCTTTGTATATTTGCTTTTTCAGGCCTTTGTAGTATTTTTATCTAATGCCTCAGTTTCATGTAGTGGCACACTCTGAGGCTGAGATTCAGCCCTAATAACATGGCCATGGGCTATTTTCTTCCTAATGTTCCTTATAGGTTTGGCTGTTGACAGACTATAATACTGCTTCCACTTTAATGACTGCTTCATTTTGCATTTTCTTTTCCTATCTTAGCCCATTTGTGTTGCTATAAAGGAATACTGAGGCTGGGCAATTTATGAAGAAAAGAAGTTTATTTGGTTCATGGTTCTGCAGGCTGTACAGGAAGCATGGTGTCAGCCTCTGTTTCTGGTGAGGGGCTCAGGTTGCCTCCACTCATGGTGGAAGGTGATGGTGATCTGGCATGTGCAGAGATCACATGGTAAGAGAGGAAGCAAGAAAGAGAGGGGAGGTGCTAGGCTCTTTTTAACAACCAGCTCTCCAGGGGACTAATAGAGTGAGAACTCACTTGCTCCCCACGCTCCCCGAGGAAGGGTATTAATCTATTCATGAGGGATCCACCCCCATGACCCAAACACCTCCCACTAGGCCTCACCTCCGACATTGGAGGTCAGATTTCAACGTGAGGTTTGGGAGACAAATACCCAAACTATAGCACCCACGTTTATAGTCAAACAAGTTTTTAGCACAGGGAGAAACATCACTGACACCTGTTATAGGCACCTGGTGGCCAACATTTGTTACTTAAATTCTAAATACCTTTATAAACACCATCGTGGCTAAGAGAAGAAAAATGAAACACCAGCAGTTCTCATTAGAAGAAAAAAATGGTAGTAGTGGAAGCAGTAGATTGCTGCCACAACAAAGGAGAAATAGCAAAGGAATTTAACACCACTACCCCAACATTGTTCACATTTTTGAAAGATTGAGCCAAGATTGAAGAGAAAGTTTAAAAAGGGATTCTGGGACTAAAGCAAAAGTGAATGTGAGGTCCCTTTTATCACTGTTTTTGCATGATATCAGGTTCATGCAAGAAATGGGCATGTAACTGTGCTGTAGAAAGCATTGGATTTTTGCCAACCTTAGGAATTGTGTTAGTCTCTTCTTGCGTCATTATAAAGAAGTACCTGATGCTAGGTAATTTATAAAGCAAAGAGGTTTAATTGGCTCACGGTTCAGCAGGCTGTACAGGAAGCATGGTGCCAGCATCTGCCCCTGGTGAGGGCTTCAGGAAGCTTTCAGTTGTGGTGGAAGATTAAGTGGAAGCAGGCATGTCACATGGTGAGACAGGAAGCAAGAGGGAGGGGAAGAAGTGTCACACTTAAACAACCAGATCTCACATGAACTCATAGAGTAAGAACTCGCTCATTACTACAAGGATGGCACCAAGCCATTCATGAGGGATCTGCTCCCATGATCCAAATGCCTCCCACCAGGCTCCACCTTCAACACTGGGGATTACAATTCAGCTTGAGATTTAGAGGGGACAAACATCCAGAGCTTATCAGGCATGGTGAGTTTCAAGCAAGTGCGGGCTGCCCGAACAAACTTTGGGCATATTCTGGAATTGTTTCACAAGTTGCCTGTAGTGAAGAAAACACTGTTTCAGTAGAGAAAATTATTAACTTACATGCAGGAGAAATTTAAAAACAAGAACAAAAATTGCTGGTTACAGCTTCAGTGGCTTGTTTGTTTGTTTGTTTGTTTGTTTGTTTTTGGATACAGGGTCCAGCTGTATCCAAACAGGATACAGCCTGTTGCCCAGGCTGGTCTCAGACTCCTGGGTTCAAGCAGTCCTTCTACCTCTTCCTCCCAAAATAGTGGGATTACAGGTGTGAGCCACCCCGCCCAGCCTGAATGGTGTTTTAAGTGCTGATGAAACAGGTGTTCTTGTTACCTTATCATATGCTTCATGCCAAAGGTAGACTTTGCAAAGGAAATAAACAGATTGATGATTGGTGTTTCTACTGTAATGCATTTTGGAACAATTGTCTTTGGCAAGTCAGCTAACTCTCAGTGCTTCAGAAATGTTCCTCCGTGATTACCAAGCCAATACACATGCCTGAATAATGAGAGATGTGTTACTGAATAGCTGATAAAGATTGACAAGGGAATGCAAGGAGCAATACACAGTATGCTCTTGCCAGTAGACAATTGGTCTGCCCACAACATACTCCTACACTTGGATCATGTAGGGGTTGAGTTTTTCCCATTGAACTACACAGCCATTCTGCAGCCATTGGATCAGGGTACAGTTGGCACAGTGACAGCTCACTTCTGAAAGCAGTTGGAACAACTCTTTCTAAATGTAGAGCATGAAGAGAAAAATGGAGAAAAGCAACATGAGTAAGCCATTGACATGATTGCAGAGACTTGGTGATCTATAAAGTTATCTGTAATCATGAAATGTTAGCAAAACACAGGCATGATTCCTGTGGAATCCCCTGAGGTCCTCCTGTAAGAAGACTGCAACTAAATGTGGTATTTGAACCAATCTAGCACTCAACTGCTGCTGTCATTGATGTCTCAAACCAGTTTAATTTTGAAGACTGTGTGGCTACAGATAGCAATTTAACTATTTCCCAAGTTACCAAATCCTGAAGTTGCTACAGGAGTGCTAACTGATGTAAAAATTGAACCAGAAAGCCGTGGTGATAGCGATGAAGAAGGCAACAATGATAATCATGATATGCATGAGGAATAAGTGATGGAACCAGCAACAGTGAACATTTCTGAAGCCTTTGCAAGTATAGAAAGTGCTTAGAACGTTCCTTTTTCTTCAAGCAGATGTTCCTCTTGAGGTGCATACCCAATTAAATGATATAGATGAACATTCAGCGACTACTGCAACACAAAGTATTTTGAAAAGCCAAGTTCCTAGTTTTCTCCTTAACTACGAAGTTGTGAAAATATTGATTTTATAAAGTCTATAAAATAGTAAGCTTAATGAATACTTATACTGGCCAGGTGTGGTATAAGTATACAGGCATGGGATCATGCCTGTAATCCCAGCACTTTGGGAGGCAGAAGCAGGTTTGCTTTGTTGCCAGGAGTTTGAGACCAGCCTGGGCAACATGGCGAGACCCCGTCCCTACCAAAAAAAAAAAAAAAAAAAAAAAAAGCCAGGTGTGGTGCATGCCTGTAGTCCTAGCTACCTGGGAGGTTGAGGTGGGAGGATCACTTGAGCCCAGGTGTTTGAGGCTGCAGGCTGCAGTGAGCTATGATCACGCCACTGCACGTGCATTCCAGTCTAGGCAATCGAGTAAGAAGACTGTCTCAAAAAAAAAATACTTGTGCAAACAAAGCCCCAATGTGTGTTTAAGTATGAATGTTTGGCTCTTAACTTTTATTTTATAACATTTACTGTACAGCGATTGCAGCATTTCCCCCAAATAATTTTACTATATTGTCATTTATGTCCATCTTTGGAAGCTTTCTTTCTCTACCTCCCCTCTTTCAACCCTCACCTCCCATCCCAGCATTAGATGGCAGAGAGGATAAAATAAGCTTTTGCCTAATAATACCTAGAAGAGAAAAATACTCCCAAAGTGCTGACATTTCAGCTAGGAAAACAAGAAGACAAAAGACACACTTGGATTTAATAGGATAGATTTACAGTAGCTAAGATAAAAAAGGATATTCAGATTAAGGAGATAGCAGGGCATAACCTACCCAGAAAGTTGCTGATTGGCAATGGAAGAGTAAGTACAAACAGCTCCTTATCCTTACTGCTTGGGAAAATGAGTTCGTGTGTGGGCTAGTGGAGGAAGACAGAGGAGCAGTGGGGGAAACTGGCCAGGAGTGAATCTGTAGGAGAAGATAATGAGCAAAGGAATGCTGGTCATTCTCTCAGGTTGGTGTTATGGAGGGGCTGTTGAAAGGTGAGGAGGAGTGAAAGCAAGGAACTAAGGAAAGGAACGGATAACCTACTGGCCTCACCTACTCATAGTCTTGGTTGCATATGATACGACGTGACTCAGAGCAACAAACAATTCTCCAGTCTTCTATAAAAGCAGGAAAACAACCTTTGCCCACCACTTTTATTTTGAGATGAAAATTAAAATAATGAACAAAATTAACAAATTAAAGTTAAAGCACCATTTACAAAGTACATTATACAAAGTAATAAGATAACTGACAATCACATTTGGTATGTATCTGGGTTGGAATTCAAAGAAGGAATTTAAGAATTACTTTTTAAAGAAATTTATCAGAGAAGCACAATTATGAAGGGAAAAAATATATTATTTTGTTTTTAGATAATAAATCATCATTGATCAAGATGTCTTCAGCACCTGAGCCTCCAACATTCAAAAAGGAACCACCCAAAGAGAAAGAGTTTCAAAGCCCAGGGCTCAGAGGGGTGCGCACAACAACCTTATTTCGTGCTGTGAATCCAGAGCTCTTCATTAAACCTGTAAGAAATACATCCAGGATAAGACTTTGTGTTTAATCCAACCAGACTGTCAGAAAGTTCTAATTTTCTTGTATTTGATTTTATCATGGAAATTTTATGTTGACAAGTAAGACCTCTCTGTGAATAAAAGCAGGTGGAAGGACGATTGTAAATGCTGTTTCACATATAAATACACATATAAAAGTAAATATTTTAAGGGCATTTGAGAGTTATAATGAAAAATGGTTGCCCTTTATTGGATTGGCTTCTCAAACTATCTAAAGTACTATTTTAATAGTTGCATTAATTTGAAGACAACTTTTGTTGTTTGATCAGGTACTATTAGGTAAATAAGACCTTCCATTTAAGCAAGGAAACCAAAATGAAAATCTGACCATTCTTAACATACTGCAATTCTACCCTGTAGGTAATATTTTTATCTAAGCAATATTACAGATACTTTGTGAAAAATTCCAAAACATTTGATTTGATGATATTCATTTATTTATTAGAGGTTCTGTCACCTAGGCTGTAGTGCAGTGGTACAGTCAGCTCACTGCAGCTTCAAACCCCTGGGCTCAAGGGATCCTTGTACCTCAGCCTCCTGAGTGGCTGGGACTACAGGTGCACGCCTTTATGCCTGGCTCATTTTTAAAATTTTTTGTAGAGATGGTGTGTCAGTATATTGCCCAAACTGGTTTTGAACTCCTGGCCTTAAGCGATTCTCCCACCTCAGCCTCCCAAATTGTTGTGATTACAGGCATGAGCCACCACGCCTGGCTGAGTTTATTTTTAAATAAATGTAGATTCTATTTTAAAATAAATGTAAAATCAAATTAAAATAAAATATGATAAATATTTAAGTGTGTTGAATCTGATTAGAATTTTAGTAACATAGTTATCAATGTAAACTTTTAAAGTTAAATAGATCAACTTAATCAGATCATTAAATCAAGGTAAAATATTTTAAAAGCTTTGAACTAATGTGTTCTTTTAATTGCTAAAAGCATTTCAAGAATTGTAAATTTAAACTGCTCTGAGTCTGTGTCCTTTCTTAGGTGTTCATCTAAGTGAAAAAGTTTGACCCTTATTTTGAAATAGAAGTGTCACCTAAAGGAAGAAACTGAGGCAAATTAATATAGGTAGGGAGTTTATTTGGGCCAAGGTTGAGGACTGCAGCCTGGGAAACACTTCAGAGTAACCTTGGGAAGCACTCTGGAGAGCAAAAGAGAGGCTGGAGTTTTTAAGAAAAAAGATGAATCAGGAGAGGGGGCAAGTACAAAAGTTGCTTTTCAGTAATTTTCATTGGTTTGCAGAAATGACATTGATTAGTAATTATACATTGTTGAACTACAGAGTATGAGTTATAATGTCTAGTGGAGGGCATTGTAAGGTTAATATATAGCTATTGGTTGTGTCAGTCCAGAGCCCACATAACAAGGGCTTCAAAATTATTACTTAGCTCAAGACATGACTACTGTCTCATTCCAATGCCTCTCTGGGCCTGATAATTTAAAGGGGGCTCACATTCCACAGTTAAAGAGTTTCTTTTATTTCTCAGTAGTGGTACAGCAGGTATGGTGACAGAAGCAGAAACTGTTATTTATATCACTACTGTGCATTTACATTGACCTAAGAAAGACCAACTCGTTGAGTGTGAACATGCAAAGAAAAGGGTCTGAGGTACAGTTTCAGGAGTAACAAAGTTAATAGACAAAATACTTTTCTGGAGTTGTGAACATCTTTCCTGTATTTAAAAGCTTTTTTTTTTTTTTTTTTTTGACTGGGCATCATGACTCATGTCTGCAATCCCAGTACTTTGGGAGGCTGAGGTAGAGGGATCTCTTGAGGCCAGGAGTTCAACATACTGAGACTCTATCTCTACAAAAAAATTTAAAATTAGTCTGGCCACAGTGGCTCACACCAAGGTGGGCGGATCACTTGAAGTCAGGAGTTTGAAACCAGCTGGCCAACATGGTGAAACCCTGTATTTATTAAAAATACAAAAAAATTAGCCAGGCATGGTGTGCACAACTGTAGTCCCAGCTTGGGAGGCTGAGGCAGGAAAATCGCTTGAGCCCAGGAGTTTGAGACTGCAGTGAGCTATGATTGCACCACTGCACTCCAGCCTGGGCAACAGAATGAAATCCTGTCTCTTAACAACAACAACAAAACACAGCGTGTGTGTGTGTGTGTGTGTGTGTGTGTGTGTGTGTGTGTGTGTGTGAAATCCTGTCTCTTAACCTCTTAACAACAACAAAACACAGCGTGTGTGTGTGTGTGTGTGTGTTTGTGTGTGTGTGTGTGTGTGTGTGTGTTTTAACCTGAAAGCATCACTTTGCCTCTTAGGGTCTTGGATTGTCCAAGAGTAAATCAAGGTTAACAGCATAATAGCTGTTCCCATCACTAAATTTCTTGAGGTAATGGAGTAGTTTCCCAGAGAAGAGTGTATACATCATCATCATTTCTGTGCCTATTATATAAAAGGTTTTTTGCCAGTTATTCATGACTTGGGCAAGAAGAATAGCATGTCTAGTTCATTCCTCACTTCCTAATAAAATGAACTAATTTGAAGTTTGCAAATGGAGAGACTTGGGCCCAGGACCCAGGAAGTTAAGCAGCTCCTCCACTTCACCCAGATAACATTGAAAACTCCGGGTGCTGACCAGTTTTCCTGCCCCACTCCTTTCCCAGCTGTCACCTTCCTGAGAGTAGAGGTCTGAGATGTCCAGGGTGTAGATGGGAGAAAGCCTGGAGAGGAGAAGCAAGAGTCTTCTATAATCTCTAGATAATCAGTAGCTTAGCTAATTGAATAAAGAACTGAATAAATGATTTTAATTGAAATATTGCCATGGTAATGCTAGTGTTGTAATAAAGATGTGGCATGTCAGGAGGAAAGTGCAACCGATATTTGGGTCTCCTCAAATTGTTAGTCTTACTAAAGCTTTATAATTTTTTTTTCTTTGACAGAACAAACCTGTAATGGCTTTCGGATTGGTAACTCTTTCACTTTGCGTGGCATATATTGGTTATCTACATGCAATACAAGAGAATAAAAAGGACCTCTATGAAGCTATTGATAGTGAGGGGCACAGTTATATGAGGCGGAAAACATCCAAATGGGATTAGTAGTGCTGGTTAGTGCAGATGGACCTTTATTAAAGGTTCTGAAATCTTCAAATGAAAGACCTTGTGAGTGTACAGTATCATGTTTCTTGTTCTAGAACATGCTAATGAAGAGAGAAGATAGCAGTTGCAACCAGACAACTGTCGTAAATTTTGTCCTTTCACAGCTGCAGCCATTATCTCATTCTTTTTCCACAGAGTGAGCGTCATAATATTTTTCTTTCCTTACCTCTTATAAAAGTGCCATGAGAATGGAAGTTGTTTTTGTTAATTATTAAATTCTGTATAATAAAAGTACCCATGCTGTTAAATTTGCATGATGTTTTAAATATTTTAAGATGAATTATGCCGGTGCAGCTGTCGTGAAAGTTTACTTGTGTTTTGCTACTTGCAAAGGAAATGTTCATGTTCTCCCTGGCATAGAACCTATATTTTTAAAGAAAGATAAATAGAAATTTTAAGGCCTGAAGTCAATATTAAAAATATGAGATATGAGAAACTGAGTTGGCTCTGACAAGTAGTTTTTATAGTGTCACAAATGGTTCATATATTTCAGTTTCCATTTTAGCTATTTTTGGGACAGAATTTTATTTTAATGGAAAAGATCCTTCCACTCAGCTACTAAAATAAGGATTAAGAATATCCCAGAGTAATTGGAGTTTTTCTTTAAAAAAAAAAAAAAAGTATGTTTTACTGAGGTATGATGATTTTGACTACAACTAAATGTTATCTATTTTAGTGTTTATGTTAATTAATGTTAATTAATTTTGTTTATGTTAATTTGTGTTAATTAATGTTACTGTAATGTTATAAACATAAGACCAAGTGTTCTTATAGTTATTTAAAAACTACAACTACTCAATGGATAAGGAATAGATAAGGTCTCCTTATTGTACCTTTTTTTTCTTTTGAAGTTTATATGCCAGCAGGCCTTTTTGTTTTTTTCCTTTTCAGAATGTTTCTTATTCTCTGAAGCATCAGCATTTTGAAGTGTCTTTTATGGAAGTGGGGACAGAAATGGGGGTAAAAATGAGTGTAAACAAAGCCTAGCCCTACGGTCAGTACCCACTGGAGGTGAGAAGCAGAATGGCCTTGGTTGTCCTGGCACCTGGCCCAGGGGCCTAGGACAGAGGTCAAGGCTAGGCCCCTGTGTCTGGCCAGATTCTGCCTTATAGAATTCAAATCTTTCTTACAAGGGTTCTGGACCCGTTTCATTTCTAGATATATACCTAATTCTCCAAATCATTGTCATTGGGCCTCAGTAGTAAATCTTACCTCTGAAGTCTTGCTTCAGTCGCTATTAATATTACCAAGTAATAATAACAGCACAGGCAGAGTTTATCATAATGTTATTTTTAATTTGTCATACTTTATTATGGTTTTGTAAGGTACATGAAAATGTAATTATGTGTGATTTGTAGGTATTAAAGAACTTAGCTAATTGAATTTACATGAAACTAAATAAAATCTTTACTACTGAGCCCCAAATATGTATTTGCTATGCCTGTCTGTATAATGTACTTCATATAGTTTAAAATGCACTTCAGTGATACAAAATCCCTTTTAAAGACTCTTTTGTTTTTGTTTTCCCTGTGTATTTTGGCTATCACAAAACTAGGGTTCTTCTGTTTTTAACTTATGCATTTAATGACACATTGCCATCTTTTAGAATTTTTTACTATTCAACAGAATAAGCTGATGTTTGGTGGCAGAGGAGTTATTAGTTGCGTGAACTGTCAAGAGATTGCAGTGCAGGAGGGCAACAGAAACTGTACAAGGTGCAGACTTGAGTCATGTAAGATCTATGTGAATGAACCAAAGTAACTAGAGTCAGTCAAGCACAAAGCTGTGAAAAGTAGTGTGTGGAAAGAATCATACTGAATTTTAGGAACAAGTACCTGACTATGATACTTTTTACAGAGTGACTACAAGTTGTAGGACAGTCTTTGTGTGTGCTGAGTGTCAACAGCTGCCTGCCTATGTGTTGATGTTTTCATCCTTTCTTTGTTGAATGAGGGTATAACCATCAAAAATAAAATACCTTTCAAATAGTCCAAAGATTCTGAACATTGAACTTCACCTGATCCAATCCTGTCAGTTTATGGTTAAGACAATAGGCTGAGAATGGCTAAGAGATTTACCAAAGATCAGGGAGATTCTCAGTCAGGAGTAGAACCTGTATCTTCTTGCTCTAAAGTCTAGGGATCTTTTCACCATACTATACCACCTTCTATGTGTAAATGTGCACATAATAATAAAGCAGCCACATTAGCCCTTAAAAATAAGAAGTTTAGATCTTAAGTAGAGAAACACTCCTGTACTTTAAAACAGAATTATGTAAAGGACTGTTAACTGCCAGCTCCCTCACAAGACCATCAGAACAACCTGATGATCAAACAAAACTAAGCTTATTAAATCTACTGCACTAAAGGGAAATACCACTTTTACAAAGTTAGCTGTATTTAAGAATGGGATGGTCAGGGGAAGATATTAAAGTCTTTTGGAAGTCTGAGTTCAAGTGATTAAAGAAGGGTCTTTCAATGCAGGAATCTGGTTGAGAATGGGCAAGGTACCTGACAGAACAGATTAGATCTTGAAGCAAGTCTTGATTAGTAAACTATTGTTCAATAAATGTTAAGTGAACTCTTTGCCCAGGGGAGTAGTCTAATCTTCTGATGGAAGAGCTGTTTGCCTAGATCAGCAAGCTGTCCAATTGATAAATTGTTTTTCAAGGATTTCCTAAGGCAAACACTGAAAGTATTTATTGGTTTTACAGCCTTATCTTCCATAGGAGGCCCAACTCTTCCAATTTGCCAGACACTAAGGAAGTTCAGGACTTTCAGTTTTAAAACAGGGACAGTCCCAGGCAAATCAAGGCCAGTTAGTTATCCTTCCATCTGGGCAAGAATTTCTAGTAACAGATAGGAAAGTTATTGGCACAAGTAGCCTCAGTTCTCAATCCAGATAATTAACTGTGTGGATGCAGTAATCCTCATTCTTCATACTAATTCATCTCTTTGTTTTTAATTCCTCTCCAAGTCCCAGTTAACCCTTTTCTTGAAGTCAAATCTGGCACAATTTGATAGTTACTTAAGGTCTTCAGCCAGTTATCAGGCCGTATGTGTTAATATAAATTATAGAGTAACTTGTGGTACACTTAGCTCAGGGCCCTATGGGAGTCCTGTTGTTGAAATTAATTTCACTGATGGCACTCACTTATTATAAAATAGTCCTGCCAAGTAGATGCAGCATATGACATTGTCAGGCAATTTTATAAATTCAGTTACTTGGTACAATCAGTTGCACAGATTTTTGCGATAGGTGGAATTTCTATGGCTGTTTATCTAAAATTATAGGAACAAATTAGTTAACCATGTGATTTTTAAAACCAGGCTTAGTAATTTTGAATGCTGCCTTAATGAAAGTAATTTCTTCTTCAAGATACCATGATATTTCCCAGTTTTATTACCATGGCACCAACACATCATGTTTATTAAAAACCTAAAAGAAATTAAGCTACCTCCATTGCTGGCCTTAAAAGAAATTAATTCTTTAAAAACTAATTTAAAACAAAGTGTGGTAGGCTGACTAATGCTCTCCTTCCCTGCAAAAATGTCCAGATCCTAATCTCTGGAACCTGTAAATATGGGACTTTACGGATATGGGTAAGTTTAGGATTTTGAGATGGGGAGATTATCCTGGATTATCTAGATGGGGCTGGTATAATCACCAAGGTCTTTAAAGCACGGCAGAAGATCAGAGGAAGAGACAATGTCACTATGGAAGCACTGGGGGAAAAGGCTATATGATGCAAGGCCATGACCCCAAGGAATATGGATGGCCTTTAGAAGCTGGAAAAGGCAAGCAAACACATTCTCCTCTGAAGCCTGCAGAAGGAACCAGCCCTTCTAACAACTTGATTTTAGCCCCTAAGACTCATTTTAGACTTCTGATCTCCAGAAATGCAAGAGGATAAATTTGTGTTACATTTAAACTATGAAGTTTGTGTAGTTTGTCACAGTGGTGCTATGGTTTGAATATTTGTCCCCTGCAAAACTCATGTTGAACTTTAATCCCCAACGTGGTAGTATTGAGAAGTGGGGCCTTTAAGGGGTGAGTGAATTCATTCATGGGTTAAGGGATTGATGGATTATCATGGGAGGAGAACTGGTGGTTTTATAAGAAGAGGAAGAGAGGCCTGAGCTAGCATGTGAGCTCAGCCCCTGGCCATGTCATACCCTATACCACCTCAGGAATCTTCAGTGAGTTCCCACCACCAAGAAGATTCTTACCTGATGCAACTCCTCCACCTTGGACTTCTCAGCCTCCATAAACTGTAAGAAATAATTTCATTTTCTTTATAAGCTATCCAGTTTCAGGTATTCTATTATAAGCAACAGAAAACAGAGTAAGACAGCAGCAATAGGAAACTAATATAGAAAGTATCAGGAAAATGAATGGCTGTATCATGCTCCCTTTTGTCATTATTTGAAGTTGCTTTTATGAGCAAAGCTTGTCTTACCTAGCAACAGTTGCCAAGTAAGTTAACAACTTAATGCTAGAGTCTGGGAAGGAGCAACTACTTAAATCTTCCCAAATCTGGTGCCCATACCTTCTATGGCAGGGGCTTTTAGCACCATTCTTTAACGTTAGACACATAACCACAGCCTAATCACTTGAACCATTTAATCCTTACCAGCCTCTAGCATTATCCTAAAACCCTGAACCTCTTCCAGCTTTCTTAAACTTTCAGCTTTTCTTGAAACGACTTTTTCTGATTCTAAGATTATTTTAACTGTAAGTAGGAGAAGACATCTGAAATTTAACTATGATCAGAAATTCAGATTACAAAAACTTTGTTTGCTGTGCTGTTTGTAATAAAATAATTCCACCAGCCCCTTTTGGAAAAACCTTCAAACGGATCCATGAATACAAGCCACTTAAGACACGCTTTTACACTCACAAAGACATACTAGGTAAGTGACTTTATCGTTTTCCTTTGTTCTAATGCTTCATAGCCTTATGTGTCATTCTTTCTGTTACATAGACTTTTATCAGCTTTTTTCTCTTCAGAGTTGCTTGTCCCTACAGGGATATTTGAGGAGAATATGGGTTGGAATACAGCTTCTCCACTTACAGTTGTATGTATTGGGCAGGGTATTTAGCCTCTCAATCTGTTTCCTTATGTGGAAATAAATATACTAATACCTATCTTACAGGTTGTTATGAGACTTTAATGAAGTATTTGTATCTATTATAAATCCTGGCACATAATAGTAAATGTGAGTTCATTTTGCCCTTGGCCATACTTGAGCACCTTTCAGTATGTGTAGGAGAGGAAATATTATCTCTAAATAACACCCTAATTGGATGGGCACAGTGGCTCACACCTGTAATCCCAGCACTTTGGGTGGTCGAGGTGGGCAGATCACTTGAGGCCAAGAGTTCAAGACCAGCCTGGCCAACATGGCGAAACCCCGTCTCTACTAAAAAAATTTAAGCAGGCATGGTGGCATGCGCCTGTAATCCCAGCTACTCGGGAGGCTGAGGTAAGAAAATTGCTTGAACCCAGGAGGTGGAGGTTGCAGTGAGCTGAGATCGTGCTACTGCACTCTAGCCTGGGTGACAGAGCGAGACTCTGCCTCAAAAAAAAAAAAAAAAAAAAAAAATTTTAAAGTACCCTAATAAATGGGTAAAAGAAACTATATAACCTTTAAATAGTAGCTGGTAGCATAAAAGTAGATACATATAGATAACATGAGGACGTTTACTGTACATACGTATGTATATATAATAAGCAAATCAAATTGTACTATAGGTTTCCATCTCTCTTTTATCCCCGTAAGAGTTTTCAGTCTGACCTTGAGCCTTGTAGGTATTTTCCTAAGAACTCTCACAATACTTCTCTGATCCTCTCTTCCTTTAAAATGGTAAACTAAGGGTGATTTCATTTCACTCCTGATATTTGAAAATATAAGAAGCTGGAGAGCAGAGGTGTTTGGAAAAAAAAACTAAAATGTAGGGGGAGATCAAATTGGAATCATCTTCTAAAAACATCAATTCCAAAATTGTTTCTTAGCATTTAGTAAGTGCTTAGTATGAATGATTCATTATGATCTCTAAAGTGACTTTTCATACCCAGGACAGTGTATCTCCATTCTTAGATATACCTTAATGATTGATTCCTTATGCCTTATGGAATATCTAACCCAAACCTTAAGTGGATAAGTTAAATCTATTGTTAGAAATTAATCTTTTCTATTCAGTGACCTTTGTCATTGAACTGTTTTAAGTTAAAAAAGAAAGAAAGTTGAAATTGTCTGTTCTTTATAAGCATTTTGAAATGTCCGTAGAAGAGCTAGTGAGTATTTCATAGGACGATAGTTCTCAATCCTGGCAGTGCACTATATAGAACTTTGAAAAAAAATATTAATACAGATATCCAAACACAGACCCACTGGATTTAATACTAATCTAACACAGAGCCACTAAATTAGGACCTCTACGGTCAGGACTAAGCATGTGTATTTTTTCCTTCACGTTTAAATAACCTTTTTTATTTCAAGATAGTTTAAGACTCACAAGTTGCAAAATAGATCAGAGTTCCCCTGTACCCTTCATCCAGCTTCCATTGATATCTTACATAATCCTGGCACTTTGTCAAAGCTGGAACACTGGCATTGAAACAATACTATTAACTCAGGTACAGACCTTATGTACACTTTTTTCCCCCGGCATAGAGTTTTATGAAATTTATCATGTGTGTATATTAATGTGCCATCACCACAATCACAACATGGAGCTGTTCCATCACCACAAAGGAACTCCCTCGTGTTACCCCTTAGCTGTCACTCTCTTCTCCCCAAACTTGAACCCCTGACAACCACTAATCTGTTCTCTATCACTATAATTTTATCACTGAGAATGCTATCTAAAGAATCATAGATTATGTAACCCATTGAGATTGGCTTTCTTCACTCAGCACAATGCCCTTGAGATTCATCCAAGTTGTTTATCAATAGTTTGTTCCTTTTACAGTATGTGCATTTTTAAAAAAAGCTTTGCAGGGATCCTGTTGTACAATCAGGGTTGAGAACAACTAATAAAACCAATGGGATTTAAACATAAAAGAGGATAGTGATAGCCTACACTTGTATCACATTTTTATGAAGTTCAATACGTTGATGGTCCATGCTTAGTCACATTTTGTCCTAGAAAATCTTTTCTAATTATTTCTACACAATGTTGGGCTTTTGCAGTATGTGTCCATCTCCACCGTAATATATGCTGCCCTGTGTTTTTAAGATTCGCTGATGAACTAGTAGGAGACTCTGTGCCGCCAAACATATACTTTTAATTGCTAGTGACAGAAACATAACTCAGAATAGACTGCATGAAATGGAATTTCTTGACTCTTTTAACAGAGAAACCCAAGGGAAATCTGGCATCAAGGCTTTCAATCTGTCCATGCTTACCCTTTTAGTGAGTTGGCTTAATGGTTTACTGCTGCAGCTAGACTTACTCCGGCAGCTGGGAAAGGAGGAATGTGGATCCAGATAGCTCTAAGAATCTATTACCTTCAGCTTAGAAATCCCAGAGGAAGACCAGGCATGGTGGCTCACGCCTGTAATCCTAGCACTTTGGGAGGCCGAAGTGGGCAGATCACTTGAGGTCAAGAGTTCGAGACCAGCCTGACCAACATGGTGAAAGCCCGTTTCTACTAAAAATACAAAAATTAGTCAGGCATGGTGGTGGGCGCCTGTAATTCCAGCTACTCGGGAGGCTGAGGCAGGAGAATCACTTGAAACGGGAGGCGGAGGTTGCAGTGAGCCGAAATGGCGACACTGCACTGCAGGCTGGGCTACAAAGCAAGACTCCCTCTCAAAAAAAAAGAGAAATCCCAGTGGAAAAAGACCTGGCTGTCTGATATTGCGTGGTCCTCTAGCCTCTCTAGACTTTTATTACCTTGTCTGGGTAGAGAGGATATTATTATGGGAATGTTATTATTTGGAAATCAAATTAGATCATTGACAGAAAAATAGTAAACTTCTACCCCTTAGCTCACTCCATACTGAAGCAGTTAAACCCACAAAGAACCACATGCTAAAGAAAGGCATGTAATGTGAAGGCATTCCACTTCCCTTCTCCTGATGCTAGCCCTAGCACCCAAATAGGAACAGGGAGAGAGAGAGCTGTATAATGTGCTAAGACCTCTTGAATATTCACTCATCATTCTACTTTGGGTGTACAAAATATGTCCCTTTCTTCGGGCATTTATTTCACCTCCCCAGTTGTCTGCTGTGTGGACTGGGTGTGATGAGGGGAATGACCAACTCTATCCAGGCCTGACAGTGCTGTGAATTCCCTCCTAATCAGAGAAAATCTTACTCTTTCAATGGGTATCTTTGAAATATATATACTGGCATCTCCTAAAAGGACGTGTCTCCTAAATAGCCCTCATAAATAACTAGATAATGGTGGAAAGGAAAGCCAGGAAGCAGTCGGTGGAGGTTTGTGACCATTGCTCTTCAAATACACAGATATTGGGGCAAATATTCTGAAAAAAGAAGAGCAGTTTCAAGAAGATATACTCAGAGAACACATTGCGAAAGCAGAAGCTGAAGTATGGGCTCAGGTAAAAGAAGTTACATGTCAACCTAAAGTCCATCTTTACCGTTCTTTCACATTTTGGATTTGTCTGAAACAATTGTATAGTGTAGTAGTCAGAACTGACTGAATCCTGGCTAGCTGTGGGACATTGGGCAAGTTCTACAACCTCTGTAGTCTTGGTTTCTTCATTGTAAAAAAGTAATAATAGTACCCATTCTGTGGGATAGTTGGGAGGGTTCAGTGAAATAATATGCCTGGCACACAGTAGGTGCTTAGTAAGAAGCCGGCATCATCAGGAGCTTCCTTCCTTCTCAGCTGCCCTCTCTGTAGGGAGGACTCCTGCTCCCTTTATTTTGATTTGATTGAAACCAAAACTAAAAAGAAAAAAAAATGTCTAAGAAAACTCCTTGTTGATAGTTGTTTCTTATGGCCTAACATTTAATATATAGACCATCCATTTGTGGAGCATGTAACACTCCTGTTTCCTCAAATGCTTCATTATGGCCTACTCCCCTTTTCCTCCCCTCTCTCCCAAATCCTTGATACCTCGTCGATATGACTGCTGAGCACTATAAGGGCAATTTGAATATTGGGGCTCACAGTGGGATCCAAGGCATCAAACTGAAGCAAAGCCTCAGTCCTGTAGCCCTACTTCTTCCAATCATAGAATGACATCAATAACTTCCCGTAAAAGAATTACAGCTCCTTGAGAGCAGAACCACAGTGCTTAGAAAAATGTTTGTCAGTTTCTTTATAAAATAGACATTATAGCAAATAGTATTAGCATTGCTCAGTATTCATGCCAGCAAAAGCTTGCTATGAAAATATTTTGAACATACATAATGCTCCAGTTCTTTATGAATACTCCAGTTCTGTATACCCCAGATTTTGATTTATCTCAAAATCTTTGTAGTCATCTATTTTTATTAGTGGTAAAATTCAAACTGATTGTGAACCATCAATTATACACCCTAATACAAGGTGATGCGTTTGTAAATAGTCTACAATTTGAATGTAAGTTGGTCTAATGTTCTGTGTATTCTTTTCAAATAGAGTTAAAGTTCTTTCTGAAGACTGAATGTGGGGGACCTGGATGGTACTCTGCCTCTTTACTCAGCTCCTTCTAGCTTTGTGCGTCTTTTCATTTCACTGTGTTTTCCAGATTTTCCACAATGCACATATGTTACTTTGAGAGTCAATCAAGCAAGAAATAAAGTGCCAAAGAGAAAAGGCAACCCAGCAGCCTACATACAGTAAAGCTGCCTTGCCTTTAGCGATTCCAAAAACAGCAAGGCTAGCTCTGGATTGGGATGCATTAGAGCATCTCTGGCTAAGGCAGACAGTTTGCTATGGGAGGTTTGAGATGGGAATGGGGCAAGAAATTAGGGACTCCATGGTTGTTGCTAATTTTCAGTAAACTTGAAAACCTGATTTACCAACATCCTAAATAAGCCAAGTTTGCTTGTGCTTATTCTGATACATTAATAGATAAATGGACTCTTTCTTTCAAAGGCTAATGAACGTCAAAAACAAGCAGTGGAGAAAGCACTTGAAGAAGCAAATGACAGACACAAAATTGAAATTCAGATTTTGAAAGAGGAACATCAGAAAGATTTACAGGTTTTTATAGTGGCTTATTTGTTGTCTTTTAAAAGTAATTACATTAGTAAAAAGAAAAGTTGGCAAGGGAATGAGAAAAAAATAATAAGGAAATCTAGACTGGTGTTTCATGGCCATTAGCTGGGATCCCCTGGGAGGTTCTCAGAAGAGATGCTGAGCTCTCTAGAGCAGTGATGAATAAGTGAAGAAGAACCCCATAGCTTACTTCCCAAGGGAAGCTTTGCCTGACCAACCTTGCCTTGCCACCCACACACTGTCCATGACACCCTGATCTTTTTCATAGCAGTCTTCACCATTGTAATTAAATAAATGATTGTGTGGTTAGTTGTTGAGTGTCTGACTCCCCCACATGACTGCAGCTTTCAGCAGGGGTGTCTGTCTCATCACTGGACTAGCCCTGGTGCCCAGCACAATTCCCTGACTTAGTAGGTGCTCAAATAGTTGAACAAGTGAAGCAGGCTGTTCTCCTCCTTCTCTGATTGCATCCTTTTTTCTAAATTTTGCATTTACTGTACTGCTAAGAGGGACATCTGAGCTGTCCCTCAATAATTTAATGCAGGGCCAGATGTCACAGATGAAGGTTACTAACCTGTAGCCTGTTCAAGTACATGACTCTAGGTAACTTACAAACTTTCAGGTGGAGACCCTAGGATTCATTGTTAGTTCAGTACCTCGATTACAAAATCTGCTCAAAGGAAAATGTTACAGAACTATTTTCACATTTTGGTCAAGGGAGGGACAGGACAGGATAAGGTACAGGTATGACAATACACGGGCAGAAGCTGGAGGAAAGTGACAGAGGTCCGGACCCAGGTTTGGTCTAACTTAGGAACAGTAATGAGCAGTTCAGGGACTGCAGGCCAATTTATTCGTTGTTGCAACAATGAGCACCTACCGTATATTAGATCTGTACCGGGTGAGATAAAATCAACTGTCTTTACCCAGAGAGGACTTGCTGTCAGGAAGGGGAGCTCCTCCCCATGAGTCCTGAAGGCTAGTGGGATGCTCCCTGCTTCGCTCCAGTGGCCTACCTCAGCCAGGGTTGGTATGGTGTCTGAGGGGTTGGCTGTGGTGGCCCATTGCCCATTCCCCATTTCAGTTCAAAATGTGAAGAGCATTTATAGCATGTCTTAGGCAGGCCTGCTCTTCAGCTGCTATGTACAAGTATGGCCATACTGGCAATTAAAGTATTAAAGTACTTCTCTATCAGTTGATAAATAGTTACCCGCTAAGCCCTCTATCACCTTGGTCACCCTGGTTGCTTCCCCAGCAGACTCCTGGACCTCTCCCAATCCAGCAATTTAAAAGGATAACTCATGGCTTGGCAAGGGGCTCTAGTTCCCTGCTATAATGCTGCAGCCAGAGGCCATTCAGATAGGTGGGCCCTACTGTGCTGGTTGATACACATTTTGAATGTCCTTCCTGGCATTAGGTTGTAAAGACATAAGGAAGATGTGATTCCTGTTTCAAGGTTCACATGCTAGTCTTTCTTTAAATAATGTTATTGTACCCCACGCAGCCTTTGAGTGGAGTTGAGGTACTTAGTGCATCAGTAGAAAGAAGCCCTATTTAAAGGTAAATAGTTAAAGGGGGATCGACCTTCCTGAAATATTTGTCCGGGGGTTGAGAATTTACATTTATACCACCATTTCAGATATTTTTTACTTATGAAGGAATGATTTGTCTAAGAGTAGTGTGGGGTTATTTCAACCTGTTATATCTGTAGGATACCAAGATACAGACATCAGTACTACTTCTCAGGGCTTGTCGGTGAACCACTTGCATCAGAATCTATTCACTTGGGGTCCTGACATACAGATTCCTGGGCCTCATTCTGACCTACAGACTCCATCAGCATCCCAAGTGATTCTCACACATATTAAAGTTTGAGATTACCAATGTATAGCAGAAAACCAAGTTCCTCTAGAACCAAATATTAAATTTTGATGTGTCAAGACCACCAGGTATTACTCTTACGTGATGTTAAGAGTTTGGTGTGTCTCAAATGCATGCTGTTAGATAAAATTTCTAGATCTTGTTTGATGGATAGGTAATCTTTTGAAAAGGTGTTTATATTATTGAAAGACAATAATATCAAAAAGTAAATGAGAAGATGAAAGCTAAAGGAAAAATAAATGAAAAACTACAGTAGAAAATATAGTAAAGTCATAGGTAAATTTAAAACTTAAAAATGTATATATGCCATGATGTCCTGTGCAATTATCACTGATTGGGCCTTGAGCTTTCTGGCAGCCAATGCAAAGAGAGAAATGTTGTGACTCACCATGCCCATAAGGTACAGGCAAATTAGGCACTTGAGAGGCTCAGATATTCCTAGTTATGAAACCTCAGAGCAATATCTCCTGAGGGGGACATTATGTAAAAATGCCTGTCAAACATCTGTACAGTTAACATGATGGAGTCCATGAATCTATTTCTTACAATATCTCAAAACGTGGGGTGACTCACTCAAGATGCATTTCAGTAAAAGCAATTTATTTCAATGTAAGGTCTCCTTACATTAAATAAGAACATTGACAAACAGCAGGTTACTTAATAATTTTTGGAGCTTTAAATATGTATTCCACATGCTATGTGAGGCAGTAAATGAATTTTGGTTTTATTAAATCATTACATAAAAGAGGGACTGAGTTCAATTATCTGAATTCCTAGTTACTAATTAGGAATCAGATAATTTCTAATTATCTGAATACCTACTTCACAACCCAGCCAAAATAAAGGGCTGGAATGTCATTTTTAAATTCTATGATTCAATAATTTATTGTACATTTAAAAATGACTGAAAGAGTGTAATTGGATTGTTTGTAACACAAAGAAAGGATAAATTCTTGAGGTGAGGGATATTCCATTTACCCTTGTGTGATTATTACACATTGTATGCCTATATCAAAATACCTCATACACCACAAAAATTGAAAATTAAAAAAAAAAAACAAACACAATCACTTTGTGCCAAAAAAATTCAGGCATACAACGGTCTTACACCACCCTATTGACACTGGCTTTTTTTCCTTCTTCAATAGATGTTTGCAAGAGTTCCATTAAATACATTTCATTCTGAAAAAAAATATTGATTCATATAGGAATATATTATGGTAGTACTTCACCTGTCTTAAACTCAACCACCACCCAGCAGTCTGAATTACTGAGAATGTACTTGAAAACCCAGAAGTAAGTTAAAATATCCCCCTAAGGAGTTAAATAAAGGCCTCTGACTACAAGAGAATAACTCAGGCTTATTACACACAGCAGAACCTCTTCACCCCCACTCAGATGTCATTATGCTTATTTGGCAACCTAAACCCAACAGACTTAGATGCTTGATTTTTATTTTGTTTTCTTTTCTTTTGAAATGGAGTCTCTCTGTAGCCCACGCAGGAGTGCAGTGGTGTGATCTTGGCTCATTGCAACCTCTGCCTCCTGAGTTCAAGTGATTCTCCTGCCTCAGCCTCCCAAGTAGCTGGGATTACAAGTGTGCACCACCACACCCAGTTAATTTTGTATTTTTAATAGAGACAGGGTTTTGCCATGTTGGCCTGGCAGCCAGGCTGGTCTCGAACTCCTGGCCTCCAATCGTCTGCCCTCCTCAACCTCCCAAAGTGCTGGGATTATAGGCATGAGCCACCACACCCAGCAGGGTTGCTTGATTTTTCAATTTGGAAATAGATTAAATATTGGAAAGTAAAAATAACAAAAAGGGGCTCACTGATAGAAGCTACAGCAGCATCCTCAGCCTGATGGCAAGTAATTTTCTTGTTCTTTGAAGAAAAGAAAAAATTTGATTTGATACCTACAAAGAGCAAAGATTAAATTTCAAAAAGCAAAGTAATCTGGAGTCATTTATGACAGATACAAGGGGCTCCATGAACTTCAACAATTATTAAATGCCACATGAAGTTTTTGGTCCAGTACAATCATTCATCTTTGTCTACCAAGCCTGGATCATTAAGAAAGTGTTAGATTGTTTCAAAATGTTCTTTTTATGGTGTTAAAGACATTTAGAAACATTTCCATTCAAAATATTCTTTTGTCAAAAAAATTTTAGTGATTTAAGAGACAAAGCCTTCTGCAGTGTAGGAAACCCAGCTAGCATTTCTAAATGGCCAATGTTTTCCTAAAAAGATTTTCTAAATACATGAACTGAGGCCACTTGGAGAGATTCTTAAAGTTGATTTCTAGTGTCTGTTTCATTTTTTAACTTTTCACCCTTGAAGTAGCCAAAGTGAGAAGTTGAGAACTTTTTCTCATGAAAAAGCTGAAAGGTTTGTCTTAACAAATATTTTAATTGTTGAAATAATCTTCTAAGAAGCTGAAGCAATTTCAGTTTCCCTTATAATTTAGAGTTCTCTTGACTTTCTCTCAGCTTCAGCTGAGGATTCTCTCTGGACGCTGTAAACAGAGCTGGCTCTCTCAGGGGCTCCCATAGAAATGGTGCTAAAGGGAGTTGAGCAATCTTCAGCCAGGAGAACTCTTACTGGTTTTATTCCTTTCTATTCTGGGTAAGATTTCATTTAAAGAAGGGATTCTGCAGCTATTGAAAAAGAAAGAAAACCCAGTGTACTATATCTTACAAGACTGTACAATTGATGAATCTCTTGAAAGACTCCAGCATCACAGCCAGGAATGAAGTGAGAAACTGGCAGTCAGCAATCCTGGCTTCTATCCCTAGTTCTTCCATTGATGTGCTATATGAAATAACTTAATTTCTCTATGTTCTTTTGATGTCTTCCCAAATAGAGATAAACATTTACCTTTGGGCTGGGCACGGTGGCTCATGCCTGTAATTCCAGCACTTTGGGAGGTCAAGATGGGCAGATCACTTGAGCCCAGAAATTGAAGACAAGCCTGGGCAACATGGTGAAACCCTATTTTGACAAAAAATACAAAAATTAGCCAGGCATGGTGGCAAGTGTCTGTCGTCTCAGCTACATGGGAGGCTGAGGTGGGAGGACTGCCTGAGCCTGGGAGGTGGAGGCTGAAGTGAGCTGTGATTGTGCCATTGCCCCCCAGCCTGGGCAACAGAATGAGAACCTGTCTCAAAAAAAAACAATTACCTTTAAATGAAAGTTTTAAAATACCTGGACAGAATGAATTGCTCCTCCTCTTTATAATGTTATATTTCTACATATTGTTATATTTCTGTAACTGTATTGCACAGTTACGTTGTTGGCCTCCTTCACTAGACAGTGAATCCCTTGAGGACTAAGATCCCCACCTTCTTGTATATGTAGCTTCTGGGCCTCGGACTGCCAGGCACACTGTGGATTTCCAAAATGGTGACAGGGTTTTCCTTGAGCACAATTTGTGGCTCTGTTTTCCACAGGTCTTGGTTTGACTAGTGGTTCCTCTCCTTAGTTCCCTCCTACCCAGGAGACACGAGGCATAGTAATTATTTCTGCCATTTTCCAGGACTGGCTTACTAAAGCAGAATTGCATTATGTAATTATGTATAATGATAATATGATACTAGAATATTTAGACAATCAAGAAAAAAGACCTTTAACCCTACCCCTCTAACCCAACTATTTTCTTTTTTCCATATTCCCTTTCAATATTATCTACGTAGATATTTATGCTACATAGTTTGTACATTTTTGGTTCACCTAACATCATATAAATAAAAGTTTTCCATATCATACACACTCTTCTTTTAAATCATCAGTGTTAACAGGTACACTTGCTAGCAGATAGATAAAACTATGGTTTAAATAGCCTCCTAATGTGCAGTTTTAAACATTAAGTCTGTAATAGCTAAACCTAGTTTTGCCATTGCTTCAGGAAGTGACAGCTAAAACTAAGACAGAGATGTATCAAAACATGGATGACGAAATGAAGAGAGAGCACTTGGCTGCAGAACAGCGCATGGTCCACAGAATCCAAAGGATTATGATGGAATGCCACAGAGAGAAGGTCGAAGCTGTGGAGAAAGCCAGGGCTGAAGAAAGACACATCGCCCAGGAAGCAATCCAGGCCCAGAAAAGGTATTCCAGAGAACTCATTTACAAATTAGTAACTTCCTTTATCAAAATCAACCTGGAGAAACAGATAAGGTTACAGTACATAGGTAGATATTGCCCAGTTTTTGTGTTTTTACATTTTTATTATGGAAAATACCAAACATAGGGAACAATTTATATTGTAGAGTATGTGTGTGGTTTAAAGAAAAATAATAACATAAATACTCAAAAACCTACCACCCAGCTTAAGGGATTGAAAATTGCTGTTTTCTAAAGCTCTCGTGTGTTCTTCCTCAATCATATCTTCTTCTTGTCCCTGCTTGAAAGATAGCTACTCTCTAAATATGGTATTTTTCATTCTGTATCACCAGTTTTAAGAAGCCAAGGACAGGAATCAAGAAACAGTTTCCCATAAACACATCATTAAAATCAATCTTCACATTCTCTAGCCTAGATCATACACTATTGTGTTTGTGTTACTTTTTGGTCTTTTTCTTATTATGCAAGTAATATATGTTGCAAAAGAAGTTGACATTATGGAAATATATAGAGCAAAAATTGCAAGTCCTGATGCATTGCTTCCCCTACACCCTCCCTGCCTCCCAGAGACAGTTATTTTAAACAATAGAGTCTATATCCTTCCATGCCCTTTTGATGTGTTTACAGCCATATGTATGTGCATAATCACAGATCAGATCATACATATATATATTTTAAGAAAACCACGGTAACTATTTCTATATATGTAATGATTCTTTGCTGGAACAGGACAGCAGTTAGGAGCTCAGGGATTGTCAGGTGCAAGAGAAAAACCATAATTTCCAGATTTTTTTACCAGGTCATTTACCTGCCCATGATCACTGATTTGTAGCAGCAGAGCTGAGACTGAGACCTCCCTATTTGGCCTCCTAGTCTGTGACTGGTCCCTTTTGCTTTGCTGCTTGAGTTAACAAACAGATACATTTCTATATAATTAATGGGTAAAATCTTTTTCATTAGAACTCTTTAGAACAGGGACACAGGTAAGATCCTGGAGGAGGTACAGATAAATGAGAATGAGAGCTGCAGCTGTGACAGTTTAACTGGTACCTCTCTTCCTGCATAGACTGCAGGTCATTGTGGAGGTAGAAGAGGAAGATGAGAGGGGATACCAGGAGGGGGTTAGGGAATGAGTCATGGCCCAATGCACTGGAAGGTGGATCCTCTTTTCTTTTCTCTCCTGCCAGCCATCTGCAGGAGCTCTGTCTCACCTGTGGGAGCCTCTGGGTCCCCTCCTCACACACACTTGCGGTCTCCTCCCTCTCTTGCTAGATTGTTTTTGCGCCCCCTCCAGCCCTTTCCTCTGTGAGGTTTGATGGAAGGTTTTCAATGTCTGCCTTTTATTGAATCTGTAGACTAGGATTAAGGAACTGCCATGTGTACTGTTAAAATATATCCAGCTAGAATGCCCATTTTGTTTATTGATGTTTCCCAAGTGCCTGGAAGAAAGTCTGGCACATGGTAGGCATTCTTGAAATATTTATTGAACAAATGGTTTAAATTTCTTCCAATTAGTCGAAGCCACTCTTCAGCACACCAGATCTTATTTCTAGAAAGTACTAGATTCCTCTGTTCTTTAGAGAATTTGCAGAAACTAATATATGGAGAGAGACCACTGTTGAGAATTCTATGCAGATTTTTTATTTTACTATAAACTTTCATCAAGACTTAAGGATTCAGAACATTTATATATCATGAGAAATTTGTTAACTATACAGAAAACCGTTTTGTGGATTGAGGTGATTAGATTCTAAACAGATTGCCCAGGAGACACTGGACTCTTTCTCTTAAAGTTAAAAAAAAAAAAGTCCAGGGGCGGTGGTTCACGCCTGTAATCCCAGCATTTTGGGAGGCTAAGGCAGGCGGATCACGAGGTCAGGAGATCGAGACCATCCTGTCTAACAAGGTGAAACCCCGTCTCTACTAAAAATACAAAAAATTAGCCAGGCATGGTGGCGGGCGCCTGCAGTCTCAGCTACTCGGGAGACTGAGGCAGAAGAATGGCGTGAACCTGGGAGGCGGAGCTTGCAGTGAGCCGAGATCACGCCACTGCACTCCAGCCTGGGCGACAGAGCGAGACTTGTCTCAAAAAAAAAAAAAATCTGTTTGTAAAGGTTCTAATTGTTTTCTAGCCCAAGGCAAGGCATGAATGAAGTGACCACTCAGGATTTTTTGTGGTCATGGCTGTAATTCCTACTGACAGCTTCCCTTATTCAATTCCCAGCACATGCAAGGCCTTTTGTATACTCCCTGCATCTGGGTGTCCCTTCCTAGGAGATTGTATCATCCTACATATCTTCAGGCAAAGACCCTGGAGGGTTAAGGCCTTAAAGGGAAACTAAGCAAACTGCCAAAGGTCACAGAGGAAAGAGGTGACAGGGCCTGATTTGAACCCTGGCCTTTATGATGCCAAAGCTTATGACCTTCCATTATGCTACCTGCTTTACAGGTAGAGAAGCTATGTGAGTTTTCTAGAGGGTTTGTTCACTTCACCAGAGCTCATCAAGTACCTTCTGTGGATGTGGCACAAATTAAGAGCCCTTCCTCAACATTGTGTAAAATCACTAGAGCATGGCTGCCCCCAACAAGCAAGGCTGGATGGACTGGTACAAATAGCACATAGGTGCTGCAAGAGTTCAAAGTCCTGGAAAGATCAAGCAGTATGGGTGGGGTATGTAGTGAGGTAGGTTTTTTGGAGGAAGTTAGTCGTGGGTTGGGCCTTAGAGACAAGGTAAGAGGTCCCACTTGTGAGAGAGGCAAACGAATGAGAACCGAATGCGCAAAGCCATGGAAGGAGAAAGTATGATGTATAATGAGGCAGAGCCAAGGGGAGGTTCAAGAGTGTTAACAACCCGGGGATAGAAATGCACTGCTGAATGCTGGCATCTGGAGATGTCCCTCACCTGCGTAACTTCTGAAATGCCTGCAGTCTCCTGCCAGACCAGAGAGCCAGGGGTTCCCCATGTCCCAGGTGGAAAATCAGAACATAGGTTACTGGTAAACACAGTGGTTGTACCTGATTGAAATAGTACTAACAGTCCTATAGTTCTAATGAAAAGTAGATTAATAGCTTATTTACAGACTAACCAGGCAAAGGATCAATTGCTACTATGGACTTTCCGTAGTTTATTTTTTCCCTATTAGTTAAGATTGAGTTGTTAGATATCAGATTATGTTTTTATTTAGTAAGTTGTTTTCATTCTCCAAGAGTCTGTTTTATAAAATATCAGACTGAATCCTATAAATTTGGACACACACTACAACTATTTTGAAAATAGTTACTTTTCTGGCCAGTGCCACCCTGAAATACGGTGTGTATTTCAAAATTACAAGTGTACAGCCTCATAAAGATAGAGATGCCAGAAGAACCTCACTGCTCACAGAAAGCATAGACATTCACTTCACATCAGAATGGGCATTGGGGGTTATGGAGCTGGACGTGCCATTCCTTCTGCCAGATGCCAGCCAGTCATCGGTGAGCC
This sequence comes from Homo sapiens, assembly GCF_000001405.40. Taxonomy (NCBI): domain Eukaryota; kingdom Metazoa; phylum Chordata; class Mammalia; order Primates; family Hominidae; genus Homo; species Homo sapiens. The sequence goes on from NC_000006.12 coordinate 87,360,001, forward strand.
TCCTTGATGTCACTGGTTGAGGTGGTTGGTCCAAATGCTGAACAACCTCTACTTGTCATGTTCTTCCTAATGTGGATCCAAAAACTCTGGGCCTTACCTTTACCCTTGGCTTCTGGCCCTGCTCCTCCTCTGTGCGTGGTGATCCTTCAAATGTTTGAGGAGAGAGATTATGTCCAAGATTTAATTTGAAGAAGGGAAGGAAAAACCAAAAAGTACTAATACCTAGTTCTTTCACAGTTCTTTCTCATATGATAAGCTTTCTAGGCCCTCTTTCGATAAAAAAAATACAGGTAGACTAATTTATGTACATTGAAAAACATTTTACACATATCCCAAGAATTGGCTATTTTCCTATGGCAAATATTTCGCTTATGTTAAGAATCCTTTTTAAGCATGAATTTTTTTTTTTTTTTTTTGAGAGAGTCTTGCTTTGTTGCCTAGGCTGGAGTGCAGTGATGCGATTTCTGCTCACTGCAGCCTCCACCTTCCAGGTTCAAGCAATTTTCCTGCCTCAGCCTCCCAGGTAGCTGGGATTGCAGGTACTCACTCACCACCATGCCCAGCTAATTTTTGTATTTTTAGTAGAGATGGGGCTTCTCCATGTTGGCCAAGCTGGTCTTGAACTCCTGACTTCAAGTGATCCACTTGCTTCTGCCTCCCAAAGTGCTGGGATTACAGGCGTGAGCCACCATGCCCAGCCTCATTAATTCTTTTAAGCTTTTGTAATGTTCCAATATAGCTGCTTTAAACTTGTAGTGTTATTCAGCACAACATGTATTAGAGAGAGTTTCGTCTGTATTACCCACTTATTCATTCATACATTTATTGATTGCCTGTTGTATACACAACGGGCACCACACTAGGCAGGGGAGATACAAAGATAAATGGTCATTGCAGGTCACACCCTCGACGCACTGCACCCCACCCCACTCCTGGCTTCAATTCCACAACTTCAGGGAACTCATCAGAATGAAAGGATCAAATATTCAAGCACTAAGGCAGGCTGGGAAAAGTGGGGCTAGGCGCAGTGGCTCATGCTTGTAATCCCAGCACTTTGGGAGGCTGAGGTAGGAGGATCACTTGAGTCCAGCCTGGCCAACATGGCAAAACCCTGTCTCTACAAAAAATACAAAAATTAGCTGGGCATGGTCGCACATGCCTGTAGTCTCAGCTATTCCGGAGGCTGAGGTGGGAGGATTGCTTGAGCCCAGGAGGCAGAGTTTGCATGAGCCAAGATGGTGCTGCTGCACTCCAGCCTGGGCAACAGAGTGGGACCCTGTTTAAAACCAAAAAAAAAAGAAGAAAGAAAAGTTGGAAAGATTTTTTAAAGTACCAGATTCTGTTAGCAGTAAGAGATTTTGATATCAGGGAGTCTGAAAGGGACTGTCATTGAGGGTGGGAGCTGGCGTCATCCAAGATATACATTATTGGATCACTTTTGCCTGACTCAATTCTGGTAGAGCCTTCCAGTTAGCCCATAAATGAAACCTCCCATTTGGGTGAGAGGAAAGTCAGCCCCACCTGGCAGGAAACTCATGCCTGCTTATGTCAGAGGACACAGGGAGCACAGCTTCCTCCTTGGAGATTGGTCCCTGGTCATCACCCTGACAATCTCATCAACAGCCTGAGGATGTTATCAGACATCAGACTAAATCCTTAGAATGTGTGTCGATGCACACTGCCCACTCTATACACAGCATCACTTCTATTAATGGAACCTCCATTCTCCTGTGACCCGGGTTGAAAATCAGCAAGTTGGTTTTGATTCCTCTTTTTCCCACTTCTCCCATATGCTTGCAGTCACAGATTCTGGCAGCTATGACTTTTTAATATTTCCTAGGCTTAACCCATTCTCTCCCTCTTCCCAACCCTCTCTTTTGTCATTAGTTCAGACCCTCATCATTGCACCTCAAGGATATTATGAAATGATACAATTGGTCTCTCTAGCTCACCCCACTAAGATTCAGTTCACTCACTGTTACCTGAATAACAAGTCTAAAATGTTATTTTTACTGTGCTACCCTCCTGACGAAAAATGTATAGTGCCCACTCATGAGCTTGAAGCAGGTAATGATTAAGGGCAGGAACTCCCCAGCGTGCTCAGTTGTGTGACATTGAACAACAACTCACTCTTCTCTAAGCCTCCATTTCTCACCTGTTACAAGGGAATAGTCACAGGTTATAAGTAAAAATAGGTCAGGCACGGTGGCTCACACCTGTAATCCCAGCAATTTGGGAGACCAAGGCGGGTGGATCACTTAACGTTAGGAGTTCAAGACCAGCCTGGCCAACATAGTGAAACCCTGCCTCTACTAAAAATACAAAAATTAGCCATGTGTGGGGGTGCACACTTGTAATCCCAGATACTTGGGAGGCTGAGGTAGAAGGATCACTTGAACCTGGGAGGCGGAGGTTGCAGTGAGCCAAGATGGTGCCACTGCACTCCAGCCTGGACAACAGAGCAAGATTCATCTGTAAATAAGTAAATAAAGTATCAGCTTCAATGGGTTATTGTGAAAATTAAATGAGATATCGTGCATGTAAAATGCTCACCACAGTTCCTGCAATACAGTAAGTACTCAATAATCATTACCCCTGTTATTAATATTGGAAATAGCTTAGTTGGTGGGAAAAGGAAGAAGAGAAATAGTATAGTGGCTACGGAGGCTAAAGAAAGATGTGATTTACTTCAAGACTAGGGAAGTCTGTCAGGTTTGAAAGTCAAGTGGAAAGACTCAGAGAAGATGAGAGAATTGCATCTTGGAGGATGGAATTTAGGAGATAGGGCCAGTGGTAAATCTTGGAAAGCCTGTATTAGACTGGGAGGCAGAGGGGGAGGATTTTTATTAACAGCCATACATTTGAGATCTTAAAACCTCAAATCTTTGAGGTTCTGCTCAAACTATGTTAACTGCAGAAATCCACTGGAAATGTATCACAGTGGCTAAGAGCTTTTGCCCTGGTCTCAGACTGCCTGAGTTGTGTTGCAGATTTTGCCTCTTTAACTTATTAAACAAACTTAGTCCAATTACTTAACCTCCCTGAGCTCAATGTCTTCTTCATAAAAAGAGCACAGTAATGGAACCACACTACAGAATTGTTTTTGAGGATTCATTGAATTAATGTATGCATAGAATGCTCATTAACCTGCTTGGACATGGTAAGAGGTCAACATGGTTGGCTGCTATGAATTTTATATAATACCCTACATTATAGCCAGAAGTATATTAATCATTTAGCAGTGCTTCTGAATATGTGGTCCAGAGACCCTTCAAGGTCCCTGAGACTCTTTAAAGAGGCAGTCCATGACATTAAAACTATTTTCTTTTTTTTTTTCCAAATTTTTTAAAAAATTATTATTATACTTAAAGTTTTAGGGTACATGTGCACAATGTGCAGGTTTGTTACATATGTATACATGTGCCATGCTGGTGTGCTGCACCCATTAACTCGTCATTTAGCATTAGGTATATCTCCTAAAGCTATCCCTCCCCGCTCCCCCCACCCCACAACAGTCCCCAGAGTGTGATGTTCCCCTTCCTGTGTCCATGTGTTCTCATTGTTCAGTTCCTACCTATGAGTGAGAATATGCAGTGTTTGGTTTTTTGTTCTTGCAATAGTTTACTGAGAATGATGATTTGCAATTTCATCCATGTCCCTACAAAGGACATGAACTCATCATTTTTTATGGCTGCATAGTATTCCATGGTGTATATGTGCCACATTTTCTTAATCCAGTCTATCATTGTTGGACATTTGGGTTGGTTCCAAGTCTTTGCTATTGTGAATAGTGCCGCAATAAACATACGTGTGCATGTGTCTTTATAGCAGCATAACACTAAGACTTTATTTGCCTTTTTCACTCTTAGTCTCCTATGAATATAAAATGGTGTTCTCCAGGGGTTTTGTGATGTGTGATATCACAATAAATTGAAACAGTATGAAAATTCAGCTTTTTGCTAATAAGCCAGAGATTAAAGAGTTGTGCAAAAAAAAAATTAGGCTGGGTACAGTGGCTTATACCTGTAATCCCAGCACTTTGGGAGGCCAGGGCGGGTGGATCACTTGAGGTCAGGAGTTTGAGATCAGCTTGGCCAACATGGTAAAATCCCATCTCTACTAAAAAATACAAAAATTAGCTGGGTGTAGTCGTGCACACCTGTAATCCCAGCTACTCTGGAGGCTGAGGCATGTGAATCACTTGAACCTGGGAGCTGGAGGTTGCAGTAAGCCAGGGCCAGGCCATTGCACTCTAGCCTGGGTGACGGCAAGACACTGTCTCAAAAAAAAAGTTAAATTATACCATTCTTCTCATGAAATATTTCATTGTTTGGGAAAATGTTTTTCATAAGAGATTTTTAATATTTTAAAAATGTCTCCCTTTTAGTTTATATAACTGTTAATGTCAATGCCTATAACTCATATAAACAAAAGCTCTTTGGCTTCCTCGATAATTTTGAGACTGTAAAGAGCTCCCGAGACCAAAAAGCTTGAGGTGACTGTCATAGAGTATTGCTCAGATAAAATCAAGATTAAAGCTAAATCTATCCTGTGAGTATAAGGATTTTTCATCTCTGGCTAAAGGTCAGCAGCTGGATTAATATAAAGAAATACTTTCTCTACAGAGTTTGGAACTCTGACCCTTATCTCCTCATTTTTAAGCACAATGCATGTATATTTTCCTGAAAAAGGTGATCTCAGGTTCCTAAAGTTGCCGTTAGAAGTTAGACTAGTGGCCTCACCCTAGCCCACAGCAGGGAAGTACATAGGAAGCCTCCCTGCTCTGAAAATGTGTTTTGTTTGATAACAGCTAATGCAATCCAAAAGCTCATCCGTATCAGCCTGTCTCAGGCTGGTGGCTCATCTCAACAATTGCTCATTCATCTGCGTTTAAAGATGAAATTATTTTGTTTTTAGTGGCCAATCCATCTAAATTATAAATCCATATTATCTTTTGTAGCAAAGCCGTGGAGGAAATTGTGAATACTGGTGTCACAGTTATTAAGGATGAGAAGACCAGTGTGGCCCGACTGATGAGGGAAAAAGAACATGAAATGAGCATCCTCTATGGCATAGCTCAGAGGCAGAGGCAAGAAGAGGTACAGGAAGTGCTTCAAGAAGCAGAGAAAACACATCAGGCCACTCTTGGCAATATGATGGATAAACTGGCTAACACCCAGGGGGAGCTGCTGTCTATAGCAAAACAACTGGGAATCATGACAAATTGGAAAGATTTCCTAGAGGAGGAATTACAGGAAACCAGGATGGCATTTCAAAAATACATCAATTATACCTTTCCTAAGCTTTCACCAGGACATGCAGATTTTATTCTGCCAGAAAGAAAGAAAACACCTTCTAATCTTGTTATTAAGGAGAACAAAACAACTCTTGATTAGAAGTCTTCAGTTGAAATTCCACTACAAAAGACATCATTCCAGACTAAATAAATTTACTCAAAAACCATGTATTGATTCCCCAGCCTTGTGCAGGGTACTATTGGGCTATAAGAATTTTCATGGAAAACCAAAATATTAAAAAGCACATTCCAGATTATATTGAGCCAAGTCTGAGAAGAAAAAATAGTGAGAGGTAGCAAACTGATTAAGAGGGGAAAGGTTTCTTGGATGAAGCCTAAACACACTTCTGTATCTGTCTTTATTCATTTCTACATCAGACATATAATTAATTATTTCAGCATTTATTGCCATAGAAAACAAGTAAAGGAAAGTGTTCTTAGGTTGTTCCTGTTTTGGGCAGGTGTGCTAAGTTCCAGTAGACAGTTTATCATTTGGTGAATGCAGTAGCATTGTGAATTTAAAAAAGCAATTTCTCTCAAATTCAGTAGGATAAAATTTAAATTCTGGGACTCCCATATAAAGTAATTCAGGAAGGACTTGCTACCCACACAACAAGCAGGTTCAGTCACTTGGTGGGTGTCAACTCAATGACCACAACCAAAGAAGATTTAGCAAGGGGATTTTATTACTTATAAGGAGTAAGGAGAACACCAGGGATAGTCCCCAAAGCAGTGTCTGCCTGAGCTGGGGGCTGGGTCAGGTTTTATAAACATAGGGTAATGAGGCATGATCTGACTGGGTCTTGCAATGAGGGGATGTCAGGAGGCATGATCTAACTGGATCCTGCCATGGGGTGATGCCAAAGCTCAATCCAGTTGGATTCTGGATCCTGCCATGCAGTGTCCACTTCTTAATTCAGTTCCCACTCCTGAGTCAGAGCAATCAGGTTCCCTCTGTGGTTGAACACTTGGTCCATCTGGGCATGCTCAGATTACATGACCTGAGGGTCCATGGCAACTGAAAAACACTGTACTACTTTGTTACGTGAAAGTTGGGCCACATGGGTCTGGTATGGCTACAGACTCATCTATATTTGCCAGTTGTAAAAGAAAAAAAGATGGGAGATATTTCTCAAATCCACCTCTCTGAGAACTCAGAGGGTAGGGTTTTTAAAGGATAATTTGACAGGCAGGGGGCTGGGGAATGGGTGCTACTGATTGGTTGGAGATGAAATCACAGGAGTGTTGGAACTGTCTTCGCATGCCGAGTCAGCTTCTGGGTGGGAGTTACAGGACCAGTTGATTTATTTCCTTGGTATGAGTCATGGGTCCAAGTGGTGTCAGTTCATCAGGATGCAAACATCTGAAAAATATCTCAAAGAACAATCTTAGGTTTTACAATAGTGATGTTATCTGTAGGAACAATTGGGAAAGTTACAACTCTTGTGACCTCTGGCGACATGACTCCTGAGTAGTAAGCAAGCTAGGGAACATGGCTGGTTATCACTGAACTATGCATAGGTCTTAGCAGAATTCAAGCTCCTCCCATAATTCTAACCTTTTGGCCTTTCATTCATTTTACAAAGGTGGTTTTAGTCCCTGAACTAGGAGGAGGGTAGTTTTGGGAAGGGGCTGTTATCTTCTTCGCTTTAATGTTAAACAATAAATTCCTCCCATGGTTAGCTTGGCCTGCACTCAGGAATGAGCAAGGGCAATAAGCTTGTGAGGTTAGAAGCAAGATGGAGTCTGCTATGTTAGATTTCTCTCACTGTCATAAGTTTTGCAAAAGTGGTTTCAGAACCCTAATCCTTCCAGCAAACATGGGCAGGGAGCCAAGAATGATGGGGAGCAGAACTGGACGCCCTTCTCTGAACATACTGGATGTACTCTCCTGATGTCAAGCCCCACGGGTGAATGTGTGGAGGGGTACACTCTGTAGCTCCCTCCCACCATCCTAATGTCAGGAAGGACAGATTTGCCCTCAGGGTTCTGGAGAGAGACTAATTGCCTGTGGCAAGATGAGAATAGCAAAGTCAAGTGAAAATTGAAAGTGAGTTATGTTTCTGAATTCTCATTGGGACCCTCACGCCTGGTTTTCTACTGAAACTTGACTGAGACAGAGATTAAGTCAGACTATTTTTTAAAAGATTCCCTGAGTGAACCAATTTTTAGCATAATTTGAGAAGAGAACAGTAACTCTCCGGATACTGTTTCCTTTGAGTACAATACCTAGAGAGGCCTTTATAGATCTTAGATACTATGCCCCATATAAATTATTAAAGTTGTAAGCATTTTAGAGAGTTACTTTAAAGAGAACTTAAAGAAGTCCATTTTTCTTAGTTGTCTTAGATGCTACCTGTACAGTAAGAGTGCATGCAGTTCACATGGTTTCTGGTAATTAGGAAGCTGTGTTAACTCCTGGAGGCCAACTGGGAAGGCCTCTAAGACTGAGGACTCTAAGAAATCATTGCAGTTTAATTTTCTGGAATTTATGCTACCAAGACATGAACTTTTTGGAGTAAAGGAACTTGCGCACTACGAAACAGATGTATAGCATCACTCGGACAGATGGAGAAGCCTCCATCCTAGTCACAAAGCACAAGGAGTTGGGCAGTTTAGTAATCACTGGACTTTTATGTTACCAAGAAGTCACTCTGATGGTTTCTTTCTCCAACTCTGATTTCATCTGATTTATTTAAAGCTTGTGTGTTTTAGGCCAGCCATGGTGGCTCACGCCTGTAATCCCAGTGCTTTAGGAGGCTGAGGTGGGCAGATCGCTTGAGCCCAGGAGTTCAAGACTAGCCTGGGCAACATGGTGAAACCCCGTCTTTACAAAAAGTACAAAAACTAGCTGAGTGTGGTGGTGCGCACCTGTAGTTCCAGCTACTCAAGAGGCTGAGGTGGGAAGATTGATTGAGCCTGGGAGGTTGAGGCTGCGGTGAGCCATGATCCTGCCACTGCACTCCAGCTTGGACAACTGTATTAGTCTGTTTTCACACTGCTGATAAAGACATACCAAAGAGTGGGTAATTTATAAAGAAAAAGAGGTTTCATGTACTCACAGTTCCACGTGGCTGGGGAGGCCTTACAATCATAGCGGAAGGCAAAAGGCACATCTTATATGGCAGCAGATAAGAGAGAATTGGGAACCAAGTAAAAGGGGTTTCCCTTATAAAACGATCAGATCTCGTGAGACTTATTCACTACCACGAGAACAGTATAGGGGAAACCGCCCCCATGGTTCAATTATCTCCCACCAAGTTCCTCCCACAATATGTGGGAATTATGGGAGCTACAATTCAAGATGAGACTTGGGTGGGGACACAGCCAAACCATATCATTCTGCCCCTGGCCCCTCCCAAATCTCATGTCCTCACATTTCAAAACCAATCATGCCTTCCCAACAGTCCCCCAAAGTCTTATTTCAGCATTAACTCAAAAGTCCACAGTCCAAAGTCTCATCTGAGACAAGGCAAGTCCGTTCTGCCTATGAGCCCATAAAATCAGAAGCAAGTTAGTTAATTCCTAGATACAGTGGGGGTACAGGCATTGGGTAAATACAGCCATTCCAAATGGGAGAAATTGGCCAAAATAAAGGGGCCTTAGGCTCCATGCAAGTCCATAATCCAGCAGGGCAGTCAAATCTTAAAGCTCCAAAATCATCTTTGACTCCATGTCTCACATCCAGGTCACACTGATATAAGAGGTGAGCTCCCATGGCCTTCGGCAGTTCAGCCCCTGTGGCTTTGCAGGGTATAGCCCCCCTCCTGGCTGCTTTCATAGGCTGATGTTGAGTGTCTGCAGCTTTTCCAGGTTCACAGTGCAAGCTGTCTGTGGATTTACCATTCTGGGGTCTGGAGGATGTGGCCCTCTTCTCACAGCTCCACTGGGCAGTGCCCCAGTGGGGACTCTGTGTATGGGGGCTTCAACTCCACATTTCCCTTCTGCACTGCCCTAGCAGAGGTTCTCCATGAGGGCCCTGCCCCTGCAGCAAACTTCTGCCTGGACATCCAGGCGTTTCCATACATCCTCTGAAATCTAGGTGAAGGTTCCCAAACCTCAATTCTTGATTTCTGTGCACCTGCAGACTCAACACCATGTGAAAGCTGCCAGGGCTTGGGGCTTGCATCCTCTGAAGCCATGCCCTAAGGTATACCTTGGCCCCTTTTAGCCATGGCTGGAGTGGCTGGGAAGCAGGGCACCAAGGCCCTAGGCTGCACAAAGCAGGGGGATCCCTGGGCCCAGACCACAAAACCATTTATTCCTCCTAGAACTCCGGGCCTGTGATGGGAGGGGCTCCACAAAGATCTCCGGAGACATGCCCTGCAGGCATTTTCCCCATTGTCTTGGAGATTAACATTTGATTCCTTGTTATTTATGCAAATTTATGCAGCAGGCTTGAATTTCTTCTCAGAAAATGGGTTTTCTTTTCTATCTCATTATCAGGCTGCAAATTTTCCAGACTTTTATGCTGTATTTCCCTTTTAAAACTGAATGCGTTTAACAGCACCCAAGTCACCTCTTTAATGCTTTGCTGCTTAGAAATTCCACCAGATACCCTAAATCATCTCCCTCAAGTTCAAAGTTCCACAGATCTCTAGGGCAGGGGCACAATGCCACCAGTCTCTTTGCTAAAACATAGTTTTACTCCAGTTCCCAACAAGTTCCTTATCTCTATTTGAGACCATCTCACCCTGGATTTCATTGTCCATATCATTATCAGCATTTTGATTAAAGCCATTCAACAACTGTCTAGGAAGTTCCAAACATTCCCACATTTTCCTATCTTCCTCTGAGCCCTCCAAACTGTTCCAACCTCTGCCTGTTCCCCAGTTCCAAAGTTGTTTCAATATTTTTGGGTATCTTTACAGCAGTACCCCAGTACCTAGTACCAATATACTGTATTAGTCCATTTTCATGCTGTTGATAAAGACTTACCTGAGATGATAATTTATAAAGAAAAAGAGATTTAATTGACTCACAGTTCCACCTAGCTGGGAGACCTCACAATCATGGTGGAAGGTGAAAGGCAAAAAGCACATCTTACATGGCAGCAGACAAGAGAGAATTGAGAACCAAGTAAAAGGGGTTTCCCTTATAAAACCCTCAGATCTTGTGAGACTTATTCACTACCATGAGAATAGTATGGGGGAAACGGCCCCCATGATTCAATTATCCCTCCCACAACATGTGGGAATTAATGGGAACTACAATTCAAGATGAGATTTGGGTGGGGACACAGCCAAACCACACTAGCAACAGAATGAGACCCTGTCTCAAAAAAATAAAAATAAAGCTTGCATATTTTAGCTTTAGGGGCCTTATTTCCACTGACATCATGTAGACACTATTTGGCAAAAATTAGGTTCATTTACAGATTGAGGATTTAGACACTCTGCTACTTCTAATAAAATTTTATTTGTGCTTGGCTGGGATCACTTAGAAAAGGAAGGAAAAAAAAGCACTGCCATTTGTTGTCTGCTAATAGTAAGCCAGACAGCATGTGAATGCTCCACCTGCATTATTCAACCTCTGCATCACAGCCACCAGATAAAGGCATTCAGGCACTTGAGGGTAGTATTCTGCCTGGTTCCATTTTCTGCCACTCTGTTTGAAAATTGCAGAACCAACTATTTCCAACTGAGTTTAAATTGCAGGATTGAAAATTATTCTTTTTTCTCTAGTTAGTTCTAAATAGAAACACTTTTATATTGAGTTGAATAAAGTTAAAAGTATCCCTTAATATAGAGCAACTGCATGTTAGGTCTTAAATTTTACATTCTTAGGGATAAAAAAGGGGACAATATAGCTCCTATTTGTTGAATGCTTCACATCAGGCACTGGCTTTATACACATTGTCTGCAATTCTGTCAACAATCCTCAGAGGTAAGAATTAATTATTCTCACTTTATACAGGAGGAAATTAAAGTTTATCAAGATTAACTTACCTAGGGTCACACAGCTGGAAAATGATGGATACCATCCCCAAATATCCTACTGTACTTCTAGCTCTATATTATTCTGTATATATTGTAAAAGCTAACATGTATTCTGTACTTACATGGACAAAGCACTCTAGGTATTTATCATATACTATATTAACTCATTTAATCCTTGCAACAACTGTATGACATGAGTACAATTATAACCCCCGTTGAACAGATAAAGAAACTAAGGAACAAAGAGGCTAAATGTTTTTCCCTAAGCTCAGTAAGCTGGGAAGTAGCAAAGTCAGAATTCAAGCCCATCTGTCTGCCTTACTCTTAACCATATGTGGTATTTCTTATTTACCTTAGGAACTTTCCATCTTACCTACTTTTTGGACTTTAAGACCATAAAGGACTTCCTCTGCTGAGGACCCAAACTGAACCCCAAGGCCAGACAGTATTCTTGATATACCACTGTATGCTGCACAGGTATACCTCATCCCCTCACCCCAACTCAGTGTCCCCAAGTGGTGCTATTTGTATCATTTGTCTATTTTAAAGACTATTATTTAGTTACATAATAGAATTAGGTAATTCTATACATGTCATTCTTAATTAAATTATAGTTTTTAATTTTATGTTGCAGCTTTTAATTAGATGTATGAGATATTAATTATTGATTTTGTTTATTCAACATGCATCAAGAAGCAAACTACCATATGTCAGGTGAAGATGCTTGTGTTCATGGTACATAAAATAAGGAGTAGCCCTTACAGTTAGAGAACTCAGTGAAGTGGATAGAAAGACAGTGAACACACTTGTTATGAGTATTAGTCTGTTCTCACACTGCTAATAAAGACATACCTGAGACTGGGTAATTTATAAAGGAAAGAGGTTTACTGGACTCACAGTTCCACATGGCTGAGGAGGCCTCACAATCATAGTGGAAGGCAAAGGAGAAGCAAAGGCATGTCTTTACATGATGGCAGAAAAAAGGGCATGTGCAGGGGAACTCTCCTTCATAAAACTATCAGATCTTATGAGACTTATTCACTATCATAAGAACAGCATGGGAAAAATCTGCCCCTATGATTCAGTTACCTACCACTGGGTCCCTCCTACGACCATGTGGGGATTTTTACAGTTCAAGGTGATATTTGGGTGGGAACACAGAGCCAAACCATATCATTATGTTTGAGGGCTGGAGAAAAAACAATAATGGGCATGTAGCACCACTTAATAATTGATATTATACTATACTGGTGGGTGTCAACACTTAGAATCAGTGGCCTTCTAGCCTAACTGATATTCTTCCTTAGTGCTAAGTCCTCTCCACATTAGTGAAGGAATGGCTTGATTGAAAATTTGATTTCAGCATACAAAGTGTATTCTACAGTGTCAAAGACAAATTTTCCTAGTTCTCACATGTTTGTTCTTCTCAAGATTTCAGATGGTCAGGATAATGGTTGTTTCCTCTATTGGTTCAGGACAATAGGTTTGTACCTGACAAAATACTGTCTCTGGGTTCTTTGGAGTGTAAAGACAACTCCAGACTCTTTGGGAAGGGCCTTGGGAGATATAAATAAAAAAATCCTAAAGTTGTGGTCACCAGTTCCAGGGATCTCAAGAGGGTCAAGGTCTACCCAGAAATTTGACATTTTGGTGAGGCACGGTGGCTCATGCCTGTAATTCCAGCACTTTGGGAGGCCGAGGCAGGCAGATCACAAGGTCAGGAGATTGAGACCATCCTGGGTAACACGGTTAAAACCCGTCTCTACTAAAAACACAAAAAATTAGCCAGGCGTGGTGGTGGGCGCCTGTAGTCCCAGCTACTCAGGAGGCTGAGGCAGGAGAATGGCATGAACCCAGGAGGCGGAGCTTGCAGTGAGCCGAGATCGTGCCACTGCACTCCAGCCTGGGCGACAGAGTGAGTCTCCGTCTCAAAAAAAAAAAAAAGAAATTTGACATTTTGTTTTGCATTTTTATCCCTTGATTTCTGGATAATTAAAAAATAATTTAGTATCCTTTAATTACAAATAAATGAAAGAAATAAAAAAGGTGATCATTGAAATAATTAACTGAAATAAAAGATATCCTTTTATATTAATATGGTTTTGTAGGCCCATGGGATCAGTTAACAAAAGGCAATTATTTGCATACCATCCTCATTTTCACCTACAAAGTCATTTTCTATTGCTTGTCATATAATCTAGAAGTCATATTTCTAGTATGATTTTACTCAAGAGAAATTAAAACATATATCCATACAAGGACTTGTATACAAATGTTCATAGCAGCCTTATTTATAATTGTCCCAAATTGGAAACAGCCCAGATGTTCATCAGTTGGTGAATAAATTGTGGCACGCCCATGCAATGGAATATTACTCAACAATAAAAAAGAATAACAGGCCGAGTCTGGAGGATTGCTTGTGGCCAGGAGTTATGACCAGCCTTGGCAATAGAGTGAGACCCTATCTCTACTAAAAAAAAATAATTTCTACAAATTAGCCAGATATGGTGGTGCATGCCTGTAGTCCTAGCTACTTGGGAGGCTGAGGCAGGAGAGTTGCTTGAGCCCAGGAGTTTGAGGCTGCAGTAAGAGCTATGATTGTGCCACTGCACTGCAACCTGGGCAACAGAGCAAGACCCTGTCTCTTTTTTAAAAGTCAATAACATACATGTGACAACATCATAAACCTCAAAAGCATTATGTAAATTTAAAAATTCATCCTCAAAAAACTACTACCATATAACTCAATTTATATAAAATTTTAAAAGATGCAAAACTCTCATGACAGAAAAGAGATCAATGAGTCGTTGCCAAGAGTCAGAGAGTATGGGAGAGAAGCCGACTGTGAAGGGGCATGGGAATCTTCTGGGATGACGGAAATGTTCTATATTATGACTTCAGTGATGATTACACTACTGTATACTTTTGAGATGCATCTAATTGTGTACTCAATATTGGTGAATTTTATGTCTATTAAACCTAATAAAGCTGATTTCAAAAAATCATTCATAGGCTGGAAGTGCTGGCTCACACCTGTAATCCCAGCACTTTGGGAGGCCGAGGTGGGTGGATCACCTGAGGTCAGGAGTTCAAGACCAGCCTGGCCAACATGGTGAAACCCCGTCTTTACTAAAAATACAAAAGTTAGCCGGGTGTGGTGGTACATGCTTGTAATATCAGCTACTCTGGAGACTGGGGTGGGAGAATAGCTTGAACCTGGGAAGTGGAGGTTACAGTGAGCCAAGATCGCGCCATTGCACTCCAGCCTGGGTGACGAGTGAAACTCCATCTCAAAAGAAAAAAAAATTCATAATTGCACCATACAGGAAGAAATCCTTCATACACTCCCATTTTAGCTCTTCATTTCTGCATAGTAGCAGTATAGTGGCCTGGGATTGGGCTGCTTACATGTGAATCTTGGTCTACCAGTTGGTAAGTGGCTGGCTTTCAACAAATTGCTTATTAAGCCTCAGGTTTCTTCACTTACAAAATGAGGATAATAATTGCACCTGGTCCACAGGGTCATGACATGGATTCAGTAGAAAGCTCAGCAGTGTACCTGACTTAACAGTTGTTCACACTAAGATCTTTAAACTTTACAATGGTGAAAAGGCAATATGCATTCCATAGAACTCATACAACCATTTTGTTCTTAACTTTCAGTAAAATATTCAATAAATATTCAATAAACTAATTCAAAAAATTACTTTATTACAAAATAGGCTTTGTGTTAGAGGATTTTGCCCAACTGCAGGCTAATGGAAGTGTTCTGAGCACATTCAAGGTAGGCTAGGCTGAGCTGTGATGTTCAGTGGATTAGGTATTAAATGCATTTTTAACTTACAATAATTTCAACTTATAATGAATTTATCAGGACTTGATCCCGCCATAAGTCAAGGAGCATCTGTACACCAACTGTTGGTTATTATTTTTCATCCCCACAAGACAGATATAGTTCTGCATTTCTCATGCAGATTCTACAGGCCTTTATTCTAATTTTTTAATGTGCCAATTTTATCATATTTGGTTTCTTCAGTCTTTAATATATTCATGTAGATGTCTGTGAATTATAGTCTATCTATGCTTGTAGGCTTTAAAATATATTTAGTCAATGGTGGGTAGAAATTTTATTTTAGCTTAAAAAATTAATCTTATAAAATGCCTGCTGACATTTCATGTAAGAATTCTTTTACTCAATTCATGTTTTTCTCTTCTTCCCTGTGGAGTATATTTATTGACTGCAGATGGAAGCACATTGCTAAGGAATGGAAAGCTGCAAGATAGAACATGCCCTTCACCTGCGTGGTTGCATAGAAACCAGTCGTTTGTCCAAATCTTAAAGAACTCAAGTGGAAAGCATACTTAAAAATGTAAAGGTTAGAATCACAAACTACAGTTTGAATTGAAATGACTGAAAGATTGTTTCAAGAATATAAGAATTCTATCTAAAAGAAGTGAATGAAAGGTATATTCTGGTAAGTCCTTTATAATTATGATTTTGAACAAACTGCTTTAAATTATGCTATAGCATGAACTGAGAAGGAAAAAAGTGAATAGAAGGATATCAGGATTGCTGAAGCACAGAACCCAGAACAACAGTCCAAACCAATGATGGAGGTGAAACTAAGATAGCAGCCACAACCAGAAGTTGATTCAGAAAGAATTAATTCGGGCTGGGTTGTGGTCATTTATACCTGTAATCCCAGCACTTTGGGAGGCTAAGGCAGCTGGATTGCCTGAGCCTAGGAGTTTGAGACCAGCCTGAGCAACATGACAAAACCCTGATTCTACCAAAAAAAAAAAAAAAAACTAGCCTGTGGTGGCAAGCGCCTCTAGTCCCAGCTACTGGGGAGGCTGAGGTGGGAGGATGGCTTGAGTTCAGGCAGGGGAGGTTGCAGTGAGCTGAGGTCCTTCCACTGAACTCCAGTTTGGGGGACAGAGCGAGACACTGTCTCAAGAAAGAAAGAAAGAAAGAATTGGCTGGGCATGGTGGCTCACACCTGTAATCCCAGCACTTTGGGAGGCCAATGCAGGTGGATTGCTTGAGGACAGGAGTTCAAGACCAGCCTGGCCAACATGGCGAAACCCCATCTCTACTAAAAATACAAAACTTAGCTGGGCATGGTGGCCCGGGCCTGTAATCCCAGCTACTTGGGAGGCTGAGACAGGCGAATCACTTGAACCCAGGATGTGGAGGTTGCAGTGAGCCCAGACTGCCACTGCATTCCAGCCTGGGAGAAAGAAAAAAAGAAAGAAAGGGAGGGAGGGAAGGAGTCAGGAAGGAAGGAAGGAAGGGATTGATTCAGAGACAAAACAGAAATAGACCTTGTTTTTCGTGATTAAAATATGCTAAAAGCAATAGCTAAGATTGCAGCTGAAGAGTATGAATATAATAGTAGCCCACAAAATACCACAGCATTGTGGTTGTTGCTGTCGTTGGTCTTAGTCTTTGTCTCTATCTTGGTTTTGGTATAGATATTATTGTTTGCAAGGTACTAAACTAGCTCATTATAAATTTCAGGTTAAAAAATAAGCAGCAAGGATATCTGGAGACATTCTGACAATAAATGCAATGATAGAGCACTAGCCTTTTCACTATAGACCAATAGAAATGGAAGCAGTAGTTGTGGGGCATGAATATACAGACACAAGAATCAGTGGCACAGAATAGAATTTCCAGAAACAGATACCAATGCACTTATGCATTTGTTAATTTAGTATATGACAAAGATCGCTGCTGTGGTTTGTATGTGTCCCTCAGATTTCATGTGTTGGCAACTTAATCCCCAATGTGATAGCATTGAAGGGTGAGGCCTTTAAGAGGAGATTGGGGCTGGGCACGGTGGCTCACATTTGTAATACCAGAACTTTGAGAGGCTGAGGCGGGTGGATCACTTGAGGTCAGGAGTTTGATATCAGCCTGGCCAACATAGAGAAACCCCGTCTCTACTAAATATACAAAAATTAACTGGGCATGGTGACCACACCTGTAATGCCAGCTACTTGGGAGGCTGAGGCAGGAGAATCGCTTGAACTGAGGAGGTGGAGGTTGCAGTGAGCTGAGATCGCCCCACTGCACTCCAGTCTGGGTGACAGAATGACACTCCATCTCAAAAAAAAAAAAAAAAAAGGACAGGAAGAATGATCTGAGCTAGCATAGTCAGCACATTCAGCCCACTTCCTATTGTGAAGCCCTGTACCACCTGGGATCTGTAGAGAACCCCCCCCAACCCGCAAGAAGGCTCTCACCTGCTGTGGCCCCTCAACCTTGGACTTCTAGTTTGAGGTATTCTGTTATAAGCAACAGAAAACAAACTAATATAATGGCATTTCAAAGTAGTGGAAAAAAACATGACATTCAGTTAATGGTTTGAAGGCAACTGGAGAGTTATTGAGGTGAAATATTATTGAATCCTCTCTTATAATACATCAAAATATATTCCAAGTAGATCAAAGTTTACAAGTAAAAATAAAACTGCAAAAGTATGAAAAGAAGTCATGTAAGAATTTTTACATAAATCAGATTGAGGAAGACCTTCTATTTTTAACACAAAACCCAGGGGTGAAACAGTATTAATAAAAAATTGATGACTTCAACTTCATAAAAATTTGTTTAAAGCTTCTAGGTCAAAAATCATAGGCTTCGGTGGAATATTGCTGTAAAAGAAATTTTTTAAAAACAGAAAAAAGAAAGAAAAACTACAGGCAAGGTCAAAAGATAAACCACAAACCTGAGAAAAATATTTGCGTCTCCTATCACAGACAAAGGACTTATTTCTTGACTATATAAGGAACTCTTAAGCATCAATAAGAAATAGATTAACAACACTATAGGAAAGTAGATTAAAATTTTACATAGAAAATATAAAAATAACTAAACATCATTGAAATATAGGAAAGATTTTTCAATCACTCAAAATAAATGCAAATTAAAACTACACTGAGAAGACTTTTTAAAATCTATGAGACTGGCAAAAATAATAAAATTATAAAACTGTCTTGGTGAAAGTATGGAATTCAATTTGGCAATATCTTTGGCATATATATATCTTTTGCCCCAGAAATTCCACTTCCGGGAATTTATCCTACAGATACTCTTGTACATGCAGAATAACATATGGACTAGATTGTCATTATGGTATTATCTGTTAAAAAAAAAAAAGGACCAAACAATCTAAATATAACTGGTTACATAAATTATGATACAGCTTTCCAGTGGAATAATAAGCTTCTATTAAAAAAAGAGAATGGGCTGGGTACAATGGCTCATGCCTATGATCCCAGCACTTTGGAAGGCTGGGAGGATTGCTTGAGCCCAGGACTTTGAGAAGACCAGCCTGACTAACATAGGGATATCCTGTCTCTACAAAAAAAAAAAAAGAAAGGAGAAAAAAAAGTATGTGTACTATGGTTTGGATGTGGTTTGTCCCCTTCAACATTCATATTGAAATTTGATCCCCAGGCCGGGCACGGTGGCTCAGATCCGTAGCCCTAACACTTTGGGAGGCCGAGGCAGGCAGATCACTTGAGCTCAGGTGTTTGAGAACAGCCTGGGCAACATGGCGAAACCCCATCTCTACAAAAAAATACAAAAATTAGCTGGGGTGGTGGCACGTGCCTGTAGTCCCATCTACTTGGGAGGCTGAGTTGGGAGGATGGCTTAAGCCTGGAAGATGGAGGTTGCAGGCAGCCAAGATCACGCCAGTGCACTTCCAGCAGAGCCAGACCTTGAAAAGAGAGAGAGAGAGATAGAGAAAGAGAGAGAGAGAGAAAGAAAGAAAGGAAAGAAAGAGAAAGAGAAAGAAAAAATTTGATTCCCAGTGTGAGGGTGTTGAGGGGCGGGGACTAGTAGGAGGTATTTGGGTCATGGGGAAGGACTCCCAAAAATAGATTAATACCCTCCCATGGGAATGAGTGAGCTCTTCCTCTCCCGGGAATTGATTAATACCAGAGAGAGCAGGTTGTTAAAAGTCTGGCTTCCTCAGTTTGGTTTCTGTCTTCTGCTTCCTCTCTCACCATGCGATCTCTTTGCCCATGCCCACTCTTCTTCCACTTTCTGCCACAAGTTGAAGCAGCACGAGGCCCTCACCAGATGCAGCTGCCCAATCTTGAACTTTCCAGCTACCACAATTGTAAGCCAAAGGAACCTCTTTTTTAAAATAAATTACCCAGCCTCAGGTAGTCTGTTATAGCAGCACTAAATAGATGAAGACAATGTGCTAATAAGAAATTTCCAAGATTTTCAAGATACCTCATGTGAATAAATATATCATTAAGTGAAAACAAGACACAAAACAATATGCAGAGTATAATTTATTTATTCACATATCCAACAAATACTTTTGAGCATCTGCTATGTGTCAAGCATCACACTAGACACTTGGGATAAATCTATAAGTAAAGTAGTCAAAGGTCTCAACCATAGTGGAGCTTACACTTTGTTAAGGGAGATGGTCAATAAACAACAAACATGCACAATATATAGTATATTGGAAACTGGTAAGTTCTATGATTAAAAGAAAAAGTAGAGCAGGCCATGGGAGATCCAGGGGCTGCCTGTGGGGAAAAGACACTATTAAATATTGTGGTCGGCCGGGTGTGGTGGCTCACGCCTGTAATGCCAGCACTTTGGGAGGCCAAGGCAGGCAGATCATAAGGTAAAGAGATCGAGACCATCCTGGCCAACATGGTGAAACCCCGTCTCTACTAAAAATACAAAAATTAGCTGGGCATGGTGGCATGCGCCTGTAGTCCCAGCTACTCGGGAGGCTGAGGCAGGTGAATCACTTGAACCCGGGAGGCGGATGTTGCAGTGAGCTGAGATTGCCCCACTGCACTCCAGCCTGGTGACAGGGCAAGATTCCATTTCAAAAAAAAAAAAAAAAAAAAAAAAGTGTGGTCAGGTTGGGCCTCAGAAGGCAAGATTTGAACAAAGACTTGAAGGAGATGAGAGAGTTAGCCAAAAGAGGATCTGGGAGAAGAGAGTTGCAGGCAGAGAGAGCTAGAAAAGGTCCTAAGGCAAGAGTGTGTCTGGTGAATGCAGGGAACAGAAGAGGCCAGCAAAGCAGAGCAGAGTGAGCCAGAAAGAGCATGAAGGTAAGGAAGATAAAGCAGGCAGATCAATGCAGGGCCTACATGCAGGACTTCATCAGTGCAGGACTTTGAAGTGTATTCTGAGTAAAAGCAAACAATTATAGGGTTTTGCTTGTTTTGTTTGTTTGTTTGTTTTTGAGGCAGAGTTTCGCTCTGTCACCTCACCAGGCTGGAGTGCAGTAGTGCCATCTTGGCTTACTGCAACCTCCGCCTCTCGGGCTCAAGCGATTCTCGTGCCTCAGCCTCCCGAGTAGCTGGGACTACAGGCACACACCACCACACCAGGCTAATTTTTTGTATTTTTAGTAGAGACAGGGTTTTGCCATGTTGGCTGGGCTGGTCTTAAACTCCCAGGCTCAAGCAATCCACCAACCTCGGCCTCCCAAAGTGCTGGGATTACAGGCGTGAGCCACTGTGCCCGGCCTACTTTTTGTTTTTGAAGCAGGGTCTTGCCCTGTCGCCCAGGCTGGTGTGCAGTGGTGCGATCTCGGCTCACTGCAACTTCCACCTCCCAGGCTTAAGGCATCCTCCCACCTCAGCAGGGACTATAGGCAGGCGCCATCATGCCCGGCTAATTTTTGTATTTTTTGTAGAGACGGTTTCGCCATGTTGCCCAGGCTGGTCTCTAACTCCTGGGCTCAAGCGTTCCACCTGCCTCGGCCTCCCAAAGTGCTAGGATTACAGGTGTGAGCCACTGCACTGGGCCTATTGTAGGGTTTTGAGAGGAGTGGCATTTATGACTTACAATTTAAAAGGATCTCTCTGCTTGGTGGAGAACAGACTGTGAGAGACAAGGTGGAAGTAGAGAGTGTGGTGAGGCAGTGGTCCCTGTGAGAGATGCTGGTGGCCAGGACTAGGTGACAGGAGAGGAGGTGGTGAGCAGTGGTCAGATTCTGGAAATGTTTCAAAGTCATCAACAGACTTTCCTGACAGACTAGATGTTAGCGTGAAAGAAAGACAGGAGTCAAGGGCGCCTGAACAACCCGAAGGCCGGGGTTGCTATCAACTGAATGCGCAAGCTACAGGTGGAGCTTATTTGAAATATTTATTAGACATCCAAATGATTGTCTAATCAACGTCATCCGTAGACGGTATTTAGAGCCGTGAATATGACATGTATTTACTATTTGAAAAACAAATTTGTATATTTGTTTATGTATATATATTAATGTGCATATATATAATATATATAAAATATATGTATAGGTATATGTATATATAATGCCTCTTTTCTAAACATAGGCACAAAAACTGGTCACTTTGGTTACCTCTCAGAGAACTGAGTGGCTGGAGATTGAGGGTTAAATGGAGTCTTATTTTTCATGGCATATCAATTTAAACCTTTTAATTTTGAACCATATGAATATATGATAGTTTAAAATTAAAATAACATTTAAAAAATAATAAAAATTACAAGCCACATTATAAAGCTGCCACAAAGCTGTGGCTTAATGGTTTTTTATTGTTAATTTTTCAGAAAATGCTAAGATAAATTAATTTTACTAATTCCAAAGGTATTCATTGAATACCTACCACATATAAGATACTGAATTTTTTTTTTTAATGGAGTCTCGCTCTATCACCCAGGCTGGAGTACAAAGGCACGATCTTGGCTCACTGCAACCTCAACCCCCCGGGTTCAAGCGATTCTCCTGCCTCAGACTCCCAAGTAGCTGGGATTACAGGCGCGTGCCACCACACCCGGATAATTTTTGTATTTTTAGTAGAGACGGGGTTTCACCATGTTGGCCAGGGTGGTCTCGAACTCCTGACCTCAGGTGATCTGCCCACCTCAGCCTCCCAATGTGCTGGTATTACAGGCGTGAGCCACTGCACCCACCTGTACTGAAATTTTTAAAAAACCTACACGATGTGGTCTCTTCTTCAACATGATAATGTGTTGAATCTGAATGTAAATCTAAATCGGCCTTTTAGAACTAATTAGTTGCAAAAGTTACACCTTATTAGGATTAGCAAGCAGCTGGTTTTGTAAAACACAGCAGCTGGGGTTTTTGAACACATAGTGTGTAGTTCATTATCTGGCTATTTCTGACCCCAGAAAAAAATTCAGAATTATTTTATGACCCCAAACTAAATTAAATATCTTATAAGGGTTGATCATATGTAGAAAAGAAAACCAATACTTGATCTACCATTTTAGCTCTTGCTCAATACTTTCTGGGTTAAAAAAATTTTTTAATATAGGAAAGTCCAAAGACTAGTATGAGAAACACCTATGGCTCACCACCCAGAATTAACAAATATCAACATTTGTTCATGTTTGCCTTGCATATTTTAATAACACATCTAAAATGGTGCAGATAAAATGTAGGTCTTCTTTATTCTTCCAGTCCCATTCTTTCTCCTCCATAGAGATAACCACTCTCCTAGAGAGAGTGTGCAACCTTCCAGCATAAATAAGATATAAATTTTAAATAAAAGCTATTCTTTTCTACACGTTATTCTGCAACTTGCCTTTTTTTTACCTAACATTGCATTTTGATCTATCCATGTTGACATATGTCACCGTTTTATTTTCTAGAGAGACGTGAAATCATAGCAATTTTTATTTTTCATAAGGACATCATATATGAATTAGAATAGGAATGTTTGCTAACTGCCCTAAAACATAAAGATGGTGCTCCTGAACGCTACACCAGTTGCCCCAGGGCACTGTAGTGAACTCACAGGGAGGCAGCCGGACATTTTTAAATTTCAAGGGAAACACAGTGACATTTGCCAGCTACCATGCAAACTGCCGTTATTAAATTGTTTAGACCCATTAGGCACTTGCTTTGGCCTAGGTCCAGAACAATTAGGTACTTCTTTTGGCCTAGAGTTTCCATGAAAAAAACTACTGAAACACTAAAGATGCTGGGAACCAAGAAAGTTTAAGAATCTCTGTAATAAGAATAAGAAATCTATACGAGGCTGGGCACGGTGGCTCACGGTGGTAATCCCAGCACTTTGGGAGGCCAACAAGGGTGGATCACTGGAGGTCAGGAGTTCGAGACCAGCCTGGCCAACATGGCAAAACCCCATCTCTACTAAAAATACAAAAATTAGCCAGATGTGGTGGCGGGCGCCTACAGTCCCAGCTCCCCAGGAGGCTGAGGCAGGATAATGGCTTGAACCCGGGAGGTGGAGGTTGCAGTGAGCCAAGATTGTGCCACTGCACTCCAGGCTGGGCAACAAGAGTGAGACTTTATCTCAACAAAAAAAAGAAAAAAACTATACAAACTGCTGTTCTCTGTCAGGCTCCACTACTCTGGTGTGCAACTGCAAGAATTACAGACAGAGTGCCTCAGAGAAACTGACTGGCCTTGAAAACCTAAAACTATTCATTGATAAAAACAGTGAGTGATGATATGGAGCACCTGGAAGGAACAGTTTGGTGTTACAGCTCTAAAAATCTCCAGCAAACTCTATTAGGTGAGCTTCTAAATTATTTCAAACATATGATTTTCATCAAAAATGCCCCTCATGCTGTGATAAAACTTAAATGTGCATCTGGCTATTTACCTATGCAAAGGGAGGGCAAGAGTTGAGAGGGATCAGGTAGAGCAATGGGTGTTGAAAGGCTGCAACTGAAGAAAAGGAAGACCTCAGGCATGGTTTTTAATGAATAGTCAATCAACCTATTTTACTCACAGGTGGTACTTCTGAGATTTAACCTATGCTTCATCCCTCCTGAAAAACCGGAACTCAGCTTGAGGAATATTTATTGAAAACTTACCCTCATTTTTACTTAAAAGGATAGCATCAGGGACCCTATTTTAGGAATACTGTGTCAGCCTAAATAATAACCAGAGACAGACTCTCTAAAAGAAAGGATATTTATTTAAAGATAGAGCATTGCAATGTCAGTATGCATGCCATAGTAAACTATGTGTGTGTTCAGGGAGGTAAAGACAAAGGTTTTTAAAGGGAAAAAATGAGGAAGATTACATCATTGTTTTGAAATAATTATCCGTGGCTACAAAGATCAACAATAGGGGTGATGCCAGCCTGAGGTTGGACAGGCAGTAGTGGGACAGGTGTCCTTGCAGAGGTACTTTTTATATAAGGTGGCAATGGCCTTTGTGCAAGGTTGTGGGTTTTGCAGTTTTTTGTGACAGTTTTTGTTACCAGACATACACGGATGAGAACCCTCTCTTTGTGGCCTTCCCGGCTCTATTTGTCATGGTTTTCTTAACTTTAGCAATTCCATTTTGATTCTAACAACTATCACACTTGCATTTGTGCTTATATAGCACCAGGAGTACTATCAGGACACTTTGAGTTTCCCTGCAGAGGGAAAGGTGATTGAGTAGATAGGAAAGATGACAAAGCTATTCTCCTCAACCATGGACACATCTGCACATGTAATCCCAGGGCCAAGGCCACACTTGGCTTGCTTCGCTGATCTCTCTTTTACATAAATTCCATTTAGCATTTTGGCTACCAGATAAATTTCTTTCCATTTAAATATAAAAAGTCCTATCAGAGGAATGAAGGATTGCAATTTTATAAAAGGTCATAAGGAGAGGTTATAACAATCTTTAACAGGAATATGAAAAAGCCTGAGTTTGGGGGAAATTTTCTGAACCTGAAAAAGGAAGAAACAGTAGCCATAAGGGGAAATGGCTTTTGAATTTTAACAAAATGAACTTCGTATGTTGCTAAAAAATATGAGCTGAAAATATACTGCTTTTTTTCCCTGAGTTATACCTATCTCCTGAAGGACCAAGAGTGGCCCGTGTGATGTCACTTGGCAACACTAATCGATGAGATGTCTCGATCTAAGGCATCTTAGCACCAATAACAAAAACATTTTAAAATCAATGATTATATAACCTATTCCTATTTTCTTTGAGAGAAGAGCTCTTCCTAAAAATACCACCAACCATATTCTCTTTCAGCTACAAATGAATTCAAATGTAATTTTTTTCTATAACATTAATGTCAGGTTTTATGACCCACTGCAGAGAAATAAATAGTTTAAAGTGTTTTTGGACTACTGGCATTTAAATGGAAAGCCAGCCTTAAGGTCGTGTGTTAGGTCATGTAAAGCCTGAAGCTGTCCTAGGTCAGCGTCAGATTCCGAGTCATGTTTGCCTAGTCCGCACATGACTGCAGTACTTGAATAAGTGCCTACAGCAGACATTTCTCATTTTCCCAGAACTATGATTTGTAGGTAAAGAAATGGAACTGTGGTGTATCCAACATCATGTCATATATGCTAAGGTAAAATCTGGCACTAAATAAGAAAAATGGTTTAACTCTTAAATGGAATGAAACTTTTAAAAAATCTGATTTTTTCAGCTCTTAAATAGGGAAGTTAGGCTGGAGACAGTAGGCTCAGTCATCTCTTAAGCATTCATGGAAAAACCTACTATGTGTAGTCATTTTGCTAGGGTCATGGGGCCTACAGAGACATATCAGACAGTAGTAGGAGATGATAGGTTCATAAACAATAACAATAACAGCACCATGGCACATGTATACCTCTGTAACAAACCTGCACGTTCTGCACATGTATCCCAGAACTTAAAGCAAAGTAAAAAAAAAAAAAAAAAGAAAGAACAGAGAAAAAAAAAATCTTAACCTGTCTCTTGACTTAACAATTCCACATCTAGGAATCTGTTTTGTACAATACTAGCAAGGATACATAAAAGTATGCATACAGGATGCCCACTGTAGCATTATGTGTGGTGGCAAATAAAAGCACTTACTAGAAAATTAAAAAATAATAATAATAACAGCACAATGCCAAATTGGGGAATGCCCCAATAAAGGTATTAACAAAGGACTGTGTGAGTTCAGAGAAACATAATGGCTAGTTTTGACCTGGGACTTGAAGGACCAGTCCAGTTTCAACGGACAGATTTGGTGAGAAGATGGGGGTAATCTAAGCAGAGAGAAATATATGAGGAAGTGTACAGTTAGGAAAATGTAATTTAGAATGATACATAAAAGGGGGCCATGAGAAATAAAACTGGAAAGAGAGGTCAGGGGTTAATCATGGAGGCTCTCCAATACCATGCTAGAGAATTAGGAAACAGGCCTAGCACTGTGGTTCATGCCTGTAATCCCAGCAACTTGGGAAGCCAAAGTGGAAAGATCGCTTGAGCCCAGGAGCTCAAGGCTGCAGTGAGCCATGGTCTAGCCACTGCACTCCAGCCTGGAGGACAGAGCCAGACCCTATCTCTTAAAAACAAACAAACAAACAAACAAACAAACAAACAAAGAATTAGGAATTTATTTGCCAGGCAACATGATCACGAACACCTTCAAAATGGACCAGAGAGATGTCCACAGTAAAATCAGAAATAGAGAACTAAATCAACCAAGTGATACTGCATATCCACAATGCAGGAAGCTCTTTGTTCAGTGAAGAGATACTTGCCTATTAAGAAAAAAAAGCAGGGGGCGGGGAGAATGAAAGCTTTTTGTTATTTTGTCCATTATTGTAATTTGGAACTGTTTTCAAATGTTTGAGAGAACTGAAAGATTAATGAAATAATATATGAAAAAGCTTTGCAAATAATAGTCCTTTTTATTTAATTATTTCTTCTCAAGTAACATGAAACAATTTACATGAGTAGAAGAATAATATGACATTAAGGACATGGAACAGAAATGTTTTATCCATATAGAAACTATAATAAATTCAGGTTGAATATACCTTATCCAAAGAAGTGTTTCAGATTTCAGATTTTTTTGGCTTTTGGAATATTTGCATATAATAATGAGATATCTTGGGGATGGGACCCAAGTCTAAACACAAAATTTATTTATGTTTCATATATACCTTATACACATATGCTGAAGGTAATTTTGTCAATATTTTAAATAATTTTGTGCATGAAACAAAGTTTGTATACATTGAGCCATCAGAAAGGAAAAGCATCACTATCTCAGCCAACCATTGGACAACCTGTGGTTGTTTGGCATCACCATCATTTCTGACTCTGAAATTATATGCTCAGGCCGGGCACGGTGGCTCATGCCTATAATCCAGCACTTTGGGAGGCCAAGGCAGGTGGATTGCTTGAGACCAGGAGTTTGAAGCCAACATAGCGAAACCCCATCTCTACTAAAATTATAAAAATTAGCTGGGTCCGGTGGTGCACACCTGTAATCCCAGCTACGATGAGAGGCTGAGGCAGGGGAGTTGCTTGAACACAGGAGGCAGAGGTTGCAGTGAGTGGAGATCACACCATTGCACTCCAGCCTGGGCGACAGAGTGAGATTCTGTCTCAAAAAAAAAAAAAAAAAAAATTATACGCTGCTGATAGTCATTTTCATATACTTATTTATACATAACTACTTATTAAAAATATGACATACATATCTGGTATGCGCAGAAAAGATATATTGCAGCTGAAGGTGGCTGGGAAGGTCTTTTTTCCTTTGGGGATGCTGAATAAACTATGTAGTGGGCCTTTGCTTTGACTTTTGGCATAAGGATGCTCAACTTGTAATATTCTTCAGGCCAAAGTGAGGGAGGAAAAGAAGGGTGCAGTGGGGGCAGGAAGATGGAAGAAGGAAATAGGAAAGACAAAAGGAAAAAGGGAAATGGGCAAGAAAGGAAGGCAGCTGGAGGGCCGCAGAGAGGCCTCATAGGAGAGAGACATGGGGGTGGCAATGCTCAGGCATACAGCTAGCAGGAAGCTTCCCAAGGTTTCTCATTTGTTCACTTCCCTCTCTGACAGCTTTCTCCCATATTCCATCACTGGCACATTCTCTACCGTTTTGAGCTGAATACTGCTTGCTCCTCTACAAAGCAAGGATTCGTAGAATAAAGAGAACCTAAAGGTTTTATTTAGGCCGTGATTCACATGGTGATAAGACTCTTAACAGCCTATGAACGAATAATGATCTTAGGAATTATCTACTTTTGCAAAAGGCTTTCTACATATATAATTTTACTGCAAGGACACTTCACTGTTATTTTTTATATTTTTATTTTATTTATTTTTTTTTTGAGACAGAGTCTCGCTCTGTTGCCCAGGCTAGAGTGCTGTGGCGCAATCTCGGCTCACTGCAAGCTCCGCCTCCCAGGTTCACACCATTCTCCTGCCTCAGCCTCCCGAGTAGCTGGGACTACAGGTGCCCGCTACCACTCCTGGCTAATTTTTTGTATTTTCAGTAGAGACGGGGTTTCACCTTGTTAGCCAGGATGGTCTCCATCTCCTGACCTCATGATCCAACCGCCTTGGCCTCCCAAAGTGCTGGGATTACAGGCGTGAGCCACCGCGCCCGGTGTCACTTCACTTTTAAAGAGCCTTCATATCTGTCATCTTATTTGAGCTTTCAGTTACACAGGATGAACATTCTTATCTTCATTTTACAGAGCAGAAGAGATAAAATGGCTATAAGGCCTTCCTAAGTAAGGGATATCCATCTCCAAAAGGATCATCTGTGGCCATTTTGATGTCATCTTGGTAGAAACTTGAGGATCTGAGTGGATCAGATGTCTGGGGAGTGAGTGAAAACCACGTTTAGTCTTGTTAA
The DNA here is from genome assembly GCF_000001405.40 of Homo sapiens. NCBI lineage: Eukaryota > Metazoa > Chordata > Mammalia > Primates > Hominidae > Homo > Homo sapiens. The sequence continues at coordinate 87,388,828 of NC_000006.12, forward strand.
AACACCAATAATATTTTAAAATCAGTGATTCTATAACCTGTTCCTGTTTTTTTACTTCAGTGTGGGAAAGAGGTGTGCTATTTAGTGTAGTGAAAAGGGTACTGGGCTGAAACAGAAGATCTGAGTTTTAATAGTAATAATATTATTAGTTAATAAAAATAGCTATGTTTAGTGAGCACTTATGGCATGCCATACACAGCACTAAGCCCCTTAGTCTTATTTCTTTTCATCTCTACCACAACTGTATGAGGTCAACACTATTTTTTTTTTTTTTTTTTGATAAGTGATGTAGCTAAAGCTAAGTGAGCTGAAGTAATCTGGCCAAGGGCTTCAGTTCAGGCTCTGTATCATTCAGACTATTTATACCCTTTTTGAGCTTTTCATTTCTACATCTGTAAAATAAGACCACTGAGATCATTTGAGAAAAGGATAAAGACATGGAATATGCATCAACATAAGAGAGTCTGTTACACTATGTCAGGGGTCGGCAAACTTTTTCTGTAAAGGACAAATAGGAAGTATTTTAGGGTTTGTGGGCCACACAGTCTTTGTCAAAACTACTCAATTCTGCCATTATAGAGCAAAGGCAGCCTGAGATGATACATACAGGAAGGAGCATGACTGTGTTCCAATAAAACTTTATTATAGATTTTGAAATTTGGATTTCATGTAACTTTCACATTTCATAAAATATTATTGTTCTTTCAATTTTGTTTAACTATTTAATAATTTTAAAAAATCATCCTTAGCTTGCAAGCCATACAGAAACAGGCAGGGGCTGGTTTATGGAATGTTACTCTATTTGGAGATATCACTGATATCCATGTTTATGATTGGCACATTTAAGTGATCAGAAAGGAAATATTTTTCAAGTGGAACAAACTGTTTCATCTCTTCTCACCAATGACCACTGACCCTACAATGTCTTCTACTTTTGGTGTGTGCCATATCAGAAGAAATTGCTGGAGCATGTAAGAATCTTTATATTTTAAGGCTAGCTGAGCTGAGGGTTCAGTAGAGGGCAAAGACCAAACTGATACCCAAGGCAAGCTCCAGAAAAGAAATTTCTAGGTAAAGCATTGTTGCCTGATAAAGAAATAGTTTATTTTTTAAAATAAAAATAAAAACATCAATCAAGCACTTAATATACATCAGTGAATAGCCTTTGAGCTCCTACAAGCATGGGTCTGGGTCTCCGCAAGGTAGTCAGGCTCTTGGCACCAGTAGGCAGACAGGTTTGGAGGCAGCACCAGCAGAAGTGATCCCGAAGGCACTGTCCTCCACTTTGTCTCCACATGCAGTCTTCCCAGTGATCTCCCAGTCACTAGCACCCCAAAAGGCAGTATCTTGAAACAAAAATGCGTGTACCACCTTTCTCATCCACACTCACAGGCCCATGTGCACATGCATATGGCATTGTCAGGATGAGCGCCTAGTGAGAGCCCCTTCATCTTATTGGCTTCTTTTGAACTCTTAGACATCTGGGTGCAGTGATTCCTTTCATCTCTCGATACCCTGACCAAAGGAGTTGGTTTGCGGACAGCTATTACTTGTACCTATTATTGTACATGTAAATATGTTATATGGACTAGTTAGACATTATGGTGTCCATTTGAGGTATGTCTTAATCTGTTTCAGCTGCTATAACAAAGTAACATAAACTGAGTAGCTTATAAAGAACAGAAATGTATTTCTTACAGTTCTGGAGAAGTTTAAGATCGAGGCACCGATTTGGTGTCTGATGAGGGCCCACTTTCTGATTCATAGATGGCTTCTTCTTGCTGTGTCTTCACATGGTAGAAGGGGCAAGACAGCTCTGGGGCCTCTTTTATTTATTTATTTGGAGATGGAGTCTCACTCTGTCACCCAGGCTGGAGTGCAGTGGCATGATCTCGGCTCACTGCAACCTCTACCCCCTGGGTTCAAGGGATTCTCCTGCCTCAGCCTCCCAAGTAGCTGGGACTACAGGCACCCACCACCACGTCCAGCTAATTTTTGTATTTTTTAGTAGAGACAGGGTTTCACCATGTTGGCCAGGCTGGTCTTGAACTCCTGACCTCAAGTGATCCCCCTGCCTCAGCCTCCCAAAGTGCTGGGATTACAAGTGTGAGCCACTGTGCCCAGCCTGGGGTCTCTTTTATAAGGGTACCAATCCCATTCATGAAGGCTCAGCCGTCCTGACCTAATCATCTCCCAAAGACCCTACTTCCTAAAACCATCACCTTGGGGATTAGGTTTCAACATGTGCATTTTGGGAAGACGCAAACATTCAGACCATAGCAAGGAGCAAGGCTTAGGAGCAGGTCTCATTCCTGGAGCTAGTAGCTGAAGGGGAAGGCATCTACCCAAGAGAGTGGTCATCTACAATGTCCATCATATGTACAAGTTCCAGGCCTTGATAAAGGAAATAGAAATTCTCACACCACTGGAAACTTCCACCTCCTCCTGCACCCGGCTCTCTAGGGGCTTGACTTTGAAGAGAAAGGTGCCAGGTGATTGCTCTTCTGTCACAAACATAAGAATGGAGCCACTGCAGGAAGGAGGGTCAAAAAATTTATTTTGTTCAAGCCTTGGAGAGCGAGCCACATCTTGTAACCAGATTGTGGTGCTCTATGTTATGTACTTGTCCTATTACCCTGGACGTTAGTAAATGTTCCAGCCTTGCCTCAGGGTTGCTGTGGGTTTGGGAGCATTGCCCCCATGAGGTCAGTTCTGTGATGGCAGCAGTAACTCATGAGATCCCCAAGGGAAAGAGACATCAATAGTTGAGAATATGCAATCCTTCTGTGAACCTTCGCCCTCCTGTACCAATCCTACAAAATTAGGAGTCATTGTTCTATGAGAGAAGGCCATCTTCCTCATGGTGTATTCACTGCAATTTCTAAATCCCCTTGTAAATAAGCTGTTTGTTTGTTTGTTTGTTTGTGACGGACTTTTGTTCTTGTTGCCCAGGCTGGAGTGCAATGGCGCGATCTCAGCTCACCGCAACCTCCACCTCCCGGCTTCAGGTGATTCTCCTGCCTCAGCCTCCTGAGTAGCTGGGATTACAGGCATGCACCACCACGCCTGGCTAATTTTGTATTTTTAGTAAAGACTGGGTTTCTCCATGTTGGTCAGGCTGGTCTCGAACTCCTGACCTCAGGTGATCTGCCCACCTCGGCCTCCCAAAGTGCTGGGATTACAGGCGTGAGCCACCGTGCCCGGCTGTAAATAAGTATTCTTACACAGTAGGTGCAAGATGATAGCATATAGGTTAGACATAGGCTAGAATCTGTGGGACCTTAGGCAAGTTACTTCACCTCTCTGTGTTTAGCGTTCTCATCTATAAGATATATATAATAGTACTTCTCTGAAAAGGCTTCTTGTAAGAATTAAATAATATATAAAAATGCTTAGCACAGTGCCAGGCTTATAGTACATGGTTAACACAAGTTCCCTATTATTGCTATAGTACCTTGCCAAACTTCTTTTTTATCAGCCTGATTAATGGGGGGGAAACTACCTTCTTCCTCGGGTCTTCTGATTTCCTGGAAAATTAGTAAACTGTAGTAAAACTATGGACATCAGTCCCTAAGATCATAGCACTAGGCTAGGCAATGTGGGAACTTCAAAAGAATTTTAGAACATAGTTCTCGTCCACCAAGTGCTTACAAGTAAGTTGGAAATGCAGATACGTGGGTTTAAATCTTGACACTACTGTTTAATAACCTTAAGGACCTTGAGCAAGTTTTTTTTTAAATCTCTCTAGGCCTCAGTTTCTTCTTTTTAAAAATGGGGATTATAACAGTAATCACCTCATTGAGTTAATATGATAATTAAATAAGTGAATAGAAGGAAAATGGTCCAACAGTGTTGACATATGGTAAATGCTAACTATTGCTATCTATCACCATGAAGCAGTGTATGTATGAGGAAGTGCCCACAGGAGTGTGCCTCCGGGATGAAGCAAAGCAACAGAGATCCAAGCAGGAGAGGCTGCAACAGGCTGGAGATATGCAGAGTCTTCATGGGGGAGGTAAGACTTAGCTGAGTTTGCAGGCTAGGTAAGCTTGAGACAGGCAAAGACACGTTCAGGAAGAAATAGCATTACCAAAAATACTAAGAAGGAAATTGGCAGGGGCATTTGTTACTACAAACTGCCTTACTAATTCCAGCATACCAGGATTCTCTTTGAGACTTGCAATGCGTAACAGGTAAGTGCTTAATGAATATTTTCCAACTTGTAAAGGACACAGGGAAGTGTGGATTATTCCTTCCCACCCCCAAAATTATTTTACGTCAGTTTCTTGAATTCTGCAAAATTCTCATCTAAATTATTGCAGCTAAGTTTATGCAGTTGTATAGTTGGGGGTGGGCAGTGGGAGAATTTGTAGCTGTAATATCCTGTTTTGACAGTAGGTGGCTCCCTTACATATATGTAAGAAAAGTGGCACTGTGGTCTGTATAGGAAATCACTTAAGTCACTTGAGTAATTGTCACATACTGTATGTCATTGAGGCTGAACATGGAGGCAGTTCTTCACATTGATTTTTGTATGAAAGATGACATTAATGCAGCAGAAGGAACTTTCTTCCTTCTTAGGAACTATGCTTACCTCTTGAGGGTGACAATCTGATTATTATTCTGGGAGTGAAGGTCAGATCCTTGGCAGTACATGTTCCCTCAACTTCTCTCATAAAGATTGGCATTCAGCTTTAACAGTACCTCGTTCATACATGCTATAGACATCACAATCTGGGCTTCTAACTACTACAAAATTATGCTAGAACTTTAGTAATGGCATGGATAACCCACCAGGAACCTTTTCATTTTACCATTCCTTGATATTTAGACTCCACAGACATCAGCTTCATTTCATTCAATATCAGAAATAAGTAGTAGCTCCAGTTAGTCTCTCTTTTTCCGTCAAGTGGACCTGCTTAAATTCTACAGCTGGTAATCTCAGCTCCATTCTGGCCAGTTCGACCCATTGTCCCATCCTGTTACTCCTTATCGATCTGAGGTTTGCTAGAATCCTCTGTTCTGGGGTACTGTGGGAGAAAGTCTACAAATAGAGCAAATCTGGGCCACTGCAGATTTCAATCACATGTGACTAAATTACAATCAGATCATAAAAATTAGTCTGCAACACTGATATTGATTACAAATTTTATAAGTATCAATAAACTATGCTCTCATTTTTGGTACTTCAAGTCATTTTTATTACTAAGTTGCTGACAGGGATAACCTATTTTTTTAAATGCCTAATGCACACATGTATCATTGTCCATCAGAATCAAAGACAGAATTTGTACATAATATTGAAAAATGGAAAAGTGCTTGCTGCACATGGTATTTTAGATTAGCTACTTTTGCAAAGTGTGTACCCCTGGACCACCTGAACTAGAATAACCTGGAATGCTTGTTAAAATGAAAATTTTCAGCTGGGCGTGGTACCTCATGCCTGTAATCCCAGCACTTTGGGAGGCTGAGGTGGGCGGATCACGAGGTCAGGAGATGAGACCATCCTGGCTAACACGATGAAACCCCATCTCTACTAAAAATACAAAAAATTAGCCAGGTGTGGTGGCACATGCCTTTAGTCCCAGCTACTTGGGAGGCTGAGGCAGGAGAATTGCTTGAACCCGGGAGGCAGAGGTTGCAGTGAGCCGAGATCATGCCACTGCACTCCAGCCTGGCAACAAAGTGAGATTCTGTCTCAAAAAAAAAAAAAAAAAAAAAAGAAAGAAAGAAAGAGCAAGGGATGTCCTTAACCAGAAAAATGATATTTATTTTTTCATTTTCAGCAAACATCATACTTAAAGGGGTAATGCAAGCATTTATTTTAAGCTAGTGGAACTGAGTATTACTACTGCTACTATTCAAAATTGAACTGGAAGTTTTAATTAGAACAGTAAAAGAGGGAAAAGACATGAAAAGTAAATGTACTGACTGATACTACCTGACTTCAAGGCTTACTGAAAAGCTACCAGACAGTGTGGTATAAGCCAAAGAATAAATAAATAGATCAGTGGAACAGAATAAGGAGTCCAGAAATAGACCCACACAGACATAGTCAATTCTTTTGAAAAAGGTGCAAAGGCAATCCAAAGGAGAAAAGATAATATTTTCAACAAAAGGTGCTGGCACAACAGGACATCCAGAAGCAAAAAAGAAAAAAAGAAAAAAAAATGAAGACACAAACTCTATAGCCTTCACAAAAATTAACTCAAAATGATAACAGACCTAAATGTAAAACACAAAATTATAAAACCTATAGGATATAACAGAAAAAAACTAGATGACCTTGAATTTGATGATGATTTTTTAATAGAATACCAAAAGCATCATCCATAAAAGAAAAAATGGATAGGTTGGGCTTCATGAAAATTGAAAACTTCTGCACTGCAAAATACCTTGTTAAGGGAATGAAAACACAAGCCACAGACTTGGATAACATTTTTGCAAAACACATATGTGATAAAGGACTGTTAACCACATCATACAAAGAACCCTTAAAACTAAACAATATGAAACAAAAAACCCAACTTTTAAAATGAGCAAAAAATTTCAACAGATATCTCACTAAAGGAGATATATAGATGGCAATTAAGCATATGAAAAGGTGTTCAACATCATATGTCATTAGGGAATTGCAAATTAAAATAACAATAACATACTACTACACACCTATTAGGATGGCCAAAACAATACATTTACAACAACAAATGCTGCCAAGGACGTGAAGAAATTGGAATTCTTTTCTCTGCTGACATGTGGGAATGCAGAATGGTATAGCCACTTTGGAAAGCAGTTTGGCAGTTTCTTACAAAACTAAACATAGTCTTACCATGTGGTTCAACAATTGTACTCCAGTAAAAAGATCAGTGGTTGCCAGGGGTTGGGGGAAGGGAGGGATGATAGAGCACAGAGCATTTTTATAACAGTAAAACTATTCTGTATGATACTGTAATGGTGGATACCTGTCCTTATACATTTGTCCCAACCCATAGATTCCACGGCACCAAGAGTGAATCCTAAACTATGGACTTCAGGTGATAATGATGGGTTCATCAATTATAACATGTGCCACCGTGGTGCAGGATGTCAGTAGCCAGGGAGGTTAGGTGTGTGGGGATAGGGATAGACGGGAACTTTGTACTTTCTACTCAATACTGCTGTGAACCTAAAATTGCTCTAAAAAATAAAATTTATTAATTTTTTTAAAAGTGGGGACAAAGTCTTCCCTGGAACCTGTCACAAGACATGCCTATGACATGCTTTTGGTGTCTACATATCAAGCCAGCTTTTTTCCACTTAATTAACATCTCATATTCATTAAACAATTATTAATAAAATACCTACCATGGGATAGGCATTGTTCTAGGTACTAGGAATAAAGTAGCAAATGAAGCAGATATTTAAAAACTCAGATATTTCACATCTGGGAATCTGAATAAATTACATGCGATACAAAAAATTCTTATACTCAAATAACTCCACTGTTATTTATAATGGTGAAAACTTGAAAATATACTACATAATAGTGGGAATACTTCAGTAAATTATGACACATCCACTCAATTGCATATTATACAGCTATTAAAAATACAGCCCATAATAAGATATAAAAATGTCTGTGTTGTAATGTTGACTGTAAAGGAGTAACATAAGATATGGTAAGAATGTAGATAAGGTGAGTCATTACATGAACATGTTAACAACATTAATCCTTTGTTAATGAATCTATGGGTGGCAGATTTGTACTCCCAAATTTTCATAAAGAGCATGTCTTATTTTTATAATGGAAAATGTCCCAATAAAATATTTTTAAGCCTAGACACTTAATATTTGAATTGACTAGCCAAATCTTCATGCTTTTAATGTCGTAGGTGTGTATCTAATAATTGCTGAAGCTGGAATTTCCTTCGTGTGCAGTCAGCCACACCTCGCTATACCTGTCAAACCATCTCAATTATCCACTCCAATTGTCATGCCTCTCGTGGGTTAGTTGTAAATGGAACACAACTCTAGCATGACATTGCGACTTAAAAGAGCATATCCAGTATTTCGATGATCATTCTGGAAATATATTTCCTCTTCAAAGTTTTTACCTGTCAGTGAGGCATTTAAATTGGGGCATTCTCTTGTTTCTGAAGTCTGATAAAATCTTGACCTTAGAATATTTATTGGTAATATTTATTCATTCACAAAATTAGTTCTTAGCATATCCTATATGTCAGGCATTAGTCTAGAGCTGGGGCTAGAAAAATGAATAAGATTGGGTTCCTGACCCCAGCCCAGGCTCACACTGTAGTAAAGGGAAACAGACATGAACACTAGGTGACATGGAGTGTTAGGGGCGCTATGGTAGAAGTCTGCAGAGAGTGCAATGGGCGTCCAAATGAGGAAGTGATCACTTGCACAAGAGTGGGAGGCTTGGCTGGAAAGGCTTCTCTGAATAGGATGACATTTGATCTGTGTTTTGAAGGGCATCGTTGGCAAGGTAAGTAATCCAATTAAAGGAGGTTGCCTCAGCTAAAGCACAGTATGCTCAAAGGTGCGGATCATTTGAAAATTTGAGTTCAGGTGCAGTAGGGGTAAGGTAAGTATCCAACAGAATTTTCTACAATGATGGAAATGTTCTATATTGTCACTGTCCAATACGGTAGCCTCTAGCCACATTTGGCCAGTACAACTGAAGAATTGAATATTAACTTTCATTTAATTCTAGCTAATTTAAATTTAAATAGTTTCATCAGTTAGTGGCTACCATATTGAACAGTGCAGGTTTAGAGATAAACAGAGGCCAGTTGCAGGAGGGTCTTGCATCCCATTGAGGAGGACTGAATTTTCTTCTGCAGGGCCTTCTGTGGTCTGCAGAAAGGGCAGTACACAGGCAGTAATATTATCAGCTTTGCCTGTGGGAGTGCCCCAGCCTGGAAGCAGATAATACAGTTAGGAGATTCCCATAACCTGCCTGAGTGAGAGCATTAGTAATTAGGGAAGGAAATGGATGTGAGACTTGCTGAGAAGGGCTGGACAGGCTTAGTGACAGGTCTGAGTGTGAGGGGAGAGGGAGTGGGGGAAGTGGGATCAGGTTTGAGCCAGCTATTAAATCAATGCCAATTCATCCCATAAAGAATGCAGAGAGTGGGACAGGTTTGGAGAGTGTAAGGAACATGGCTGTGCTGTAGCCAAGCAGGCATAGGGTAGCAGGAATAGGCCGAGGTAAACAGCCTAGACATCTCAGCGGGATTGGGGTGCAAGTGCACAGTCCTGTGTCTTATATAGTCACAGCCATGTAGGCATAACATAGAGCAGCTCCCCACCTGGCTCTCAGCCACTAGTGTTTGTGTAGTGTATAAATGTAACACTGACCCTGTGAAGGGGCTGCTGAATAAAGCCATGTCTCATTTACCTGCTGTCTCTCCAGTGTTCTTCCAGCTCCCTGCCCCACATCCACCCACTGTCCTCAGACCTCAGCTGGGGCTGCACCCCAACCCTGAGTGTGACAGAGAGAAGATGAGTGTTAGAGATCATGATCCTGAAGTGCTGACGAGAAATTCAGGTGAGTTATTACTATCTTTCTTTCTTTTTCTTTTCTTTTCTTTTTTTGAGATGGAGTCTTGCACTCTGTCTCCCAGGCTGGAGTGCAATGGCGTGATCTTGGCTCACCCCAACCTCCGCTTCCCAGGTTCAAGTGATTCTCCTGCCTCAGCCTCCTGAATAGCTGGGATTACAGGCAAGTGCCACCATGCCTGGCTAATTTTTGTATTTTTAGTAGAGATGGGGTTTCTGTACGTTGGCCGGGTTGGTCTCGAACTCCTGACCTCACGTGATCCACCCACCTAGGCCTCCCAAAGTGCTGGGATTACAGGCATGAGCCACTGCTCCCAGCCACTTATTACTATCTTTCTACTTGCATTGTGCCAAGAGGAAACTGACAGTTCAGCCCTCGTCAACTGAGAGACAGTTGAATTAAAGTAATCTGATGGCATCTCTGGCATTTATTCAGCCATAAGAAAACAGCTGCTAAAAGTGGAATGCAGCTTTTTTAGAATTTCAGCAAAGGTGGAAGGAGATCCAAAAAATTCCTTCTTAGCTGTGCATGGTGGCTCATGCCTATAATCTCAGCACTTTGGGAGGGCGAGGTGGGGGATCACTTGAGGCCAGGAGTTTGAGACCAGCCTGGGCAATATGGTGAAACCCTGTCTCTACTGAAAATACAACAATTAGCCGGGCATGGTGGCATGTGCCTGTAATCCCAGCTACTTGGGAGGCTGAGACACAAGAATCACTGTAACCTGGGAGGTGGAGGTTGCAGTGAGATTGTACCACTCCACTCCAGCCTGGGCAACAGAGTGAGACTCTGTTTCAAAAAAAAAAAAAAAAAAAATTCCTCCTCACAAAATTGAGGACTTATGGACTACAGAGAAAGGCAGTTTTCTTGATGATTGAGAAAATAGTATGACTTTAATAAGGGTTTAGACTGTCCCAAATTAAACTTCGTCGTTGGGATTCATGCCGTAATGCTTCCCATAGTGGGAGGGAATCATAAAGATGAAATTCAAACTGGAGCCCAGTCACCATCCCCCATACCCACCTCCACTACCTGCTCTCCTAGGAAGCCTGCAAGCCTAGAGGTCAGCTCAGTGGCCACCTTCTGAAGCCCAGGGCACCATTGGAAGCTGCCTAGTTTGAGGCACGGATGGAAGAGGAAAACACTGAGAACAACATCCCTCTTCCTGAGGAATGCATACAAGGGTGCTTGGGGGTGGGTTGGGGATCCCAAGGCAGGAGAGCCAAAGCTGGAGTCAGAGGAAGCTCTTCTTCTGAAACCTGTAATTTCAATGTCTTTTCCTTTCCCTTCAAAATTGTAATTTCCTTCTGAAATCATTCTAACCCTTTAGTAAAGACATTAATTTAAAGATGTTTAAAAATCTCCCCCCACCCTCTTTTTTAACCTACTCACTTCTATACTCACCTCTTTAACCCAGATGGTCAACTGTGACTATTACATCCCAGGCTCTCTTCTTAGGTGTGGGGAACTCAACAAGGTATGCTCCCTGTCTTCAAAGAGCTATGGTCTAGTGGGAGAGACAGACAGGAAAATAGACTTCCATAGAGTATTGAGAGCTTTGTCAGGTGTAAGCAGTGGGGGAATGGAGAAATGGGGAGTTACTGCTTGATAAGTATGAAGTTTCTTTTTGCAGTGGTGGAAATGTTTTGGAACTAGTTAGAGGTGAAGGTTTAGGACCCTAAACCCAGTATCGCCGGTCAGAGAAAGTTTCATAGGAGAGATGGCTTCTGAAGACATGGAGGAATTAATCAGATGAAGAGGAAAGGGGACATTCAGAGATAGAGGGAGTAACCTCTAGGCAAAGGTCTGGAGCCCAGAAAAAAATGGAAGTTAATGCAACATGGCCAGAGAATGGCAACAGTGCAGTCTGTCAGGAGAGGAGAGGCAGTTGTGAAAGCTGAGGTTGACATTAACGGCTTCGTATACCATGCCAAGGAGTCTGGAGTTACCCAAAGACCATTGAGAAACCTTTACAAGGTGTTGAGCAGGGAATGACATGATCAGATTTCTATTTTTGAAAGATAAGTTTAGGCAAATAATTGGGGGAGTACAAAACTGGAGAGGCAGGGAGCTCAATTAGTTCTTCATTGCAGTCATCTAAGCAAGCAAAGACAGTTGCTTTAATGAACGTGGGAGAAGTGGGAATGGAGAAAGCAAGTTGGTTCAAGAGAAGTTAATAAAGACTTGGTCATTAGTTAAGGATTGGGTAGATGGGTGCGAGGGTGGGTGAGCAAAAGACAGGGAGATATTCACCTTTAAGAAAAGCTACACAGCGACATTTTCCACATATACAAAATAGATCAGTAGCACATATCAGAGTTGCTCATGGTGGGCTGCCAATGCATGGCTGATATGCTGTCCTTCACTCTCTAGAGTTGAGAATCATTGCCACACATGCTACAGTAGCAAAGATTTTGATGCTTTGAATCCTGTTTTCCTAATTAAGACCATGTGGTATGTGTATGAAGTTGCACCTGGTTTATAATTCTAAGAAAGAAGAACCACTATTGCCCCCACTTTTTATAGAAGCTTGATGATTATAACAGAATTCACTGATTCTTTTTTTTTCATTTTTGTGCTCTTATAATTTTGACTTCTTTTGTAATATATAAAAAAGCCCTATGCTTGTTTATCTTCCTTAAATGCCTCAATTACCCTCCCTGATTTAAGTGGTGAAAATCTGATGCTAAGGTCCCTTATTTCTCCACTGACTGATTCATGCGATGGAGAAAGAGATGGAAAATGAAGAATTAAGGCTTTCTTTCGTCATTCATCTTACCTTTAAAGATTCTTGGCCAGGTGCTGTGGCTCATGCCTATAATCCCCAGCACTTTGAGAGGTCAAGGTGGGAGGATCATTTGAGCCGAGGAGTTGGAGATCGGCCTGAGCAATGTAGCAAGACTTTGTCTCTACAAAAAAATTTAAAAATTCACCAGGTGTGGTGGTGCATACATGTAGTCCCAGCTACTCAGGAGGCTGAGGCAGGGGGATCCCTTGAGCCCAGGAGTTCAAGGCTGCAGTGAGCTATGATCACACCACTGCACTCCAGCCTGGGCAACAGAGAAAGAATCTGTCTCTTAAAAAAGAGAAGAAAAAAAGAAAAGGATTCTTTTTTTGTTTTTTTTTTTGAGACAGAGTCTGGCTCTTTCGCCCAGGCTGGACTGCAGTGGCGCGATCTCGGCTCACTGCAAGCTCCGCCTCCCGGGTTCACGCCGTTCTCCTGCCTCAGCCTCCCGAGTAGCTGGGACTACAGGTGCCTGCCACCACGCCCAGCTAATTTTTTGTATTTTTAGTAGAGACGGGGTTTCACCATGTTAGCCAGGATGGTCTCGATCTCCTGACCTCGTGATCCACCCGCCTCAGCCTCCCGAAGTGCTGGGATTACAGGCGTGAGCCACAGCTCCCGGCCAAAATATTCTTGATAATTACAAAGAAAAGTAGATTTTTAAGGGTTAGACAGGACCCTTGAACTCAAGAAGCTATGCTATGTTTGTATCAGGAAACGAAACTATCTGCTTTTTTTTCTGCCTTTTTGTATCTGTGCCCATGTAAATAACATTTGAAAAAGAATCTCCATGAAGAAGATGGTTAAGGAATAATCTTGTGATCCTCCTGACTAAAAGGATATGGGAAAGTACAAGAAAATAGCTCATGCTTATCCTAAGAGAAACGGAAATAAGGGTGACTTGCATTGTCTTACTTGTTCCATAATTTCTTTCTCATTATTGACCTGAAATCTCAACTTCCCTCTCCGTTATCAAGCCTTTTTGTGGAGAAGGAAAGATAAACTGGAAAAGGAGATTGTCAGCTAATTCCAGGACTCTGACTTTCACAGTTTCAAAATCGATGCCCTACATGTAATATACAGGTTGTGTTTTTTTTAAAAAAGGAGAGCTGTTGTGAAGCACATGGATAATAATGGAGAAAGACAATGAAAACAAAGTGAATAACACAATATATATTTTTTTAACTTTTGAGGATTTTTTAGGAATACAGCTCTGTTTTAATGCTTAACATCCACAAAGCACAACTAAAAGTAGAGAAGTTCTATATTATTGAGCCTTTATTTTTTATTATAAAACATATACAGAAAAGTCAGTGTAACATATATATTTATATATACATATATACATATGTGTATAAATACATATGTATATATACGTATGTGTATATGTGTATATATGTACATATACATACGTGTATGTGTATATGTGTATATATGTACATATACATACGTGTATGTGTATATATGTACATATATGTATGTATATGTGTATATATGTATATATCTATACAGTTAAAAAATTATAAAGTGAATAGCCATGTAACTACTATCTAGATGCAAGTTAAAAACTAGAAATTTTTTTTTCCCACCCTGTCTTACAGTGCTGAAAAAATTAGAAATTTTAAACCAAGAGTACACTGCCACTTGCATGAACTTCAGGGAATCTGTATATTATCTGAAATTATATATAAAATTAGGGGCTCTATGAATTTTTTGGGAAAAAGAGTCTAGAATTTTCAGAAGCTTAAAAGAATTCCCCTCATTTTAAGTACTTATAAGAGCAATAAGACTTAAGATGGCTCCGTAACTTAGTAGCTTTGCAGTCTTAGACTAGTCTCTTGCTCTCTGAATATTGATTTCTATATCTGTAAAGTGAAATAATAATGTTCACTCTCATGAGGCTGTTTTAAGGAACAGATGAGTTATCTATCTGTGAAATAGCTTTGTAAGCTCCAAAGTACTCTTTCAAATGTTAATTATCTATCTTTGTTAGCAACTGAAAAATTTAGCTTAGATCTTCACAATATCTAAAGAACTGCTGGCTGGGCCGGTGGCTCATGCCTGTAATCCCAGCACTTTGGGAGGCCAAGGCGGGCAGATCACTTGAGGTTAGGAGTTCAAGACCAGCCTGGCCAACATGGTGAAACCCTGTCTCTACAAAAAATACAAAAATTAGCTGGGCATGGTGGCACATGCCTTTAGTCCCAGCTACTCAGGAGGCTGAGGCAAGAGAATCACTTGAACCTAGGAGGTGGAGGTTGCAGTGAGCTGAGATTGTGCCACTGCATGCTAGCCTGGGTGACAGAGTGAGACTCTGTCTCACAACAAACAAACAAACAAAAAAACTAGTAAATTGCTTTTGTTGCTCTACATTGGTTTAAATGCATGGTCTAGCATGATAATGCTAGTCTGGCAATACGCTAGTTCCTGGTCAAGCCAACCATTCTTCAAGATCATGCTTGCTCCTGAGCTGCTGAATAATTTCCAAAGAAAATCACTTAACATGGCAAAATGCTTTCACTTTAAATTCATGATCCTGACACTCAGATGCACATTCATTACTTCTCAGTAATTACTGAAAGTTACTGAAAGTTTCTAGTAAGCCCACCCACTCTTCTACCCTCCCAGATGGTTATTTCCTATTAGCCTCTCTCCAAGGTTACCCAAGGTTCCACTTCTGACCATGATGGAATAACAAGGACTGGACTTAACTTCCTACCACAAACAACTAGAAAACTGGGCAAAATATATAAAACAACTGTTTGCTATTATTGCCCCCAAATTTCTGCCTGGAGGCAGTTTCCAGATCCTGGGCATAGAAAGGTAAACCCACTGCCTAGGGACTTTATTGAGTTGAGGAGACAGAGATCAGAGTTCACAGATGTGGAAATTGAAGGGCAAAGTTTTGGAAGGGATGAAGCTATACAAATAAATAAATAGAATTCATAAATCTGAGACTTTGCTAAGTACTTGGCTGTTCATGTATGGATTGACAATCCACACAGTCGAGCACAGAATGACCAGGGAGTATAAGCTAAATAATTCTTAGAGCTCACAGAGGATGAGAAGACATTTGAGCTCTGACCAGCCAGAGTGAAGAGTCCTCAGTGAAAACCAAGGAATTCATTGAAGACCTCTGAGCAGTTATTAATTAGTAGTAAGGTCAAATTATTTCTGGAATGAAGACTACTCTAGACCTACCCTAATAAAGCTTAAAAACAGTCCACAAATGAATCAAACTCATCCACAAATAACTGGCTGAAAAAAACAGCACAACCCTTCCTAAAGGGGGACAATTCAGACACTGAACAAGGATGCAATTCACAACGTCCAGTATTCAATAAAAAATTATTATTATTTTTTGTTGTTGTTGTTTGTTTTTGAGACGGAGTTTCGCTCTTGTTGCCCAAGCTGGAGTGCAATGGAGCGATCTCTCGGCTCACTGTAACCTCCGCCTCCCAGCTTCAAGCAATTCTCCTGCCTCAGCCTCCCGAGCAGCTGGGATTACAGGCGCCCGCCACCGTGCCCAGCTAATTTTTTGTATTTTTAGTGGAGACGGCGTTTAACTATGTTGGCCAGGTTGGTCTCAAACTCCTGACCTCAGGCGATCCACCCACCTTGGCCTCCCGAAGTGCTGGGATTACAGGCGTGAGCCACCGTGCCCGGCTCAATAAAAAATTATTAAACATGCTAAGAAGCTCAACTCATTTGAGCTTAAAACTTCTTAAAGCCTGAGGAAAAGGAAAAATATATAATTCTCTCTTTAAATGTTGAACAGTTTGTGACATATTAAAGATACTTAATCAGAAGAAATTAATTCTACAATATTCTTAAAGGCAATCTTTTAGCTTTTAGATAAAAAACATTTGATAAAATGGGTTTCACTTCTTCTAGGATGACTTCCATCACAATTCTATTTTAAGACTGTTTTATGTAGATTTGTAATCTGGTGTTTTGAAACAACATAAAACTTGGTTTCTCTTTTAACAAAACTGAGAAGAGTTCTCATGCCTTCTTTTTCTCAAGGTAAATATATCCAGTTCTCTCTATCTTATTCTGACAAAATTTTTCTTATTCTCTGGATGCACTCTGGTTCCTCCGTGTTTTTTAATTAAATGCCATTGCTGCCGTGTTAAAACTAGGAACAAATAGTTCTACAAAGACTAGAAGTCCAATAAACCATGGGAGTATAAAATATATTGTCATAGTTGATGTTGTCAATAATAACCATGATAAAGGTCATAAAATACTAGTTTCTAAAATTTATGAATCCTTTTATCTATGTCAGATGCTGTGCTAAGTGCTTCATGACGGCTATCTCATTTTACTCTCACAACTCCACGAGATAGATACCATTGTTTTGTTTTATAAATGAGAAATTTAAATCACTGAAAGGTTTATAAATGAACTCTTTCCACACTTATACTGTATAATAAGCCACTCAAAAACTCAGCGGTTTAAAACAATACTCATTCATTATCACACATCTACAGGTTGACTGGAGTTTGGCTGATCTAGGCTGGGCCCTAGTTGGGCATCTCTGCATCTTACTAAAAGATCGGTTCAGGCAATTCTGTGCCATATGCATGTGATTCTGGGACCAAAGAGCTTGCTTTGTATGTACTTCTCATGGCAATGATACAGGCACAAGAGAGAAAGCAGAAATATGGGGTCTCTTTAAGATCTTGGATCTGATTTGGCACACCGTTGCTTCACCACAACCTATTGGCCAAAGCAAGTCACATGGCTAAATTCAAAATCAAGGATTGGGGAAGTATACTCCACCAAAGTCCATGGCAAAGGTGTGGATGCTAAGAGGCATGAAGGATTAGGGAGAATAATTCAATGTAGCACAAAACGCTAAATAATACTTCCAAAGTCATACCCATTGTAGCAGTCAGGGATTCAGTTTGGCTGAATGTAGCAAAAAACCCAAATAATAGTAGCTTAATAAAATAGGAGTTTATCTTCTCTCATGCAAAGTCTGGAGATAGCCAGTCAAGAAGCTGATAGGGCTGTTCCATGACGTTACCAGGAACTCAGGTTCCTTTTTCATTTTTGTTCCACCATCCTTAAGATGTGACCCTCATGTTTATGTTCACAGCAAGGCTGCTGGAGCTTCAGCCAGCATATTCTCATTTCAAGTAGAAAGAAAAGGAAAGGCAATAGACATAAAATGGAAGTGCTTTCCCTGACACCTCATCCAGTGATTACACTTACATCTCATTGGCTAGACCATGTCACAGGCCACTCTCACTGAGAAAGAGGTTGAGAGATTTTTTTTTTTAAAAGAGAACACTGTCATTCCCAACACAGGGTTAAATTAGTAACAGAAAGAGAAGAAAACATTGACATTAAGTAGGAATTAACAGTATCAAACATACTTCAGGGAGTATTTGTGCCAGGATTTGCCCATTAGTTTAAAACTATACTTAATATGATGGTATTATTCTTACCATCTTAAAAGATATTTAATATTCTAATATATAATATATGCTCATGGAAGACATTTTGGTAGCTATCTTAAAGTATAAAGAAGACAAATCAGCCATAAGCCATTACAAAGTTACAACCACTGTTAAAATTTTGCTATCTCACCGTCCTTTGGTTGCTTTACCTTGTATACTTACAGTATATTTGTATATCTAAATTGGGTTCATTCTCTACAAATAGCCAGTCTCATCTCCCTTGTATTTTTAAATTTTGTTTTATAGATCATAAGACAATATATACTCATTATGGAAAAATCTAGAAAAAACAGAAAAGTATAAAGAAATAAAAGTAATTTACCTATAATTCCATCCTTAGATCTAATTGCTTGCTGTGATTTTGAAAAACTGACCTACACTTTTTGTGCATTATATGTATGTCAATATAGTTTAAGTCATATTATATAAAAATTTCGCATTTGGCTTTTAACAAATATAAGACAAACACAAGGTTTTTGTTAACATAATTTTAAATACCTGCCTGATATTTTACTTAAATAACGTGTTTAGATTTCTAAGGCTGTGCTATTATAAATCTTGTTACTCTGAACATCTATTTTTACACAAGCTTCTTCCACATTCCGGGAACATTTTCTAGAAGGCGGAAATAAAATTGTGTTATATTATGATGTATATTCTTGAGTTTTTGTGTTGATTCATTTCCTAGTAATCAGGGAATGTCCTTAAGCAAAGCATATTCTGCATATTTGTTTGCAGTTTGAGAAAAATTACTGTTTAAAAATAAAACCTTGTTGTTTGATGCTCTCCTTCTAATGAGTATTTAATCCTTTTTCACACTTTCACGTCTGAAGGTGGGCCTAACGATATTATCGTTAAGGGATAAAACCTCATTATTTTGACTCGGACACTAATGTGTTCTTATCATGTGCTTCTTGAATGAGCAGTTTTCTCTTCGGGCATCTTGGAGCGTTCTGTTACAGACTTCCTTTGAACAACGGGACATGAAATAAAACCTCGATACTTTTTACTTTTGTTTTTTAAAACTAGATACTTTTACAAGAACTCTATTTGCCCAGGATACAGCCCTTCCGTTTTCCCAGCCTCTCCAACTGGCTCCTCCCTCTCCCCCACCCCGCTTTCAAAGCCGCCTCATCATTCCCACGCTAGCAAGTTAATATCCTTATTTACGAGAACTTGTGTTTCACAGTCTTAACCACGGAGGTTAAGATGTCTCTGCCTGAAATTCCTTTGTTTTTAAAGTTTTTCCAGCCCATCTTTTGGGGGAAAGACCCTCAAAGTGGGACCCCGCCCCACCCCCACCTGGCCCCGCCCCCTCTGGTCCGGAGCCTTCCATCTCCATGGTTACGCGGCGGTGGCTGCGAGCGCCCAACTGCTCCGACCGTCGCGGTGAGGGCCCCAGGACAGAAGCAGACAGACACGGCTCCTGCTGTCGATTCCGATCCAGGTCAGCCTACTCGGGGCTCCGCGCCCTTGACCCGGAGGCGTACCCCGCCAGGCGGCGAGCTTGGGGCGGCTGGCGGAGCTCGGGCGGCTGGAGGACCGCGTCCTGCCTCGTCGAGACTTAGCTCTCAGTCTCGATCCTTTAGGCTGCGCCGCCGCAGAGCTGGAACAGCGGTCCATTCCTGCCGGAGGCGCCACCCCAGGGCTGCAGGGCTGCCCTCTAGCCTTTGCGCGGGTGCCTGAGGCCTCCCGCTTCTGTTTCGCTCCACTGGCTACCCCAGAAGCCGGACCTCGGGAGACTTAGTAATTGGAGGGTGGGTGCAGGGAAGGTGCTGAGCCGCGTCCCTAGCGACCCGGCAGCGGCGCGCATGCGCACACAGATCCGGAGCGCGCACACAGATCCGGAGCGCGCACACAGATCCGGAGCGCGCACACAGATCCGGAGCGCGCACACAGATCCGGAGCGCGCACACAGATCCGGAGCGCGCACACAGATCCGGAGCGCGCACACAGATCCGGAGCGCGACGGACTCTCCCACTGACTGGCACTTGCGCATGCGCTGCCTGTGATCTTGGAGTACTGATTATAAGCTGTTTTAAGCGATTCCCTTAAGCCGCGCACTGTTGTAACCACTAAAAACAGGACTAATTTAGTCCTCACACCTCTGGAAAGAAGTGAAGCAAGTGCCCAAGGTCTCACAGCTGGACAGTGGTCGGGTCACCATGGAATCCAGGCAATCTGGTTTCACTGGACAAAATGCCTAGTGCTTCGTACTCATCCATTGGAAAGCTAATAATGCTGAGGAGTTGGCTTTATCTACCTGATATTGCCTTTGTTATACTCTACATGCCAACTTCCATTGTGCTTAGTTACTGATATTCAGGAAAATCAGAAAACTCGATCAAAACCTACCACTTTTTCCTTATAGTAAATGCTTTTTTTTATCGAGAGTCTGAACTCTATTTTAGATGTGCGGAAAAGATCATTTTAATGATCTGAGCAAGAATTGTTTTCCAAGATTCTAGTACAGTTCTGAAGGGTCATTTAATGAATGTGGTGGAATAAGCATTTCTCCTTTTAAAGCTGTACTCTTGGGTTTCTCATTAATTTTACCTCCCTCCCCTACAAATACTGCTTAGCCTTTTTTTTTTTTTCCTGAGACACAGTTTCGCTCTTGTTGCCCAGGCTGGAGTGCAATGGCACCGCAACCTCCGCCTCCCGGGTTCAAACGATTCTCCTGCCTCAGCCTCCCAAGTAGCTGGGATTACAGGCGTGTGCCACCACTCCCGGCTAATTTTGTATTTTTAGTAGAGACGGGGTTTCTCTGAGTTGGTCAGGCTGGTCTCGAACTCCCGACCTCAGGTGATCTGCCTGCCTTGGCCTCCCAAAGTGCTGGGATTACAGGCGTGAGCCATCGCGCCCAGCCTGCTTAGCCTTTTTTTTTTTTTTTAATTAAGAATATCATGATAGGAATATATGTTTAGTGACCATAATTTAAATAATTGAAAATGTTATTTATCAAATGTTTCAATTATTTGAAATCCCAATCGTTGTCTGTCTTCAATAAAGTCCTTCATTTTTAAAAATAATGAAAAACAGGAGAGGCCTAGATACTAATAAAAATGCTAATAAGCTAATAGATGATATTATGACTGTTTACAAATACAATATTGCAGAAATCAAAAGAGGAAAAAAATAAATTTGCATAAAACCACGGTTTTTTTAAAAAAAATTGTTGTTTTATTTAGCCAGAATGCCTCCAACTCAGGCCGAAAGTGTTATAAGGAGTATTATACGAGAAATAGGACAAGAATGTGCAGCCCATGGAGAGATTGTTTCTGAAACTCTGATTGCTTTTATGGTAAGAAGAAATATTTTTGTGATTACTGTTTTATTAAGAGGTTTTTTAAGATGTGGTGTCCATTTTCCCCTTTAAATTCTGTGAGGCTTTCATAAATGTTTTTCAGTTGAAGCATAACGAGATAATTGGACAAATTTGTGAAAACATTTTTAAAAAGTTTATAGAGCATGTGAGTTCTAGATTTATAGAGACATTTAGAAGACCTTGATGAGTTTTGGAAACATCAATAATGTTCTCCTGTGTGGGAATTTTTTGACGTGTATTTTTGTTTGCCGTTGTTAAAAATTACTCATTGCTGTGGTTTCTCTGTTCTTGCTTTTGGTTAACAATACACAATAAAAATACAATAAAATATGCCATAGTTTCCCAATTGAAAACCTAGCCATTGCTTTCAACTTATTTCCCCATATAACTTTTCTAGCACCATATTCAAGTTTGATGTTTGTTGCTTCCTTTTTTCAACCTCTAACAAGGGTACTGATGAGTTCAGTAATAAGAAGAATAGTTGGAAAACCAACCCCAACGTAATCAAGAGGTAGTTGTTTAAAAAATGGAAACATATTAAGCTAATAATATGAAATAAAATTGCTTAATGGATTCTTTCCTAGTTAATGGACTCGTTCCTACTTTTTTCTAGGTGAAAGCTGTTGTCCTGGATCCAAGTAATGGCTTTAACATGGATAGAACCCTCATGAAAAGTGATGTGCAGAATCTTGTTAAGGTGATTACCCAACAGTCCTCAAATTTGCAATTACTTATTCTCAGTTGTAAATACAATATTTGTATTAGTCATTATTGCCTTCAGCTGCATGAAACAAAAGCCCACAAAATAGTAGTATACACGAGATATTTTTCTCATAACACAAAATCTGGAGAGACATAGACCATTCTTCCTGGCTTCCTGGGGCACACCATCCTTGCAATATGGTCATCTGGTGGTCAAAAGATAGCTACCCTGCCTCTAGGCAGAAAGAAGGGGGAAAGACAAAGGGCAAAATATGTGTGCCAATTGGGTCTATCACCTTCTATCCAGAAAATAATAATTTTCCCAGAATCCCTCCCATCTACTTAACATTTATTGACCAGAATGATATTGTAAGTGACCCAGGGACATTTCACTTCTTTTTTCTTTCTTAGATGAATAAATCCTTGCCCCAATCCAAATTGAGGCTCTGTTAGTAAGGAAGGAAGGGC
This sequence comes from Homo sapiens, assembly GCF_000001405.40. Classification (NCBI taxonomy): domain Eukaryota; kingdom Metazoa; phylum Chordata; class Mammalia; order Primates; family Hominidae; genus Homo; species Homo sapiens. Next base: position 87,411,142 of record NC_000006.12, read on the forward strand.
AGGGAAATTGGGCAGGTAGCAGCATCTGCTACAGTATTTTAGTGAAACCTTGTTACTAATGTCTTACATTGCAAACATTAACTAGTTCGTCATATACTGTGAAGTTAAATAGAACTAAATTAATTTGCATTTCTCTAATGCTGAGTGATGTTGAGCATTTTTTTCATGCTTTTTGGCGATTTGTATGTCTTCTTTTGAAAAATATCTATTCATGGCCTTTGCCCACTTTATAATGGGGTTATTTGTTGTTGTCGAGTTGTTTGAGTTCCTCGTAGATCCTGAATATTAGTCCTTTGTCAGATGCATAGTTTGTACATATTTTCTCCCATTCTGCAGGCTGTCTTTTCACTCTGTTGATTATTCATTTTGATGTGTAGAAGCTTTTTAGTTTATTTAAATCCAATTTGTCTATTTCTGTTGCATTTACTTTTAAGTCATGAATTCTTTGCGTAGGCCAATGCCCAGCCCCCTAGGTTTTTTTCTGTTATTTTTATAGTTTCAGGTCTTACATTTAAGTCTTTAATCAATCTTGAGTTGTTAATTTTTGTATATGGTGAGACATTGGGATGGGTTTCATTCTTCTGCATATGGTAATCCAATTTTCCCAGCACCATTTATTGAATAGGATGTCATTTCTCCAGTGTATGTTTCTGTTGACTTTGTCAAAGATCACCTGACTGCAGGTATGTGGCTTTGTGTCTGGATTTTCTATTCTGACAATGAGATACAATCTTACACCAGTTAGAATATCTTTAAAAAGTAAAAACATAACAGATATTGGTGAGGATGCAGAGAAAAGATGGTATAAAGCTTGTTCTTAGCAATAGGGGAAGTGATTGTGGCAGTCAGAAATTTTATTGGAAAGCCGTGGAAGAGAATCCAGGAGGGGCAGAAAATAAGTTGTTCTCCTTGTCATGACCCAAGAAGAGTTTTCCATTCCCCCCAATTCCCCAACTCAACTAAGTTGGAAAGAATCAAGCCAATATACTTTTAGTACGACAGGTACATAAACTAACAACATATGTTATATTCAAGTGACAATTTTTTTCTCAACTAAAAATCATGTGGATGAGCTATTTTTTTAAGTGTGCATTTTAGAACAGTACTTCTGTATGTGGAGGGATCCAGGTGCACAGGCTTCTGCAAAGACATAGTGTCCAATCCTCAGTCTTGCATTCTCCCCTCCCTCCTCCCAGGAAAGCAGGGCTGGTGCTCAGGGAGATGGGTTGAGAGTGATGCTGCCAAGTGCCTGCCAGCTGCAGTATATTCAGCCTACAGAGTGAGCAGTGAAGGAAGTGGGGGAGGGAGGTGACCAGTAGAGATGAGAGAAGGAAAGAAAAACTGAGGTTGATATTCAATATAAAGAGGCAAGGCAGAGAAGGGGAATGAGCCATCTATGTGGGGGCTCATAGGAGAAAACAGACCAGGAGAAGAAATATCAAGGGTAGAACCAGAGAAATTTTGTGAAGAGAGGGGGGTGGTTGCAGCAGCTTTTTAATTTTAATTTAATTTAATTTAATTATATTTTATTTTTTGAGACAGAGTCTCGCTCTGTCCCCCAAGCTGGGGTGCGGTGGCATGATCTTGGCTCATTGCCATGTCCACCTCCCGGGTTCTCAAGCGATTCTCCTGTCTCAGCCTCCCGAGTAGCTGGGACTACAGGTGTGTGCCACCATGCCTGGCTAATTGTTGTATTTTTAGTAGAGACGGGTTTCACCATGTTGACCAGGCTGGTCTCGAACTCCTGACATCGGGTGATCTGCCCACCTCTGCCTCCCAAAATGCTGGGATTACGGGTGTGAGCCACTGCACCAGCTGCAGCAGCTTTTTATAAAATAAAATGAGGAGTGTTGTTCAAGGCACAAATAAATAGTAATGAGGAACTCTAGAAGAGTTTTAGACTGGAATATAAGCTTTGTGGAACATTTACCCACATTTAGACTGCTCAAACTAACCAAAACATCAGGTTTCTTGCCTTCAACTAGACTACTAGCCACCTGGCATGATGATTATTGGTTAACTCAAGGGAAATAACTTATTACTTAACAAATGTTATTGGTAGTAAAGATATGGAATCAACCTAAGTGTCCATCAACAGATGATTGGATAAAGAAAATGTATACACACATACACACAATGGAGTTTTATTGAGCCATAAAAAATAATGAAATCATGTCTTGTGGCAACATGGATGGAACTGGAGGCTACTATCTTAAGTGAAATAACTCAGAAAGTAAAATACCACATGTTCTCACTTATAAGTGGGAGCTCAATAATATGTACCCAGGGACATAGAGAGTGGAACAGTAGACATTGAAGACTTGGGAGGGTGAGAGGGGAGCGAGGGATAAGAAATCACTTAATGGGTACAATGTCCACTATTCAGGTGTTAGCTACCCTAAAAGCCCAGGCTTCACCACTACACGCAATATATCCATGTAACAAAATGACACTTGTACCCCCTAAATCTATAAAAATAAAAAAAGTTATTGGTTAAATAAACTATAAAGCCTGAAGTCCTCAAGGAGAAAAAAAAAATAAAAGGGGTTATTGGTGAATCAATATCAGGAACCACTGCTTTTCCCTTTATTTTTGAAAATAACTTTAGGAAATACTTGACTGTCTCAAAAACTATAACTAGAAGTATTCATGGGACATTCTTTTCTAGCTTTGTATGACTCGGCTATTGGATACTAAAAATCCATCCCTGGACACTATTAAGATGCAAGTCTACTTCGATATGAATTATACGAATCGAGGTAATGTATACTACCTATTTTTATACTTAAAAAATTTCATACTGTGTTTCAGCTAAGAAGGGCTTCATTTGGTTGACAATGAATTTAATTGTTTAATCAATTTAACAATTTAATTTTTGGCAATCAACTTTGAGGAATACAACGTTAGAAATGCTAAATGAAAAAAAACCATTGGCCTTTGTGAGTGTTAAAAGTGAATTCCAATTATTGTGCTCATAATTATTGTTTCCAGTGGCACTAATACATAATAATTAGGAATTCAGCCCATTGAAGTTAAAAGTTTTTAATTTATAGATTTTCTTGTTCCTGGTTTATGTTATTATCTCATTATAATTACCTAAATTATGTAACTATTCAAAAATGAACGATGGGGAGTTTAAGTTTAGAAAACGTTTCAATATGTAAATTTTTTTTGAGACAGAGTCTTGCTCTGTCACCCAGGCAGGAGTGCAGTGGCACGATCCACAGATCACTGCAACCTCTGACTCCCATGTTGAAGCAATTCTCCCACCTCAGCCACCCGAGTAGCTGGGACTATAGGTGTGTGCCACCATGCCCAGCTAATTTTTGTATTCTTAGTAGAGACGGGATTTCACCATGTTGCCCAGGCTGGTGTCGAAATCCAGGCCTCAAGCGATCTGTCTACGCCTTAGACTCCCAAAGTGCTGGGATTATCAGTGTGAGCCACCATGCCTGGCTCATTATGTAAATAATTTAATGCATACATCAAAGACAAGTTGGAAACAAAAGAAAAAGGAAAATGTAATTCTCTATGGACTGCCTCTGCACCTGCTATATAAAACAAGTCTATTTCTCTATGGACTACCTCTACCTCTACTGTATAGTACAATCATTATTAACAATTTGGTGATGTTTCTCTTTGTTAGTTTCAGTTATGCTACCTATGTAAAAGTATATATCTTGCGTTTTTGCTTAATAGTGAAATTTTAAAGCAAGAAATAGTCATATAATTGATAAAATTTAACCTATAGATTTTTAAATTTGTTATTTAAACATATTTTTAATTTGCAAAAAGTTCTCAGTTGGTTTTGTGGCAAGGGTATAGGTATAAACTGTGCGTGGTGGATATGTTAATTATTGACCTTGTAATAGTAATATGGGTTGTCTTATAGAGTCATTGCAGAATTGTACTTGCAACAACTCAGGGAACATAGTGTCCTGCCAAAGTGAAGCCTGTCCCTCAGCATATCACAGGAGGAATGAGGAGGGATACAGTTCTCGATGCAACATCGTATTATCAATAATGCTTTTCAGAGGAAATTTATCTAGAACTGAAATAAAAATACACGTAACCGAAAGGAACATATATACTACATATATATTTCTGCTACTATATATGCTTATGTATAGTATACTACATGTGCTTACATATAGCATAAATATATAATATGTATATATTTATTTTTTCATATAGTATTAAAATTAAAATATATAATATATATTTTGTAGAAATGGTCTTCTTTATTTTCTGCTTAATTGGGAGGTTTTAGCCTTTTCTGATATCTCCTGTTTAGTTTGGCTGTTTAAAGTCTTAGGTGTTTTGACAAAGTATTCCATTTAAGTCACTGTAATAAATCTTCCCTCCTGGATTTTTGTCTTGAGGCTACATGCTGGCCACTGTTTTTTATTTCATTATTACAGCTTAAGAAATTACTTGTTTTCCTGAAGTAGAATTGCCATATCCAATCCAGTTTTTCTCTAGTTCTTACGTAAGAAGAATTCTAAAAATTAAATATATAGAACATTGTTATTTGGCAATTTTAGTGGAATTTCTCGAAGAACATCACCGGGTCCTAGAGTCTAGATTAGGCTCTGTTACCCGAGAAATTACAGATAACAGAGCATGTGCTAAAGAAGAATTGGAAAGCCTCTACCGGAAGATTATCAGCTATGTGTTACTCCGCTCTGGCCTTGGATCCCCTACAGACATCAAGACTGTCAGAGAGGTAACAGGTAAAAAGTATAACCAATTTCCATTTCATAAGTGAAAATATATGGTCATTGTATTTTATAAAACATGTTAAATTAGAAGTGTTAAAGATTGAAGTTCCCTTTTTATCTGAAAAAAAAAAAAAAATCAGCACAAATGAGTTAAAATGTACCCAGTCTCCTTTTACACTGTGTATCCATTCTAAAACTCAAGTAGCACCTCTAGAAAGTGAAATATTGCTAATTTTCCTAGAGCTGTACATATCTAGGCACCTATTACACCCCATTAGAGAAACATTGATAGTAGGATTGAGGGTACCAGGCTGATTGAGTAAATGGAAAAGCTGAAAACGGATATTTCATATTGATGAAAGAAATTGAGTCTGTCATTTAAAATGGGTGATGGAATGGGGCACCATTTTATCCTTAGGAAGTCTTTGCCCTCTTTCATCCTTTAAAATGAGGAATAGGAAAAATGTCTAGCTCTCCTATGGCTTTCTTCCATAATTATTTTAAAGCATCCATTTTTTGGCTCAGATCCCTAATTAGAAAGCTTGTTTTCATGCCCATTGCCAAAAAGTTACTGCTGGATGCTTAATTATTAAAAATGGACATGAGGCAATGGCATAACTCTCAGTAATCCAGCTTTGATGCGTGATAAGTTTTATTATGTATCCTATAATCAGGTATCAGTAATTTAAAGAATCATATAAGTAACTCAGACCCTTAACTTGCTGCTAAAGAAAAACGTTATTTAACGTCTGATATCTTTATTCTATCATTTTGTTTTCCTTTTTTTTTTTTCTGGTTTATTTTAGCTGCTCTACAGAGTGTTTTTCCTCAGGCAGAGCTTGGGACATTTCTAACTCTTTCTAAGAAGGACAAAGAACGCCAGCTGAAAGAACTCACCATGATTGTTACTGGAATTCGTTTATTTAACAGAGACTGTGGAAAAGGAGGAGAAGGCATTGATGATTGTAGGTATATCATTAGATTAATTCTAAAGGTTATGTATGTTTAAAATTTAACTTGCACAGTGAGGAAAATAATAAACAACACACCACTGGCATTCTTAAATTTAAGATTTGCATTTTTTACTGTTTCCTTAAGAATAACTACTGTTTATAATGTGTAGTGATTTTTACTTTTGCTGGGGCAAGACTTTACATTTTATGTACCATGAAGCTAGTAGGAGAAAGTGAATCAGTGAAAGCAATGAAGGGTCCTGCTCAAAGCTAACCTCCCAGTTCAGCAGGGCTTTGTGTTCATTACTGCAAGTCCGTAACCAAAAGGGAGTACAATTTAGTTATTTAAAAAATAAAAATCTTCCTGAAAACAGTTCCTGGTGCAGTTAATGGAATGAAAAGATCCACGAGGAGATATTTCAAATCTCTAAATTCGGGGGCATTTACTTTGTGGTTATATACTTAATGCATTCTTTATAAGTTTGAAAGTACTTATGAAATATTTAATGAAGTACCTACCAGTAGAAGTAACTTCCTTATGAAATTTGGTACTCCTGTAGGCCCACTGATAAGGTGTTAGTGTCTTTCACCAAATCACTAATCTAGTATAAAAGGGTAATTTTTTCTATTTTAAAAACTGTTCTAAAAAGTCAAATTTCCATTTTCATAAATGACCCTCCCTTGCTAGACTATTCTGTCATTTTTCACCATCCAGATGAGTTTCTTAACAAACGTTCCTTTTTTTTTTTTTTTTAATAACTAGAAAAGAAGATATACAAAAGGAAGGGTCAGTGGCTTTTCTGGAAGCACATGGTTAACAACACATAATACCAAACTCTGCCTATTCTCTGAACTCTTCTATATTTAGTGGCAAAAGCTGACCTACTGTAACTGGGTTATCATTCTGTTAATATCTTTTGTTTGAACTTGTTTTAGATTCTTTTTTTTTTTTTTTTTGAGATGGAGTTTCGTTCTTGTCGCCCAGATTGGAGTGCAGTGGCGCGATCTCGGCTTACTGCAACCTCCGCCTCCCGGGTTCAAGTGATTCTCCTGTGCTGGGATTACAGGCATGCGCCACCACGCTCAGCTAATTTTTGTGTTTTTAGTAGAGACGGGGTTTCACCATGTTGGCCAGGATGGTCTCAATCTCTTGACCTCGTGATCCGCCCGCCTCGGCCTCCCAAAGTGCTAGGATTACAGGTGTGAGCCACCACCCCCGGCCTAGATTTTCTTTATGTTGTGGGACCCAGGAAACACATGCCTCATTATTACTAATTTGATTGGGGAGAAAAACCCTAACTTAATGTTTAAAATGTAACTACTTTCTAGGCTTCTTCTCCTTAATTGTTTTTAGTCTCCTTTATGGCTGCCTTTTCATACTCTTACAAACAGTGCCAGCTGTTCTCCATGTAGCAATCCCAGCCACCATGCAGCATATTGATTACCAGCTTGAGACTGCCCGGAGCCAGGTATACCGCTACACAGCCATCCTTGAGAAGGCAGCCAACGACCCACTCATGAGGGCTGAACTTCAGCCATATATGTTAAAAGAAGCGCTATATAATATACGACAATATGAGGTCTTCCTTCAGATCATTTTGGTGAGTTAAGTTCATAAGACCTGACCTTTTCTATATAATGCAATCTCTTTATATAAGGCCACATCAGGTAGAACCAGGTCACTAATTAAGGAGAAAACCTCAGTAACTGCTCGGTTTATATTGCTTTGGTAGAGTTAGGAATCAAAATAGAAACAGAAAAGTTGGGTTTTGATTTTAATGAAAATATTTTGGTAGAAGTTGAATTTGTATTTTTTCATTGGTACTTGATAATATGATTGTTAGCATGCTGTAGTTAAACAGTGGTGTATATGTAAGTAATACTATGTTTATTTTAGTTCAGAGCAAGTATGTAACATTGTTTGGCAGGTAGTTGCCTTTCAAATAATTTTTGTGTAATTATTTGTTCTCACTGTAACAACTGGTACAAAATATTTTTTTAAAGGTTTTTTGTAGGCCAGGCAGAGTGGCTCATGTCTGTAATCCTAGCACTTTGGGAGGCAAAGGTGGACAGATCGCTTGAGCCCAAGAGTTCAAAATCAGCCTGGCCAACATGGCAAAACCCCATCTCTACAAAAAGTACAAAACTTAGCCGGGCACAGTGACATGTGCCTGTATTCCCAGCTACTCAAGAGGCTGAGGTGGGAGGATCACTTGAGCCCAGGAGGCAGAGGTTGCAGTGAGCCAAGATCACACCACTGCACTCTGACAGAGGGAGACCCTGACCCTGACTCAAAAAAACGTTTGTTTTTTTTTTTGTTTTTTTTTTAAATATAGATTGGAGTCTTGCTATGTTGTCCAGGCTGGTCTTGAACATCTGGCCTCAAGCAATCCTCCTGCCTCAGCTTCCCAAAGTGCTGGGGTAACAGGCATAAGCCACCATACCTAGCCAGATAAGATTTTTATATCTGGTGTTTTTAGATCTAATGAACAAGCCAAACAGTATCCCTAGAGAGTTGAAAAATATGGTAAAGTGGTGGTTATAAACTTTTTAAAAAGTAGCAGTGACCTTTCTGTCAGATAGAAACTTACTCAGAATCTTACAAATATAAAACAGATATCTACATAAAGGGACTGGAGGACCTTTTCACTAAGGGATATCCCCTTGACACTCTAGGGTTGTAAGAAACACAGTCTGTTAATTACTGCATGATGGCAGGTTATGTTCCCACTTGTCACCGTTTACTTTTACACAACCTCTGTTTTCCAGTAACTATGAGATTCTCGGTTAGTGGAACTGTCTTTTGTATGAGTGAATGCTAATTTCTTGAGGGATAGAATAGGATGTATTCTGACCACCTCTTCTTTTTAACTTGCATTGTAATGACTTGGTCCTTCTATTGGATGCACTTGGTCTGTCCTCTCTCCTTACCTAGCTGTTCTGATGACATGACTTCATTCAAACTAGGGGTTGTCCTCACAACTAGCCTATCTAATTGTCTTCAGGAGGAAGGATCCTAGCTGGGAGGCTGAGGTTAGAGAACTGCTTGAGGCCAAGAATTCAAGACCAGCCTGGGCAACATTACAAGACCCTGTCTCTACAAAAAATAAAATTAGCCAAGCATGGTGGTACTAACCTGTAATCCCAGCTACTTGGGAGGCTAAGGTAGGAGAATTGCTTGAGCCCAGGAGCTTGAGGATACAGTAAGCTTTGGCTATGCCACTGCACTCCAGCTTGGGTAGCCAAGGAAGACCCCATCTCTAAAAAGAATAAATAAATAAATAATAATAAAAACCAAGTCACACTCTTGGGGTGGATATTTCCCTTTACATTACCTTGTGGCTATCAGCCTTATGTTAACTAGTCAGCTACTAAGGGGATTTTGTAATCAATTTATTTTGAAGTGCATGTGAGTCCACAGGAGTAGAACTTCACATTCACATTTGTCACCTGTATTCAGAGGTGATATTATAAGAAAGAACCTTGAGAAACTGTCACACAACTGTAAGGATGTTGCAGAAGATGTCATTCATTATATAGAATCTTCTCATAGCTTGCAATCATGAATCCACCAACTAAGTCTTAAATTCTCATTGGCGTTCTACTTCTCACAGCTGGAGAGGACAGTGAGTAAAATGTAGAAATGATGAGTGTGGTCTTTGCAACCAGACTACATGAATTCTAATCATGACTTTGCCACTTACTAAATCTGTGTCCGTAAGGAAGCTGCTTAACTTCCCTGTGCCTTGGTTTCCGTATCTGTAAAATGGGGTTATTCATAGTCTTCACCATGTAAATAAGGCGGCATAGTGCCTGGTGCAACGGCTCAATAAAGTGATGATGATGTTGTTTATGATTATCATCATCATCATTGTTAGGGCCTTAGCTGAACAGCTGTGATTTCATTTGTCTAGTGGAACAAGCTGAAGAGCTTTTATTTTTCCATACAGTATCTCATTTCCAAGCTCCTTGCTGCTCACGTTGTTGAGAAAGTTAATTTTCTTATCCAAGCACTCTTTATGGCTGTTTTGTACTGACTTTAGTCAGGATCAGGATGAGTTTTCTTAACTTTCTGATTCTCTGCTCAAACAGTCTTTTTTGTTTTGTTTTGTTTTGTTTTTAAACTATTCAGTCCTTCCCCATCAGTCTTAGTGACAATTAAGGTTGATTATTATGAAATGGATATTGGTTTAATCAGTATTATCTCTAGATTATAAACTGCATCAATTTAAAATTAGCCAAGATTTTTCCTATATTAAAATCTATGAATATTCGTTTTAAAGTCACATTATTTGAACTAATTAAAAATTTTAAAGTAGCAATTTTGATTTTTAAAAATTCTCTCATCAAAGTTTCAGTTTATGTGAACATTTTAAAAATCCAATATAGGCCGAGCGTGGTGGCTCACGCCTATAATCCCAGCACTTTGGGAGGCTGAGGCAGGCAGATCACCTGAGGTCAGAAGTTCGAGACCAGCCTGGCCAACATGGTGAAACCCCGTCTCTACTAAAAATACAAAAATTAGCCGGGCATAGTGGTGGGTGCCTGTAATCCCAGCTATTCAGGAGACTGAGGCAGGAGAATCGCTTGAACCCAGGAGACAGAGGTTGCAGTGAGCTGAGATCGTGCCACTGCATTCCAGCCTGGGCGACAGAGTGAGACACTGTCTCAAAAAGAAAAAAAAAATCCAATATATAGCCTGGGTAAGATAGTGAATTATTTTGTTTTAATCAGGCCTTTATCTTCTGCAGTGAACACATTGAAATATTCTAGAAAAGAAAAGGGAGTGATGATCGTAGTTTTGTTGACTCTTAACTGAGAGAATAAAATTCCATCTTCCATGGGCTTTTAAAGTGCAAGGCAGACACCAAAGAGGGAAAGCTGCATGTTATTGTGCAAGTAAGAGCTGCGTTTGACAGCACATTTGTTAAAACCTGTAAGTCAAGATTTTTGTAGAGTTATTTCCCCCCAAGCTATTTTTGCAGGGCCCATTCACAGACACACAACACAGGGCTTCTTGATTTTTCTTGATAAGGCAAGTAAAAAAATCAGTTAGGTGGAATTTGTGCTTGTTTTATTATATTTTATTTCTGTTGTAATAAGAACATTAAACATCAGAGATTCCATTCTAATTTCTGCTTCTATAAGTTTGACTAGACTTGTTGAAAATTGTCCGTGGAAGAAAGTATGAGGAACTTATAAAAAGTGTTTAAAAGGTAGGGGGAAGGGGAAGAAGACAAAGAAACATGCTGGGATCACATGCTTTTGCCAAACATTTGAATGTTATGATAAAATTTTTTTAAGTGATAGCATTTTTAGAGGACTAATATTATAATTAAAAACTCTAGATGGGCCGGGCGTGGTGGCTCACACCTGTAATCCCAGCACTTTGGGAGGCCGAGGCAGGCGGATCACCTGAGGTCAGGAGTTCAAGACCAGCCTGGCTAACATGGTGAAACCCCATTTCTACTAAAAGTACAAAAAATTAGCCAGGCATGGTGGTGCGAGCCTGTAATCCCAGCTACTCGAGAGGCTGAGGCAGGAGAATTTCTTGAATCCGGGAGGCAGAGGTTGCAATGAGCCAAGATCACACCATTGCACTCCAGCTTGGACAACGAGAGCGAAACTCCATCTCGAAAAAAAAAAAAAAAAAAGGCCGGGTGCGGTGGCTCACGCCTGTAATCCCAGCACTTTGGGAGGCCGAGGCAGGTTGATCATGAGGTCAGGAGTTCAAGACCAGCCTGACCAAGATGGTGAAACCCCGTCTCTACTAAAAATACAAAAAATTAGCCCGGTGCAGTGGCAGGCACCTGTAATCCCAGCTACTTGGGAGGCTGAGGCAGGAGAATCGCTTGAACGCGGAGGGTGGAGGCTGCAGTGAGCTGAGATTGCACCACTGCACTCTAGCCTGGGCCACAGAGTGAGACTCTGTCTCAAAAAAAAAAAAACAAAACAAACAAAAAAACAACTCCAGATGATTGTGAATAAATTCTTTTTAGTAAAATGTAAGTAGAGTAATTTCTAGGACATTATTAGAAAAAAAGCAAGAAGCTCTGTGTGCCTACTCTGAATGGATCCTGCAACTACAGCTTGGGGGAGGGGTCTAGAGTATTTTTTTTCTTTTTCAGACAGGGTCTCGCTCTGTCACCCAGGCTGGAGTGCGGTGGTGCAATCTCGGTTTACCTCTGTCTCCAGGGTTCAAGCGATTCTTCTACCTCAGCCTTCTTGGTAGCTGGGACTACAGACACGCGCCACCACGCCTGGCTAATTTTTTTGTATTTTTAGTAGAGACGGGGTTTCACCATCTTGGCCAGCCTGGTCTCGAACTCCTGGCCTCAAGTGATCCACCTGCCTCAGCCTCCCAAAGTGCTGGGATTACAGGCGTGAGCCACTGCGCCCAGCCTTAGAATATTTTTTTATTTTTATTTTTTTATTTTTCTTTTTTTTTTTTGAGACGGAGTCTCGCTCTGTCGCCCAGGCTGGGGTGCAGTGGCGTGATCTCCGCTCACTGCAAGCTCCGCCTCCCGGGTTCACGCCATTCTCCTGCCTCAGCCTCTCGAGTAGCTGGGACTACAGGCGCCCGCCACCACGTCCGGCTAATTTTTTGTACTCTTAGTAGAGATGGGGTTTCACCGTGTTAGCTAGGAAGGTCTCTTATCTCTTGACCTCGTGATCCACCCGCCTCCGCCTCCCAAAGTGCTGGGATTACAGGCGTGAGCCACCGCGCCCGGCCCAGCCTTAGGATATTTTTAATTGTAGGTTTTAATAAGTATTGCATGTCGAATGCAACTTTTATTTTGGAGAACGTATGCAAATGTATTCCTGTTTCTTGTTGCTGTTGCATAAATCTTAAAAGACTTTAAAGACTGCATTTTCGTATTGATTCCTAAAACAAAACTTAACAAGCAAGGGGGAAAAAACTCTATGAGGGTAGACAAGAGACCTATTTGATATAATAGATAATAGTGTATGGAGGAATAAAGCAGGAGGAGGAGTAAAGCTTAAACAGCAGTATGGGTAAAATTAAACAGGATACACGTTACATTTATGAATAAAAATTTGTTAGTTGTAATACAATGATAATAGTTGATAGTACTCATGAAGTAATTATTTTTGTCATTTAAAAGAGTCTAGAAAGCATATAATTAGGCTACATACAGATGTCTGAGAATTCAGATGCACCTTTTTCTCTTCAAATAGATGTCATTCTTTTATGCTATACTGATAAACCCACACCACAACCATTTCTGGTGACATCTTGGGCAACACAGTATAATGGTTAAGAGCTGGGCTGTGGGCTCAGATGGTTTGGGATCCACCAAGATTGCTACCCCTTATTAGCTGCATATACTTAGACAATTTACTTACCTTACTATTCTTTGATTTTCTCATTTGTACTTATCCCTTTTTGTATTTGTAAGTATTTAATGTGGTGCTTAGCACATAGTAAGAATAAATATAATTATTTTTTTTTATTTTTTTGGGACAGAGTCTCGCTCTGTTGCCCAAGCTGGAGTGCAGTGGCTCGATCTTGGCTCACTGCAACCTCCGCCTCCCGAGTTCAAGTGATTCTCCTGCCTCAGCCTCCCGAGTAGCTGGGACATAGGCAGGTGCCACCACGCCCAGCTAATTTTTTTATTTTTAGTGGAGATGGGGTTTCACCGTGTTAGCCAGGATGGTCTCGATCTCCTGACCTCATGATCCGCCTACCTCAGCCTCCCAAAGTGCTGGGATTACAGGCGTGAGCCACCGTGCCTGGCCAAATATAATTATTTCAAATTCAGTGTTTAGCAACTTATTTTCAGACCATGATTGTTGTATCAAATATATTGTTTTTCTTTCAATGCTCTGACTTTTAAGATTTTCTGCATTCTTCAATGCGACTTTTTTCTGTTTAATTTTTCATACTTTATTCCTTGTATCAATAGATTAAGAAAGTTAAAGTTTCCCAAGTGTTGATTTATAATGTTTGTGTCATACAAAAAGTTCAGTTTCACAAAGAGTAACATTCAGTGATCTATTTAAATGTAATTTTAATCCTTATTTTAAGGTAAGGGCTTTACAATAAGCTAAATACACACAAACCTGTATATCCTGAACTGCAAAAGCAGATTCCATAGCCATATATGTTTTAATCAAGTACACATTTCCACAGTGAACAAGTACTTAGAAATATGTTAATAGAATACTATCCCAAATGCTTATCCTGTCATCAACTTTTAAAACTGTTCTTGCTACTGAAAGCATTTATTCTGAGAAGATTTAATCTGATATGGGAAAATGAATTCTCCTAAAACTTAACAGATAGTATTTTATAAGCCTCAGAAGGTTTTAAATCAAAAATGCCTTCCAACAAGCATTCACGTGAAACTTTTAGTTTCTTGAAAAATAATCACTCTTGTTATAAGAAGAAAAGAATATTAAGACAAATTTTCTTTTAAGACAGATACAAATTCTTACAAAGAACCGTATTTTTCTATATCATCTCCTTAGAAGGATCACAAACCAGTTCACTACCTTTAATAACCTTTCAGTTTACTGTTGTCCAAAAACTTTAGGATACATGAAGCATGTCTTAGTTATCATAAAGTCAAATATATCTTTTAGATCTTGCATAATAAATAGCTACAGTATAGCTTACAATGGCACAAATATAGCTAACATATAAATACTACTTCATCCTTTAGATAGTCAAAAGTCAGAAGGAAATAAATGGTTTACAAGGTACTTTAACTTATTATGTGTGATCATTGAAACCCAAGAAGTATTTCAAGTATGCTTATTATGTAAAGACAGGCGATTAAAGGCTCAAAGATCACCGTAAAATTGAAGGCATGAAAATAAAAACTGAAAACTTTGTGTTTCTCCATCTTTCAGTTACATGGCTTGATATCTATCAGGACCTTACTATAGAAAATATACAGTTAATATATGTACTTCCCCCAGACGATAATGAAGTTTCAGAAAGTACAAAAGGTGTCAAGATCCATAGTTTACTTCGTCAAATGGTTTTCCAGTTCATTTCAGTTCTGCATTCATAGTAATCAAGTCTTTAACCCTAGCAAACTTCCTTAGGTCCCTTCAAATCAAGAAAACAATATTGTAAACTTGTACTCAACCTCATCTTCCAATTCACATTGCCTTGTGAGTCATTTCAATGATGAACTCTATGACAGGGTCTTCAAGAATATCCCCTGCTCAGTACAAGGATTCTGGCATCCCCTAAACCACATGGCATACATCACAGGTGAGATCTCACTAGCTTGCCAACCTGCAGTGCCCTGCTGGCTCACTCCTAACAGGTTTTTCTCAATGTGATTTTATTAAATCTTGTTATCAACATAATTTTCAGAGGAACCCCTAATTAATTTTATCATTGAGGAATAGGAAAATAACAGCTATACAAAAACGGATTCTTGAGGATCCATTTCTCAAGAATGCAATTATATTTAAATCTAAGAATACCTGTATACATTTAAGAAAAATTATACCTATTGTATTTCAAAAGATTCATCCATCTCACAAATATCTTGGGAGCCCCATACATATGCTGGTACTGTTCTAGGTGTTGAGGATCTTGCGGAGAACAGACTTCCTGCTGTCATTGAGCCTACTTTCAGAGGATGTGGGGAGCAGGTATGGTCTGAAACACATATGATTTTTATAGTAGAATTATAAAAATATTAATGCAAATTATGTTGTTTTCACAGTCAGATATAATTACTGGTGCTCAAGAAGTGGAAATGATGACAAAACAGTTAGGAGCCCATCTGGAACAACTAAAAATGACCATAAAATCAAAGATAGCGGTCCCAACATCACAAGTCTTTGTAAGTATTTGTCATAAACTTTGACCTTAAGGTGAATTTCCTTTTGAGCCCTATAATATTGGATCGCAAGTCATTATAATTATATTTAATTTCTAAAAATATAATGTTTTGTATAAATTGATCCTGTTCTTTATGGTTACTTTGCCGTAATAGTGTGCTATAAGTTGGATGAGAGAATTCCCCCACATAAGCAACTGCTACTAAAGGAACTGCAACTGTATAGTATGATAACCATATCAGTATTGGCTGTGACAACAGAAATAATCATTGTACTGTGGTTGAAAATGTATTCATAGTAGCTGGTCAGAAATTGCCTCCAGTACAGAGATGATGTAACTTGTGACCTTTCTGAAAAGACAGATAATAATCACTTTGTTTACCAGGCCTGCACTTACATTGAGTTTCTGATTATCTGCACCATTTTATGGACAAACCTGGCAAACCTTATCTGGATAAGGAGGTATAAAATGTATGTGCAGTATTATTTTTATTTATTTATTTATTTACTTCAAGACGGAGTCTCGCTTTGTCGCCCAGGCTGGAGTGCAGTGGTGCAATCTCGGCTCACTGCAAGCTCCGCCTCCTGGGTTCACGCCATTCTCCTAGCTCAGCCTCCCGAGTAGCTGGGACTACAGGCGCCCGCCACCATGCCCAGCTAATTTTTTTTGCATTTTTAGTAGGGACAGGATTTCACTGTGTTAGCCAGGATGGTCTTGATCTCCTGACCTCGTGATCTGCCCGCCTCGGCCTCCCAAAGTTCTGGGATTACAGGCATGAGCCACTGCGCCCAGCCTATATGTAGTATTATTATAGAGGATATGAGGCTGTAATAACTTTCTGCAGTCATCCCCAGTATTTGGTTTAAAAACCAAGAAACAAAAGGCTAAATTGTTTAACTTAGATGTGGGGCCTTATTGATTTTTTCATTTGTTCTATAAGTCAGTGACCTTTAATAGGAATAAGAAACATATCTCACTGGCCTCAAATATTTAACTTGCAGCTCACAAAACATGGCCCAAGATATATCTCTATACTTTCCAGGTTCTTTTGCAATGATTTGGCCAGAAAAAATCTAATTATAGTGAGTCATATTTAGCTTTTTAATTTATTTTTTACTTTCTTAATATTGTTATATTTTATTAGATGATCAGTCAGGAAAACAAACAAAAAATGGTCTTCAGTGACACTTTTGTGTTCATTCTCCTCTAAACACATCTTCAGCATCTGATTTTTGGTACTTATGAAGGTGTTTTTTTCTGTATAAATAGGTGTTAACTTGGTGTCCTTGCAGGGTGCGTGGGGGGAACTTTCTATTTTGCCACCTTGCTCCACCCTCCTTTTTTTTTTTTTTTTTTTTTTGAGAAGTAGTTTTGCTCTTTTTGCCCAGGCTGGAGTGCAATGGCCTGATCTCAACTCACTGCAACCTCCGCCTCCCGGGTTCAAGCGATTCTCCTGCCTCAGCCTCCCGGGTAGCTGGGATTGTAGGTGCCCACCACCACGCCTGGCTAATTTTTGTATTTTTAGTAGAGACGGGGTTTTGCCATGTTGGCCAGGCTGGTCTTGAACTCCTGCCCTCAGGTGATCCGCCCACCTTGGCCTCCCAAAATGCTGGGATTACAGGTGTGAGCTACTGTGCCTGGCCGTATTTTTTTTTTTTTCTTAAGACATTTTTCCCTTGGTTTTTTGAGGTGAAGAGTCCATAAATCTTTCTTAGGTGATCACATGTGTTTGGCTTTTTAAAGTAAACTAACTTTATAATAATCGTACTAAAATAAAATGCTTTGAAATAAAATGCAAGTTTATTTTCTCATAATTTATGAGTTAAATGTCTATCTAAAGTCTACTGTCTAAGTTCGTAAGACTTTTGCTTAGGGAGAATTAACTTCTTTACAAATGACAATTGTATTTATCTTAAAGAGTACAGTGATTTATAATTTTATTACACAGTTGCATTTTGAATATTTTTTTTCTCTTCCTCAGCCTATCTTCATTGCACTTTCTACTCTGTGGACCAGCTTGCAAGACGAAACTATTGTGGTTGGTGTCCTCAGTAATTTATTCACTCACATTCAGCCATTCTTGGGTGCTCACGAACTATACTTTCCTGAGAGAGTGATGCAATGTCATCTTAATGGAGCGACTGTGAAAACTGATGTGTGTAGAATGAAAGAACACATGGGTAATGAAAATCATCCATTATTTCCTCTTCTTTTTAAAATTACCTCTAGAATAAAGTCACTCTTTTGTTCTAAAAATTTCATATCTTTCTGATAAAGCATTAAACATTTTTCTTGATTATAAAGTACTAATGAGGGCCGGGTGTGGTGGCTCACGCCTGTAATCCCAGCACTTTGGGGGGCCGAGGCGGGTGGATCACCTGAGGCCAGGAGTTCGACATGGCAAAACTCCGTCTCTACTAAAAATACAAAAATTAGCCGGGCATGGTGGTGGGCGCCTGTAATCCCAGCTACTGGGGAGGCTAAGGCAGGAGAATCACTTGAACCTAGCGGGTCAGAGGTTGCAGTGAGCCAAGATTGTGCCATTGCACTCTAGCCTGGGTGACAGAGTGAGACTCCATCTCAAAAAGAAAAAAAAAAAAAAAGCACTAATGTTTATGAGAGGAGATGTGGAAAACAGAAAAAATGTAAACTGAATAACTTACTGTCCAGCAATAACCATTCGTAGTGTTATCGTTCATGTTTTGGTTAACAATCATTTTTTGTGCAGATGTGTTTCTATTGCAGTCCTAGTAATTTTATTATTGATTTGTTGGAGAAAAGAATATTAATCATTGCTATTTTGTTGCAAATAAAGCTCCATTTCTTTAGAATGTTATTTGTTATATATCTACCTCAGATTCAAGTTGGGAATTTACAAACCAATAAATGTTATCCCTGTAAAATTAATTGAGCTTATTTAGGTCCTTTAGAAGATGCATTGATTCTTACAGAAAAACAATCTTTATCAATAAACTTTTAACCATTTTAGACCCTTCTATCTTAGCTAAAGATACTTTAACATTTATGAGGAATGCCAAAAAAGAGCTTGGGACTTGAGATGTTGATGTTGCATAAAAAGAGAGTTTTTTCAGAAACTGAAATTAATAATTTACTCTATGAATTTTCTTTTCAAATTCTATTTTTTAAAGATGAAAAATAAAAATATAGCAGTCATTTCCCAAACTATTAGAATTCATAAAAACTGAAAACTAAACCAGAAACTAAAAAATATCCTTTCAGTTCAAGTTTTTTATTGCTCATTTCATTTCATTAAAGCAGCATATGTAAGCAAATATTAAATGAAATTGAAAAGTTAAAGTATCTCCAACAGTGTATATTAAGCTAACCATATTGGCAAGACTGTTTACCTGCAACTTCTTAGATTTAGATGTGTCATTTTCTACCATACGTCAGAACTTTTTATTCACTAGAACACTATTAAATTACCACTCCATTGAATTGGTCAAGCCAGTGTTGTTCTAAAAGAATTTCATTTACACCTGCCACATATTGTCATTGTTAGAGGCTTTCAGGCATATCAGGAAAAAAGAGAGAGGATTTATTTTCTCTAAATTATGCATTTACTTTTAGTGGTAGCCACAAGATCGTTTGTGGTGCCTGCTTTTTGGGTTTAGAACCAGGCACAGAAGTGTACGTGAGATTGTGAAAGCTAAGAAACTTCAGGAACAATGTTTTATAAATACGTGGTATTATTTGTGTAAAAATTTATTCAGTTTGCTTATCAAATGTAAATAGGTAAGCTAACCAACATAGGAAGAATTTTTAAAAATATAAAGAACAAAAATTACACACCTTGTTATCAAAATCAGGTAACATTTTCTTGACTTTCTGCTCAGAACCTTCTCTGTTGTTTCAAGAAGCAATAGTCCTAGTTTATAAG
The DNA here is from genome assembly GCF_000001405.40 of Homo sapiens. NCBI lineage: Eukaryota > Metazoa > Chordata > Mammalia > Primates > Hominidae > Homo > Homo sapiens. Next base: position 87,430,546 of record NC_000006.12, read on the forward strand.
CATCATATTAAACATATTTTGCCACCTAGCATATTATTAAGAACAACACTATATTGAATGAGGTCAATATATCTCTTTCTGGGTCACATAGCAGCCAGTCTATTCTGCTCAACTCCTTGGGTTATTTACTCTGCAGCAGCAGGAAGCACCACACACTTTCGGAAGTGCCCCAGTCAGCTTTTCTCTCAGCAGCAGAGCATGCTTGTCAGAAATGGCCTCTCCTTTCTGTTCTTCATTCTGGAGCAAAATCCTACCTCCAAGTTTGCCCCAGAAACTTACGTGACGTTATATGTCACTGAGGTCATTTGTACTTCTTTGCTTGAATAGACTTCCTCATAAATCTGGTTTTGTGAATATCAAGTTTTTGCCCATCGGGAAAAGTACAAAGCAATAAAAAGGTAATGTTTAGAATGAGCTACTGCTGATTTATTTTGGAAATTTAACCTTCTCACTGAATTAAAGCTTTTCTTCTTCTCCTTCATTTTAGAAGATAGAGTAAATGTGGCAGATTTCAGAAAACTAGAATGGCTTTTCCCAGAAACAACAGCAAATTTTGATAAACTGTTAATTCAATATCGGGGATTTTGTGCTTACACGTTTGCTGCAACAGATGGTCTTCTCCTTCCAGGTATATCATTGGAAATGAGACTGCTCTCCTTTCCCCGATTTTTTCTTTATATGGAGTTCTGTCATTGTCACTTGAATATTCACTTTAAAAACTTTATGGAATCTAATGGTGAACTAACAAAGGATCTACAAAGATGATCCAGACAAAGTCTTCATTTTGGAGGTGCTCTGGTAGACTGACATAAGCAAGAAATTATAAGTGATTAGTAATGGAAAGTGTATATGTGTTATGAAATATGGATGCTGCAGTACCATTGAAAGGGGATGACTCATATGGCCAATGAAGAATTCTAGAAATGTTACACGACATTGGCTGCATGCAGTGGCTCACGCCTATAATTCCAGCACTTTGGGAGGTCAGGGCGGGTGGATCACTTGAGGTCAGGAGTTGGAGATCAGCCTGGCCAACATGTCGAAACCCTGTCTTTACTAAAAATACAAAAATTAGCCAGGCATGGTGGCACACGCCTGTAGTCCCAGCTACTTGGGAGGCTGAGGCAGGAGAATCACTTGAACCCGGGAGGCAGAGATTGCAGCGAGCTGAGATAACTCCACTGCACTTCAGCTGGGCAACAAAGTGAGACTGTCTCAAAAATAAAACAAAAGAAATGTTACACAACATTACTAAAAATATATCTTCCAAAGTAATTACTGAAAGAGCAACACTTATTTGACATGTTTGTTAAAAAATATTCTTTGTTACTTTGCAGTTATATTTCACTGGCATAGATAGGATTTCTCTGTTAGACGCCTATAAGGAAATGGCTAATATCAAGTAAAATTTCTCTATGATGTATATATTATTAGAGCTTCTCCAAAATAAAGAATAAATCAGAGATAGAGATGAAAGAAATTATCATCCAAAAAGTGCTGTGTGAATTGTGAATAAGAAAAAGCCTGCCAGGGCTAGAATGAAAACAGTGTGACAAGATTGTGTCTTAATTTACTTTACGCCATTAACCTTATTTTTCTTCTTTCTTCATTATTTTTTTCTTTATTTCTTTTGTTATGTTTCACAATTGGGTATTTTTTCATTAAAAATAACTATTGGGATTGTGGGTATACAGGCTAGAGAGAACACACAATTGGCTCATTTAAAAAATGTTATTACATTTTTGATAATGGGAATAACAAAATATTTACTGTGGGAAGTTGAAAGTAATATTCTGAGGCCCAGTGAGGGTCACTGATACTGGGGAGAAAACAATCAAGAGCCATGCAGAAGTAAAATGCAATGGAATGTAGATAGTTTCCTTTTCTTTCTCCTCCCTCCCTCTCTCCCTCCCCTCCTGCCTCCCCCTCTCCATTCCTTCCTTCCTTCCCTGTTTCACACAAATAAGAAGGGAAAGGAGAAACACGGATGTGGGGTGATGGCAGAGGAAGCAATGATATGGTTGGAAAAGCTATGGGCTAGGGTTCAGAAGAGCCTGGTCTGTGTCCTTAGTGAACTAGGTAACCTTTATGAAATCTCACACCTTCTGTGGACCTCAGTTTCTCCTCAAGAAAATGAAAAGGATCAACCAGGAGGTCTGTATGGTCCCTTCCAGGGTCTCCCAACTCTGGGTCTAAGAAGAAAGAGGGTGAAGTAGAAAAGTAGAAGAGCTTTTGGGGCCATGAGTTTCATATTCCTCTCTGGATAAGTGAATTCTGACGATTTCTGCTTACTACATTATTTCTACTTCATTATTTTCTGGGCAGCAGCAACCTGCATTACCTCAGATGAATTCTGTAGAACTTCCCTTCTTCCATTCAGGAGTGGAGACCACATGCCTTAAATCCCAGGGTAACACTGGCACTTACCAGTCAGAATCCTTTTCCGATGACTTCATTGACTTCATTGCCTACCACGCTTTGCCTCGTTTGCTCCACTTCAGTGGCACTGGCTTTCTTGCTGTTGTTGAACAGTTGAAGCCCACTTTCACCTCAGAGCCTTTGCACTCTTGGAAAAACTCTGCCTCCCAGGTTGCTAATCGCCTTGCTGCCTCATTTTATTCAGCCTTCCCTAATCACTCAATTTAAAATATCAATTGCACACTTCTTCCTTTTACTATGTATTTAACCTGCTTTATTATTTTTTTCATGTAGCACATGTCACTCTGTGACCTATGATATATTTGTGATTTTTTGAGAGCAGGGAATTTGTTATCTTCTATAGCCTTAGCACCATGAACATGGTCAATAACTATTTGTTGGATAAATGAAAGAATAAATGAGTAAGACAGTGTTGCTCTTTCTAATACAACTTCCACAAACTATGTGGATATTTAATTATCTATAGTCTATGTAGTATCTTTTTACAGTGAAAAATATTTGCTAATATGCAAATTTGAGTTTTGGAAAAGATGTCCCATTTTTGTAGTTCTTACTGGGTTATTTTAAACATAGTCCTTGCAGTAGTTAGTTGAAGTAGCTTTGAAAAATCTACCAGATGAGTAAGTGGCTTTTCATAAAAGATTTTTACAATTATTATATCTGGATAGTGGAAAGTATTTTTACATAAAATACAGTTTAAAATCATACTTTAACATAAAAATATAATTAGTATGTATTTCACATATCATTTAAAAATGTATAAATTAAAATGATAATTATAACATTTTAGCAAAATAAAAGCATAACTGATATGTTAAAAATGGAGTGGAAGGGGCTGGGCGTGGTGGCTCATGCTTGTAATCCCAGCACTTTGGGAGGCCAAGGTGGGTGGATCACCTGAGGTCAGGAGTTCAAGACCAGCCTGACCAATTTGATGAAACCCCGTCTCTATTAAAAATACAAAAATTAGCTGGGTGTGGTGGTGCACACCTGTAATCCCAGCTACTCAGGAGGCTGAGACAGGAGAACTGCTTGAATCCAGGAGGCAGAGGTTGTAGTGAGCTGAGATCACACCACTGGACTCCAGCCTGGGTGACAGAGCAAGACTTCGTCTCAAAAAAAAAAGGAGTGGAAGGGCCAGGAACAGTGGCTCATGCCTGTAATCCCAGCACTTCGGGAGGCCGAAGTGAGCAGATCGCTTGAGTCCACGAGTTCGAGACCAGCCTGGGTGATGTGGTGAAACCCCATCTCTACAAAAAAGGTTAGCTAGGTTGGGAGACACATGCCTGTAGTCCCAGCTACCTGGGAGGGTAAGGCAGGAGGATCTCTTGAGCCCGGGATGTTGATGCTGCAGTGAGCTGAGACTGCGCCACTGCACTCCAGCCAGGTTGATAAGACGCAGTCTTATCAACTTATCTTTTGAGACACAGTCTCAAAAAAAAAAAAAAATGGAGTGGATGAGGAATGGCTCTATGGTATGTTACAAACACAGAGTAACAATATTTCTTTTTCTTTTTCTTTTTTTTTTTTTTTGAGACAGTCTTGCTCTGTCACTTAGGCTAGAGTGCAATGGCACGATCTCAGCTCACTGCAACCTCCGCCTCCCAGGTTCAAGCTATTCTCCTACCTCAGCCCCCTGAGTAGCTGGGATTAGAGGTGCACACCACCACGCCCATCTAATTTTAGTATTTTTAGTAGAGACGGGGTTTCACCTTGTTGGTCAGGCTGGTCTTGAACTCCTGACCTCAGGTGGTCTGCCTGCTTTGGCCTCCCAAAGTGCTGGAATTACAGGCGTGAGCCACCATGCCCAGCCAGAATAACAATATTTCATAAGTGATCAAGACATTTCATATCTAATTCTTTTTTTATTTTCAGGAAATCCAGCAATTGGAATTTTAAAATATAAAGAAAAATATTACACATTCAATAGTAAAGATGCTGCATATTCATTTGCAGAAAATCCTGAACATTATATTGACATAGTTAGAGAAAAGGCCAAAAAAAATACAGAGTTAATTCAACTATTGGAACTTCATCAACAGTTTGAAACATTTATTCCATATTCTCAGGTAAGCAGGGTCAATATTTTATGAATTTATGACATTTAAAAATATAGTTAATTTAAAAGTTGTATTTTGTTGTAGAATGCTTCCCAGGTCCACACAGAGAGAGTCAGATGAGGGTCTTTACAGGTTGTCTGAAAGGGATTCATATCTGAAGATGAAAACTAATTGAATCAAAGAATAATGAAAACAGGATATGGAGTCAAATTGATGAATTAGGAAATGGGGAAAATCTGAATCAGAACAACTTCATTGACTTATAAATAATTGAAGCTGCAGTATATTTCTGTATCTGAAATTGGAGGAGCTCAACACAGATAACACAGATAGTAACTTATACTCAGAGCTGCAAAACAATTTAACAGGTTTAAATTGTAGTAGTCTGAAAGGCCACAGAATGGATCTCAAGGTGGGTTTCTTGTATGTCTGTGCCTATTGATTAATTCATTCATCTTATTTAGTAAGCCACTTATTGTGTGTCAGTAATTATTCTTGGCATAAGGGATTTCATGAAACAAAACAGATAAAAATCTCTACCGGTTTGGAACTCACATTTGAATGCCGTATATTCTAATGTTCTTCCTCTTTGTCTCTCATTTTCGTTGTTCATCTCTTTTTTTGTTCTTTTTAGAGGCAAGGTCTCACTCTGTCACCCAGGATGGAGAGCACTGGCACAATCATAGCTTACTGTACCTTCCAACTCCTGGGTTCAAGGGATCGTCTTGCCTCAGTCTCCCAAGTAGCTGGGACTACAGGCAGGTGCCACCATGCCTGGCTAATTTTTTTAAAAAACTTTTTTGTAGAGATGGGGTCTCGCCATGTTGCCCGGGCTGGTCTCAAACTTGTGGCTTCAAGTTATCCTCCCGCCTTGGCATCCCAAAGTGTTGGGATTATAGGCACGAGCCACCATGCCAAGCCTGTTGTTCATCTCTTAAGTGGTCTTTCTTTCTCTCCTGTCTCTTGTTGAATTCCTCTCTTTTAAACTCACTAAAATGAAAACATTTTGAAATACATGGTTTAAAATGTCTGTTGTTTCCTTTTTTTTTTTTTTTTTTTTTAACCAAGTCTTGCTCTGTTGCCCAGGCTGGAGTGCAGTGGTGTGATCTCAGCTCACTGCAACTTCCGCCTCCCAGGTTCAAGCAATTCTCCTGTCTCAACTTTCTGAGTAGCTGGAACTATAGGCGGACACCATCACGCCTGGCTAATTTTTGTATTTTTAGTAGAGATACGGTTTCACCATGTTGGCAAGGCTGGTCTCAAACTCCTGACCTCAGGTGATCCACCCACCTTGGCCTCCCAAAGTGCTGGGATTACAGGCGTGAGCCACCACGCCCGGACTTGTTTGCTATTTTTATCAACATTTTAACTCTAAAGCAGGTGGGCTTTGTGCCATTGACCTGGCCAGCAGAGATCCAAGCAGTAAGTAGTGAGAGGACTGTTGGGCTGGTGACAGAGGAGCACAGAGGATGGTCTGAACACACAGGCAAGAAGACCAGAAACAAGCTAGGGACTAAGTCATCTGAGGAGGGTGGGGGGAAGTATGGTAGTCAGGACCATGGACAGCTCAGTTGGTGCTGCTATTCTGACATCGTGATGTGCTGTGTTCTGACATTGTGTTATTCTGACATCGTGATGACATCGTTGATGTAGCACTCCAGCTCCCCTTTCCAATGAAGCTATTCTGCAGAGTCCTAGGTTCCTACTGTTGTGATGAGAGATTGGTCTCGTCTACAGTGCCTTTCTGTATGTGAGCCAAATAGTAGGTAGGCCTACAATTTTTGTTTCCACTAAAAAGTTACTCTGAAAATGTACTAATTTAACTTCATTATAAGGCTTGTCAGTTACCCATAATCCTGCGAGGACGTGTTAATACCTCAGTTTGTAATATTTGCCAATTTGATGAATTTAAAATGGTACTTATTATTGTTTGTTTTTTTTTCTGAGACGGAGTCTTGCTCTGTTGCCCAGGCTGGAGTGCAGTGGCGTGATATCAGCTCACTGCAACCTCCACCTCCCAGGTTCAAGCAATTCTCTGCCTCAGCCTTCTGAGTAGCTGGGATTACAGGCGTCTGCCAACATGCCTGGCTAATTTTTGTATTTTTAGTAGAGACGGGGTTTCACCATCTTGGTCCAGCTGGTCTTGAACTCCTGACCTTGTGATCCACCTGCCTTGGCCTCCCAAAGTGCTGGGATTACAGGTGTGAGCCACTGCACCAGGCCCTTATTACTGCTTTATTGTGCATTTTTCTGATAGTGATGTTTAGCATTTCTTCTTATTTATCTGTTCAGGTTTCCCCTTCTGTACATTGCGTATTTATAACTTTTGCCGTTTTTTTTTCCATTTGCTGTTTCTGTTTTTAAGTTGTTGATTGGCAGTTCCTTGTCTATTCTAAATATTAATCCTTTATAAGTTATAAAAGTTGCAAATGTCTTTTCCCAGCCTGACACCTCTGTTAACTTTGTAAGTTGAATCCTTCATTGAAGACACATCTTTAATTTTAATGTAGTCATATCTATTAATTTTTTCCTTTACAGATTGTGCTTTTTTTAAAATCTTATTTTAGAAATTCTCCTCTGTCCTAGGATTATTCTTTACATTTTATTTTTATTTTATTTTTATTTTTTTGAGACAGAGGCTCACTCTGTAGCCCAGGCTGGAGTGCAATGACATGAACATGGCTCACTACAGTGTTGACCTCCTGGGTTGAAGCAATCCTCTTGCCTTGAGCTTTTGTGTAGCTGAGACCACACAGGCATGCACCAACCATGCCTGGCTAATTTTTTTTTTTTTTTTTTTTTTTTTTAGTTTTAGTTTTTCTAGAGACGGTGCCTCACTTTGTTGCTCAGGCTGGTCTTGAACTCCTAGGCTCAAGCAATCCTCTTGCCTCAACCTCCCAAAGTGCTGGGATTAAATGTGTGAGCCACCACATCCAGCCCATTTTCTTCTTTTTAAATTGTCAATCTATATAACAGATACTCTCTAAAAGGAAATGATATTTGTTCAGGACCAGGCACTGCAATGGGAATACACTTGCCATAGTAAACCATGTGTGTATTAAGAGAGGTAAAGAAAGACAAAGTCTGTTAAGGGAAAAATTAGGAGGATTACATAATTGTTTAAGATAATTATCCTGACCAGGCGTGGTGGCTCACGCCTGTAATCCCAGCACTTTGGGAGGCTGAGGCGAGTAGATCACAAGGTCAGGAGTTCGAGACCATCCTGGCCAACATGGTGAAAATCTGTCTCTACTAAAAATACAAAAATTAGCTGGGTGTCTTGGCACATGCCTGTATTCCCAGCTACTCGGGAGGCTGAGGCAGGAGAATCGCTTGAACCAGGGAGTCAGAGGTTGCAGTGAGCTGAGATTGCATCACTCCACTCCAGCCTGGCAACAGAGCGAGACTCTTGTCTCAAAAAAAAAAAAAAAAAAAGATCATTATTCTTGGCTTAGTTGGACAGGCAGTTGCTGGGCAGATGTCATCACAGAAATATTTTTTCTGTGTAAAGTTGTGGTGGCCTTTGTGCAGGATTGTGTTTTTTGGAGAGTCTTTTGTGATAATTTTTATTGGGGATTTGCCACAAGAGCCCTTCCTTCATGGCCGATTTGCCACAAGAGCCCTTCCTTCATGGCCGTCCCTGGCTCTATTTGTCAGAGTTTTTAACACAAGTGACAACATTTTTATTCTGACAACTTTCACACAATTTATTTTTTACATTGAGATCTTTAGTCTATTTGGAGATAATAAAGGATTCTAATTTTATTTTTCTTCATGTAGTAAGCCAGTTTTCCTAACACGATTTACTAAATAATGTAAATGTATTTCCCACAAAATACAGTGCACCTCTATTGTATTAACAACTTTCATATGAAATAGGTTTGTTTCTAGGCCTTCTATTCTGTTGCATTGGTCTATTTATCATCTCTATCCTAATACCACACTGCTTTAATTACTATTGCTTTGAAATGTATTTTATTATCTGATAAGGAAGCTCTCTTCTTTGCCTTTTAGTTTTCAAAATTTTCCATGTAAGTTTCTTAATGAATTTGCTAAGTTTCCCCAAAAAATCTTACTGGAATTTTAACTGGAATTGCATTAAACTAATGAAATAATATGTGGGGGAATTTACATATTTATTATATTGGATTGTCCCATCAATAAAAATACCATTTGCATAGTGTTTTTTCCTATGGTAGTTTCATTAATTATGCCTTCATAAAACTTGATGGATTTAGTTATATTTTATTCTCTACCTATTTCTAAAATAGTAGTTGAGTTTTTGCCATTCATGTATGTATTCCTAAATAATATATTTCTGTGAAATGACCTCATTTTGCCCAATTTTCTGTTAGTTGATTTCTCTTTATCTTAGTGATTTGCAGGAAGTGTTTTTTCAAAATTGTATTTTGCTTATGAATTCTTTGTTAAATATATGTTTTGAAGATATGTTTTCTTAGTTTGTAGCTTATGTTTTCATTCTTTTTGTGGTGTCTCTTGATGAACAAGTCTTTTATTTTAATGTGTAATTTGTCATTATTTTTTCTTCATGTCTTGTTTAAGAAGTTCTTACGTATTTTGAGATCACGAAAATATTCTTACCTTTTTTTAAAAGAAATATGTTTTGTCTATTATGTAGAGCCTTTAGTCCACTTGGATTTTATTTTTGTTTGTGGTGGGAGGTAAAGATCCAATTTTATTTTTTTCCCATTTGTAGTGAAATTGTCGTAGACCATTTGTTTAATAGTCTCTCCTTTCCTCACTGATCTACAGTGTCTTATCAATAACCACAGGCTTAGTTTTGCACTCTCTATTATGTTCAGTTATTCAATTTTAAAAAAAATCCTATACTGATATCTTCAATAGCTTTATAAGTCTTGATATCTGGTAGAGTAAGTTTTCACATTCTTTCTTCTCCGAAAAGTCTTGTCTGTACTAGAATCTTTACTTTTATAAATTTGAGAAGTACATAATGAAGTTCCATTAAAAACCCTTGAAGGAATACTGATTGAAATTGCCTTGTATATGTAGGTTAGTATGAGAAGAATAGACATTTTTACAACATTGAGTCTCCCTATCCAAAGCATCAATGTAGTTTTATAATATTTCCTATCAAAGAATTGCACATTTTTTGGTTAGATTTATTTGTAGGGACTTTATATTTTTTGTTGCTATTTTAAATGCTGTTGATGCTTAGGATTGAATTTTAGTTCATTATTGCTTATATTATGGAAATGCAGTTTAATTTCTGCATATTGATTTTATATTCAGCAACCTTAATAAACTCCCTTACTAATTCTAATAATTGATATTTGAGAGTCTATTGATATTTAGAGTCTGTTAGTTTTTTTTTCTTAATGTGGGCCATCACAATATATGCAAATGATAATTCCTTCCCCTAGACTTTGTATTTTTTTTAACGCGATATTGCTTTATTACAGGAGGTGAGTGTTGTTGTGGGGAGCGAGGGCATCATGGTGAAGAAATAAATCAGAGGACTGCAAATGCAGGGAGCGATAATGTTAAAATCGTAATATGCAAAATGAACAATTGCAATCATTTTCTTAAGACTCAACTCATAGATGGAAAATTTTAATTGCTAATGCAGAAAGCATCTGTATGAAGTAGAAACTGGTTTTGATAACATAAGTAGAGAATATCTAGAAAATGGAGGTAAATTAGATGTAAAATTCTGGCAGCAATGTAATGTCCCCAGTGGTAAGGCTGAGGCCAGCATCTAATGAGGATGAAAGTTCTGTAGGGAATTTTGGGTGGTACTTGGAGAAATATTACACTATGCGTAAACCAAGCTGAATTGCTTTCACAAGTGTTAAGAAGTATCATATAGTAAAAGGTTTGTTTGTTTTTTCTACAAGCACTCCATTTTCACAGCAAGAGTGGTACAGAATACTTAAACAAGGAAGAGAGTATTCATGGAAGATATAGTATGTAGCTCTTTGATATACTAATGCATAAAATTCAAAATGATTAAACTATAGTACATGTGGAGCTTTTTACAATGGCAAGGTGGTGGTTACAGAAAGCATGGCCCTAGGGTATCAGTCTCTAGAAAGCAACCACCACCCTTCTATGTGTGTTCTCATTTTTCATTTTTCTTAATCAGCTCTGCTGTTGGCTGCTTCTTAGCAAAACTGGTAAAAACAAAATTGTAATCATTGAACATAGTACTCTAGCAATCAGGACATTTAAAATCTTCCATATTCTAGGGGCAAAGAAGGTAGTGAGTGACATTTAAAACTATGATTTACAAGCAAAGTGGTAAAAACTTTTCCTGCATGAAAGACTTCCACAACTTTCCCAATCAGGTCATCACAGAAGGTCTGACTTAAGGTGGTTTTGAAGCCAACGTAAAAAATTCTGTTTCTGGAGTGATGTGAATAGTCTGGTAAATTCCATCCTATTTCATTCCATTGATTAAATACCCACAAGGATTTAACAGTGTGGCAGAACCTAGTATTAGGTCACTATTTCCACTCTCATGAGTGACATCCTTTGTAGTGATGCCATCATTCATGTAGGACTGACTCATAACTGCTTGGTCAAGCTCACTATCAGAATTTCCAGGGTTTAATCTGTTTGCTTGCCAGATTCTCTGGGAAATCCAAAGTATATACAAGTACCAACAGTCAGAATTCACACATTCCATACAATATGTCGTTCCACTTGGGAAAATTACATTAAGAAACTGTTTCTTCCTAGAAATTCTGGTGTGGGCACACTTGGTGAGAAGGCTTCATGAAATTTCAGGCGAATAAGAGAAGCTTTTCATTGAGCCAAATCCGATGTCATCCCTAGCAAACTTCAACAGGGGAACCAGTGCTTTCAGCAAAAGTTGGTCCCATATGTCTTCCAAATAAAATGTCTCTTGGAGATAAACGTGCTACTGTCACTGAGTACATAAGCTTCCTGATTGTCAGTTTTTGTCACACTTATGATGGAAAATTGCAGATCCTTCCAAAATATGTCACCCTCAGATCTTGGAGTGGTGAAAAGACTTCCAGATTTTTGGTTTGCATCGGGTTGCTGCCAGGAGGACCTCCAGCAGCTTCTAGGTCCCATTGAAAAACTGTGCAACTTCCATCATCGTGAGACTAGAGAACAATCAACAACCACAGCAAATCAACTAAATGAAATACCTTTTTCTTTTTCTGCTGCTGCTGCAAATTGTTCAGGATGTGTTACATTCTGGTTCCTTTTTTGCTATAATTTTATATTGATATTTTTTAAGGATTAAAAACTCTTCCTGGCTTTTTCTTTCTTTCTTTTTTTGGTAAGTAAAAGTTGAATTTGAGACAGGAAATAGAGGCAGATACAGTTCAGTCTCCTGTAGTCTGTTGTTTCACCATTAGAGAGTAGAGTGAGCACTAGCTAATGTTGCAGTACGTACTGTGGAGGACTGTAGATGTCATTATACTCTTTACTTTTATCTTACTACATTGACAAGCAACTCTAGTATAGTATCAAATAGAGGTAGCGAAATTGGGCAACTTTGTCTTCTTATCCCCCCAAATAATATTTCTGATATTTCATAATTGCAGTGTTCATTGTAGCTTTTTGTGGATTTTGTTTTATTAGGTTAAGGGTTTCCTCTCTAATCTCATTTGCTGAGAGTTTTTTATATGAATAGTTATTGAATTGTATCAAATACTATTTCTGTGTCTTTTGAGATGATCGTTTGGCCTTTATCCTTTAATCTGCTAATGTGGTGAATTATATTATTTCTAAGATTAAGCCAACTTTGCATTCCTGGGCTCAATCCAACTTGGTATAGTTTATTTTATTTATTTAAAAAATACATTCTTGAATTCAGCTTTTTAATTTTTCTTTAGAAGTTTTACATTTATATTCCTCAGTGCAATTAACCTATGCATTTCCTTTCTTTTGCTGTCCGTTGTTTAGATGTGAAAGTTATACATGTCTTATAAATGAGTATGAATGTTTTATATTTTCTTTTCTCTGAAAGAATTTATGTATAATTGGAATTATCTGGTAATGTATGCTGATAAAGCTCTCTGGGTTTCTTTGGTTGGAAACATTATAACTATGCTAAATTAAACTATAAGTTTAACTACTTTTGTGATTACAGGAATTTTTTCCAGGTAGTTTGTTTCTTTTGTATCAGATTCAATAAGTTGCATTTTTCTAGGAATTTATTCAAATCATCTAAGTTTTTAAACTTATGAAGATTTCACAATATCCTTTTACTATTTGTTTAAACTCTACATTATCTTATGCTGTCTTTTAAACTCCAGATATTGTTTATTTGAGTCTTCTCTCTTTTTATTTTGATTAATCTTGCCAGAGCACTAGTTTCTCAGTCTTTTTAAAGAATCAGCATTTGACTTTATTGACCCTATTTCATGACTGCTTTCATTTTATATTTTCTTTTCTGATCTTTATTATTTTCCTTTATCTAGTTCCTTCATTTTATTCTGTTTTCTAACTTTTAAAGATAGATGCTTAGCTCATTAGTTTTTAGCCTTTCTTTTTAACTTAATGCAATAAATTTCCTTTTTACTATACTATGAGAGTTGTATGTCACATAAGTTTTTTAAAAATGATTACAACCTTTATTTTAGATTCAGGGTGCAAAAGTGCAGGTTTGTTACATGGGTATATTGCATGAAGCCGAGGCTTGGGGTATGACTGATCTTGTCACCCAGGTAGTGAGCATAGTACCCAACAGTTTTTCAGCCCTTGCCCTCCTCTCTCTCTCCCCACTCTAGTAGCCCCCAGTATCTGTTGTTGCCATCTTGATGTCCATGAGTACCCAGTGTTTAGCTCCTACTTATGAGTGAGAACATGTGGTATTTGGTTTTCTGTTCCGGCATTAATTTGTTCAGGATAATGGCCTCCAGCTCCATCCATGTTTCTGCGGCATACTTTTAAACATAGCTATTTTCATCATAGTTCGGTTCTGAATGTTTTCTAATTCTCTTTAGCATTTCTTCTTTAGATTGTAGGTTATTTATGTCTGTTAGTTTACTCACAAAGAGTTTCCATTTTGCAATGCAAAGCTATTATTGATATCTAATTTTTAAAAAGAATCAAGAGACTTTTAAAATTTGTTTTGAATATTTTTAAGGTTTAAAAAGTGTTTAAAGTTTGTAATTCCTAGTAGGAAAACATTATCTGAATGGATACGCTAATGGCAAACCACTGTAAAATGCTTCAGCTGCATTTGGGGTAGAGGGGTGGGGATTATTCTCAAAGCACCCCAGTTCTCTTGATGAGAAGGTCAGAGGTACACTGGTTTGTATTGTTGCAACATGCATTAGGTGGTCCAGGTTGCGTTTCCTTCACCAAGGGCATTATTTATCAGAAGGGCATTACGCTTGACCTACAAATTTGGCTGACAATTTACTAATGAGATTTGTAACCTTTCCATTTTACTGGTATTTTGACATACTTGCTGGGTTGTAGGCCACATCCTAGAAGGCCACCATAACTTCTGGACCCTGTATGGCTGCAAGAACCTCTGGATCACTAAGAATGTCATTGAGTTCAGGCATTCCTGCCATTCCAGGCATTCCTTCATGAACATTAACAGGCCTTCCCACAGGAAAGCCAGCTGGAAAAGAGAGCCTACTGAGTTCCTGATCCCTCTGGGCTCTCTCATGCTCTTTTCTGAGCCTTTTTAACTATTTTTTCTTTGATCGCTCACTCTTCATGGTTTTGCTCATACTTTCTCTGATGTTCTGCAATTTTCTAGGCCCTAGGTTGAACTTCTTTCAGCATTGTGCTAGCATCTTTGTAATCCAATTTACAGACAAGGGGCAAGATCATGGGCTGCTTCTTCCCAGTGGCCCAGAAGTCTGTGTGTGAAAAGCGCTTGTAAGGCTCACCACTTGTAAGCCTGGGCTGAATCAGGATTTATTTCAATGGCTCTGTTACAATATCAGATGGCAGCATTTGGCTTCTGTAATTCGTTGAAGACACTGGCTCTCTTTGGCATGTAGAATGGTCAAGAGAGGATTCAGCTTGAAGGCATCTGTGAATAAGTCAATGGCTTTCTACGGTTCACCATCATTTAGGGCTTCAGTGGCAGCCACTTTCTTATCATTTGCGTAATCCATCATCTGTTATAGCTGCATTTTCATCTCCCCTTTCTTTTTTATTTTTAAAATTTATTTTATTATTACGTTTTAAATTTTAAGTTCCAGGATACATGTGCAGGACATGCAGGTTTATTACACAGGTAAATGTGTGCTGAGGTGGTTTGCTGCCCCTATCAACCCATCACCTAAGTATTAAGCCCAGCATGCATTAGCTATTTTTCCTGATGCTCTCCTTCTCCTTGCCCCTCCAGCAAGCCCCACTGTGTGTTGTTCCTCTCTGTGTCCATGTTTTCTCATTGTTCAGCTCCCACTTATAAGTGAGAACACGTGGTGTTTGGTTTGCTGTTCCTGCGTTAGTTTGTTGAGGATAATGCCTTCCAGCCCCATCCATGTCCCCGCAAAGGACATGATCTCATTCCTTTTTATAGCTGCTTATTATTCCATGGTGTATATGTACCACATTTTCTTTATCCAGTTAACCATTGATGGGCACTTAGATTGATTCCATGTCTTTGCTATTGTGAATAGTGCTGCAGTGAACATACACATGCATGTATCTTTATAACAGAATAATTTATATTCCTTTGGGTATATACCCAGTAATAGGATTGCTGAGTCAAATGGTATTTCTGGTTCTAAGTCTTTGAGGAATCACCATACTATCTTCCACAATGGTTGAACTAATTTACACTCCCACTAACTATAAAAGCATTGCTATTTCTTCACAGCCTCACCAGCATCTGTTGTTTCTTCACTTTTTAATAATCGCCATTCTGACAGGCATGAGATGATACCTCATTGTGGTTTTGACTTGCGTTTCTCTAATCAATGATATTGAGCTTTTTTTCATATGTTTGTTGGTTGCATGAATGTCTTCTTTTGATAAGTGTCTGTTCATGTCCTTTGCCCACTTTTTAATGGAGTTGTTTGTTTTTCTCTTGCAAATTTGTTTAAGTTCCTTATAGATTCTAGATATCAGACCTTTATCAGATGGATAGATTGTAAAAATTTTCTCCCATTCTGTAGGCTCTCTGTTCACTCTGATGATAGTTTATTTTGCTGCGCAGAAGCTCTTTAGTTTAATTAGATCCCATTCATCAGTTTTTGCTTTTGTTGCTGTTGCTTTTGACATTTTTGTCATGAAATATTTGCCCATGTGTATATCCTGAATGGTATTGCCTAGATTTTCCTTTAGGGTTTTTATAGTTTAATAGTTTTGGGTTTTACATTTAAGTCTTTAATCCATCTTAAGTTAATTTTTGTATAAGGTGTAAGGAAGGGGTCCAGTTTCAATTTTCTGCATATGGCTAGCCAGTTCTTCCAGCACCATTTATTAAATAGGGCATCCTTTCCCCATTGGTTGTCAAAGATCATATGGTTGTAGGTGTGCAGTTTTATTTCTGAGTTCTCTATTCTGTTCCATCGGTCTATGTGTCTGTTTTTGTACCAGTACCATGCTGTTTTGGTTACTGTAGGCTGCAGTATAGTTTGAAATTGGGTAGCATGATGCCTTCCGCTCTGTTCTTTTTGCTTAGGATTGTCTTGACTATATGGGCTCTTTTTTGGCTCCATATGAATTTTAAAGTAGTTTTTCTAATCTGTGAAGTATGTCAATGGTGGTTTAATGGGAATGCCATTGAAGGTATAAGTTACTATGGGCAGTATGGCCATTTTCACAATATTGATTCTTCCTATTCATGAGAATGGAATGTTTTTCCATTCGTTTGTGTCTTCTCTGATTTCCTTGAGCAGTGGTTTATAGTTCTCCTTGAAGAGGTCCTTCACTTCCCTTGTTAGCTGTATTTCCAGGTATTTTATTCTCTTTGTGGTAATTGTGAATGGAAGTTCATATCATGGTTTGGCTCTCTGCTTGCCTGTCGTTGGTGTATAGGAATGCTTGTGATTTTTGCACATTGATTTTGTATCCTGAGACTTTGCTGAAGTTGCTTATTACCTTGAGAAGCTTTTGGGCTAAGACAGTGGGGTTTTCTAGATAGAGGATCATGTCATCTGGAAACAGACAGTTTTACTTCTTCTCTATTTGAATATCCTTTATTTCTTTCTCTTGCCTGACTGCCCTGTCCAGAACTTCCAGTACCGTGTTGAATAGGAGTGGTGAGAGAGGGCATCCTTGTCTTGTGCTGGTTTTCAAGGGGAATGCTTCTAGCTTTTGCCCATTCAGTATATTGGCTGTGGGTTTGTCATAAATGGCTCTTATTATTTTGAGGTATCTTCCATCAATACCTAGTTGATTGAGAGTTTTTAACATGAAGAGATGTTGAATTCTACGGAATTCAATATTGAGATAATCATGTGGTTTTTGTCGTTTGTTCTGTTTATGTGATGAATTACGTTTATCGATTTGCATATACTGAACCAGCCTTGAATCCTGGGGATGAAGCCGACTTGATCATGGTGGATAAGCTTTTTGATGAGCTGCTGGATTCAGTTTGCATCAGGATTGCATTGAGGATTTTTGCATCAATGTTCATCAGGGATATTGGCCTGCAGTTGTTTTTTGTTGTTGTATCTCTGCCAGGTTTTGGTATCTGTATGATACTGGCCTCAAAAAATGAGTTAGGGAGCAGTCTTTCCTTTTCCATTGTTTGGAAGAATATCAGAAGAAATGGTACCGGTTTCTCCTTGTACCTCTGGTAGAATTCAGCTGGAAATCTGTCTGGTCCTGGGCTTTTTTTGGTTGGTAGGCTATTTATAACTGCCTCAATTTCAGAACTCGTTATTAGTCTATTCAGGATCCAACTTCTTCCTGGTTCAGTCTTGGGAGGGTGTATGTGTCTAGGAATTTATCCATTTCTTCTAGATTTTCTTTATTATTATTATTATTACTATACTTTAAGTTCTGGGATACATGTGCAGAACGTGCAGGTTTGTTAAATAGGAATACATGTGCCATGGTGGTTTGCTGCACCTATCAATCTGTTATCTACATTATGTGTTTCTCCTAAGGCTATCCCTCCCCTAGTCCACCAACCCCTGACAGGCACCAGCATGTGATGTTCCCCTCCCTGTGTCCATGTGTTTTCATTATTCAACTCCCACTTATGAGTGAGATCATGCGATGTTTGGTTTTGTGTGATCATAGCCCACTGCAGCCTCAAACTCCTGCTTCAAGCAATCCTCCTGCCTTGGCCTCCCAATTAGCTGGGACTACAGCCACACGCCACTGTGCCTGGCTTTAGAATCTCTTTTTAACTTGAGTTTTCATGTGCCCTTAATTTTTAAAGATTTTTATTGATACATAATAAATGTATATATTTGTGGGGTACATGTAATATTTTGATACATGTATACAATGTATTATGATCAAATCAGGGTAATTGGCATATCCATCACCTCAAATGTTTACTACTTCTTTGTGTTGGGAACATTCAGAATCCTCTCCTCTGGCTATTTTGAAATATAAAATAAATTTTTGTTAACTATAGTTGCCCTACTGTGCCCTAGAACACTAGAACTTATTCCTCCTATCTAACTGTAATTTTGTCCCCATTAGCTAACCTCTCCCCATCCACTTCCCTTCCCAGCCTCTGGTAACCACTATTCTACTCCCTACTTATATGGGCATGATCTATGGGATCAACTTTTTTAGCTCCTACATGAGTGAAACATGTGATATTTGTCTTTCTGTGCCTTGCTTATTTCATTTAACATAATGTCCTCCAGTTCAATCCATGTTGCTGTAAATGACAGGATTTCATTCTTTTTTATGGTTGAATGATATTCTATTGTGTAAATATACCATATTTTCTTTATTCTCCTGTTGGTGGACACTTAGGTTGTTTCCATATCTTGACTATTGTGAGTAGTACTGTGATAAACATAGGAGTGCAGATATCTCTTTGACATACTAATTTCCTTTCCTTTGGATATATGCCCAGCAGTGGGATTACTGGATCATATGGTATTTCTATTTTTAGTCTTTTTGAGGAGCCTTCATACTATTTTCCATAATGGCTTGCATTCCCATCAAACTTGCATTTCCATAAAAAGTGTATGAGTTCCCTTTCCTGGGCCAGGCGCGGTGGCTCACGCCTGTAATCCCAACACTTTGGGAGGCCGAGGTGGGCAGATTATGAGGTCAGGAGATTGAGACCATCCTGGCTAACATGGTGAAACCCCGTCTCTACTAAAAAATACAAAAAATTAGCCAGGTGTGGTGGCAGGTGCCTGTAGTCCCAGCTACTTGGGAGGCTGAGGCAGGAGAATGGCATGAACCCAGGAGGCGAAGCTTGCAGTGAGCCGAGATCGCACCACTGCACTCCAGCCTGGGTGACAGAGTGAGACTCCATCTCAAAAAAAAAAAAAAAAAAAAAAAAAGAGTTCCCTTTCTCTACGTCCTCACCAGCATTTGTTGTTTTCTGTCTTTTTTATAATAGGCATTTTAACTGGAATGAGATGATAGCTGATTGTGCATTTCCCTGATGATTAGTGACATTGAGCATTTTCTTACATACCTGTTGGCCATTTGTATATTTTATTCTAAGAAATGTCTCTTCAGATCATTTGCCCATTTTAAAATTGGATTATTTGTTGTTTTTGTTTTGTTTTTGCTGAGCTGAGTTCCTTGTAAGTTCTGGATATTCATCCCTTAATGGATAGTTTGCAAATATTTTCTCCCATTCTGTAGGTTGTCTCTTTTCTCTGTTGATTGTTTCTTTTGCTGTGCAGAAGCTTTTTAGTTTGATATAATCCCATTTGTCTATTTTTGCTTTTGTTGCCTGGGCTTTTGAGGTCTTATCCAAAAGATCTTTGCCCAGACCAATGCCCTGAAACATTCTTCCAGTAGTTTCTTCCAGTAGTTTCATAATTTTGGTTCTTATATTTAAGTCTTCATTTTGAGTCAATTTTTACATATGGTGAGAGATAGAGGTCTAGTTTCATTCTTCTGCATGTGGATATCCAGTTTTCCAAGTACCATTTATTGAGGAGACTGTCCTTTCTCCAGTGTGTCCTTTTGGCACCTTTGTTGAAAATCAGTTGGCTGTAAATGTGTGGATTTATTTCTGGGTTCTGTATTCTATTCTATTAGTCTCTGTGTTTTTATGCGAATACCATGCTCTTTTGGTTACTATAGCTTTGTAGCATATTTTGAAGTCAGGTAGTGTGATGCCTCCAGGTTTGTTCTCTTTGCTCAGGATTGCTTGACTAGTCTGGCTCTTTTGCGGTTCCATATGAATTTTAGGATTGTTTTTCTATTTCTTGAAGAATGTCATTGGTATTATGATAGGGATTGCGTTGAATTTGTGGATCACTTTGGGTAGTATGATGTGACTTTTTAATGTACCATTTCTTTATAAATGTGTGTATATATTTCCTTTGAATAAATGAAAATGTGTGTGTGTGTGTGTGTGTGTGTGTGTGTGTGTGTGTAATTTTGGAGCTATGATATAGCCACTTACCACAAAAAGTCTCAAAGCTACTTATGGCAAAAAAAAAAAAAAGGTATGTTTCACCCTTCAAATTACCACCAGATTGAGAGGCAGAGCAAGATGGCAGAATAGAACCCTCCAGTGATCATCCCCCGACAGGAACATCAAATCAAACAAGCATCTACACAAGAAAGTACCTTCATAAAAGAATTAAAAATCAGGAGAGCAATCACAGTACCTTTTTTAAACATCATACCAAGGAAAGAGGTACTGAAGAGGGTAGGAAAGACAGTCTTTAATTGCCTATACTACCCCTCCCCGCATGCCCCAGTAGCGGCCACGTGACACAGATAGAGAATCTGTGTACTTGGTGGAGGGAGAGCAAAGTGATTGTTAGGACTTTGCATTGGAATTCAGTGCTGCCCTGTCATAGCATAAAGCAGTACAGGGCAGAATTCGGCCAGTGCCCATGGCGGGAGCATTTAGACCAGCCCTAGCCAGAAGGGCATTGTCCATCTCAGCAGTTGGAACCTGAGTTCTGGCTAGCCCCAGTATCATGGGCTATAGTGTACTAGGGTCCTGATAAACTTGAAAGGCAGTCTAGGCCACACAGACTACAGTTCCTGGGCAAGTCCTGGTGCCATGCTGTGCTCAGAACCAGTGGACTTGGGTGCATGCGACCCAGTGAGACACCAGCTACGGTAGACAAGGGAGTGCTTGCATTACCCCTTTCCCAACTCCAGGCAGTGCAGCTTGGAGTTCTGGGAGGAAAGGGAAGAGTACAGAGGACTTTGTCTTGCAATTTGGATACCAGCTCAGCCACAGTAAAATAAAGCTCCAAGCAGAGTCCTGAAGCCCCAATTCCAGACCATAGTTTGTGGATGACATTTCTAGACCCACCCTGGGCCAGAAGGGAACCCATTGCCCTGAAGGCAAGGACCCAGTTTTGGCAGAATTCACCACCTGCTGACCAAAGAGCCCTTGGGTCTTGAATAATTATCAATGGTAGCCAGGCAGCAGTCACCATGGGCTTTGGGCAAGACCCAGTACATGCTGGCTTCAGGTGTGATCCAGCACATTCATAGCTGTGGTGGCCACAAGGAGAGACTCTTTCTGCTTGAGGAAAGGAGAGGGATAGTAAAAACGGCTTTATCTTGCAACTTGGGTACCAGCTCAGTCACAGTATAATAAAGCACAAATCAAACTCCTATAGTTCCTGATTCTGGGCCTTAGCTCCTGAAGGGCATTTCTAGATCTGTCCTGGGCCAGTAAGAAATCCGCTTCCCTGGCGGAGCTTGCAGTGAGCCGAGATAGTGCCACTGCACTCCAGCCTGGGCGACAGAGCGAGACTCCATCTCAAAAGAAAAAAAAAAAAAATTCCGCTTCCCTGAAAGGGGAGGCCCGGTCCTGGCAGGATCTATCACTTGCTGACTAAAGAGCCCTTGAGCCTTGAATAAACATCAGCAGTAGCCAGAAAATAGTTGCCACAGTACCAAAACCCAGTACTGTGCTGGCTTCAGGTGTGACCCAGCATAGCCCCAGTGGTGGTGTACAAGGGGGTGCTTGCATCACCTCTCCTCCCACTCCAGTTGGCGCAACATGGGGAGAGAGATTTTGTTTGCTTGGCAGAAAGTAAGGGAGGAGAACAAGAGACTCTGCCTAGTAATCCAGGGAATTCTCCCACATCTTACCCAAGACCACCAAGGCAGTACCTCTGCGAGTCTGCAACGGTCACAGTGTTACTGGGCTTGGGGTGCCCCCTAATATACATAAGGCTGCAATGACCAAAGTCATAGATCACAACACTCAATTCCCTTTGAATACTTGGAAAGCCTTCTCAAGGACAGGTACAAACAAACCCAGATTGCTAAGATTAGAATAAATACCTAACTTGTCAGCGCCCAGACATTGACAAACATCCAGAAGCATCAAGACCATCCAGGAAAACATGACCTCACCAAACAAACTAAATAAGGCACCAGGGACCAATTCTGGAGTGACAGAGATATGTGGCCTGGCCTTTCAGACAGAGAATTCAAAATAGCTGTTTTGAGGAAGCTCAATGAAATCCAAGATAATGCAGAGAAGGAAATGAGAATCCCATCAGATAAATTTAACAAAGAGATTGAAATAATTAAAAACAAGAAATTCTGGATCTGAAAAATCTGACAAATCAAAGAATGTATCAAAGTCTCTCAATAAATACTTGACCAAGCAGAAGAAACAGTTGGTGAGCTTGAAGACAGGCTCTTTGAAAATACATAGTCAGAGGAGTCAAAAGAAGAAAGAATAAAAAATAATGAGGCACATTTACAGGATCTAAAAAATAGCCTCAAAAGGACAAATCTAAGAGTTATTGACCTTGAGAAGGTAGAGAAGAGATAGGGGTAGAAAGTTTATTCAAAGAGATATTAACAAAGAATTTCCCAAACCTAGAGAAAAATATCAAAATTCAAGTATAAGAAGGTTATAAAACGTCAAGCAGATTTAACCCAAATACTACCTCAAGAAATTTAATAATCAAACTCCTAAAGGTCAAGGATAAAGAAAGGATCCTAAAAGCAGCAAGAGAAAAGAAAGAAATAACATATAAAGGAGCTCCAATACATCTGGCAGCAGATTTCTCTGTGGAAACTTTATAGGCCAGGAGAGAATGGCACGACATACTTAAAGTGCTGAAGGAAAAAAAAATTTTTTATCCTAGAATGGTATATATCTGATGAAAATATCCTTCAAACATGAAGGAAAAATAAAGACTTTCCCAGACAAACAAAAGCTGAGGGATTTCATCACCAGACCTGTTCTGCAAGAAAAGTTAAAGGGAGTTCTTCAATCTGAAAGAAAAGGATACTAACAAGCAATAACAAATCATCTGAAGGCACAAAACTCATTAATAGTAAGTACACAAATACAAAATGTTATAACACTGTAATTGTTGTGTGTAAACTATTCATATCTCGAGTAGGAAGACTAAAAGAATAACCTATCAAAAATAGTAACTATAACAACTTTTAAAGACATAGTATAATAAGATTTAAATAGAAACAACAAAAAGTTAAGAAGCGGCAGTGGCTGGCTGGGGGATGAAAAAGTGTAGAGTTTTTATCAGTTTTTTCTTTGCTTGTTTTTGCAATCAGAGTTAAGTTTTCATCAGTTTAAAATAATGGGTTATAAGATGTTACTTGCAAGCCTCTTGGTAACCTCGAATTTAAAAACCTACAATAGATACACAAAAATATAAAGTAAGAAATTGAAACATACCACCAAAGAAAATCACTTTCACAAAAAGGAAGACAGGAAGGAAGGAAGAAAGAGAAGACCACAAAACAACCAGAAAGCAAATCACAAAATGGCAATAACAAACCCATACTTATCAATAATAACACTGAATTAAATGGACTAAACAATTCTCCAATCAAAAGACAGAGTAGCTGAATGGATTTAAAAAAACAAGACCCAATGATCTGTTGCCTACAAGAAATGCACTTCACCTATAAAGACAAACATAGACTGAAAATGAAGGGATGAAAAAAGTTATTCCATGCAAATGAAAACCAAAAAAGAGCAGGAGTGGCCATACTTGTATCAGATAAAATAGATTTTAAGACAAAAACTATAAAAAGACACAGAGAAGATCATTATATGATAAAAGTATCAATTCAGCAAGAGGATTTAATAGTTATTAATATATATGCACCCAACACTGGAGTATCCAGACATATAAAACAAATATTAGAGCTAAAGAGCGAAATAGACCCCAATACAATAATAGCTGGAGACTTCAACATCCCACTTTCAGCATTGGATATATCTTCCGGACAGAAAACCAGCAAAGAAACATCAGACTTAATCTGCACTGTAGGCCAAATTGACCAAATACTTACAGTACATTTTGTTCAAAGGCGACAGAATACATATTCTTTTCCTTAGCACATGGATCAGTCTCAAGGATAAGACCATATGTTAGGCCACAAAAGAAATCTTAAAAATATCAAAAAATTGAAATCATATCAGTAGCTTCTCTAATCATAATGGAATAAAACTAGAAATTGGCTGGGTGTGGTGGCTCATGCTGTAATCCCAGCACTTTGGGAGGCCGAGGCAGGCAGATCATGAGGTCAGGAGTTTGAGACCAGCCTGGCCAACATGGTGAAACCCTGTCTCTACTAAAAAAATATAAAAATATCCA
This sequence comes from Homo sapiens, assembly GCF_000001405.40. Taxonomy (NCBI): domain Eukaryota; kingdom Metazoa; phylum Chordata; class Mammalia; order Primates; family Hominidae; genus Homo; species Homo sapiens. Next base: position 87,454,703 of record NC_000006.12, read on the forward strand.
GGTGTGGTGGTGCATGCCTGTAATCCTAGCTACTCAGGAGGCTGAGGCAGGAGAATTGCTTGAACCCGGGAGGCAGAGGCTACAGTGAGCTGAGATTGCGCCACTGCACTCCAGCCTGGGTGACAGAGTGAGACTCTGTCTCAAAAAAAAAAAAAAACAAAACAAAACAACAAAAAACCCTAAAAATCAATAACAAGAGGAACTTTATTATTTTATTTTTTTATTTTTTATTATTTTTTTTATGGAGTCTCCCTCTGTCGCCCAGCCTGGACTTTAGTGGCATGATCTCTGCTCACTGTAACCTCTGCCTCCCGGGTTCAAGTGATTCTCCTGCCTCAGCCTCCCAAGTAGCTGGGATTACAGGCATACACCACCATGGTCAGCTAATTTTTGTATTTTTGTAGAGACTGGGTTTCACCATGTTGGCCGGGCTGGACTTGAACTCCTGACCTCAAGTGATCCACCCACTTCGGCCTCCCAAAGTGCTGGGATTACAGATGTGAGCCACCACACCCAGACTGGAACTTTGGAAACCATATAAACACATGGAAATTAAACAATACGCTCCTTAATGACCAGTGGGTCAACAGAGGAATTAAGAAGGAAATTAAAAAATTTCTTGAAACAATAAAAGTGGAAACACAAAAGCAGTAGTAAGAGAGAAGCTTATAGCAATAACTATCTACATGAAAACAGTAGAAAGACATCAAATAAAGAACCCAAGCATGCATCTTAAAAAACTAGAAAAGCAAGAGCAAACCACAGCCAAAATTAGTAGATGAAAAGAAATAATAAAGATCAGAGCAGAAATAAATGAAATTGAAATGAAAAAATATAAAAGATCAATAAAATGAAAAGGTACTTTTTTTAAGAAAAGATAAACAAAATAGACAAATTGTTAGTCAATAGTTACACTTTAGCCAGGCTAGGAAAACATGAGAGAAGACCCAAAGAAAATCAAAGATAAAAAAGGAGACATTACAACTGATATCACAAAAATTCAAAGGACCACTAGAGGCTACTATTAGCAACTACATGCCAATCAATTGGAAAACCCAGAAGAAATAAATTCATAGACACATCAAACCTACCAAAATTGAACCATGAAGAAATACAAAACCTGAATAGATCAATAACAAGTAAGGAGATGAAACCCTTAATAAAAGGTCTCCCAGCAAAGAAAAGCCAGGGACCCAGTGGCTTCACTGCTGAATTTTACCAAACATTTAAAGAAGGATGAATATCAGTCCTACTCAAACTCTTTCAAAAAGTAGAGGAAGAGGGAATACTTCCAAACTCATTCTACAAGGCAATTATTATGCTGATACCAAAACCAGACAAAGACACATCAACAAAGGAAAACTAGAGGTCAGTATTGCTGGTGAACATTGATGTGAAATCCTTAACAAAATACTAACAAACTGAATTCAACAACACATTAAAAAGGTCTTTCATTATGACCAAGTGGGATTCATCCCATAGATGCAAGGATAGTTCAACATATGCAAATCAATGTGATACATCATGTCAGCAGAATGAAGGACAAAAACCATATGACCATTTTAATTGGTCATATGCTTTATCAAATGCTGAAAAAGCATTTGATAAAATTCAACATCATTCTATGATTAAAAAACCTCAAAAAAACTGGGTATAGAAGGAATATACCTCAACACAATAAAAGCCATATACAGCAGACCCAGAGGTAGTATCATACCGAACGGGAAAAATGAAAGCCTTTCCTCTGAGATCTGGAACAAGACAAATATGCCCACTTTTAACACTGTTATTTAACATAGTACTGGAATTCCTAGCTAGAGCAATCAGACAATAGAAATGAAGGCATCCACCTCGGAAAGGAAGAAGTTAAATTATGCTTGTTTGCAGATGATATGATCTTACATTTGGAAAAATCTTAAGACTCCACCAAAAAACTAATACAACTGATAAACAAATACAGTAAAGTTGCAGAATACGAAATCAACATACAAAAATCAGTAGCATTTCTGTATGCTAAAAGCAAAGAATCTGAAAGAAATCAAGAAAGTAATCCCATTTTCAATAGCTACAAATAAAATTAAAAACCTAGGAATAAACTTAACCAAAGAAGTGAAAGATCTCTATGAAGATAACTATAAAACATTGATGAAAGAAACTGAGGTTGGCTGAAAACGCAGTGGCTCACACCTGTAATCCCAGCACTTTGGGAGGCTGAGGCAGATGGATCACAAGGTCAGAAGATCGAAACCATCCTGGCTAACACAGTGAAACCCCGTCTCTACTAAAAATACAAAAAAATTAGCCACGCGTGGTGGCAGGTGCCTGTTGTCCCAGCTACTCAGGAGGCTGAGGCAGGAGAATGGCATGAACCCAGGAGGCGGAGCTTGCAGTGAGCTGAGATTGTGCCACTGCACTCCAGCCTGGGCGACAGAGTGAGACAACCTCTCAAAAAAAAAAAAAAAAAGAAAAGAAATTGAAGAGGACACAAAGCAACATGTTAATGGATTGGAAAAATTAATATTGTTAAAATGTTCATACTACTCAAGCATCTACAGATTCAATGCAATCCTTATCAAAATACCAATGACATTCTGTAAGAAATAGAAAAAATAACCTTACAACTTATATGGAACCACAAAAGACCCTGAATAGCCAAAGCCATCCTAAGCAAAAAGAACAAAACTGGAGGAATCACATTACCTAACTTCAAATTATACTACAGAGCTATAGTAAGCAAAATAGCATGGTACTGGCATAAAAACAAGACACATAGACCAATGGAACAGAATAGATAACCCAGAAATAAATCCATACATCTACTGTGAACTTATTTTAAACAAAGGTGCCAAGAATATACGTTGGGGAAAGGACAGTCTCTTCAATAAATGGTGCTGGGAAAACTGGATATCCATGTGCAGAAGAATGAAACTAGACCCTATCTCTCGCCATATACAAGAATCAAATCAAAGTGGATTAAAGACTTAAATCTGAGACCTCAAACTATGAAACTATTAATACTACAGGAAAACATTGGGGAAACTCTCCAGGATATTGGACTGGGCAAAGATTTCTTGGGTCATTCCCCACCAGCACAGACAACCAAAGCAAAAATGGACAAATGTGATCACATCAAGTTAAAAAGCTTCTGCACAGCAAAGAAAACAACAAAGTGAAGAGACAACTCACAGAATGGGAGAAAATATTTGCAAACTATCCATCTGATAAGGGACTAATAGCCAGAATATATAAGGAGCTCAAACAACTCAATTAGGAAAGAATCTAGTAATCCAACTGAAAAATGGGCAAAAGATCTGGATAGACATTTCTCAAAAGAAGATATACAAATGGCAAATAGATATATGAAAAGGTGCTCAACATCACTGATCATCAGGGAAATGCAAATCAAAACTATAATGAGATATCATCCCACCCCAGTTAAAATGGCTTATATCAAAAAGGCAGGCAATAACGAATGCCGGTGAGGATATGGAGAAAGGGAACCCTAGTACACTGTTGGTGGGAATGTAAATTAGTAAGCCACTATGGAGAACAGTATAGAAGTTCCTAAAAAAACTATATAGAAATACCATGTGATCCTGCAATCCCACTGCTAGGTATATACCCAAAAGAAAGGAAATCAGTATATCAAGGAGATATCTGCACTCCCATATTTATTACAGCACTATCCACAGTAGCCAAGATTTGGAAGCAACCCACGTATCCATCAAAGACAACTGGATAAAGAAAATGTGGTACATATACATAATAGAGTACTATTCAGCTATAAAAAAGGAGATCCTGTCATTTGCAAAAACGGATGGAACTGGAGAATATTATTTTCAGTGAAATAAGCCAGGCACAGAAAGACAAACTTCATATGTCCTCGCTCCTTTGTGGGAGCTAAAAACTAAACTAATTGAAATGGAGATAGCAGAATGATGGTTACCAGAGGGCTGGTAAAGGTAGTTGTGGGGAGTGAGAAATGGGGATGGTTAATGGGTACAAAAATATAGTTAAATAAAAGGCGTAAGATCTAGTATTTTATAGCACAACAGGGTGAGTACAGTCAGCAGTAATTTGTTGTACATTTCAGAATAACTGAAAGAGTACAATTGGAATATTCATAACAAGACATGATGACTGTTTGAGGTGATGGACACCCCATTTACCTGATGTGATTATTACACATTGTATGCCTGTATCAAAATCTCTCATGTAACCTGATAATTATGTACACCTACTGTGTACCCATAAAAATTAAAAAATACCACCAAATTAAGTTTACCAAGTCAGTAGTTCTCAAATTTGTTCAAATTGTAGAGTTCCTGGAGCTGATAATTCATTTTGATGAGTATTATAAATGTTGCTATCTTAAGTTTAATACATGTAATTTTTTGCTTAATTAGATGTTATACAAAATTCTAATTTAGAACAAATGATTGCAGGAGCCAACTACTTTGAAAAATTATGAGGGGAAAATTTACAATAGAAAATTTTAATAATTTTTCTGCAAATTAGAAAATGCCATTCATTTTACTCTGAATTCAAAACTCTTCCGTTTTTTGTCTGTAAGATGAAATCCAAATTTTGGGGACTGGTGTTCGAGGCATACATGTCTTTTTATCCTTCTATTTCTACTAATTCCCTCCATGACCTCTCTGTCAGAAAAATTGTGAGTTATATACTGGTTTTAAAATACTTGTTCTATATGCTCTAGTCTTCTATTTGTTAAAAGATAGTTTTCAGAAATGGGTAAAATTATTGTCATGCAGATAAGCAGATATAAAAGTCAACATGTGTTAAGAGTAATCTATTCATTAATCAATGAGGGGACCAGGTAGATGTTATAACCAGTTCAAAAGAGAACCCTAAGAACAGACACATTTATAGATCAGGAATATTCAAATGAATGTGTAAATGGAGGCAATGCTGATTTTTCCACATGGGGAAAGGGAAGTCAGTTGAACGTCTACAGACAGGATATACTGTGCATGTCTACAGACAGAAATTATTTGGTCTTGCTATCACTCACTTATAACTTACAGAGTTGTAAGATACCCCAAGGACAGTGAAAGGCTAGAATCAGACGACTGGAAAGGTATGTTGTATGTGGATAATGCCTCGTTTTCCACTAAAGCATAATTTTTTCCTATACACCTGGTCTTGTTTTTTCCTGTCTTTCTGGATATTTAATTCCCACCTGTTCTTCAGTGACCTTTAATATCTGCAGAAATGAGTTTTATCTCTGTCTTTTTCATGTAGTCCTTGCTGTCTAATTTACTTGCCATTTACTTGTATGGTACAGTATTATTAACTATCTTTTTAGCATTTTTAAAATCTACCTAAATATATCATAAGATAATTTTATAGTCAGAAATTATATCAAATGTTAGACACTCAGTGATTATCTGTTGTTTGGAAAGAATATCTTCTCCCTCCTTTTTACTGTGACCTAAGTACCTTAAACCTCTACCACTCCCTCCAACAACGTCAACAATGTCATGTCCAGCACCATCATGTCTTGTTTAGCCTGGAATTAGTGAATTCTTAATATTGGGTTCCCCAAAAGAAAATCAGTATATTCAACTAAAAACAAAGCAAAAACCTTGGATAATAACCTGCTATGTATGCATAGCTTGAGTTCAACATATGTCTTAAAGAGGTTTTGATAGTTCAAATAGATGTGATTTTTACCTAATAAAGCTATTTTCAATTTCTATCCATTTTCAACAGGTATTTACTCATGTTATCAGTTGTGCAAAGTGGGGAGGGATATTTGACTTGGGAATGAGGGATGTTTTCTCCTTCCAAAATACATGTTCTACAGAAAACCAAACACTGCATGTTATCATTTATAAGTGGGAGCTAAAAATTGGGTACACATGGACATAAAGATGGGACCAGTAGACACTGGAGACTGCAACAGTGGAAAGAGTGGGAGGGGGGCATAGGCTGAAAAATGAACTAGTGGGTACTGTGGTCACTACCTGGGTGATGGGTTCAATCCTGCCTCGAATCTCAGCATTGTGCAATATACCCTTGTAACAAACCTGCACATGTGCCCCCTTGAATCTAAAATAAAAGTTAAAAAAAAACACCCCCTACATTAACAAAATCACGAAGCCATAATTCCCAGAAAAACAATTATATTCAGCTCATTAATTATGTGTTTATTTTCTTTATTGGTATTTACAAGTATATTCCATGTCCAAAAATTATTGTTTTTTAAGTGTTTTGTTAGTTTTAGCTAAATATTTTAGTTATCAGTAAATAATGTTTATTTTTTACAAGCACTAACTACAAAACTCCACTTCTTTAGATGAGAGATGCTGACAAACATTATATAAAACCAATTACAAAATGTGAAAGTAGCACACAGACGAATACACACATACTGCCACCAACGATTGTGAGATCATATGAGTGGAATGAATGGGAATTAAGAAGAAAAGCTATAAAATTGGTTTGTAACAATACTTTCTAGAATTATTTATATGTTGGGGAATTTTAATCTATTGTTACTCATAGAGTTGGTAAATTAAATTATTTATATAAAATAATGAGTTTTATACAGAGTTCTTTGCTAACAAAAATATAATTTATAACTTGCTAGGTTTACATTATAAGATTGTCTTCTAATTTTAAGCATATATAGAACAATGATAATATCTATATATCTATCTGTCTATCATCAGTTTTAAAACTTGGTGCTAGTATTTAAAGCACTCCCAACTTCCTTTAATCACTTAAGGTATACCATTCTTTTTTTTGTTTGTTTTTTGGACCTTTTCTATTAAAGCATAGATATTTTCCCCTCAACAACATATTATCTCCAGACCCTGGGCACTCTCATCCTTCTGATTCTCAGTCACCTTAATTACAATATAGATACCTACCCTTAAAGCCTGTCTTTGAAACTCTCATCCCTGTCCAACTGAGTGAAATTACCCCCACCATCCCCTCTTTATGGTATCTTGTCATTTTAAACAACAAATATTTATAGTATGGAAAAAATAAAATATTTTGTCTGTAGCCCCTTTTTAGTATATTTTATCCATCTCTTTAACTGAAATCAGGTGTGGAAATAAACAATGCCTACCCAAATGAGAACAAAGCAAGGCTATTTATTTAGAGCTTACTGTAGCAAGGGAGTCAGACACTGTCACTTGTGTTTGGTAGACTCAAAGCATGCAGGGGAGTGGGAAAGCTTTATAGTCAGAAAAGGGGGAAGCCTTCAGATGTTCTCTGATTGTAGTTTGTTAACATGAGAAAGCTGGAAGCAGGCTAACTAGAAGCAGGGCATTTTATGAGATTGGTTTGGTGAGCATATCTAGGTTTCTCTGGTTGGTCCTGAGTTGGGGCAGAAGGGGCCAAAAAATGGAGAAGTTGGCTAAGTCTTCAACATTCTGGGTCAACTGCTACAGCTATAGAGGTTGAGACTGGCTTCCCTGACTGGTTGATGTACAGGCTGCAAGTCAAAGAGTTCTATTGTCATATATGGTCTAGCCTTTGTCCATTTGTATATTCAGTCCATTTGTATATTCAGTCCCACTGACCACATTATTTCCTTTGCTACTCACTCTGGTGGCAGCTTTTCAGTTCCCTGGCATGAGGAAGGATCAGTTTCCCCATATATCTTCCAGATCATTGTTCCATTAGTATTCCTTCCTATCAGTTACTCTCCTGTAGTTCATGAAATGCCCAACCCCCATATTATTTTCTATTATCTACTAAACTCACTTGAGTTCATTAGATTTATTGGGTAACATATATATCCCACTACTTTGTTCTAGCAAGTGATACTGTTACATTAAAAATATTTCAGTACCTCCTTGTAAGTGGTACCTCCTTGTAAGTGGTGTAACAGAAGTGAAATGAAAATTCTACTAAATTAACATAGGTGATATTTTATGTTGCTTTTGAGATACAAATAGGCAAAGAGGAGGAGGGAAGTGATGGCTGGATAGGATAGGAGAGATAGAGGTGACAGCATAGGTATGGACTGGAAATGTTAAGAGAATGGGGTATTCAGGGGTCTGAACTTCATACTGACTGAGCCCTCTCTTCCCATTCCTCAATCTCCACTTAATTCTGACTCTCACCTTGGGCCTTATTATTCCCTAGAACTGTATTATATTGAATGCCAGCTCCCCAAGTGTCACCTACCTAACCTGTGGATAAGACAAAGCTGAGTTTATTGCTTACAGCCATAAGGGAAAACACCACCTCAACAGTGCTTTGGCAGTGTCTCAGAAGAGGAACTGCAAAGTCAGAATTGATTGAGAATTTGAAGTTTGCTAAGGCAGGTCTTCCAATGACTGAGGTGGACTGGGGGTAGGATGGAGGTTTGAATCGGATTGGGTAAGGATCATGAAAAAGCAGTCCAGCATTGGTGGGAATAGCAAGAAGATTTTTTGAGGCAAGGGATGCAGACTCTTAGGACTGAAACTGTGTTTTGATGCTTACTACTGAAGAGTTGACACATCTCTCAGGTACTACTGAAATGAGCAATCAAGTTATTTGCTTAGGCAAGAGTCTCTTGGAATGGTAAAATCATGCTAATGAAGACAATGGAATAGTAAAGTCATATTAATGTGGACAATAACCTGGGTATTGGGGAGTAGTTTCGGTTCTCAGTCACCTGCAGTATCTCAAACTCTGAAATGTTTCCTCTAATTCCAGGTGTCACCTTCTTCACTCACATGCTATAATGCCTTTTGAGTTTTTTCTTGGCTTTTACTATAAGTGCAGCAACCTTATTCTTCTTTTTATAAGCTCCTCCTTGCTTCCCAGCCTGAGTAATCTGTTTAACCTCATGTTTACTAATAATCTATAAAGGGAGTAAGCAAAATGTAGAATACTGTAAAATACAAAATGGAAAGCATCAGACTCTTTTATGTTAAAAATCTAGGGTGAAGTCCATTTTTAAAAGATAATACTGTATAAATCTTATATTTTTGTTAAAAGAAAACAAGTATAGTGGAAAAATCCAAGTTATATGAATCTCAAAGTATAATAATGAAGGAATTAGATTATATTAATAAATAACTGGTTGAGTTCACTGTAATTTTGAATCTGTATGTTTTTTGAGGTCAATTTTCAACATTTTACATATTTTTCTACGTCTTGGTAAGGGATATTTAATTTTCTATTATGTTCTAGATTTTCCAATGTTTTATAGAAAAAATGCTATGTTATGGAATTAATTTCTTGTGGATTGAAGACAAAAATAGGCAGATATTAACTGGTATCTGATAATATTTTATGTTATTTGTTCTTTAGAGAAATGTTAATTCCTGTATTCTCTTTCTCTTTAGGCTAATTTGCGCCAGAAAGTTACTCACTCAGTACAAACTGATCTTAGTCACTTGAGAAGAGAAAATTGTTCCCAAGTGTACCCTCCAAAGGACACTAGCACCCAGTCCATGAGGGAAGACAGCACTGGGGTGCCCAGGCCTCAGATTTACTTGGCTGGTCTTCGTGGAGGAAAGAGCGAAATCACCGATGAGGTCAAGGTGAACTTAACTAGAGATGTGGATGAAACCTAATTACAGACAACGTTTTAAAATAGATGCTACTCAATTATGAACAATAGCAAGTACTTAAAGGTATATTAACATCTATACAAATTAATTTTGTAGGGGTGGCACATTCATTGGTTGTGTGACTGTTTATTGGGTTCCCATATTTTATCAAACTGTTTTCTGTAACACATTTTTCATTCTGTTGAAATTGAAAAATAAAACTGTCCATTTATCTTTTATTTGTTAGAAAAATTTGTCAGCATTAAGATTGAAATTATGATAACATTTAGATATAAATATAAGATTATTACTGGAATAGAAGTCTATTTCTAAACCATATTTAATGTTAAACGTTACAAACTTAAAACCTAATCAATATTTTCAGCTCTGTTAGCTATTAAATGTTAACATGGATTAAACTGATATGTAACAAAACCTTACTAATTTGGAACAATTGGAGCAAAGGTCCACATGATGTTTTTTTCTTTCTTTTTTTTTTTTTTTTTTTTTTGAGACAGGGTTTTGCTCTGTCACCTAGGCTGGAATGTAGTGGTACAATCACAGCTCACTGCAGCCTCGACCTCCTGGGCTAAAGCAATCCTACCTTAGCCTCCTGAGTAGCTGGGACCACAGGCGTGTGTTACCACACCTGACTAATTTTTAAAACAATTTTCTGTAGAGACAGAGTTTCACCATATTCCCCTGGCGGGTCTGGAACTCCTGGGCTCAAGAGATCCTTTTGCCTCAGCCTCCCAAAGTGATGGGATTATAGGCATAAGCCACCATGCCCACCTCACATGGTGTTTTTCAAAATGTAGAAATTTGACATAAAATTTGTATTTCTGGCCCTTCAAAAAAAGAAGAAATCAGAATATCTGCTAACACTTGGCCAGCATTCCTGCAAGTAGTAGCTTTGCCCATTCATAGGGCAGGCACTTTCAATCCTCCATTGCCTAATCTAGTTCCTGCTGCCTTATGGGCCTCCCACGTCACTGCTTTGCCTTATTTGCCTGACTGCATAGGCAGTTGTGTTTAAAGCTCCCATGAATTGCTGGTAGCTATATTTTATAACTGTGGTTTTATTACTGTCTTACATACTTCTAATACCAATTCATGGATAATAAAGCTTCTAGGAAGGGCTGTTTATCTTGCTTTAGTAGCTAGGAGGTCATTTGTATTTGGCGTATTTTTTTCTGCTCAGGTGACCTTTTACTAAGGCATTTGTATAATTTGCTTTCTGTGTAGCTTAAATGTTTTTGTTTATTTGTTTTTGAGATGGAGTCTTGCTCTGTTGCCCAGGCTGGAGTGCAGTGGCGCGATCTCGGCTCACTGCAATCTCTGCCTCCTGGGTTCAAGTGATTCTCCTGCCTCAGCCTCCCAAGTAGCTGGGATTACAGGTGTGCACTACCACGCCTGGCCAATTTTTGTATTTTTAGTAGAGATGGGGTTTCACCATGTTGGCCAGGCTTGTCTTGAACTCCTGACCTCAAGTGATCTGCCCACCTTGGCCTCCCAAAGTGCTGGGATTACAGGTGTGAGCCACCGCACCTGGCTACTTAAATGTGATTTATACTATGAATATGCTTTCAAATCCATTTTCTGCATATAAACTTCAAACAAACCTACTTCTAATTTTTTGTGATTTTCATACCTGTAGTTTACAAATGATGTTTAAGATAGACTGGCTGGCTGTTAAGGCAGGGCCTGGAGGAGTGGGGTGATACTAAAATTTACAAATTCAGGAATGTCATTTTATCTGTTCAATTAACCCTTATTTGATTCTGCAAGATTCCTAAACACAGAAAAGAATGGCTGTAACCTGAAATTTGGGCTTATCAAGTTAAGGCTTGGAAGTAGAATGGCCAAGTGAATAAAAATACCAAATCCAATTTAAAAACCCAATCCTAATATCAGACAGTCACCTGGTAAGTACAACAGAATAAAGGGAGCTACATCCAATGGAAAACTCATCCTCTCCCTGGACCTCCACCATCTATTCAAGCCCTATCCTTCTGAAGATTTCCAACCATATGCTGAATTTAATGTCTGATGGTCACCCCCATTTCAGCAGGTCACAGATCAAAATAACTTTCTCTGCCAAACTTGTTTCTTTCTCTTTATTTTCTTCTATTTTCAAAGGCATCACTGCCTTACTCAGTAGCATAAGTTAAAAACTTCCTGTCTTTCTCCCCCTACACTTTACTAGCCTTCAAGCCCTGTTCATTTGACCTGAATTGTCATTGAGATTCATGTCTTCCTATTCTCACCTCCCCAGCAGGACTTTGTCTTACTGCCTGGGTCACTGCTCTCTCCATTTTTCTATATGGTTCATCAGGATGTTTTCTCATGCATAAATCTGATCCTGTCATCTGGCCTCCTCTTCCCCACAGCCTTTGCCTCAGTTGCTTAAAAGTCACCAAGACTCTTGTCCGCTTCCTAGGGAATGAACTAAAACCTCCTTCATGTATTATGTAAAACTTTTTAAAATATGATCTCCATTTATCCTCCAGTTTCCTCTCCTACTCTTCCCATACTCTCTCCACACACCACACACATTAGCCAGATTGAACCAAAACTCTTCAAATAGGTCATGGTCTTTATTTTTTTTATTTTTTTGAGATAGAGTCTTGCTCTGTTGCCCAGGCTGGAGTGCAGTGGCGTGATCTTGGTTCACTGTAACCTCTGCCTCCCTGGTTCAAGTGATTCTCATGCCCCAGCCTCCTGAGTAGCTGGGACTACAGGCATGTGCCACCATGCCCGTCTAATTTTTGTATTTTTAGTACAGATGGGGTTTTGCCATGTTGGCCAGGCTGGTCTCGAACTCCTGACCTCAAGTGATCTGCCCACCTCGGCCTCCCAAAGTGCTGGGATTACAGGCGTGAGCCCCCACGCCCAGCCCAAATAGGTAATGGTCTTTTATACACCTACTCTTAACTTGTGCTTTTCACACTCTGCCCTGGAATGTAGTCCACAGGTACAGTCCTCAAAGAGTGTGATCAGACTTTATCTTTTCCATGAAAGTTTTCCCCATTTCTTGTGAGCAAGTTGATTGCTTCCTTCTTTGAATTTTCATTGGATTTTATTATTACTTTTATTATAGCACTTAAAATAAATTGATGTATAGATAGTAGTGCATCTGTATTCTTCCTGTTAAATTTGAATTTCTTGAGATTTGAATTATGCATTAGTCATCTTTATATCCCCTGGCATTTGTATCTTGTTGGATAAATGAATGAATTAAAAAAAGAAGGAATGAAAGGGCAAACTGGAAGCAGGGTATTCGTTGAGTGATTATTTGAATAGTCAAGGTGGGAGCTAATAGAATTCAGCAATAAAGTAGTTATTGCAAAAGGAGAGGGAGAAAAATGGTAAAGAGGGAAAAGGAGATTATTTTTGAGGAAGTACTGGCAAATAAAGTTGAATAAACAGAGTTGGTTGGTTTACTTTCTGGAGGACTTTGAAAGCCAAGCAGAGAAACATTTTGCCTTCCTGTGGTAGGACATTAGAAAATCATGGCAGATTCTTGAGTAGAATATTGATTGTGGGAGAGGGATACTCGCTTTGGAGAGATGGCTAGGAAGCTCCTGCAAGAACGGGGCATGCATGATGGGGGATGTTGGGGGGCAAATGCTAGATTAAATTAAGCGGACAAGATATAATATCTCAGGAAAAGGAAGAAAAATTCAAAGTATGACCTCAGGCTTTCTGCCCTAGGAGATAAAGGATAACTGAGAAGGGGAGCTGGTTGGTCAAAAAGGATAACATGTTCAGCACTAGAAAATTTGAGTTTAAGAGATGACAAGGATAGTAAAGCAGAGGTGATAGGAATTTGGGCTGCACAAAGATAATTTGGGAGGTCATCCCCATGAGAATAGGGGTTACATGAGGAGGAAGAGAAGACAAAATAAGACAGAGTAGCAGTCAGAAGAATAGAAAAAAGATGTAAAGTAAGCTCTGTGATCATGGAAGAAAAGTCTAGCTCTTCTACTTACCAGCTGTACCACTTAACACCTCTCTGCTGCAGTTTCTGTATCATAAAAATGAGATAATAATAGTTCCAAATTCATTGATTGGGTTGTCATAAGGATTAAATAAGTTAACACATAAAAAGCACTTACCTGGTAAGTGCCATGTCAATCTTAGCTAAGAGAATAGAGATTCTCCAATGTTTCAGGTCTATTGTACCCCCTTGCCCATTTTTCTGCACTTTTTGTTTTCTAGCCCTCAGTTAATGCCTAGAATAATGCTTGGCACATTATGACTTTCAAAAAATGGTGAATAACAAAAGAGGATGATGGATTAGAGTTATCAGTGGAGTAGGCAATTGTCAAACTCTCTTTTCCTAGAGTTGGCTTGAGTGGAAATACCATTGATGCAAAGCAAGCATAAAATGGTAGAAATAGGTACAAACCATCAGTGACTGGCAGGAAAAGGAAAGAGGGATTACGGTAATGAAAAAAGAAAAGAGAGGCAAGGGATAGTTAAGCTCAAATATGAAATGTCTGGATACACATGATTATTACTCATGTTTAATTCCTAATCCAGACATTGAATTTTACATTATCTCCCTGTATCCTTTTATCAATTATAAAATGTGACAATTATTGGCTTTTTAGTCATATTATACTGTAGGAAATAATTGCTTTAAAATAACAATAACTTGGGAGGCTGAGGCAGCAGATCAGGAAGTCAGGAGTTTGAGACCAGTTTGGCCAATATAGTGAAACCCCGTCCCTACTAAAAATACAAAAAATTAGCTGGGTGTGGTGGTGTGTGCCTGTAATCCCAGCTACTCAGGAAGCTGAGGCAGGAGAATTGCATGAACCCTGGAGGCGGAGGTTGCAGTGAGCCAAGATTGTGCCATTAGACTCCAGCCCAGGCAACAATGCAAGACTCTGTCTCAAAAAATAAAAATAAATAAAATAAAAACAATAACTTAGCAAATAGGTTTTGGATGCTTAATAGCACAATGAAAGAAATATGCTTAAACTGTCAGGGAAATAATTTTCTTTTGGTATCTATATCTATATATGTTCTTTATGGTTAACTGCTTACTATTCTTTAAACATTACCACATTTAATAATCTATTATATAGCTACCATATTTGAATTCAATTATAACCTCCTTAAGCCTTTTGGTATTTGCTTCCTCACAGCCTTTTTATTTAATTAAGTTCATACTTTTACTTTATTACCAATGGATACAGTACTGGGCTTCTTTTTATATACATCATTGAGACTAGGGTAGCTCTGATACATGAGCAGGAAATGGAAGAGAGCAGGGGATTGAGGCAAATACTGTAGTTTTCTAGTGACAATCAGAAATCATTAGGGACTCAAGTGGCATTAGCAATGGCTGCTTGAAGCACTGTAAGGTTATCTTATCAGGCACAGGGGCTTGTATCTCATATGTTAAGGATTGCTGCTGCTTTCTCTAACCAGAGTTGTAAGGAAAACTAGGCACACATGAAAGAAAGACATTAAATCAATATTTTTTTCCTCCAAGACTGAGGATAATTCAGAGTGAGAAAGTAAAAATTAGTTCAGAGTAAGACTGTAAATAGCTGCTTGGTCATTAATTGAGCTGGGATAACAAACCCAGGTAAACCCTGCTGCAAAGTTAATGGGAAATAACTAAGTATATGCTGACACTATAAAGTATAATAGCAAGGCCCTTCTTTGAGTGTTTGCTTTCTAATTCACTGAAAAACTTTGTTCTCTAAAATCATATACTCTAGGAAAACTTGCTGCTTGAAATTACATCAGTAAGAATGAAACACCCTACTTTTGCTTGGGGGGATCTACATCATTTTCATACAAAGAAGCAGCCTCAATTAAGGGGCTCCTGAATACAACATTCCACATCTATGGTAACTTTGTAGTTTTCAAGAAACAGGATCCTGAGACTGTTCTACAGTCCCTATTGGATACATATAGTCCTGCTTTGAGTTTATCAAACACTGCTTCCTTTAAATTTCACCTAATCCCATCCTTCCCTAAAATTCTATAAATTTATCTTTTTTGTTTCCTGAGATACCTCTGGTGTTCAGTTTCCCTCATTGGAATGTGTTTTAGGTGGTTCTTGCAGTGCTATAAAGAAATACCTGAGCCTGAGTAATGCATAAGAAAATAGGTTTAATTGGCTCATGATTCTGCAGCCTGTACAGGAAACACAGTGCTGGCATATGCTTCTGGGTAGGCCTCAGGTAGCTTTTACTCATGGTGGAAGGCGAAGTGGGAGCAGGCACATCACATGGCCAGAGCAGGAGAGAGAGAGAAAGAGAGAGAGAGACTTTTAAAACACCAGATCACCTGTGAACTCAGAGCAAGAGCTCACTTATCACCAAGGCGATGGCCCAAGCCATTCTTGAGGGTTCTGTCCTCATGATCCAGAGCTCCCACCAGGCCCCACCTCCAACATTGAGGATTACAATTCAACATCACATCTGGGCAGGGACAAATACCCACTTTATATCAGAAGGCATCAGTAAGCTCAACTTTGTCAGACTATAGTTTGGCAGATTTGTCCTGTTGGTATTGGGCTAACTGGGTTAGGACAAAGAGGCATGAAAATCTAGTTAAGTTTGATGCCAGTGAAGTATAATAGTCTTTTGAGGCAATGAAAATGTATAAGAAAAGTAGGATTCAACAGCATGATGTTATGTGAACCAGAAATGCCACAAAAATGGCTCAGCAACATTTGACCCACCACTTTAATTGGGATCTCTGTGTGTGTGTGTGTGTGCGTGTGCGTGTGTGTGCATGTGTGTGTGTGTAAAATGCGCTTCCTCACCAGAAGGAATGATAGTTCCTAGTTGATTCTACCACCTAGGACAGGAAAAAACAAAACCTCTTGTTGCCAGAAATTAAAACATGCTTCAAAAAGCTAGTGCAGGCCAGGTGTGGTGGTTCACACCTGTAATCCCAGAACTTTGGGGGGCTGAGGTGGGAGGATTGTTTTAGGTGGGGAGTTCGAGAACTAGCCTGGGCAACAAAGTGAGACGCCCCCACCCACAATCTCTACAAGAAGAAAAAAAGACAAAAAAAAAAAAAAAGTAAAAACAGCTGGTGCAGACTTGAAAACAGAGGCAGGCTTACAAGTGCCTTTTGGAACAAATTGAGCATTTAGAAATTATACTTAATTGATGTAAGCTGACACTATAATGATAGTCCAAAATGGGACAAGATAAACCATACAAAGCAGTAGCTGTAAAACGAAGGACTATATGATATAATATTTTTAATTTTTAAAATTAATTTCACGTACATATATGAATATTGTTTAAATGTATGCATAAGTACATACACAGTAGAGAACTGAATAATTCTACTAGTGGAAACTGTATCAATTACAATAAGGGAAGATTAGCACCAGTGAGCACACTTACTACCAGGTAGAGGAAAAGTCCAACACTATTGCAAAATGAGATTAATCAAATGTCTGCCTCTACAAAGTCAACTCTGGTCTCCTGGGAGCCCCTCCCAATATTAATATGATGCTAATAAGGCATGCAAAATGTTCCAACAATGTTAACAGACCAGATATATCTATATGTATATTTAACAAGACAATGGTATACAACCAACCCTCTAAAAGGACAATTTTGGGGAAAGAACATGCTGCAGAAGGTGTGGGCTGCTGGGCAGCTCAGAATCTTGCATCCCTATTCCTGTAAGTGCTGAGGTATTTTCATATTATTTTAAACCAATCCACATATCTTGAACATCATTTATTTCACCAATGAATTATTTCTAATATCAATTATGATAGCTAATTAACATCCCCTAGTGAAAGTGGAGATTATAGTGGTTAAAATGCCTGTTGATATATCTAATTTTTTTTGTTTTTTGAGACGAAGTCTCGCTGTGTCGCCCAGGCTGGAGTGCAGGGGCGCAATCTCGGCTCACTGCAATCTCCCGGGTTCAAGTGATTCTCCCGCTTCGGCCTCCTGAGTAGCTGGGATTACCGGTGCGCGCCACCACGCCCGGCTAATTTTTTGTATTTTTAGTAAAGACGGGGTTTCGCCATATTGGCCAGGCTGGTCTCGAACTCCTGACCTTAGGTGATCCATCTGCCTCGACTTCCCAAAGTGCTGGGATTACAGGCGTGAGCCACCACGCCCGGCCGATACATCTGATTTTTTAAAGGCCGTTTTGTTGTGCGAAGATCATTAGTTAGAATGCCTGGCTGGGTAAATACAACCGATGACTGCTGACGATATGGAACAGGCACAAGACTTCTGAACGATATGTAGAATAAATTATAACTTATCTAGAACACAAGGTAACAGTGGAAGATAATGAGCCAGGTGGAAGTTACAAATGTTGCCGCAAGTAGTTTCTGTTACTTTACGAGTTCTGGGAGCTTCTCTAACAGCTTTGACAGGAGTGAATCCCCAAGGCTAAACCCAAATCCTTATTTGCCGCCTACTCACGCCTTTGTGAGGACTACGATTCCCAGACGGCAACGCTCCCTTCACTCAACTTCCTTAGCTGGCGGGGAGACGCAGTTTACAGAACTACCTCCCCAACCGAATTTCACACACCTGTCACCTAGGACGCGGCCGGGAAGGCCTCCCTTCGATCCGCGTTCTCCCCATTTTGGGGTGTAGCTTGGATTCCTGAGCCCAGTTTTAGTGCGTGGCCGACCGGGAGGCCGGCGAGGCGCTCTAGGCCGAGCGGCTTCGTCTCTATGACCACAAGGGGCGGTCCCCGGTGTCCTGCGCGGGGGCGCGGAGGGGGCGGGCGTCAGTTCCGCGGGGGGCTGTCGGGGAACCATGGCTGCCCCGAGAGGTGAGAACTGGGTCTGCTGGGAGTGGGGAGTCCGCGGGGGGCGGCGGCGGGCGAGCATCTGCGCTGGTCAGCCCCTGTCGGGCAGCGGAGCACCCTGGTTGCCCAGTGCCTCTGGGGCCTGGCTGAGGCGTCAGGAGTTTGCGTGGAGCCGCTCCCGGCAGTCAGGGCAGCCTGCCTTCCGCTGCGGCTGCAGTCTCCGCGGCTGACTCCGCGCTGGGCAGGTCGGAGTCAGAGACCGCACTGACCTCCACTAGCTGGGAGTGGGTGGGAACCGAATTCTGACAGGCCGGGGCTGCGGCGGACCCGGAGAGAGGCCAGGGCGTGGGTCCGGGGCTGGACCGCATTACCCAGCGAGGCAGGACAGTTCTTCACCCTGGCCCCGCGGCTCCGGTCTCCTCTGCGCCTCCTACCCTGTGGATGCTCAGAGGCTTAAAGGCAGGCTCCGGGCGCAGATCCCATGCGGCGGCTGGGCCATGCAACAACCACTAAAGACATCACTGGGGCGTCAAAACAGCACTGAAATCGTAACGAAAGGAAGATAACAGTCGTTAACAGTTCCCACCTGTATGCTGTGTGTAATTATAGAGAATGCTGTATGCTGCTATTTGGGGTGGAAGCTGAGATCCACCTCCCTCCTCCTGAGGGATGGCACATTCGGGTGAAGGCGTATTTGTTGACTAATTGACATTTAAGGAGGGCGAGTCTAATTGACTCCGCACCACTTTTTGCTGAGCAGTGTGTGTAAGTTGGGACCAGAGGTGGATTCTTTGACTGTGGTGCATTAACCAGGAGAAGTTGGGCAACACCCGGATTCTTGCTCCACCCTTCCTCCATAGAGCACTTGGCTTCACCCTTGAATAAATATTGAACGAATACATAAGGAATATCTTCTTGCGTGGGTTTCAAGTTATTTTCCCTGTTGCGGGGTCCATGTTTCTCATCAGGCCCTGCCCAGGGGCATTGTCTTTAGTTGCATATGCTTCTCTTATGTCTTCTTTCTGTTTCATTTCAAATAAGTCCAATCTTAAAAGCCTTTTTTTGTAGCAACACAGGAAATAAAAGAAAAAGAAATAGAATTGTTTTGATAACTAAAATGGAATGGGGATAGCAAAATTGATCCGAACGAAAACTTATAAATTACAGAAGTCAAATCATTACTTGAAATAGCTGCAACAATGTAAAGGTTTAGGCTTATTGCCAATACATATTTGTTGAGCCTTGATTGTAATCCTAACAAAACTACAGTTTCCATAGTTTCCGAATATCCACAAAGGATTTATCTGGGACTTACAGAATTTCTAAGTTCTTAAGTATTACAAATAATGTCCCCATAAACTATAGTAAAACATAACCGAAAAAAAACATTTTAAACTGTAAGTTTCTTTTGGGGGACATTTCCACACAAACACTATATGGGAGCTAATAGAATTTCGTGAGAAGCAGGGAACAATGCAGGGTTAAGATGTGGCTGCCAGTTGAGTTGTGGGCTAGCTTTATAGTTACTGGCATTGGGTGTGATTTGAATTATTTGCCCAATTTGAAGTGATTACATATGGACTTTTGCTGTTACCCTGAAATAATTGAAATTGCTAATAACTGAAGTTTTATACTGGAGAATTT
The DNA here is from genome assembly GCF_000001405.40 of Homo sapiens. Lineage (NCBI taxonomy): Eukaryota > Metazoa > Chordata > Mammalia > Primates > Hominidae > Homo > Homo sapiens. The sequence continues at coordinate 87,474,640 of NC_000006.12, forward strand.
GTGAATGGAGTGAACAAGAAATAGTTTGGTCTGATGTTAAACTGCCAGAGAAAATCGTACTTAAAAACATTTAGTATTTAAAAGTTGAAATACGTTTAAAAACTGGTATTCCATGTCAAAGCCCAATCTGTTTTGCACATACCTAAACTTATTTGATTACCCTTCCACTTAGATCAGTAGTTATTTTCAAGAATATAATATATATTCCCATATACTCACTATGCAAAAAGGTATTTTTTCAAGTTAATGACAATATTATAAGTCAGAATATGTTTGTAGGCTATCAATATTTGGTTTAGTGTTTAAATATTCACTTTGTTGTTTTTGGAATCAGGAACCTGTACAGTAGCTAAAATAAAGTACTTTTTAGTTTATCAGCCCTAACTTCTCTTATTTATGAAAGTGTTGATAATCTAGGACATGAGATGGCAAACTTTTCCTGTGAAGGGCTGGATAGTCTCTTGTCATAACTACTCAGATCTGCTGTTGTAGGGAAAAAAAAGTAGCCTGGATAATTTAGAAACAAATGAGCATGGCTATGTTCTAATAAAACTATTCATGGACACTAGAATTTGAATTTCCTGCAATTTTCACATATCACAAGATGTTATTACATTTTTTATCAACCATTTAAAAATGTAAAACAATCGTGAGTTCACAGGCCTCATGTAAACTGGCGACATATATAGTTTGTTCACCCTTTATCTAGAAGATGGGAAGTGCCTTCTCTTCTACTGATTAAAGGTTATTGCTGTATATTTTTGAAGTCATATTTCTTCCCTTGTGTAGGAAAGTTTTAGAACAAAGGAAGTATTATAGTGATCTCCTTCACTTCCTTTTATATAAACACTGATTTTTTGGCTCCTCAGATCTTTTGGAAAGAAAGTTTAAGCAGTTAAAAACTATTTCTTCTGTTTTACTTTTTATTTAAAACCTGATATGGTTTTTAAAAATTGCCTACAATTCAGAAAATATTCTTTAATGCACTCGGGAAAATATTTATATTGAAGAACCTGTTTCCTTGTAAGATCCAACCATACTGTATCTAAAGATAATCTGTTTGAAACTCCTGTTTTATTTCCCTATGAAAACTATCTTTGAATTGTGATTAGGCTCCCAAAGCAGTGAACAAAATCTTACTTAGCATATAATGTAGTTAAAGTAGCAGGCTGGAGTCACCTGGTGTCCTTCTGGTTCTTAACCTGGAGTTGTCAAAGTATGGCTCTGGAAAGCCTAAAATATTTGTTTCTGGCCCTTTGCAGAAAAATTTGCTGATCCCTGTTTAACCTTGAGCCTAAAGATTTGAATGGAGGTGAAGGGGAACTGGGGGACAATAGGTGGGAGGTGGGTGAGGAAAGTAGAAATAGTTTGATCCTTGGGTGATGGCAGTACCCGAGCAGGTCTGGGAATAAGGAAGTATGAGGGAGACTTGGTACCCACTGCTTATGGTTTTACCAAAGGTCTTGGACAGGCTCTGGTGCCTGAGAGATGGCTGCTGCTCAGATATACTTGCAGGCAATTCTTAAATTAAGTGTTTATATGTTTCCTGCATTTCTAGTTTTATAGAGGTGTGTTCTTAATATTCTTTTCCTGTGTTATGAATTATTGTTTTGTATAATGCAATGAAATGAGTGGCTAGTTGTAAGTTCTTATTGTGAAAAAGTTTTATATTAAGCCCCACTCATTTCTCAATTATTATTTTCTTTCTGCTGCCTTTAAATCTAGAATATACATTGCTGCAGTTGGTTTCATGCTTTGCATCCACAAGTTTGTAATCATAAAAATATTTAAAATATGTGCTGGGGCCAGGCGTGGTGGCTAATGCCTGTAATCCCAGCAGTTTGGGAGGCCGAGGTGGGTGGATCACCTGAGGTCAGGAGTTCGAGACCAGCCTGGCCAACATGGTGAAACCTCTTCCCTACTAAAAATACAAAAATTAGCTGGGTGTAGTGGCGGGTGCCTGTAATCCCAGCTGCTCAGGAGGCTAAGGCAGGAGAATTGCTTGAACCCGGGAGGTGGAGTTTGCAGTGAGCCGAGATCACGTCAAGATCATGCCACTGCACTCCAGCCTGGGTGACAGAGTGAGACCCTGTCCTAAAATATATGTCTGGCACGGTGGCTCACACCTGTAATTCCAGCACTTCAGGAGGCGGAGGTGGGCGGATCACTTGAGGTCAGGAGTTAGACACCAGCCTGGCCAACATGGGGAAACCCCATCTCTACTAAAAATGCAAAAAATTAGCTGGCTGTGGTAGTGCACGCCTGTAGTCCCGGGAGGCTGAGGCACGAGAATCGCTTGAACCTGGGAGGTGGAGGTTGCAGTGAGCTGAGATCGCGCCACTGTATTCCAACCTGGGGGACAGAGTGAGACCTTGTCTCCAAAAAAACCCACCACCACCACCAATATATATATAATGTAATTTATAACATCCTGAACTAGAATCAGTACGCTACATAGTCTTGCAATTGGGGCACTCCCTAGGAACAAAACTTATGCCTAATTGGCTGATGTTTAAAGTCAGCTGTGGTGTGTGTGTGTGTGTGTGTGTGTGCACGCTCATGTAATTGGCAAACATTGTTTTGAAAAAAATTTTTAAGCATGAGTTTTAGAAAATATTTTGTGCTTGGAATTGGAAAGTATTTTTAGGCTATAACTAGTTTATTAACTTATATATACATATATTGTCTACTAAGTAATGTCTTTGTTGCACGTATTTTCCAGACAATGTCACTTTATTATTCAAGTTATACTGCTTGGCAGTGATGACCCTGATGGCTGCAGTCTATACCATAGCTTTAAGATACACAAGGACATCAGACAAAGAACTCTACTTTTCAACCACAGCCGTGTGTATCACAGAAGTTATAAAGTTATTGCTAAGTGTGGGAATTTTAGCTAAGTGAGTATAAATACTTATAGTGTGTTAAATTATTTTTCTACCTGGTGAGGGTATTTGTTAGAAAATTCAAGCTACATCTTTATATGTTTAATTGCTCTGGGTCAGTGTTTCTCAACTAGGGGTGATTTTGCCCCCCAGAAGATTTTTTAGTTGTCACAACTTGAGAGATGCTACTGGCATCTAGTGGGTGGAGACCAAGGATGCTGCTAAACATCCTGCAATCCCCATGACAGCCTCACAACAAAGATTTATCCAGCCCCAAATGTCAGTACTGCTGAGGTTGAAGAACGCTGCTGTAGAATAGAAGTTGGCAAACTATGTCTCATGGGCCAAATCCAGCTTGCTCCCTGGTTTTGGTGTAATGGAGACTGACTGGCTTGCAAAGCCTAAAATATTTACTGTTTGGCCCTTACAGAAAACAATTATTGACTTGTGTTTTGGATGAATATAATAATAATAACATTTCTTGAGTGTTTCCTATGTTAAGTGCTAGGCACTGTGCTATGTGTTTTTTGTGTTTTCTCATTTACTTCTTCCACATTTTCAAGGTAAGTACTTTACCCCTGTTTTATTGACGCAGCATCTGAGGTTCCTTAAGATTACACTGTTAATATGTGGCAGCACCGGGCTTTGAATCAAAAACATCATGCAAGAATTGTTTAGCTAAGGATGTGGTATAAGAGAGGGTTAAGAATTAGGGGCATTGGAGGAGATAGACCTAATTTTAATCCTAGACTGAGATTGTGGCTGCATACACACTTGTAACCTCTTTAAGCTTCAGTTTGTTCATTTTTTTAATTTGAGAAAATAATATGGGGTGCTGAAAATTAAATAAAATCTAATAGGTAAATTACCAGGGGAAAGATTTATGAGATGGGGACCTATAGGAGTCATTGGGGCAGTTAAGAAGTCATACAGGTTTCAAGATGTGTGTTGGTGAGTGAAGGGAAGCAGGGAGGAATAGTGTTGTGTGTAGGCTTTTATGTAGAAACAGACATTACATTTAAATATTGAAATGTTACACGACATTGTGATTGCTTCAGCTTCAGCAGTGTGTGATGAGACAGTTGATAATGCAACTGCAAGCATGGCTATCATTTTGGGAAAGATACCGAGTGAAAGTGTTGAAAATTGGTTCTAGATCTTGAAAAGGCTTATACTAATCCACTTGAAGTAGTTCGAATATGAAAAATATGTGTTATAAATAAAGTTTCAGTGCCACACACAAAAAAACAGCACTCGAATACAAAATTTTCTTTTTTTCTTCTCAGCAAGGCAGTTTTCCTTCTATAGAAGGGTGTGCCCTCACAGATGGAGCAATGGTGAGCGCACACCTGGACAAGGGAGGAAAAGGGGACTTATTCCTTATGCACGTGGCCTCTATGGCTCTGTCGTTCCCCTATTGGCTAGGGTTAGACTGCACAGGCTAAACTAATTCCAGTTGGCTAATTTAAAGAGAGTGATGGGATGAGTGGTTTGGCGGGAAAAATGGTTATGGCAGAGCAGGAAATCGGAATGAGTCAGGGTGGAGAGGGTAATCAGAAAAGGTTGCTTTACGAGGAAGTTAAATTTAAAAGTAGAAGGCAAAGAATTGAACATACTGACATACTGATTCTTCGAAGAGAAATTTAGAACTCATATCTAACAATCCCCTCCTCTTGCATTTTCCTTACACCTCTTTCTCTTCAAACTTCTTTAACATGCCTTGGCTTAGTTCTGCTCAATTTTCCGAAAGAAGAAGCTTCTCTGGATAAGGTGGAGGATAGTTAAGGGAGGTTTTAGTAAGTGCCATTTCTATGAGCACTTACTCTGCACCAACCCACAGATGCATGGTATGACACAGCACCCGACAAGAATAAGTACACCCATTACAGCTGTGAGGGAAGTAAGAATTGAGGCTGTTATTCCTTTCCATTTACCGAACCACTTTTCTAGCCATCCTGTAAAGGGGTCATTTACCCCTGAGCTGCTGGCTAACTCATTGGACAGAGCAGTCAGACCTTGCAATGCCTTTGTTATACTTCCATTAGGGGCAGTGTTGTTTGGGATGAAGGCACAACATTCAGTTTTAATCATGATGCAAACTCCTCCTCTTTCTGCTAATATCATGTCTAAGGCTATCCTATTTTCCCAAGCCATCTGGCAGTTAGTCCCTAATTGCTCAGCTATTCCTTTAACAGCATCTCTAGTGTAGTTCATAAATTGCTGTTGGTTATAATAGATGTAGTTTATCCAATCTATGTTTTTATTAATTGTGACCCACCAAAATATTGACTCAAATCCTGCAGCTATTTGATTTCGGGCTTTAAATTGATCTGGTATTCCCCGTGGGACTCCAATTGCATCTAAATAGACATGAGAGTTGAATGACCTATAAGGAGCTTCTCTCACTTTATGATGTCTTATTTTTCCTTCCTCTGGTTGATGAAATGCCAGAGTAAAAGGGATAGCCAATTGAACTAGAGCATAACTACTGCTCTAATTATTTGGCAGAGTGTCCAGTAAAGGTCCTCCATAATACCACCATACATCCGCTCAGGGATGAATAAGGGCAGATTGACGGGTCACCTCTTGGAAGTGCCTAACTTCACTGCATCCTGTTAAGTCTCCAAGAAATGCCAAATTTTTCCCCGTGTCGTTAGAGACACGAGGTAAAATTGGTTTTGGAAGATGGAGGCTGGATGGCCCTTGGGGGCTGACCTGCAGGGTGTTGGACTTCAGGAAATAGCAGAGAAAGAGCTTAGCACAATTTGTTATTCCAGGCAGTAGAATCTTGAAAAAGCTACCATGCACTCCATGTCCACTTGATTTGAGGACCATCCCAGTGGAAAGGTAACAACCTGGGCCTCTAGCCTACCGTGCACACAAGTGTAACAGTTACTTTTGTTTAAAGTGTGAATGGAATATTTAATACATTTTAACCAGGCATTTACATCTTTATACCCTGTCAATAGCTATGGTTTGCCTTAGGTCTCCTATTTCTACTACTGAGACCTTGCTTTTGTCATTTGGCATGAGGCGAGGCATAGTTTTATTTCGTAGGTTTGTGAAAGGGGCAGTTGTAGGAGGTAGAGCAGGGAGAACAAAGCGCATCTTAAAGAAGCCTATAGGGTCCTTTCCAGTGACTTCTGCTCCTAAACCATAGAAACGCTCTAAAGTGGGGTTAGAGTTGCTAGTGGTAGGAACAGTAATGGATATAGGCACTGTGTTAGGAAAGGAAGGAAAAGATAGATAGACTAAGCTTTTCTTAGCTTTAATTTGGTAAGGCTTGATCCAGGAACAATGGTCCATGATTCTGATGGTAATGGTGCTTGCTTGACTCGGGTGTGATGTGTCCATCCCCCTTCTGTGGTACAAACCATAGTCTTGGTGGTTAGCAGCACAAGGTAGGGTCCTTCTCAGGCTGGCTTGAGTTTTCCTTCTTTCTACCCTTTGATGAGGGTGTGATCCCCAGGCTAGTGCCCGTTTACCAGAAATTCTAGGGGTGGTACCTGTGCTAAAAGACTTGTAGTTTTGAGGGAAAGGAAAGTGGAAGATAAACCAAGTATATAATTTATGAGAAACTGATCTTTTGTTTTAAATTTGGGGACACCAGGCTGGGCGCGGTGGCTCATGCCTGTAATCCCAGCACTTTGGGAGGCCGAGGCGGGTGGATCACCTGAGGTCAGGAGTTTCAAGACCAGCCTGGCCAACATGGAGAAACCTTGTCTCTACTAAAAAATACAAAATTAGCCAGGCTTGGTGGCACATGCCTGTAATCCCAGCTACTTGGGAGGCTGAGGCAGGAGAATCGCTTGAACCTGGGAGGCGGAGGTTGTGGTGAGCCGAGATCGCGCCATTGCACTCTAGCCTGGGCAACAAGAGCGAAACTCTGACTCAAAAAAAAAAAAAAAAATTGGGGGACACCAGCAGTGGACTTTATAGTCCTTAGTGCCTTCTTCCTGAGAAACTTCCTTTAGAAACTTCCTGAGAAACCTATTTTTATTAGTTTTTAGACCAAAGAAAGCCAAACACCATTTTATATTTGACAGTGCTTCCTGTATGATTATACCAGATAAGCTAAATTTCACCTTTATATTAGTGTATTATTAATATTAAACTCAATTTTAATAAAACCCTGTAGACATATTTATCCGATTTTAATGTCTGACCATAAGGTAAGATTTCCATAGACTCTTTTTAACCTTTTATAAAATTTGTTAAAGAGCAGTTTAGTGTTTTTTAGTGTTTTAAGAAAAACCCATTGTGCTTTTATTTTAATGTCCAGTTCACAGAAAAACTGGATGATACCCCTTTAACTTTAGCCAATATGGTTACACACAGAATTTCCTTTACAATTAACATTTTAAAACTTGCTTAAACGCTCAAAACAAAATTTTTTTTAACCTTTTAATGTAGGTAAAAATCCACATTCTATGCCTCCTTATTATCCTTTTACCAAAAGTATATTTTACTTTCATTATACACCTTGCACATAAACTGTTTCTTCAATAGTTTTACATTCAGGAGGCCTAATTACTTTTAAATTATACAACATTTCTTGCATAAGTTCCCTTTTATAGCATTTTTCATGACTTTCGCAATCTTCGACAGGCCTCAATTTTCTGACTTCCTGTAAACATCGCTTTCTTTAAATAACCAGTTAATTTATTTTAGGATAATAATTTACCATATAACATTCTTTTTATATAAATTCTCCCCCCCCTCCTTTTTTTTCCCCCAAGATGATAACCATTCTTTTCCAAAGCAAACTTCCTTCAGGTCTGTGGACTAGACTGCCTAAGGCCACAAGATTAGAAGTTAGGATAATACATATTACACTGCTAACTTTTGGCAAACTTTACCTTTGTGGAAAACCTTGTAAGTTTGGTATTTCAATTATCCTTTGCTATTAATAAGACTTTCTTTAGTTTAAATTAACTTAGAATTGGTATAGACCACTCCTTCCTGATTCTGTAAGTACTTTAAGGCTTAGCTGAGTGCAAACAGCTTACCAACTATTAGGCAATTTTCCTAACTCTACTTCTATAAGAGTTTCCCTATCACTTACTGAATACCCGTTGTGGCTTTTTCCCTCAGTCACACGGGAGGAACCATCTATCGTCCTGTCCTGAAGGGAGTTCCTTCTAGGTCTGGTCGGACCTTTATATGGTAATTAATTAAGATTTAGATCCCCTGTGAGGAAACCTGCTGGGTTAAGGGAATTATCAGTGGTTAATGTTAAATCATCTTTTTCTAACAGAATAGCCCCATACTTTAAGATTTTTGAGTTAGTAAGTTACCTTTTTGTCTTAGGATACTTCTGAACTGGGTGAGGTGTGCTCACAATGAGGTTTCCTCTAAAAGTTATTTTTCTACTTTCTTCTGTTAGCAAAGCAGTTGCCGGTACAGATTGAATGCATTTGGGTCATCTGCGGGTTACTGGGTTAAGGATTTTTGATAGGAAGGCTATGGGTCGTCAGTGATCTCAGTGCTTTCAGGCTGTGCCCTTGTTTACACTGACAACAAGGTGGTATTGGAGTGTTATAGAGTCACGGAGAAGACCTTCAATTATCAATTATAGGTTTTAAATTTACCCTAGCTTTTAAAGGAATAGGGTACACTGTTTTTATTACTTCTCTCTGTCTCTCTCTCTCTCTTTCTCTCTCTCTGACTCTCTGTCTCTTTCTCTTTCTCTCTCTCTCTCTGACTTCCTTTCCCAGTTTCTCTTTCCTCTCTGCTGGTCTTTCCCTGCCTCTGCCAGCCGCTTATGCTGCTGTTCTTCCCTCTCCTCCTTCCCCTAGGGGAGCGACCAGTGGGAGTGGAGTTTAGCCTTTCTTTCCCCCGAGAAGAAGCGAAAGGGGAGTTCTGAATATTTTTCTTACTACTGGAGGTTTCTGTGAGGTTCAGCCCCCCACAATGGGGATTTCTCACCTCACTGAGGTTCAATGTACCCCTATTGGGATTTTTCACCTCTTTTGAGGTTCAACCCCTCGTAATGGGGATTTCTCAGTTCTTTGAGGTTCAGCCCCTGAAATTAGCGGAAGGCTCAACCCATCAAACCAGGGGTGTCTTCCCTCGCCTGTCCTGGAAGACTCAACCCCTCAAACCAGGGATGTCTTGCCTTGCCTGCCGTGGAAGGCTCAACCCCTCAAACCAGGGATGTCTTGCCTTGCCTGCTCCGGAAGCCTCAACCCCTCAAACCAGGGTGTCTTGACTTGCCTATCCTGGGAGGTTGACATGTTTCCTCCCCTTTCCCCCTCTGAAGGTCCCTTGCACACTTCCCACTCATGTTGTCCTCTCTGGCTGCTCCCCCAAGGGAGAATTAGGCCCTTCTTAGTGTTGGCGTGCTGGTATAAATCCCACAGCAGGATCCGCCCTAAGCCATACGAGGTAGCTGTGGAACTGCAGAGAGGACGCACTCACTCCATCCAGCAGTAGGACTTGTCACCATCCACACAACACCACAAGCAGGGTTGTCTGTGATCATTCACGCACACACACATTCAGCCCTCCAGACTTTGACCACCAAGGAAGTACTTTACTGGCTCCCGTGGTTTCTTCTTCATTGGTCTGTGCACAGTCATTGCTGTGGTATGTGAGGATCCTTTACCTCAGGTTGCCAGCCGGTTTGGTTTCTTTCTGTGTTGCTGAGAGCTCGGGTTATTCCTTGCACTGGGCGGGTCCTGATTTCTCACCCCTGAGGACGCCACAAGGGGGCGGGGTGCACCTCCTCACAAGAGAGAACCAGAGACCGCCTCTGGAGGGGAATGTAATCCCAGATGAGCCCCTAAATTGTTATAAAGTTTTGGTGCTGCAAAAGAAATAGCACTCGAATATAAAATTTTCTTTTTTTCTTCCCAGCAAGGCAGTTTCCTTCTATAGAAGGGTACACCCTCACAGTTGGAGCAGTGGTGAGCACACACTTGGACAAGGGAGGAAAAGGGGGTCTTATTCCTGATGCACGTGGCCCCTGCTGCTGTGTCATTCACCTATTGGCTAGGGTTAGACCGCACAGGCTAAACTAATTCCGATTGGCTAATTTAAAGAGAGTAACGGGGTGAGTGGTTTGGCAGGAAAAATGGTTATGGCAGAGTAAGAAATCAGAATGAGTCAGGATGGAGAATGAACAGGTAATCTGAATGAATCAGGGTGGAGCAGGTAATTGGAATTAGGGTGGAGCAGGTAATCGGAATGAGTCAGGGTGGAGTAGGTAATCAGAATGAGTCAGAGTGGAGAGGGTAATCGGAAAAGGTGCTTTACAAAGAAGTTAAGTTTAAAAGTAGAAGGCAAAGAATTGAACGTACTGACATGCTGATTCTTTGAAGAGAAATTTAGAACTCGTATCTAACAGATGAATAAAATACATGGCCAGACTGTGGGCCATTAAGAGTGATATGAACAGTTAAGAGGAGCAGCAAATCAAAGGGCCTAGAGCTTTATAATGGTCTTTTAGATTTAGTGTTTGCAAAAAAGTAAAATATTTTCCAGGTACTCTGAGTGTTGTCAATTCTTTGTACACATATTAAAATTGGTAATTCAAAAAGAGTAAGTAGATGAAAGGCAAACAGGATGTTATCTAGTCTGTTAAAACACAGGTTGGATGTCAGTGTTTTATTTGCTGTGATGGAGAGGCTTCTAAATATCAGAAAATAATTGTTACAAAAAATGTTATGAGATGATTTGTTATATGCACAGGAAACCAAAGTTGATTCATGTTTGAATTTATATTTGCTTGAAAATTCTTTTCCCATGTAATGTTAAAATAATTGTGTAGAGCTAAAAAAATGAAATTAGACTTTTTTCTTTGCTTTCAAATCAAGGAAGACTTTATCATCTCACAGAAAGGATGACAATTTCAGGATATTATGGGAGGCTGTGGAAGAATTATATTAGAAATAACTAAAGGTTTAGAACTTGAACTTTCTCTTCAGAGGAGAAAAATTAAGAAGAACTTAGATCTTGGCCAGGTGTGGTGGCTCACACCTGTAATCCCAGCAGTTTAGAGGCCAAGGTAGGAGGATTTCTTGAGCCCAGGAGTTGGAGACCAGCCTGTCAACATGGTGAGACTCCATCTCTACAAAAAATAAAAAAATTAGCTGGGTGTAGTGGTGTGTGGCTGTAGTCACAGCTACCTGGGAGGCTAAGGTGGGAGGATTGCTTGAGCCTGCGAGGACCTGCAGTGAGCCATGATTGTACCACTGTACTCTAGCCTGGGCAACAGAGCAAAACTCTGTCTCAGAAAAAGAAAAAAAAAAATTAGAAGAACTTAGATCCTGATGATTAAAATAGTGTATTTCCCCCATATTTCCAGAAAAATACTGCAGAGTTAGTGTAAAAATTAGTAACATTTGCTCAATGTTGATTTGAGTTTTCTGGAGAATGAATACAGGGAAAGGAAAAGAAATTACTATTTAAATGGAAAAAAATTAAACTTCATTTAAAACTATGATTAAATGAAGTAAAAGCTTCTTCCTTTTTGCCCATTCTTTACACTGTGATAAAGTACAATAACTTTATAGGGTTGATACAAAGTATTATACTAGAACTTCAATTTTTTTGGAACTGTGCAAAGCTTAATCTCATTATAGAGCAGTCCATTTGGTGGTTTGTTTATTTAGTATGGTCTCTGATGCTGTTTGCTCAGTAATGTTCTTTGCTTAGTGAATAGTCTTGGCTAATTGTTAAAGTACATATATTATACGGGAGTGGGAGGTGGGGGCAGAAACTTATCGAAGTAGCACCTGAAACCATGTTTTGGTTATAATTAAGGTTCACTTAGATAATAACATACCACTGCCATATTCAAATCTGTGTTTCATTCCTTCCAAACATTGGAAGCAAATAGTCATTCTAAGTTGTTTCAAGGTATTGTTAATAAGATATAATGGGACAGTCAGGTTCACGCATTCATTTATTTAGTTAGAAAATACCTATCAAACCTCAATTATATACTCAACACTATTCTAGTGTTTTCACTAGAACACTGCAAATTAAAAAGGTGTAGTTCTGCCCTCATGGACTTATAGTCTGTTGGAGAACCAAATATTATAATAAATAATAAATAGGTGATGTTATGAGGGAAAAGTAGAGGGTGCTACAAACATGCATGATAGAGGGCCTGCATTTGGATTAAAGGGTTTCCTCTCTGAGGAAGTTACGTTTAAACCTAGACCTGTCAATTGAGTAGACTTTAGGCAAGAAAAGAGCAGAGAGGAGGCAGAGAACTGCGTGTTTGAAATCCCTGAGGCAGAAAAGTCCTTGACTTTGGTGCTGAGATGAAGCAGGAGAGGTCATCAGGGTATCACAGTAGTAGTATGGACCTGTTAAGGATTTTAGATTTAATCTGAAGTGCATTAGAAAAATCATTGAGTGGAGCCAGGTGCGGTGGCTCACACCTATAATCTCAGCACTTTGGGAGGCTGAGGCAGGTGGATCACTTGAGGTCAGGAGTTCAAGACCAGCCTGGCCAACATGGTAAAACCCCATCTCTACTAAAAATACAAAAATTAGCTGGGCGTGGTGGCACATGCCTGTATTCTAGCTACTTGGGAGGCTGAGGCAGGAGAATTGCTTGAACTTGGGAGGCAGAGGTTGTAGTGAGCTGAGATCACACCACTGCACTCCAGCCTGGGTGACAGAGCAAGACTCCGTCTCAAAAGAAAAAAAAGAAAAAGAAAGTCATTAAATGGTTTAAGTGAGGGACTAACATAGAACCCATGTTGAGAGTCACTTTGACCTCTTTGAGAATGAATTAGAAGTAGGGAAACAATAGAGGCAAGAGATAATCAGCTAGGATGACAGCACAGGTCACGAAGAGAAGTTAATGGATTTGAGTTATGCTCTGGCAGTAGAATCTGTAGGACTTCGTGATGGGTTTGGATAACCTGCTCCTAGGGGATATACAGGGTAGTTTCCTGTGAGCAACTGATCACATTTTTGTCAATTAATCAATACAATAACCTTGTTTTGTGTGTGCTTCAATCTAAAGACACTTTATTTAATGTACATTATTGATTAATTAGCATTGAACTCATGGCCAACAGCACTATAACATGCCTGAACAAAGCTTATCTATCACATGTATTTTCTCCATAATATATAGCATATCCTTCTTATACTTAGGAACATCAGACAGTGCGTCAGCCCTACAATGCTTGGGAGCCATTTAAACAAAATCACCAACACAAAGCACAAAAATGCAAAAAATGTGGTACTGAATAGATTGCACTTGTTTATGATCTGAAAGCGGAAACAAGGCAGAATGTTAACTTGTTCAGCGTCAGCCAGGAATGTGCACACTTGGTGAATCAAATTTTTTGCCACTCTGCACATGTCTGCCAATGACTGCAAGTGTTACCAGCATTGATTTGGGGGTTACAGATACATTTTAATGAGTGGAGAATTCACACGTACAGTCCATGAATAATAATAATCAACTATAGTAGGGGAAGGAAAGGGAGGTATCAGGAAGCATATCTGTGTTTCCTAGTATAAACAATTGGGTAGAGTTATTATTATTTTTGTTTTTTGAAACAGGAAAAACAGATTTGGGGGAAAAAGATATCAACAGTTTGATTTTGGGTAGGTATAATTTAAAGTTTTTAATGTCTTGAGACATCCAAATGGGCAGTTGGATTAAATGGGTCTGGAACTCAGAAGAGAGGTCTGGGCTAGAGATATAAATTTGGGAGTTCTTATCACATAAAAGTATTTAATCTCATGGAATTGGAAGACATTGTTAAAAAACAATGATCGTGTAAAAACAATCTTATTTGTAATGTCATTTGACTCCATGTACCTTAAAGATTGCTGTTTTCTGGACAGGATAACCAGAAACCCCAGGACTAATATAAAGAGGAACACATGATAGGTGTGCTCTGTTTAGAGAAATGGAAGGCAGCTTGTTTAAGAAACAACAAAGGAGTGCTTGCTTTGGCAGCACATAATACTAAAAATTTGGACAGTACAGAGAAGATAGCATGGCCCCTGTGCAAGGATGACATGCAGATTTGTAAAGCATTCCACATTCAAAAAACAAAGGAGTCAGTCTGGTACTGAGGCAGTGCCCTAGAACTTTGTAAGAGTTAAATTAAGCAGGCCAGGGTAGGTATAACTCAATCAAGTGTGCAAATTAGAATCTTCAGGTCCCAAGAATTTAAGCAGAGGCAATTGTAGCTCCATGGATTGTTCTTGGTGAGGTTTTGGAGATCTGAAGTCTAGTCACACTCACTTCATGTGTAAGAACTTTGAGCCTGGAAAGGGACTAATTCATACAATCTCTGACTAAAAATTTTGTGTGACCAAATGGATCAGCAAGGTTCCAGATCCATGTTTTAAATGAAATGCCAGTCTCTTTTTCAGAATTTGAGGTGGTAGAGAGGTTCTATAACCAGGTAGTCCTTTTTGGACAGAACCCATGATGGCAATCTAGGTCAAAGGGCTGAGACCCCATTGTCTTTTGTTCTTTCTCTTGCCTTTAATGCCTTCCTTAGGGTAGCTGTAGATGGGTTGCATGCCATGAGGCATGGATATCCTAACATTCACATTAGTATGGTAAAAGTTTTGTAGGCTGAAGGGTATAACTGGTTTGCTAAAACATTGGAAGACAATAGCTTAATTCTAATTCCAAATATTTTCTTTGTCCTGGTTATATGCTGTGGCTTGGATGTGATTTGTCTCCACCAAAACTTATATTGAAATTCTATCCCCAGTGTGGTGATGTTGGGAGGCGGGGTCTAGTGGGAGGTGTTTAGGTTGTGGGGGCAAATTCCTCATGAATGGTTTGGTACTGTTTTCCTGGTAGTGAGCTGTGGCTCTCAAGAGACAGGATTAGTTCTTGCAGGAATTGATTATTTCTCGGGAGTGGGTTATAAAGCCAGGATGCTCCTCATGTTTTGCTCTCTTCACACGTGTCCACCTCCCCTTAGACCTTCTCTGCCATGTGATGCAGCAGGAAAGCCCTCGAAGAAGCCAGGGCCATGCCCTTGAACTTCTCAGCCTGCTCAACTGTGAGCTTTTTTTTTTTTTTTTTTTTTTTGTAGATGGAGTCTTGCTCTGTCATCCAGGCTGGAGTGCAGTGGCGCAATCTCGGCTTACTGCAACCTCCGCCTCCAAGGTTCAAGCGATTCTCCTGCCTCAGTCTCCTGACTAGCTGGGACTACAGGCATGTGCCACCACGCCTGGCTAATTTTT
This sequence comes from Homo sapiens, assembly GCF_000001405.40. Lineage (NCBI taxonomy): Eukaryota > Metazoa > Chordata > Mammalia > Primates > Hominidae > Homo > Homo sapiens. Next base: position 87,489,714 of record NC_000006.12, read on the forward strand.
ATATTTCTAGTAGAGACAGGGTTTCACCATATTGGTCAGACTGGTCTTGAACTCCTGACCTTGTGATCTGCCTGCCTCAGCTTCCCAAAGTGCTGGTGAGCCACCGCGCCTGGCCAAATTTTTTTTTTTTTTTTTTAATACCAGTCTCAGGTATTCTTTCACAGCAACGCAAAGCAGACAAAGACAGTATTTAACATATTTAAAAGAGAACTCTATTAAACATTGTAAATGCACACTGGGTGTAGTGGCTCACACCTGTAATCACAGCACTTTGGGAGGCCGAGGTGGGTGGATTGCTTGAGGCCAGGGGTTAAAGACCAGCTTGGGCAACATGGCAAAACCTCATCTCTACAGAAAATACAAAAATTAGCTGGGTGTGGTGGTGTGCACCTTTAGTCCCAGCTACTTCAGGGGCTGAGGCAGGAGGATCGCTTGAACCTGGGAGGTGGAGGCTGCAGTGAGCTGAGATTGTACCACTGTACTCTAGCTTGGGGGATAAAGTGAGCTCCTGTCTCAAAAAAAAATTATAAATGCAATTTACTTGAAAATTTTAGGATATTTAACTTCTTAGAAGAAATACAGACTTGCTTCAGTGAAGGGTGCCTGATATATATTGTCATCATTTTTTTTTTTTTTTTGAGATGGAGTTTTGCTCTGTTACCCAGGCTGGTGTACAGTGGCGTGATTTCGGCTCACTGCAGCCTCCGTCTCCTGGGTGCAAGTGATTCTCCTGCCTCAGCCTCCTGAGCAACTGGGACAACAGGTACACACCACCATGCCCAGCTAATTTTTGTATTTTTTGTAGAGATGGGGTTTCACCATGTTGGCCAGGCTGGTCTCGAACTCCTGACCTCATGATCCACCTGCCTCGGCCTCCCAATGTAATTTTTATTTGAAAAAAAGGAAAAAGATATTTCTTTCACGTTGGGGTAAAAGAACAGAAGGCAACGGTGCATATGTTGCTGTGGTCTCCAAGAAAACTAGGCAAAAAATATGAGGAAAGCACTGAAAGTGTATTATTGCTATAAATTTAAAATGCCCTAGAAAAGCCAAAGAAAAGAATAATGCCCCCTTTTGGGACTTTGAAAAGTATTTTTGAAAACCTCATGAGTAGATGTCTTCTTTAGAGAGCAGGTAGCTATACTCTGTAGAATACCAACTAGTAATCATTGTCAAAATGTGTTATGTAAAATGCCACACATCCTCCTTTAAGATTATATTTGCTGCCTTCAGTTATTCAGAATTGTTGCTATTGAGAATGGCAGGCTGCCAGAGGGTGAAAGTGTTAAGGAAACACTCTTTGATGTCCAGCCTTAGAAACAGGTGAGGGAAACAAGCTGGTAAATACAGCTTATTTTCATTTCATTCTTGTACATGTTGACTAACCCTTATCCAAAGTGCTTGGGACCAGAAGTGTTTCAGATTTCAGGATTTTTAGGATTCTGAAATATTTGCATTATATTAATTTGATACGAGCATCCCAAATCTGAAAACCTGAAATCCAAAGGGCTCTAATGAGCATTTCCTTTGAATGTCATGTTGGCATTCAAAAAGTTTTAGGTTTTGGAACATTTCAGATTTTGAATTTTCAGATTTGGGCTACTCAACCTTTATCTTCATTTTGGCTGAAACTATTATTTCCTCTTCTTTGATGAGAAATCTTAGGCTGAGGGAAATTTTAATTTGCCAAAGGAACCTAGAAAGTAATTGACAATGACAGGATTAGAAGACAAGTTTCTTGAACTCTGATTTTCAAATTATGAGTCTTTCAGAAAAATGAAGTAATTAAGTATTTTTGATTAAGACAAAGATAAGCACAGTGGCGTTGTTAGACATTTCAGTAGTTTACAATAATTTTTTCTCTTAACTTTTTATTTCCAAATGTTAACACTTTGCCATGTGTCTTCTTCATTCAGGTGGCTCTATAATAAAATACCATAGACCAGTTGGCTCAAGCAACATTTATTTCTTACATTTTTGGAGGCTGGAAAGTCCAGGATCAAGATGCTGGCAGATTAGGTGTCTGGTGAGGGCCCTCTTCCTAGTTTGCCGACTGCTGCCTTTTTGCTGTATCTTCATGTGATGGAGAGAGAGATGGCTCTGGCCTTTTCCTCTTCTTATAAGGCACTAATTCCATCATGAGGACTCTACCCTCATCACCTCACTAAACCTAAGACCCTTCTCCAAATACTAATCACATTTGTGGATTAGGGCTTCAACATATGAATTTTAAGGGGTAACACATTTAGCCCATAGCACATTACACATACAACAAAACATTTTTGTTTTATGACATTCTTCTATTTGTGTGAACATGTATAGAATTTTTTTCTGATTTGTTTTAGAGTAAGATTTAGACAAGATGCTTCTTTGTCCCTAACGTTCTTCAGTGCATGTTTCCTAAAAACAAGGACATTCTCTTATATATAATCAATAAAATTATCGAAATTGAGACATCAGTACTGATATAGTACTATTACCTAATTCACGGACCTTATATAAATTTTTCCAATTGCCCTCCAATGTCCTTTATAGCAAAATAGTTATTTTTCTTGGACTTCAGTCCTGTCCAGGATTACAGTTTGCTTTTAATTGTCATGTCTCTAGTTTCTTTTAATCTAGAGAGTTCCTCCATCTTTTTTTTTCATGTCATTGATATTAACACAGGCCATTTAATTTGTAGAATCTCTCAAATTATGTTTATTGAGTTTTATGATTAAATTTAGGGTTTTTTTGGGTCAGGGATATCATAGAAATGATGCGTCCCTTTTAGTGCAGTATATAAAGATGTACGTGGTATCTATTTGTTCCATTACTGGTAATTTATCTTGATTTTTTTTTTTTTTTTTTTGAGTTGGAGTTTCACTCTTGTTGCCCAGGCTGGAGTGCAATGGCATGATCTCAGCTGACTGCAACCTCCGCCTCCTGGGTTCAAGCAATTCTCCTGCCTCAGCCTCCCAAGTAGGATTGGGATTACAGGGATGCACCACCACACCCGGCTAATTTTTGTATTTTTAGTAGAGATGGGGTTTCACCATGTTTGCTAGGCTTGTCTTGAACTCCTGACCTCAGGCGATGCACCCAGCTTGGCCTCCCAAAGTGCTGAGATTACAGGTGCGAGCCACCACACCTGGCCTAATCCTGGTTTCTTGATTAAGGTAGTGCCTGCTAGGTTTCTCCACATAAAGTTACCAGTTTTCTCTTTGTTATTAACAAGTGTCTTTTGGAGAGATACTTTGAGACGAGATAAATATTCTCTTTCTCATCACACTTTCACCTACTGGTTTTGTGGTCTGATACTGTTGTCAAATGATAACTTCCTGATACTTCATCATTACCTATACATTTATTGGCATTCTACTCTAGAAATTTCCCTTCTTCCCCCCTTTCTCTCCCTCTTTGTATTTATGTGAACATGGACTCAAGGATTATTTTATTGTGCAGGTTAGAATCCATTATTATCATTATTTTGATGCTCAAAATGTCCCAGATTTGCACAGTGGGATTAAACAGTTTCTTTTTAGCATATCTTGTTACAGGCTTTTCTTGTACTTTCCCTGCCCCAACCCTGAAATCATACATTTCTTCAAGGATCCTTTATTCCTTTTTTTTCCAGAATGGTATTTGGAAACCAGAATCTAGGCATTTGGTATACACATTGATACTGGAGTATCATTACTTTAGACCCTTTTAGCAGAGCTATGAAATATATATGCATGTGTATGCATAGACACCTATCTAAATCTAGTTGTGTGTGTGTGTGTGTGTGTATAACAAAGAGTTCTACATTGATTGATACCACAATTTTGATCTAACATCACTGTGTTCATTCTAAACTTCTCCTTACCCATGTTTGTTCCCTTATCTAATGGTGAGGATTCTAGCTCCCATTATGCTCAAGATGTTTACTTATTTGCTCAATCCTAGAATAGATAAGGAGTAGTTTCAGAATTTCTAATATTTACCTGAGAAAAAAACAAACTACTAACTGAAGTATGTATTTGTATGTAGTTCTCTTTGTTTTAGTTTTACAGCATACAGTAAAATACTGTGTTTTAGAATATTTGAGTTCTCTTTTTCTCCAAGTATAATTTTGTAGACAGTTGTTTTTGGCTTCTGTTTGTATTTAACTTGAGATTCCCCCATCCTTGTTGATTATACTTACAACACCCTGGAAGTTTTGGCATGTGAAATTATACTTATTTCAATAAGAAGTTAGAACTGGAAAAGAAAAAGGGAGTGTGGGAAGGAATTAATGGATGGCTACTTTGATAGATAAGGTTGACGTGGTCAAAGTAGTAAATGTTATGTGCAAGAGATTGCTGGGCCTTGTGTGTGATGTACACTGTACCCCACTTTCCTTTTTTTTTTTTTAACACAAGTATTTTACCTTAGAGGTGGTTTTATGTCAGTACATAGAAATCTATCTCATTCTTTTTAAAAGCTGCATGGTATTCCATTATGTATAGATACCATATATACCAGTCTGTACTGATGGGCATTTGGGTTGTCTCCAGTCTTCTACTCCAACACAAAGATGTAATAATTATCTTTGTACATACACTGTTGTGCATATGAATTATTATATCAGATAACTTTTAAATTAAAAGAGAAATTAGTAAATTCTGTTTTGAGGGAGGGGCAGATTAGCAGTTGGATATTGCGAAAGCTGTACATGTAAATAAGGTGATTTTTTTTAAATATTTGAATTTTTTTTTTTTTTTTTTGAGACAGAGTCTCGCTCTGTTGCCCAGGCTGGAGTGCAGTGGTGTGATCTCAGCTCATTGCAAGCTCCGCCTCCTGGGTTCATGCCATTCTTCTGCCTCAGCCTCGCGAGGAGCTGGGACTACAGGTGCCTGCCACCACGCCTGGCTATTTTTTTTTGTATTTTTTAGTAGAGACGGGGTTTCACTGTGTTAGCCAGAATGGCCTCGATCTCCTGACCTCATGATCCGCCTGCCTCAGCCTCCCAAAGTGCTGGGATTACAGGCATGGGCCACTGCACCCGGCCAAATATTTGAATTTTAAGTTATCAATTTCTAAGCTATAATTTGGTTGAAAGATAAACAATACAACATTTAAAAGTACTTTTTCATAAAATTAATTACTGCTGCAATTCACGGGAAAATTGTTATAATGCTTTACTAGACTCTATCACAGCTGTTAACACTAACAGTTTAGATTTAAACCTGTCATTGTTAGTATAAAGAAAAGGAAGTGAAAACACTTTCATATTGCCTTGGAACAAAGGAACAAAGTCAACTTTTTTTTTTTGAGACAGGGTATCACTCTGTCACCCAGGCTGGAGTGCAGTAGCGTGATCTTGACTTGCTGCAACCATCGCTTCCTGGGCTCAAGCAATCCTTCTGCCTCAGCCTCCCCAGTAGCTGGGATTATAGGTGCGTAGCACCACACCCAGCTAATTTTGTAGACATGGGGTTTCGCCATGTTGTCCAGGCTGGTCTCAAATTCCTGGACTCAAGCAATCCGTCTGCCATGGCCTCCCAGCATGCTGGGATTATAGGTGTGAGCCGCTGCGCCAGCTCAAACAACTTTTTATTGTTTGCTATTCACCATAGTTTATAAAGACTATCCCTAGCAGGATGTGTAAATGTTAATGTACATACACTTTGGGTGTGTTTAGTAACAAACCAAATATATCTTAACTTTGAACTACATACCCATATTAAGACCAGAGAAAATTATTCTACTGTTTCATAGTATTATCTAGAGAAATTAATGTATCTGTCAAATACTTATAGATTATCCAGCTTTGTTTATTTCTCCTTCTGGGTTTACATTTTCAGTACCCTTTTGTACCCATGCTATAATGGGTTCAGGGTGTTGGGGAGGAAGTAAAAATCATGTCCCTCATATGAAGGGTATTTTTGTCCTCAAATTGACCTCATTATTGGTTTTTTAACCTAGCCCCTCAAAGTCTTTTTTTTTTTTTCTTTTTTGAGACAGAGTCTAGCTCTGTCGCCCAGGCTGGAGTGCAGTGGTGCGATCTTGGCTCACTGCAAGCTGTGCCTCCCGGGTTCATGCCATCCTCCTGCCTCAGCCTCCCGAGTAGCTGGGACTACAGGTGCATGCCACCACGCCCGGCTAATTTTTTGTATTTTTAGTAGAGACAGGGTTTCACCGTGTAAATCAGGATGGTCTCGATCTCCTGACCTTGTGATCCGCCCACCTCAACCTCCCAGAGTGCTGGGATTAGAGGCGTGAGCCACCGTGCCTGGCCAATCAAAGTCTTTTTAGGTGAGTTAATTATACTTAACTTTGTAGATGATAAGAAATTTATAAACAAAATTTAACTTTCTTAAGCTCATGAGTAACTTCTGCTGTGTTCCATTTTGCACAGTGACTTGGTAACCTAGCCAAGGATTTTATGCCTCCTAGTAGTTCTTGTTAGATCAGTAGCTGGAAGAATGAGGCCTACTTTTGACCAAACAGAGGTCAGAAAGAATGGTTTCAGCTGGTTGATAGGAAATTTAGTGGGAGAGGCAGCAGCAGAATCTCTCTGCAGTCAACATGGAGCTTCAGAATTTCTTCAGGTAACCAAAGGTTGCACAGGGTCTATTCCAATGATAAAAATAAAAAGAATTGTTCAAATAGAAAATTTAACAAGGAAGACTATATCTAAAAAGAAATTTAATATATGTTTTTGATTATATACGCTCTTTTGTCCTAGCTAGCAGTGTCATTTATATAATTAATAAATTTGTTTTTAACAGAGGTGCTCATTAAGGTGCTTGTGATTTGATTTCTAAGAAAGTAAGTTGAGGGCCAGGCGTGGTGGCTTACGCCTGTAATCCAGCACTTTGGGAGGCCGAGGTGGGTGGATCACTTGGTCAGGAGTTCAAGACCAGCCTGGCCAACATGATGAAAAACCCCATCTCTACTAAAAATACAAAAAATTAGCCAGGTGTGGTGGTGTGCACCTGTACTCCCACTTACTTGGGAGGCTGAAGCAGGAGAATCACTTGAACCCAGGAGGTGGAGGTTGCAGTGAGCCGAGATCACACCACTGCACTCTAGCCTGGGTGACATGGCTAGACTCCATCTCAAAAAAAAAAAAAAAGAAAAACCCACCAAAACAGAAAATATAAGTTCCGGAAAATGGAAGAAAAAGTAACCTTTTTACAATATATTACAGTATATTTAGGACTGATCATTTGTTTCTATCTCTTTCATAGTAAAACAAAACGATGATTACTAGTGTTTTCTAGCAGATATATTGCTCTTGTTACTTTTATGTAACTTCAGTGAGTAAAGCTAAATATAAGATTAAGAGCTGTATTCTTAATAAATACATTAACTTAAGCAGGATTTAACCTGATTAATACTGAAATTATTTACCCTCTTCTTTAAAACTTTCTGTGTGGTGAGATTCCCACATATTCTTTCCAATACCTCCTAAATCTCCTCTACTTTCTGATACTTTTCTGTTATTCTCTTTTACTAGTTCTTTTAGCATCCTCTGTTTTTTTTTGTAACTTATTTCAAAATATCTTATGTAACATTGCTATAATCTTTGGTACTACAGTGATATTTGCACTTTCCAGCAATTAACATTCTGGTATACCTTGGTTTCTCTAATGTCTACATTAGAGAAGGAACCAGAAAAAGATACCTTGGCCATCCTGACCGTGAAAAAATAGCTCCTAAGCATCCAACAAAAAGGATATGGCCAAAAGAGACAGATCTGAAGGTTAATCCTGACGCACTGTACTTTACTTTTTGCTCCACTGAAGGAAAGGAATACTCAGATTGGCTGCTAATTTGTTTCATAAGCCCTTCTTTTTATGTGAAAAGTGAGGGAGAAGTGATAAGAAAGAAAAGAGTGGGGAGAAAAGGGACCACAGCAGCCTTTATTGGTGCAGGTATCGTGATTATTTGGAGTAGCAGTTGGATCCTTAAGTAGCCCATATTCTGACAGGACAAAGAGAATCAGCCCTGTTTTTTGGAGAGTCAAAAGGTCGTTTGTTACCAGTGAAGGCTTCTAATGTCTTATTTTTTTCTTTTTTTTAAAAGAGATGGTATCTTACTCTTTCACCCAGGCTGGAGTGCAGTGGTGGCATCATAGCTCACTGTAGCTTCAAACTCCTGGGCTCAAGTGATGCTCCCACCTCAGCCTCCTGCGTAGCTGGGATGATAGGCATGTGCCACCACTCCTGGCAGTTTTTTTTTTTTTTTTAAGAGAAGGGATTTTCCTCTGTTACTTGGGCTGGTCTCCAACTCCTGGCCTCAAGTGATCCTCTTGCCTTAGCCTCCTGAGTAGCTGGGATACAGGTGTGAGCCACCACACCCACCAAGGCTATAATATATTTAACAGGTGGAGGTAAAGTGGCATTGCCCATAGCTGGGGATTAGGGAAAGGATAAATAGCCATTATATTGTAGCTTTTGAGGGTTTAGCATGAAGAATCTTACACCAGGAGATAAATGAATATGGGAGAAGGTGGAGTGTGAAGCATGGGCACAAACAGCCACCTCTCAGCAGTTCCTTCTGGGTATCACCTTAAAGACACATCATCAGTGTATGAGTCAGCATTTTAGAAGGGCACTAAAACTTGCACTTCATACAGTCTGTAAAATTTATATCTATGCTATCATGATACTAGAGATAATTATAATGTTCAGTTATCTTCTCTGATACATCACCTTATTAAGGTGATTATTTTACATTTTAATCTCTTTTTCTCTAATTTTTTCATCAGTTTTATAATTGAGGAGAAAACATTTTGAAAATTATTCTTTATACTCTATTTAAGATGTTGGCCAGGTGCAGTGGCTCATGCCTGTAATTCCAGCACTTTGGGAGGCCGAGGCAGGAGGATCACTTAAGGTCAGGAGTTTGAGACCAGCCTGCCAACATGGAAACCCCGTCTCTACCAAAAATACAAAAATAAGCCGGGCGTAGTGGCCTGTGCATGTAGTCCCAGCTACTCAGGAGGCTGAGGTAGGAGAATCCATGAACCTGGGAGATGGAGGTTGCAGTGAGCCGAGATTGCACCATTGCACTCCAGGTTGGGTGACAGAGAAAGACTCCGTCTCAAAAAAAACAAAACAAAACAACAAAGATGTAAGGAAAGTATATGGGGCATCTTAGATTTGCATTAAGCAGTTAAAAAAAAAGGCAAACATTAGTTTAAAGAGCCAATCTTCAGAAGCCTGGAAAACTCTCCTACATAGATTTTTTGGTGGAAAATCTGTGGTATTTTTGGTATTCTTCTGCTTTTCGAATAGAGTTTGTAGTCCACCACTAGGCTGTGTGCGTTCCTTTTCAGCATATAGACTTAACACTGTGGTGTGGGTTTGGATTTGGTAATACAAAGAGATCTGTAACTAAGAAGGATGTCTTTTGTTTCTGTGGCTTAGGTCAAAGTTCCTGTCTTATTAATTAAGCATTTTCTTGGAGGTAGAATGTTCTACAGCAAATAAATAGGCACAGGTTAGTCAATTTAATATAATGGACTTTTGCTTTCTCTCAGAACTTGGGCAATTATATTTGCAGCATTTAAAAATGAAAAAATTCAACTCACAACTGTTGATTCTAATATATTAACCAAAAATACAGAATCTCATTGTAATTATCAAACTTTGAGTTGGAACAGAGCTATTTCACCAACAAAGTATTATGGTTTTCTTAAGGATATCGTGAGCTGCAGTTAGGACCATTATTATAAAGCACTTCTTTTGGGGTATTGGTGCTTATTATAAAACATTGCTTTATTTTTACTTTCAGGAAATCAATGAGCTGATTTATGATACAGGAAATACAAGCCAGATTAGCCACGTCCTTCTGAAATAATAATAGCAAAAATAATAGTTAAGAGCATGCATAATCAATATGCAGTCAAACAGTAAACTTTATGTACATTAGAGATATAGTTTACTTTTGTTGGAGTTAGTAAATTATTCAGATCTGCTACAGAATTATACAGATATAAAGTATGAGAATATTCTTACATAAGGATTTATTATCTACTATATTTCATAAGTACTAAATTCATTTATAAATAATACTGACCTGACTCTTCCTAACCCACTTAACGAACTACCAAAGCCTTTTTATTTGCAATTAAATCTATTGTAATTTAAAAAAAACTTTAAAAATAGGCCAGGTGCAGTGGCTCACGCCTGTAATCCCAGTACTTTGGGAGGCCGAGGCGGGCAGATCACTTGAGGTCAGGAGTTTGAAACCAGCCTGGCCAACAATACTAAAAATACAAAAAATTTAGCTTGGTGTGGTGGTGGGTGCCTGTAATCCTAGGTACTCAGGAGGCTGAGGCAGGAGAATCACTTGAACACGGGAGGTGGAGGTTGCAGTGAGCTGAGATAGCGCCACTGCACTCCAGCCGGGGCGACACAACAAGACTCCATCTCAAAAATAAATATAAAAATAAAAATGGATATGCAAACTGATCAATTAAAAAGTAATCAGGGTGAACTTGATGAAATAGTTAAAGTAGCAGGGGATGAATTTTTTTATAGGTAATATCAACAGTTTTCCTAATCTCATTATTCAATATACTCAGAATCTCTCAGAGCTTTGACTAGAGATAGTGGTAAATCTAGTTGTTGTCATATTTTCCCAAACAGAACTATAATTTTTTAAAGAGGATACATTATTGGTATGTTTCTTTTAATCTAAAACTAGTTAGAAATTATTAGTTTGCTAAATTACAGCAAGCATAGTATGCTTGTCCTGTGTTTGAAGAAGTCTTATTAAAATAATACTCTTTAATTTTCTTCCTTACCACCCTCTCATCTCCCCCTTTTGTTTTCAAAGAGAAACTGGTAGTCTGGGTAGATTCAAAGCATCTTTAAGAGAAAATGTCTTGGGGAGCCCCAAGGAACTGTTGAAGTTAAGTGTGCCATCGTTAGTGTATGCTGTTCAGAACAACATGGCTTTCCTAGCTCTTAGCAATCTGGATGCAGCAGTGTACCAGGTAAGTGGAGTTAATGATAATGAAAAGCACAGAATCTTTTATGGTAAAAAGAGTTTTTATTAACTCTTTATCATATTATCAATTTTTTTTTTTTTTTTGAGATGGAGTCTCGCTCTTTCGTCTAGGCTGGAGTGCAGTGACGTGATCTCAGCTCACTGCAATCTCCGCCGCCCAGGTTCAAGCGATTCTCCTGCCTCAGCCTCCCGCGTAGCTGGGACTATAGGCACATGCCACCACACCCAGCTAATTTTTTGTATTTTTAGTAGAGATGAGGTTTCACTATGTTGGCCATGATGGTCTTGATCTCCAGACCTCGTGATCCACCACCCGCCTCGGCCTCCCAAAGTTCTGGGATTACAGGTGTGAGCCACCGTGCCCGGCCATTATCAAATATTTTTTATTGATAATTTTATCAATGATACCAGAAATAATATATTTGTATCAGAGACTAACATTAACTGAATTTATTAATTCATTCTCTTTTTTTTAGGTGACCTACCAGTTGAAGATTCCGTGTACTGCTTTATGCACTGTTTTAATGTTAAACCGGACACTCAGCAAATTACAGTGGGTTTCAGTTTTTATGCTGTGTGCTGGAGTTACGCTTGTACAGTGGAAACCAGCCCAAGCTACAAAAGTGGTGGTAAGAAACAAAATGCACACCATAACTTCCCATAAATAGAAAACTTCCTTAAGTCTTATACTGTTCAGTTACATTGATGCATGCAGCATGACTACATTTCTTTGATTTAAAATAACTTTTGCCTTATAGATAGGCCTTTTTTCTTTAGCATATTATTAGGGATAATAATACTTATTGGTTGTTTCTCAGAGGAGAATATGCATAAAATATGTTACAGATGGAACATACCTTAGAAATAATGTGTTCCATCCCCTCCATTTTATGGATGACAGTCCCCAAAGAGGTGAAGGAACTTGTCCTAAATTAGTTAATAGCTAACTTGTGACCACAACTGTGCCAGTTTCCATACTGTATATGTTTAGAACTTCTAGACCTCTTTCAAACATCTCAGAAACACTGGGCAAGGTTTTTCTGCATCTAGTTTTCATCTTCTCTCTCAACTGTCAGTCTCTGGCACATCTCCCTACTGTCAGTGATCAGGATGACAAGGGAAGGAGTGTTCTTACTGATAATTGATAATTATCTTTAGTTTTTAAGAGTTAATGTGAAGGTACATAACAGATTTTTAAAGAGTTAACGCTAAGATACATACATGATTTTTTTTCTTACATTGTATGCCTCAATCAGTTATTTCCCCAAAGAGAAACAGGAAATGGGATGCCAGTGAATAGTTTTGTGAAGGTCAGGAGTTTCCTACAGTTGAATATTTACTCTAACTTTTAGCAAACAGACTATGGTTCTCTTAGGAATGGAAGGCGGCTGGGATGTACAGTGCTTGTGAACAGTATCATATCCCCACCCTCCAGGTCCCCTCCTTCCCCAATTAAAACCCTACTGTTTCTTTCTATAATATGGTTTCTAGACAGACTTCCTGATCCCTGCCTTCTGCCCCTACACTTTTCCTTATATTTTTCTCCTAGATGCATTCATCTGTCATTATTTCTCAATATATCCTAAAACCCCACTGTCTCCCAATGTTGTCTAAGTAATACGAGGCACAGTTTGGTAATTACCCCTTTGTTCTGAATACCGGAGACTTGTTATACAGTCATGCATCGCTTAACAAAGAATGTAAGTTCAGGGTTCTGAGAGATGCATCATTAGGTGATTTCACTGTTGTGCAAACATCATGGAGTATACTTACACAAATCTAGATGGTATAGACTACTTACTACACATCTAGGCTGTACAGTATATAGCCTATTGTTCCTAGGCTACAAACTTCTGCAGCATGTTACTGTGCTGAATACTGTAGCGAGTTGTAACACAGTGGTAAGTTTAGCGTACCTAAACATAGAAAAGGCACAAATATAGTTTTATCTTACAGGACCGCTGTTTTATATGTGGTTCATCATGGACTGAAATGTCATTATGTGGTACATGACTGTTAATTTCTGGGGGGCAGGCAAAGTATCTATTTTACAATTGATCATAAACCACTACATGTAACTGTGTCACCCAAATAGTTTGTCTCAAATGTATCTTGTATCCCTCTCACCCCACTGTTCCCTCAATCTGTCTGCACTGCCATGCACTCCTCCACTACTGGTTAAGTGGGTTCCAAGTGTCAGGACTGGAATAGACTCTCATTGACACTAGAACTCAAACTCTGGCTTATTCTAAACCAGAATGCAGGTTGAGTTTGTATTTATTAAGCTCTTCTTGTTAGCTTTGGGTCATTGCTCAGCCCCTTGAGTTATTTCCAGTTCTTACCCATTATTAGCTTCTCCTTTGGGTATTACGCTTTCCAGAGTCAAAAAAAATATGCCTTCTGGGTCTTTAATGAAAATTTTAGGTAGAACAGGACCAGAGTTCTGTGGCTGTACCTTTAGAATTCTCTCTAGCTTGATCTTTTTCTTGCTTACTGAACATATCATCTCTCATAGTTTTTATGGGTCAGGAATTTGAGGGTGCCTTAGCTAGCTGGTTCTGGCTTGAGGTTGCAGTCAAGATACTGGCTAGGGCTGCAGTCAACTGAAGACTTGACTACGGCTGGAGGATCTGTTTCTAACGTGGCTTATCTATATGCCTGGCAAGTTGGTATTGGTTGATGGCCTAGCTTGATTTTGTTCAATTAACTACCATTTTTCTGTATGAGCATTCACACACTTACGGATTGTACCTTTATCCTCACTACAGTTCTGTGTTGTCTATAAAAATATTATGTGGCTGGTCGCAGATCACCAGGTGAGGAGTTCGAGACCAGCCTGGCTAACATGGTGAAACCCCGTCTGTACTAAAAATACAAAAACTTAGCTGGGCGTGGTGGCAGGCGCCTGTAATCCTAGCTACTCAGGAGGCTGAGGCAGGAGAATCGCTTGAACCTGGGAGGCAGAGGTTGCAGTGAGCCGAGATCGCGCCACTGCACACCAGCTCGAGTGATAGTGCGAGACTCTGTTTCAATAATAATAATAATAACAATAATATGCAAGTCTGTCACATTTTTTGCCAAACATTATCTCTATGGAATTCCCCTCATCACTTAACATTAGGAGTCCTTTCAGTAAGGAAATCTGGTATGTTTCACACTTGGTGAAGTCACACTATTTTCCACTGATGACCATTAAGCTTTTTAAGTACAAGTCATCTCTAAATCTGTTCTAACATTTTGCTGGTAATCAATGTAACAATAACAGCTGCAATCATTTATAATGCACTAAATACTAGCATTATCTAAATGCTTTATATACACTAACTCACCTACTTTTCTTGATAGTCTTTTAAATTTATTTAGCTAGGTAGTCTAGGCGGGGAGAATTGCTTGAGCCCAGGAGTTCAAGACCAGCCTGGGTAATATAGTGAGACCATGTCTCTACAAAAAAATTTAAAACTTAGCTAGATGTGGTGATGCATGCCTGTAGTCCCAGCTACTTGGGAAGCTGAGGTGGGAGGATCACTTGAGCCGAGGAGGTTGAGGCTGTAGTGAACCATGATTATACCACAAGATCCTGTCTCAAAAAGAAAAAAAAAAAAAAAAGCTTTCTTTAATGCCTTACAGGATTTTTTGCAAGCCTCCACTTATTCTGAGTTTTCGATTTCTTGATACTATTCTTAAATTCCTGGTTAGATTCCTCTTGGTGATCTGTACTTCGGCTTTGTTCTTGTAAAATCAGAATTCAGTGAAGATGCCCTTATTTAGATATGTTGATTTCCTTATGTATTCTTTTTTTTACTTTTCACCAGAACCTCCTTCTTCAGTAACTCTTAATCTCTCTTGAATGTTCTTCTCACGAGCCATGGAATTCTAACTTGAAGTTTTACATTTTTGAGTTTTGATTTATTCAGGACTGGAGCACATGTCTCTTAACTGTGCTGTGTTTGGCTCATGCTCAGATCACATGGTTGCTTTCTGCCAAAGTTCCCATCACATCTACTTCATCACCCAGCAGTTTCTTGTCAGAATCAAGTCCAGATAAGCTGTTTCCATCACTATTTTTCCTAACTGTAGAGACATTCAACTGGCAGGAAACTAAGTCAAGAATTTATCAGGCACTCTATTTTTAGCAGTTGGAGCTTCCCAGCAGATGTTGGGATAGGTGGTATCTCACACTATGATTTTATTCTATCTATGCCAGTCTTGAAATTTGTATTATAGGAAAGTATACTTGTTAATAATGTATAGTCTATAGCAGTGGTTCTCAAACTTTAGCGTACATCAGAATCAACTGGAAGGTTGGTTGAAACAGATTGCTAGGCCCATTCCCATAGTTTATGGTTCAGTAGGTCTGGGGTAGAGCCTGACAGTTTTTATTTCTAACAAACCCCCAGTGGTGCCACTGCTGCTGATCCAGGGTCCATACTTTGAGAACCACTGGTCTACAGTGTCTTCTGTTTCTCCTTTTATCTTCATGCAAACAATTTAGACCAAGCTTGCTCTCTCAGGTACCATAAAGTGGCACTTTTCTTATATCAGGCTTATTTATTTTGAACAAGGTATATACTTCCTTGTCATATTACAGTCATGAATCTCAACCCTCTAATTTCAGTGATACTATTGAGATAGTATTTATCTTTCAGGAAAGACTGATGAAAGCTCCTGACAGTTTAGAAAAGAAAGAGAAAATAAAGTGAAACAGAGGGTTAGGACCCATATACTTGGATCTGTGAGCACTGGTCTCACACTATTTTGGTTATATATACTTGTCAATTTTGCCTATACATAACAGAGCTGTGTATTGTAATCTTCTTTATTCATTTAGTATGTATCTTAGTCCATTTTCTGCTGCTATAACAGAATACGCAGAGTGGGTAACTCATAAAAAACAGAAGTTTATTTGGCCCATGGTTCTGGAGGCTGGGAAGTCCAGAACACGGTGCTGGCATCTGGTGAGGCTCATTCTATGGCAGAAGGCAGAAGCGATCCCATGTGACAGAGGGAAGTGGGCTGAACTCATCCTTTTTATCAGAAACCTGCTCCCTCAATAACTAACTCATTCCCTCAGTAATGGCATCAATCCCTTCTTGAGGACAGAGCCTTCATGACCTAATCATCTCTTAAATGCCCACCTCTTAATACTGTTAGAACGGCAATTAAATCTCAACATGTGTTTTGAAGTTGACATTCAAACCACAGCAGTGTGTATAGACAATGTATCTGGTACACAGAAGGTATACTAAAAATTCAATAAATTGGGGAGTCTTAAGAGGCAGCACTGTATCCTGTAGGTGATGAGGAATAAATAAGTTAAATTGTTATCATTTTCAGGATTGATGCTATAAGCTCTTAAATTAGAGTGATAATAGAAATTAAAATTAAGTAGTATGCTGACTTGGCCTGTTCAAAAGTTCATGCTAGAGTGCTTATTGGTATTAGGAAACAGTGGGCACATATTATATTAAGCATATACTATGGCTGTGATTTGAGGGACACATTTTTCACTTAAGCCAAGTGCCCTGGTTAATTTCTGGAATGGTCTTTTTGTTTAGTTGTCTTATTCTGTAGAATAGCTGTGTCTGATGTGGAATATACTTTTAGTAAGACTGTAACAGGTTTTTGTATTTATTTGTTTGGACTCTTGGATGAACTCTGTTTATTAGTCACTAAAAATAACTTTAACAATTAATATTGCAGGTGGAACAAAATCCATTATTAGGGTTTGGCGCTATAGCTATTGCTGTATTGTGCTCAGGATTTGCAGGTAAATCATGAAAGCATTGTTTTATTCTTTTGTCATATTTTTCGAAAACATCAAACTTTAGACACCAGTCTAGTTTATCTTGCTTTCTCAGTTTTATTCCCATTAAACTTGATCTTCTTGCTTATATTTAGTTTTATGTCAGCTGTTTTTCCAGTAAATGTATAGCATTGTTCAACTAAGTTCAGACTCAGTCCCTATTCATACTTGCAGTTAACTACTTCTGTTATCCTTGACCATCTCAGTCCGGCCAAAAACCCAAAAGTAAATGAAAAAAGACTTCTGAAAATGGAGGAAATTAGTCTTCAGAAAGCCCTTTCCTTTTTTCTGGAACTGCCACTATCAAGTCAGATCCTGCTGCTTTAGGTTGTTAATGTTACCAGCTAAGTATCTTTTTTTCCCCTATAACCTCAAGTTCTTTCTCTGCTTTAACAGGTTAGGAGCTATGGAGTAGGATCATGAGGTGGGTCGAGAGTACCTTAGAAAACATAATACATAAAGCTAATAACCAAACAGGGAGGAAAGACAACACAAAATCACTAACATCAACAATCCACGGAAGTCTGGCGTTGTATGTGTAGGGACAAGCACTCCTCCAATGCATCAAGATAAGAAAGTATGAATATTAAGTGTAACATAAAAAAAGTTTTAGAAATAGTTCCAGCAGAGATTTAGTTTTTAATATATTCTGCTTAAAGCTTTTAGTAGAATATATTAGTTATAGCTATACATCTTTATTATTTATTTGTACCTATTTCAAGTCAGGACTATTTTTGACTAGGAAAGCAGGCTGAATACAGAAGTAAAATACTGCTTGTAAATAAGATGTTTTATACGAGGGGAAAATTTAAATTCAGGAATATACTTACTGATAGCATTGTGTTCTAGAAACCAACAAATTGGGAACAAAAATTGAGTTACCTAAAAAATATGCTATTTGATTTTTTGCAATATTTTGAACAGTTAAATGATTATGTCCAACATTTTATTAGTTCACTCTCTTAATACACAATTGAGGAAATGGAGGGTGGTTTAATATCTCTCTGTGTTTACGGTAACTGAGCACTGGATAAATGCTTCTCCCAGAAGGTAAAATCAGAGGTGAAAATAAGAATAGCTATTTTATGTTCCCATTCCAACAGACTCATCAAAAATAATCTTGTTTTTCGTTAGACTTTTTAGTTGATAAGTACTTCATTGGCAGTTCCTAAGTCTCTAGCATGATATTTATAACTAAAATCTTTAATGGCTTTGTAAAATATGCATTCATTTTAAGCATAAATCCAGAGATAGGGGACTTTTGTTGGGGAGGGGTATCATGTACTCCTTTGAAGTATCTGAAAAAATCTATGGACCTTCAACTCCAGAAAAATGCACATATACACAAAATTTATTATCCAGTTGGGGAGTTCATGATCCTTCTGACCTTGTGTATGAACTTGGCTTGTGGAACCCTGCTTTAAAGGAAAATGGCTTTACACAGCAAATTCTACTTCAGTTTTGGTTGTTACTCTGAAAAGATTCCTAGTGGTGATTATAGATTATATTGCAGAATTAGGAGTATTCATTAGTAGGCAGATATTACAGGGATGTGATTAAGATAATTCACTCTTAATGTAGTTTTTCAGCTGACCAAAGCAAATGACATACTGGCATTAAGTAGTACAGAGAGCTTTTGTGGTCTTACTGCTCTAATAAAGGCAGAAACTGTCTTAATTTAACAGCCTTCTGTTAAATGTAGCTTATAAACTTCCCAATTAGTTATTATTCTATATACTCTGTAAAAACATAAATTTATAATGTACAGTATGTCATGTGTCACACAACCTACATAATAAATGCACATTTAAGTAAAGTATGTTTTGTTCCCCAAATCATATACTTTATATATCTCTAGGGTATTGTTCTAAATGAAAGACATTTTAAGTTAATTTATAGTAATCTTTAATATTTGCATGTCTAATTTTCTTTCAGGAGTATATTTTGAAAAAGTTTTAAAGAGTTCAGATACTTCTCTTTGGGTGAGAAACATTCAAATGTATCTATCAGGGATTATTGTGACATTAGCTGGCGTCTACTTGTCAGATGGAGCTGAAATTAAAGAAAAAGGATTTTTCTATGGTTACACATATTATGTCTGGTTTGTCATCTGTAAGTATCCAGGAATTAAAGGTTCTTAGTAGATCCTTTATTTTTTTTTTAAGTTAGATGTCCATTTTAAGCTGTTATAACATTTTGAAATTAATCCTTTGATACTGTAAATACCAGTTTGAATATAATTTTCATTTTGTTGACTTAGTTTTGATTGTGAAGGCAAAATTGCTTTGGGATAGCAATGCCCCAAAATATCTAACATTAGCAAAAAATGTGTAAAATTTAATAGACCACATAGCCCTCTGGGCATTGTTTTGGAAAAACAGTGTTATATAGGAACTACCAATTTTAGTACAAACTCTCAGATGGCTCCTTCTAAGGAAAACAGTATTTTCCTTTTCCTAGGTAAAGTATGGCATCTCTGGGGATGAAAATTGCCTCACCATTATGTAATGTTTCATTTATTTGAGTGATAAGATTTTATTTCTCTCTGTATACAAGTTCTTGCAAGTGTTGGTGGCCTCTACACTTCTGTTGTGGTTAAGTACACAGACAACATCATGAAAGGCTTTTCTGCAGCAGCGGCCATTGTCCTTTCCACCATTGCTTCAGTAATGCTGTTTGGATTACAGATAAGTATGTCTTAGTTTGTGTTGAGTTTTTAACATGGAAGAGCCTCCCATTTCCTTGATTCATTTAATCCCTTATTTAAAAGTGGCAGTTGGTCATACTGTTTACAGAAATTCCTAGCTTTGTTACTACAGTTTATTCCACCAGTACAGCTGTTCATAGTTGTGTGGGATGTGGCTAAGCAGTACTTTGGTTGTTTAGGTGGTCTTAGAGGTTAAGACGAGGGGTGCTAGTTCTATGTGAAAGTGAGGGGACTTTTTTTGCAGTCAAGGCCTCCCTGTATTTTTAGGTATTGTATATAGGACAACTTGAGTGTCTGAATGTGAGAAGGTACTCAAGGAAATACATATAAAGACTTTAGGAAATTATTTTCAGCAGTCAGTTTAAACTATATTGGCTCATTATTTAGAAGAATGTAGAAAACATCTTTTAGTCCTCCCTCAGCTTGTACTTTCCAACTGCTTTGCATTTGGGTGTGAGACGGTTTTGAAAACAATCAAAATCTAGATTTTGTCTTTTGTATCTTTGTTTCATTCAATATGTAATTAATACAAAACTCATTAATATAGCTGGCATTCCAGTACCACTGCTTTGTTAGTCCTAATATAATTTTCCCAACTCTCACACCCAGCATTAATTTGGCTTCTAAATTATTTAAGCAATGATATTGACTTAACATTTCAGGGTGCTTTTATAGTGTAATAATTTTCTTTACTGATCAATTATTATAATATAAACCAATGTATGAAGAATATCTGTTAAATATATTAAGTAAAAGAGACCTGGCTTATATTTACATTTCATTTTAAAATTGACTCCTGTATATAAATGGAAATAGTGTTGTAGAAATTTTAGAAAACCATGTATAGTCTGTGGCAAATCTTGCCTGTACCATTTCTTAACTGTGCAGCCTTGGGGAAGTTATATTCCCTGGGTGACACTTTCTTCATCTGTAAAATGGGAATAATATCACCTATTGCCTAGTGGTGTTTTCAGGTGAAGTGCTTAGAGTAGTGTTTGACACTACTTACCAACCACTTACCATTTCAGTATCAGGTACTTATAGGCTTTCCCTTAGATGTTTTTCTACCTGATTTGGGTGAACTTTTAGCTGTAATTCTGATCTATCTTTATGTTCAACAAAATCCTTATACCATTGCTCATAAGAAATATATAGGAACAGTAGAAAATGCTTTTGTTTAATGTTCTTACTGATGGTCAACTAGCATGTCTTAGCAATCTTTCAGTTAACTGTTTAGATACAAGTTTTTATCCTACCTTCTCCTTTTTTGAAGGCAAAGCTGGTCTTTTTTAGTTAGGAGTGAACTAAAATAAAGCTTGATGTCATATAAATATATTTATTTGTCAAGTTAGGACAAGTTATGATTTGGTTTCTTGCATCCTGATTTTTAAGATTAAAATGAAAAAAGGTGCCGGGCATGGTGGCTCATGTCTGTAATCCCAGCACTTTGGGAGGCTGAGGCGGGTGATAACCTGAGGTTGGGGACCAGCCTGACCAACGTGGAGAAATCCTGTCTCTACTAAAAATACAAA
The DNA here is from genome assembly GCF_000001405.40 of Homo sapiens. NCBI lineage: Eukaryota > Metazoa > Chordata > Mammalia > Primates > Hominidae > Homo > Homo sapiens. The sequence goes on from NC_000006.12 coordinate 87,510,724, forward strand.
ATTGGCTGGGCACGGTGGCGCATGCTCCTCCCGGCTACTCGAGAGGCTGAGGAAGGAGAATTGCTTGGACCTGGGAGGCAGAGGTTGCGGTGAGCCGAGATTGCGCCATTGCACTCCAGCCTGGGCAACAAAAGCGAAACTCCGTCTCAAAAAAAAAAAAGATGAAAAAAGGGTTAAGACTAGTAGGAAATGTAGTTTTATTCAGTAAATTATCGCCTCATCTCCGATTAAGAAATTATCAATGGTTTGAATGATTGGTCACCTGTCTTTTACTCTAAACTTTCACAGGTTCCTGGTTGTCACGGAAAAGCCAATCCTACCACATTTTCTTTTGTACTTATATATATTTATACTTACATTTAAAAAAAATTATATATTTTATAGGGAAATTAGTTATGTTCTTTGTCAGAGTGGTCAGATAGTGTCAGTTAGGCATACTCATGTTCTAAAAAGTCTGTAATCAGTGATCAACAAAACACTGCCTTGATTTTACCCGCCCTGCCTCCCCCTCTCCTTTTTTTTGGCTGTAATGGAAGACCTTTCTAAACCTTGCCATCATAAAAATATGATCTGATAGTGTAAACCCACAATTAAGAGTTTTCAAAATTTTAAACTGATCATTAGGCATTTTAAAGACACACATACAGATAAAGCTATTTTTTTTTTTCTTTTCAGCACTCACCTTTGCCCTGGGTACTCTTCTTGTATGTGTTTCCATATATCTCTATGGATTACCCAGACAAGACACTACATCCATCCAACAAGGAGAAACAGCTTCAAAGGAGAGAGTTATTGGTGTGTGATTTTAGCCTCACGTGAGACTCCTTTTAAGACTAAACCATTTGCATTAAACTAGAGCCTTAAGTCAATCTCAGAAGGTAGCATAAACAAATAAAAATTAACTGTATGGCATGATCAGTGCGGTTATGTGGAAACAACAACAAACAAACGAAGCTATCTGAGTGAACTGCTAATACAGAAACTTAATGTAGACCTGTTTGGGGTCTACTATTGTTTTAGAATGAAGGAATTGTATTATTGTGTGTATATATAATTTGTAAATAAAAAGTATGGAGATGATACGGTGTTAAAAAAAATCATGGTAAGGCTACAATACTCAAGTAACAAGGTTTGGGACAATGTCTAAGGGTTAAAGTGCCAAAGCCATTTCTGTACTAACTGTTCTCTTGTTCCGGTACCGGGGAGAAGGATGACCCCTCCTTATTCTCCAATTCATGTACAGTATTTTGTCCTAGCAGCATAAAGACCTAGCTCTTTTCTTACAAGAGGCAGAAACAAGACAGGCTAGTTCATAAACAAACTGTGTAACTTCTCAAAATGAATCTATTTCATAACTCGGACAATTTCTGGGTGGTGACTGAGTACCCCTTTAGTGAGTACCCCTTTAGTGCTATATTTGTGCCATTCATTATCTGGTTCATATTTCTTTTCTGTTAGATGATACACATTTCTTCAAAAAAATTTCTAATGTCACTTTTGTACTTTTTTAAATAAAGTATGTTTAACTGTTGGGCTCTCAATAATTTGTGAAATTTCAGTGTTTTCTATAATGTTAATGGGGAAATTCAGCAATAAACTTTATTTGTAAGAAAGAATTGTTTAATCACTTTATATTATAGATATGACCATTAAGATAATGCACTTTTATTTTCTATATGTAGAAATGCACTTTTATTTTCTATATGTGGAAGTCTATCGGTTAGGGTTCTCTGGCTGCAAATCAACTCAACTCTGGCAAGCCTTAAGCAAAAAAGAAAGAATTTTTAAGAAGGTCCACAATCAGGGCTACAGGCGTCTAGGTTCTAAGAATTAATGGACAGTTGTCTTTTCAGCTTTTGTAAAGATCTGGCTTTACCTATTACTGTTCCTGTATGGTTTCACTCACGATTCAAATACTCGGGAAGACACTACTGATCTTGGAAGGGGAAAGTTTCTTCAAACAAGTAGAGAGGGATATTGGATGTGTAAAACATGTCCCTACTTTATATTTTTATCCCATGGCTGGTTTATGCTAAGAAAAATGTGACACTACTTTAAGTCGAAAATTAGCTATCTGGGAGCTAATTCACTTAAATTGGAACTGCAAGGCTGAATCTTTTCTAGGACTAAGAAGGTAAGCCATAGTTGCTAATATGAAACAATTTTCACTCTAACTAGAGAAGCTTCAGTTGTGCTAACTTGGTAAATAGACCGTCACTGGTATTCAAAAGCCTACTATTAGCAACATTTAGAATAAATTATAGCAGACCTGAATGGAAATGCTGGCTGATGGGAATGGCCGTACTGATCAAACACATCACATCCTACTCTTGTTTCCTAAGCCATGCTCATGTTATCTAATGAAGCCACACAAAAATATGAAGATAGATACATGAAGGAAACCATAAGAAACTCCATTTCAAATTATGGTTGAATTAATGGACTACATTTTACAAAAAGATCCTAATTCAACGTCTTTACAAGTAATTCCTTCCTATTAAAATGTATTTAGTTCCTGAATTCACACAATAAGAGTTACCTGTGTGTGTGTGTGTATATATATATATATATATATATATATTTTTTATTTATTTTTTTTGAGACAGAATCTCGCCCTGTCGCTCAGGCTGGAGTGCAGTGGTGCGATCTCGGCTCACTGCAAGTTCCGCCTCCTGGGTTCACGCCATTCTCCTGCCTTAGCCTCCCGAGTAACTGGGACTACAGGCCCCGCCACCACGCCTGGCTACTTTTTTTGTATTTTTAGTAGATACGGGGTTTCACCGTGTTAGCCAGGATGGTCTCGATCTACTGATCTCGTGATTTGCCCGCCGCAGCCTCCCAAAGTGCTGGGATTATAGGCATGAGCCACCACGCCCAGCCCTGTATATATTAACTCAAAGGGAAGCACGAGGTCTATTGTCTCTAGGAGTAGCTGTCAGCTATATTGACAGAACGGTGCTTATTTTTGATCTCCCTATGTTTACTCCAAACTAGCCACAATTACAAGAAAATTGATAATATTTTCCCCTCACCAATTCTTTTATTTCATGAAAACATTAAATCATTTCAGTTATAAGAATAGTTTCTGGAAGAATGACATGGTAAGAAACTTCAAGCCAAAGTTTAAACTCAAATCCTTTAGCCCCATTAGACCACAATGCTTTGGGTTTAAAAAACTCAATGTCTATTTAAATACCTACTGACCATGAGAGAATTCAGATAACTCATTTATTTAAGGATAAAGACTGAATAACTTGACAAGTCACATTTAATACAGATTCTGACACAGAATAATAGTTTAACTTTGGCTGGGCGTGGTGGTTCATGCCTCTAATCCCAACACTTTGGGAGGCCAAGGCAGACAGATAACCTGAGGTCGGGAGTGCAAGACCAGCCTGACCAACATAGAGAAACCCTGTCTCTACTAAAAATACAAAATTAGCCTGGCGTGATGGCACGTGCCTGTAATCCCAGCTACTCAGGAGGCTGAGGCAGGAGAATTGCTTGAACCTGGGAGGTGGAGGTTGCAGTGAGCCAACATCACACCATTGCACTCCAGCCTGGGCAACAAGAGCGAAACTCCATCTCAAAAAAAAAAAAAAAAAATTTAAATTTATTCTGAACAGCAAGGCATCTCAGAATAGATAACTAGAATTCACTTGACATTTTAAAAGCCATTTTAATGGAAATTACATCCTACATACAGGTGTTATTCCAAGAAGTTTCATTCCATTGGCTAGGACAGAACGGACAGCTTTGAAAAGATGAAGTCTGGCCTACAAAATAAATCAAAGAATGATTTAAAATATTCAGTAACAGGAATGTATTCAATACATGAGAATGGTTTTAAAGGTTATTCTTTCTAGTTTAAAGCAGGAACAATATGTCAAAGTGCCCTAGAGTTACTATAGGCAAGAGAAGATAAATTCCTGGCATCCCTTACAGTAAAACCTGTACATAAAGTGTCATGGAGTGGGAGTGATAGTATTATACAGTATGGCTTCAGATAAGGGGAACTTATCACTGTAATATTTCATGTAGGAAAATGTGCTTTATAGTCTAGTATGTTGGGAAGTATATACACATTGATTGTTACAGCCTAATTATTAGCTAAGGAAGTATACTGCTACAGTTGAACAACAGAATGCTATTTTAGAAAAATTTACAAGACTGACTTAGTAATATTAGTCTCAGGAGCTAGGGATTATACAGAAAACATTCAACATAACGTACCCCAGCCACTTCAGGAGGACTATCTTTTATTTGTAGTGTTTTGTGTGCCACAGCTGCAAGATGACTGAAACAGGAAGAGAGAAATCACGATAGTACCAGCAGTAATTTCCTGTTGTAAGATATGAGCTTGATATCTAATCTTACTCCTTCAACTTAATAAAGCCCAGAACCATTAAAGGATGTATTCAAAATTGTGAAGTTGAAACTGGAATTCAAAACTCAAGCTTTAGATCTTGGCCCTATTCTACTACTAAGAGGTGGGCAATTCTTAAGATTATGATTTCGCAGGGCGCAGTGGCTCACGCCTGTAATCCCAGCACTTTGGGAGGCCGAGGCGGGTGGATCACAAGGTCAGGAGATCGAGACCATCCTGGCTAACATGGTGAAACCCCGTCTCTACTAAAAATACAAAAATTAGCCGGGCGTGGTGGCATGCGCCTGTAGTCCCAGCTACTCGGGAGGCTGAGGCAGGAGAATGGCGTGAACCCAGGAGGCAGAGCTTGCAGTGAGCCGAGATCACGCCACTGCACTCCAGCCTGGGCAAGAGTGCGAGACTCTGTCTCAAAAAAAAAAAAAGATTATGATTTCAATGTTAATTTTACAAATATAAAGAATCCTTTTCTAATCATTTTTCCTCATTTAGGCAGCCTACAATCCAATGTATAACACAGCATGGCCTTTCCCTCTGTACAGTGAGGTGGGTAGAAACTATCCACTCTCCACACACACTGGCCACTCTTTAAAGTATCTTTTTAAATTTAGGTATGGCAGCAAGTATAACAATGTGCCGGAGAAATGATACTTAAGACATCAGTTTTAATGATAAAATGACATTTCATAAGACTTGGTATATTAGCTGGGCATGATGGCACGTGCCTGTAATCCCAGCTACTAGGGAGGCTGAGGCAGGAGAATCGCTTGAATCCAGCAGGTGGAGGTTGCAGTGAGCCGAGATCACGCTCCAGCCTGGACAACAGAGCGAGACACCATCTCAAAAAAAAGAAAAAAAAAAAAAAAAGACTTTGTAGCTTCTTCACCTCTGTATGTCTTAAGTGTCATTTAAAGGAAGAAAAAAATCCTTACATAAATCTAGAGAAGACAAGGTAAAAAGTATAATCAAGAAAACAGTCCTGTTAAGTGTCTGATTTCAATACTTGTTGAGTAAAAGCAACATTTCCTTTATTAAATGGCTTTACAGAAGATACAGCTGCTGCTGCTATACAAGGGTGGACTCAATTTTGATTTCAATTTGCTAAAATAGACACCATGAAATTGTCATTAAAGATTAGAAAAATTAAGTTTTCTAGCTTATTTTTCTGTGCCTCTGCTTAAAATCCCTGTATGGACCCCACCACCCCGAAAATAAGTTTAAATGCCTCAGTACATGGCAAACAGGTTTATACACGCTTCATTCATCAGCCCTCCCAGGACAATGCTTATGGATCCTTTAAAATGTATTATTACGTTCTTGCTCAACTCTGGGCTTTCTTCTTCTTCCCAGCCACATTCCTTCTGATTAATATCTCCTTTCCTCTGAGAAGCCCTCTCTGATCGCTCAAGGCTGGGCTGGTTGCCCTAACACCATCTCTTACGTTCACTCTAACATAACACATGCACTGTGCTGTAACTGTAGTTGTCAGTTCCCATTCTCCAGTCTACAGTGACAGTACCTTGTATCACTGAATGAATGAAGGAACATTAACTGCTAATTTGTATAGATGAAGCAATAATTCCTGTAACTAAAAGCACATCAAATTTTAGGCCAAGGAATTTGTTTACAGGAAACCTTTAGATGAAAGAAAGGTCTCAAATGCCATTAACACCTGAAAACAGGAAGATTATAAAGTACCTTAAAGTTAGAAGGTAACTGACGATATGCCTGGGTTGAAAGTCCTGAGATGATTTATAAAGCACCTCGTCGAACCTAAAAGATGACAGGAACAGTGAACAGGAAAAGACTGTACACATTACACTAAGACATTAGACATTAAAAGATTGTGAATATAAGGTTGACTCGACACGATTAAGAGTAGAAGGTATGGCCAGGCGCAGTGTCTCACGTCTGTAATCCCAGCACTTTGGGAGACTGAGGTGGGTGGATCATGAGGTCAGGAGTTTGAGAGCAGCCTGGCCAATATGATGAAACCCCATTCTCTACTAAAAATACAAAAATTAGCCAGGTGTGGTGGCACGCGCCTATAGTCCCAGCTACCTGGGAGGCTAAGGCAGAAGAATCACTTGACCCCGGGAGGTGAAGGTTTCAGTGAGCCGAGATCCAGCCACTGTACTCTAGCCTGGGCAACAGAGCAAGACTCCGTCTCAAAAAAAAAGAAGAGTAGAAGGATATGAAAAAACTGTGTGTACATTTGAAGGCAAAGGAACATTTTTCTTTCTTCCAAATTCTTTGATGGCAGGGACTTTCTAAATCATCTTGCTATTTCCTAGACCTAGTCCACAGCAAAAACTTAAATCATGGCTGGTGAATGTAAAAAGCCTCCAGCCATGTTTAAGAATATAAAATATAAATTAGCAAAGTCTACCCTCAATGCTAAGAAAACCCAGTTGGCTTATTTTTCCGTACATTCCCTATTGTACATGTGAGTAAATTTTTCTGATTCCAGGAAAGAACCACTGACTACTATATGGCAATCAAAGAAAACCACCTTGTTCATAACCATCCACATCCCTTCTAGAGACTAATCTCTGGCATGTTTGGCTTCACCAACAATGCCCGTCAGAGCTAAAATGTGTGGGTGTCTTGCCTAGCATGGGAGCATCACATACATATATGTATTTGAGATTGTGAACCGAAACCAAGAGGCAAATGAAGGACTTACGGTCTCTGGGAAGCTGCACAAAGGCAGGTATTTTCCTTCACTTACCACAGAGAGCAAGAAGATGCTCTTTCTCAAACTAAAACTAAAAAAGGTTATGCTTTTATAAGGCTTTATGTGAGCTAGAGGCAGCTAGACATGTGCGCTATTCATCAGTGATAATATTCTGAAGACCCAAAGACTGTCCTCCTTGGGCATTGGCTTAATCTATGCCCTCTGTCCTCAAAATGCAAATAATCACTTTTTAAGGCATACCTTTGGGAAAAGTCTAGAGGCAGAAGGCAGCTACTGGACTGTTGACTCTACTGGGCAGCAAAAATGCTAATAGCCATTTTGATAAGCAGAAGCACACTTGATGATCCCTGGAAAACATCATACCTGAGAAGATGCTGAAGAATTGAAACAGACTGTGGCTCTTGTAAACAAGCAGTGTTGAAGTCATTCAGGTACCCACATCCAAAAGTCTCTTCCAAACTTATCAAAAGTTTAAAGTTAAAAACATCAAAAGATTAAAAAGTCATACAAGGGCACAGAGCTGCAAGTGATGAACATGACCTTATAATACACAATTTTGGTCTCCTTAATATCCATACACAGTGGAGGTAACAGTATATTTTTCGACAGGGTTATTCTGAGGACTAAGATAATACACATAAATGTATTTCTAACATAGGTGCTCAATAAATTTTTTTTTTTTCCTAAAAGAAGGTCTACTCTAGTCAGATGTGAATAGAAGATATTGGAAAAGCCCAGAAAACAGGGCCTCTGGTCTTAGAATCACAGGACCTAGCCTAAGTAAGCACAGTGCAGCACAAGGTTTCCCTGCAGCCTCTTCTCACCTGTGGAGGCGGGCGTGTGTGTACTGTAGGAAGACTCCTGTGTCCCCGCGACTCTGGAAAACACGATCCCAGCTGAACTTGTAGTCAGATAAGAGTAAACCTTTGAAGTCCTAAAACGACAGAGGAAATCTTCACTGCTGGGATTTGCTCTAGTACCAAACAAAAGGGCCTCACAGGTAGGAGTCTTAACAGACCTGAATAATGAGTGCTGCGAGCCCGACCCTCTCTGCAGTCTCTTGTGGGTTCTTGAGTTCTTTAGTTGCTGAAACAGACAAAGGCAGCTATCTTTAGTCTACATGACACTGTGCCAATCATGGATCCAAGTGAAGGTAACATCTGCCAAAAATGTATGCTGACAATCAAGAACAGATTCAGAATGAGTAATTACTTGCCTAATTTAGGCTATTTTACCTTTGATAATGACATTTCCCCTGCCTACATTAAAGGGAAAGAAATCCAAATTTATTTATTCAAAAGATACTTGTAGGAAAAATAAATTTGGATTTCTGATTTTATATATATATATGTATGTGTGTATATATATATAAATATATATGTGTGTGTGTGTGTGTGTGTGTGTATATATATATATCTATATATATCTGATACTTAGTTTTCCAAGGGTGAAGGTTAATTAAAGTCATAAGGACTGGTGACTTGTATCCAAATTATAACATAGAAACTTCACGTAATCACCTAGACAACAGAATGTCAGTGCTCAAGCTGTTCATGAAAAGAGGACCAAGGTTATAGTAATTCAGATTATTGAAGTGACCAATTCCTGAGTAGCGAGTATAAAAATTCTGGCACCTCTAATTAGTGAAAGGTATTTTTGACAAAGTTAGTGACACTTCAATGGAGGGACAGACATAATAAATCACACTGCCCAAAGTCCAGAATAACATAAAAGTGGCACGTAAGTTATGACTTTAATAAGAAAAAACTGAATTCACTCTTAATTGAAGCCATGTTCTGTAGCATCCTTAATTGAATCTCATTTAAAACATCTTCCAGGAAAGTGACATCTCCTCTTCGAGTCTTCATTCCCTGTACTACTCCAAAGGGCACGTGCTGGCACCTAAAAGAGTGGGCATCTAGTTAACTGAAAGCTAAACAAGAGCTGCTGCTGAAAGCATATAATACCTTTCAGAGAGTGGTTTGAACTTTAACCATCAGAGCAGAGTTTTTAAAAATTAATAAAATGAAATTGATGTGATTTGTATGCTACAAAGGACGTTAAGCACAGCTTCACTTTATAATCACCAGCATGTGATTACACTACTAGTTGCCTTTAGGAGAAAAAGGAGATGTGGATTAAGAATTTTGAAAACTAAGCCACTGAGAGCAGATAACTAGTAAAAATACAGTTATTTAATGTTTATAAGGTGGAAATTATTATAACCAAGACATAATACAAAAATCAAATCTACCTTTCCACACCAGTATCTTGAAACAAAGAATTGAAATCTGAGTGAAAAACTTTAACCACTAGGTACATTTTCAGGCTCAGCTGACCCTGCACAGACAATTAAGAACCATGCAGACATTACCTTTCTGCCCAGTCATATCCCATGATCTTCAGCATTTGGAATACTTGCTGAAAATGCTTTTTTTGTCCTTTATCTGTCTTGGGAAGAAAATATATATAAAATAAAAGAATACTGACAAATTAATGTATAAAAATAGGTTGGACTTGAATCAAATTAAGATATTTGAGGTCTGACAGACTAAAGTCGTCAATTGATATGTTTTAACTAAACACAAAGAGGATGCCACAAGAAGAGTGTCTAAGTGGACTGCTCTACAAGGGAGGGAAATAAGAGCCATACAACTCCACCGAGTCAGTAGGAAATGTGAACTTCAATCTTCTGAGTATTCTATTTAAGTTTCTGCCCTCTCGGCTATTATGACCCTGGTCTCTGAGACCAAAGCTAAACTCTAAATAAATATTTGATGGTAACTTTCTTCTAAGTGGAAAGGAAGGTTTCACATGATAAGTAAGGAAAGGGGAAAAGATACTAGAATACCACTCAGCAATAAAAGGAACCAACTACTGACACACAGGACAGCCTGGATAGTTCTCCAGGGCATTCATTATACTGAGTGAAAAAAGCCAATCTCAAAGGTTACATATGGTATAATTCCATTTATACAACATTCTTAGAGTGACAAAATTGTGCTGAAGAACAGAGCACTGGCTGCCAGGGGTTAGGATTGGGTGAAGGTGTGATTATTAAGTGGCTGACCACGAGGGAGTTTGTTTTGTGATGGAACAGTTCTATATTCTGAATGTGGTGATGGTTACATGAATCTATACATGTGATAAAGTCTCATAAAACCATAGCCACACAAACATTTACAGGAGAGTACATGTAAAAGCTGGCGAAATTTCAGTAAGGTCTCTATCAATGTTAATTTCCTGCTATTGATAAAAGTACTATGGTTATGTACTATCTTTGGGGGGAAACACCGTACTATTTTGAAACTTCTTGTGAGTATTAAATTACTTCAAAATAAAGTTATTTAAAAACAACTGTTGAGCCCAAATCAGAATTGAAAAATAAAAAACAAAAAAACTTGGTATTATAGTGACCTGTATATATTAATTTCACATAACCATCTTACTGATTCAGGTAATTTTTTCTTACTATGAAGCAATGTAAACTTTTTCATTTTTAAGTGTTTAAACTTTTAAATAGAAGTTGCCCACTTTAAACATACTTAATGTTGACTTCTCTCTGTAGTTTTCCATAGTTTTTCAACATGGCATCCAATTTCTACCTCTGTAGTTTTCATGAGTTAAGAGATCATAACTTTTTGTTCTGATTACTTACCACATATATCATTGTATCAAAATTATACTTGTCCATTCGATCTATAGCAGCTGCAAGATCTCTGAAACAAAGTGGCCATAAACCAAGAGTTACTAAGCAGATCCGGGTAATAATTGGTCTTACCTATTTAATAGCAATGAGCATTTTCTAATTAAGAATTTAAATTATACCACAGCCTGAGGAATTCCACCCACACTTAGATAATCCGAATATCATGTTTTGATATAAAATGATAAAAATAGGTTTGGGAAAAACAACAATAAAAACACTGGGAAAAGCAAAACCTAAAATAAATATAAATAAATAAAATTAATACATAAAAGTTCTACAACAAGTAGTAATAACAACTAAAATAGCTCTGGGTGAAGTGTCTTGTAGATAAATGTTTTATGATTAAGTCTCTACTAAAAAGAATCACCTGTTACTTCTCTGCAATATATTCTCTTAATGAACATATTTAAAATATAGATGATGTAGTAAACAGGTATTGTCTAGATACTCTCCTATTAGTATTACTAAGGACTTTCAAAGTCTTGGGTCAGTCAGGGGGAATACCTTCTAACGCATTTAAAAGACCATAAAGTCGGCCAGGTGTGGCGGCTCACGCCTGTAATCCCAAGCACTTTGGGAGGCTAAGGCGGGAGGTTCACGAGGTCAGGAGTTTGAGACCAGCCTGACCAACATGGTGAAACCCCGTCTCTACTAAAAATACAAAAATTAGCTGGGCGTGGTGGCGCACGCCTGTAATCCCAGCTATTCAGGAGGCTGAGGCAGGAGAATCGCTTGAACCTAGGAGGTGGAGTTTACAGTGAGCGAAGATCGCACCACTGCACTCCAGACTGAGCAACAGAGCAAGACACCGTCTCAATTAAAAAAAAAAAAAAAAAAAAAAGACCATAAAGTCCTTTGACAGAATTTCTATCTCTTTTATCTCTGATTAGATACAAATATCTAGTTTGCATATGAAATAATGAAAAACCATAAAATTTCATAAACCAAAACTTCAAGTCAAGGATTATGAAATATTAAAATTTAAAATTAGAGCTATTTTTGATTATATATGATACTGGAAAGACTGAAAAAATTTCTCGATCTTTCAAAATGTTAGGGATCATCAAAATGTCATTAGTACCTATCTCATGATCCTGACATTGCACAGAGCATGCATTCTCAATGAAGGCAAAAACTGGCTAATTTTTGTGTTTTTAGTAGAAATGGGGTATCATCATGTTGGCCAGGCTGGTTTCAAACTCCTGGCCTCAGGTGATCTACCCTCCTCGTCCTCCCAAAGTCCTGAGAATACAGGCAAGAGCCACTGCATATTTTTTGTAGAGATGGGTCTCATTATATTGTCCCGGCTGCTTTCAAACTTCTGGCCTCAAGTGATCCTCCTGCTTTGGCTTCCCAAAGTTCTAAGATTACAGGCGTGAGCCACTACAGCTGGCCAACAAAAAATCTTATTCTTCATGCATAAACCACAGATATGTATACAATATATACAGAGATACAGAATATCTGTGGGATAAAATTTCATGAGGATTGGCAATTAGGAAAAATATGGCTGAAAAGGTTGCTTGGAGGAATTATAATTTTTAAAATGTTGAGAAACAGTTGTAGAGCAGATTATCACAAAAATGATGTCACAAATAGACACCTGTTATATTTTTTTGGTTTAAGATAAGGACAAAACAAAGGGAAATTTTTTGATTCAATCAAAAAACAAAAAAGAATAAGAAAAATTTCTAGGTTGAGTTTGTAGAAACTGAATTTCAAAGCCAGAAGACGTGCTAGGTCATTTAGTCCAGATCTCTCATTTCACAAAGTAGAGAATCATGGCCCAGAGAGTTAAACGACAGTCCCAGGTCTCCAGCCTCACACTCTGTTCTTTTCAGTATTCTCCTGCAGTTTTGTCTGCTATAACAACTTTCATTTACATCCCCCACACAAAGGTATTCTATAAGAAACCCATTAGAAGGCAGAAGCAACTGACATTAAAGCAAAGTGAAAAAATCAAACATTTCAATAAGTGGCAAAAAGACAATTATTTTCAAAGAAAAAAGAGAAAGTACAGGTGTTAAGGTAAATACACAGAAAAGTCTACATCTAATGACAGCCTGAAAAAACACCAAATTAGGATAGTTATAGAGACTTCATGTCATAGGGCCCCTTTTCTGACGGGATGTTTCTTTTTCCAAAGAAAAATATAGGTGTTGAAAAACTGACACCTAATGATAACCCAAAAAAGACACTAACCAGACCCGGATAGTTACAGAGCCTCTGTTCTCAATGGATACTTCTTATAACCACTGTGCAATAGTTTATTTACTTAATCTATCTAGCAATAATTAGTTGATACAAAAAACTTTTCTAATATATATATTTGCTTATCTAGAAAAATAATGTACCTCTTAGATATATAAGCTCTTCTCACTTCCTAATCCCAATTGCATAGAAATGGTAAAGGGAAATGTCGAAAAGTAATAGAAGGTAAGAGATGAATTTCCTAAGGGGAAGTTAAAAGACTTAATTGGTTGCTTAAAGTTGTTTGGAACAAATTATGGTAGTTAATATAAAACAACAAAGTATCATGACTTTGTGTTACAAAAGTGATTTGTGACCTAATATAAAATTCTGGCCTGGGAGACACTTTTGCCAGCAGTGCTTCTCTTTCCTATTAGCTTTGTCCCAGAAATAAAGGTGCTGATAAACCCACTTCTTACTGATGAACAGAGATTGGCCCTTCCACAAAGGTCAGTCACAGAGATGGATGGGAAAAAAAAATGTGACATGGCTGCTTTCTCCCTCAGCCTGCTTTACCAAATCCCAATGAGTTCTGGTATTTATGTGCATGTAAGATGTTCTTTACAGCATAAGGAAACCCCTGAGCTAATATGGTCATCTTTTAGTATACATTTCCTGCCAACGTGCCATTGTAAAATACTTTTAGTTGATTATGAAGTACTTCAGTTTTACAGTTTATAGAATAATGTCATCAGCTGTGGAATCCGATAATGCATAATTAATTGTACATAGTGTTTCATCTGAAAGCAACAGATTTAGAACCAAATGTTGACCCTCACAGAGGCTACAAACCTGGTTGCATAGAGAGAAGTCCCATCACTTCGCATTACAGTACAAATTGAGGAGGGGTCGCCATTCCCAGAGAGATCTACTACAGCCGTTCCTTTTCTAGAAATTCGAAAAGGTAACTCTGAAGCAACATAATAAATTCAGACCTTTAAAATTTTAATATCTAAAACATTAGCAAACCAGAAGCTATTTTTATTACCCACGTTGCAATGAGCAGTGCCAATTCAAGCTTTAATCAACAATGGAAAAAAACAAGAATATGACCAAGAATCTCTTATGAATGGGTATGATGTAATTAATATTTGGTTATCTTAGCTTTTAAATCTGTAGCTCTGGATAAGGTACTCAGAGATAAATTCTTTAATATACCCAGTTGAAAAATGAGATGCAGCTGCATTGTAACTATGAAATGTCACACATTCTCCTTCTAATTCATGGTATTATAACATTCAATATTGGGATAATTTTTAACATGCCACAAAGTACCCAAGTATTAAAACTACAGATTTTTGTCTTTCCTGTATGACCAAAATTTGGAATCTGTATATGACAATCTAAAAATTTTCCTTAAGGACATTACCGAGGATGCTATTAACTATGTTTCACATCTTCCTTACAAATATGACAGGAGAAAGTTTGCTTTGGTACTATGAAAAGTGACATGTCTCTTAAGCAATTGGTTTGCCTCTACATTATAGAGGTCTGGGCTTCTTTCACTGCTATTTCTCTGTTTAGCTGACAGGAAGCTAAAAGCTAAATTAGAAAACAATTAGGCAAGAAACAAAATTAAAGGCATCCAAATTGGAAAAGAAGTTAAATTGTCTCTGCAGGCAACATAATCTTTTTTTTTCAATATGATCTTATAAATAGAAAACTCTGAATATGATCTTATAAATGGAAAACCCTGAAGAATCCGCCAAAAACTGTTAGAATAAATGAATTTCATAAAGTTGCAGTATAGAAAATCAACATATGAAAATCAGTAGCCTTTTTTTCTTTTTTTTTTTTTTGAGACGGAGTCTCACTTTGTTGCCCAGGCTGGAGTGGTGCAGTGGCACGATCTCAGCTCATTGCAACCTCTGCCTCCTGGGTTCAAGCAATTCTCCTGCTTCAGCCTCTCAAGTAGCTGGAATTAGGCGCGCGCCACCACGTCCAGTTAATTTTTGTGTTTTTAGTAGAGACAGGTTTTCACTATGTTGGCCAGGCTGGTCTCGAACTCCTGACCTCATGTGATCCGCGCCCCCGGCCTCCCAAAGTGCTGGGATTACAGGCGTGAGCCACCGCGCCCAGCCAAATATCAGTAGCATTTCTATACACAACAACAAACTATCTGAAAAAGAAATTTAAAAAAAAATCCCATTTATAATAACATCAACAAAATTAAAATAGGAATAAATTTAACCAAGGAGGTAAAATATCTGTACACTGAAAACTATATAACACTGATGAAAGAAATCAAAACACAGATAAATGGAAAGATATCCTGTATTAATGGATTGGAAAAATCAATATTTAAAAAATGTCCACACCACCAAAAGCAATCTACAGATTCAATGCAATCCCTACCAAAATTCCAATGACATTTTTCACAGAAATAGAAAAATCAATCATAAAATTCATATGGAACCACAAAAAACCTCCAAATACCCAAAGCAATATTGAGCAAAAAGAATAAAGTTGGGCCAGCTGTGGTGGCTCACGTCTATAATCCCAGCACTTTGGGGGGCCAAGGCAAGTGGATCACTTGAAGCCAAGAGTTCAAGACCAGCCTGGGCAACATGGTGAAACTCCATCTCTACTAAGAAATACAAAAATTAGCTGGGTGTGGTGGCACATGCCTGTAATCCCAGCTACTTGGGAGGCTAAGGCAGGAGAATAGGTTGAACCTGGAGGTGGAGGTTGTAGTGAGCCAAGAAAGCACCAATGCACTACAGCCTGGATAACAAAGCCAGACCCTGTCTTAAAAAAAAAAACAAAGCTAGAGGCATCGCACTACCTAATCTCAACATCTACTACAAACTATAGTAATCAAAACAGCATCATACTAGACAAAAACATAGGACCAATGGAATAGAATAGAGAGCCTAGATACAAATTCACACATTTATGGTCAACTGAATTTTTTTTTTTTTTTGAGATGGAATTTCACTCTTATTGCCCAGGTTGGAGTGCAATGGCTCAATCGTGGCTCACCGCAACCTCTGCCTCCCGGGTTCAAGTGATTCTCCTGCCTGAGCCTCCCAAGTAGCTGGGATTACAGGCATGCCCCACCACACCCAGCTAATTTTTGTATTTTTAGTAGAGATGGGGTTTCTCCATGTTGGTCAGGCTGGTCTTGAACTCCCAACCTCAGGTGATCCGCCCACCTCAGCCTCCCAAAGTGCTGGGATTACAGGCGTGAGCCACCATGCCCAGCCAGGTCAACTGATTTTTGACAAAGGTGCCAAAATAACACAATAAGAAAGGGACAGTCTCGGCCAGGCACAGTGGCTCACGCCTGTAATCCTAGCACTTTGGGAGGCCAAAGCGGGTAGATCAGGAGGTCAGGAGATTGAGATCATCCTGGCCAACACGGTGAAACCCCGTCTCTACTGAAAATACAAAAATTAGCTGGGTATGGTGGCACGCGCTTGTAATCCCAGCTACTTGGGAGGCTGAGGCAGGAGATTCGCTTGAACCTGGGAGGCAGTGGTTGCACTGAGCCAAGATCATGCCACTGCACTCCAGCCTGGTGATACAGTGAGACCCCGTCTCAAAAAAATAAAAAGGAAAGGACAGTCTCTTCAATAAATGACACTGAGAAAACTGCATATCCATATGCAGAAGAATAAAACTAGATCCCTATCTCTCACCATGTACAAAAGTCAATTCAAAGTGGATTAAAGACAAATCTAAGACCTGAGCTGTAAAACTATTAGAGGAAAACACTGAAGCCTTGGCAAAGATTTCTTGGAGCTAGTCCTCAAAGCATAGGCAACAAAAGCAAAAAATACACAGATGGGATTGCATAAAACTAAAAAAGCTTCTGCACAGCAAAGAAAACAATCAACAAAATGAAGAGACAACCTAGAGGATTAAAGAAAATACGTGGAAAACATGTATCTGGTAAGGGGTTAATGTGAAAATATATAAGGAACTCAACTCAATGGAAAAACAACAACAAAAAAACTAAACCAAACCAACACCACCACTACCAAAAAAAAACCCAACTAAAAAGTGGGCCAAAGAAGCCATTATTCTCAGTAAACTAATGCAGGAACAGAAAACCAAATACCACATATTCTCACTTATAAGTGGGAGTTGAACAATGTGAACACAGAGACACAAGGAAGGAAAGAACACAGACTGGGGCCTGTCGGGGGATGGGGAGGCGGGAGAGCATCAGGAAAAATAGGTAATGGATGCTGGGCTTAACACTTAGGTGATGGGTTGCCAGGTGCAGCAAATCACCATGGCACACATTAACCTACGTAACAAATCTGCACATCCTGTACATTTGCCTGGGAACATAAAAAAAAAAAAAAAGTGGGCCAAAGACCCGTATAGACATTTCTCCAAGGAAGGCATACAAAAGGCTAACAAGTATATGAAAAGGTGCTGAACATCACTAATCATCAGGGAAATACAAAATTAAAACCACAATCCACAATAAGATATTTCTTCACACTTGTTAAGATGGCTTTTATAACAAAAAAAAAAAAAAAAAAGATAAATGTTGGCAATGATGTGGATAAAAGGGAACCCTTGTACACTGTTGGTGGGAATGTTGGTATAGCCATTATGGAAAACAATGTGGAGGTTCCTCAAAAAACAGAAAACAGAACATCCATATATATGATCCAGCAAACTCACATCTGGGTATACAACCACAGAAAATGAAATCAGTATGTCCAAGTGAAATCTGCCCTACCATGGTTATTGTAACATTATTCACAATAGCCAAGATGTGAATCAACCTTAATAGATGAGTAGACTTTAAAATATACAACAGGTAATATTCAGCCTTAAAATAAAAGGAAATCCTGTCATTTGTGACAACATGGATAAACTGAAAGGACATTATGCTCAGTGAAATAAACGATGCACAGAAAACAAATACTGTATAGTCTCACATGTGGAATCTAAAAAATTATAATCATAGAAGCAGAGAAGTAGAATGGAGGTTACCAAGGGCAGGGAATGGGGAGATGTTGGTTAAAGGCTACAAAGTTTTAGGTAAACAGGAGGAGTAAGTTCTGGAGATCTATTGTACAGCATTGTGAGTATAATTAACAATAATGCATAGTACACTTGAAAACTGCTAACAGGGTAGATTTTAAATGTTCTCATCATAGGTAAGTACGTAAGGTGATGGGTATGTTAATTAACTTGATTTCAACATTTCACAGTGTGCATATATCAAATCATGTTGTACACCATAAATATATACAATATGTCATTCATCAATTACAACTTTTTTTTTAAAGAAAAAACTCTGACATAAGCAAGAAAACAGAATTCTAGGAGGGATATGCTAACACCATCTCTGACTTCATATTACTTTTCCTGCCCCTACTTCCTGTTTTCATCATTTTCCTCATTTATAAGCCTGTTATAGTATACTTATCTTCACACACTGCCTTAAATATTTTTTGAAAAGGCAGGGATTTCTTTTAAAAGGTAAAACTGAATCAGAAGATAATAAGATATATTTCCTTTTTTCAGTTATATCATTATCAGGTTATATGACCTTAAGTAGGTCACTTATATTTTCTGTGCTTCAGTTCCCAGCCTTATAAAAAACAAGTAACATCCTTTCTCCAAGCCTGAACAGCTTTTGCTATGGAAGCAAAATACAGAATGTGGGAAAGTACTCTGAACAGGAAAAAGCACTATAAAAAATCCCAAGAAAGCTGCACATTGCATTCTGTTGTCCTTACTCAAAGGATACATCAATAACAATTTCAAAGAACAAATAATTTTACTGAAGAATAGTAACCTGATCATACATTGTTTTCAGTAGGAGTCCTTTACTCTCCAGCAACTTTAAGACCTCTTGAGATTTTTCACGATAAAATGATTCTCCTGAATATTCATCAAAATATACTCCCAGACGCTAAAAGAGTTCAGAAACAAAAAGACAAAGAAATGTTAATTGAATCTCCTATTCTTACCCTAAGGCAAAATTAAGGATGCTCTACCACCTGTCACACACATGAACACAATAAAAATTAAATCAAGGGCTGAGTGTGGTGGCTCATGCCCATAATCCCAGCACTTTGGGAGGCTGAGGCAGGAGGATCACTTGCGCCCAGGAGTTCAAGCCCAGCCTGGGCAAGATGGCGAGGACCTCATTATTTTTGTTTAAAAAAAAAAAAAAATCACTCCTCTTCTCAAACCTCCTAATAGTTTCCACTATACCAGTCAAGTCCTCACAATGGTACTGTGCTGTGCAATACAGTAATCACTAGGCCCAAGTGACAATCTATACTGTTAAACTGGAATTAAGCAAAATTGAGAATTTAGCTCTTCTGTCACACTATTCACCCTTCAAGCCACATGTGGTTGGTGGCTACTTAAGGAGACGGCCACAGATACAGAAGATTCCCATTACCACAAAAAGCACTGGACAGCCCTAGAGAAATCCTAGAATCATGCCCCATATGCTACTAGCTCTTCAACCTTCTCCTGTCGTTCATCTTGCTTACTTACTCCAGTCACACGGGCTTCTTTACAAAACTGTCGTTCCACCTGAAGACTCCATACCTGATCTCCCCAGCTAGCATCTAGAACCACTTAATAAAAACATAGTTGTTTCTTGCTTTATCTTTAATTTGTTTAGTTTGTGCTGTCTCTAGGCTAGAATATAAGGTCTGCGAGAACAAGGGTTTTCCTCTTCTATTCGCTGTTGTGTATTATCCCCTACCCACCAAATGTTTATTAAATGAATCAGTTTATTAACCATCACATACCAGCCTAAGGAAGTGAAAGAACAAAAAATAAATATGAAAAAGTGAAGGAATGCTAGAACAGAAAAGTCAGATAAAAATGAAGTATGAGAATATCACCTGACACTGCTTCAGGATTATTTTGCAGTTCTTTCAGCCCAAAAAAAAAATTTGAGTCTTAATTTTAAATTCACCTACAAATCTATTTTTAAAACACAAGCTTAACACGCAACTTTACTATGCAGGTAACAGCCGAGAGCTGCACTGCATCATGGGAAAGCAGAAGGGAGGGTCAACCAATACCTTGTAAACCCGAATGTACTCTTCAATGCTCAAGTCCCGAAATTTTTGCCACAGTGAAAGTGCTTGCACATCGCCCAGTTCCAATCGTTGGAAGAACTCCTGTGCTGCTTTTGCTACACTTTTATCATCTGCTGCTTCTTTATTAACTTGTACATAAACCTAAAAGTACAATAGTACATTAAATGAAGTACATAACAGGTCATTGTTATCTCTAACACGGAAAGAAAGCAAAAAAAGCACATTCTGAGAATTCTCATTTAAAATTTTCCAAGTTGGGTACATTACAGAGTGTAACTTTTTCTTTTTTGCCATGGGCCCCTGGTGAAGCATATAGACCCCTTCTCAAAATGTTTCTAAATTCATAAAATAAAATACACAGGGTTACAAAGAAAAGAATTACTCTGAAATAACCAAATAGCCAAAAATTAATTTGTGATATAGTAATGGAGGAAAATACTCAATTTCCGAGAGAGGTCAGGGAAAACAAAGTATAATTTTTTCTTTCCAACTAAATCCACAGATCCCCAGGGTAAGAATACCTATTTAAGACTAAACTGGCATTTCTTCTGTTATTTTTCAAAATGCCATATTATTATCCTGTAACTTCGCTGAAAAAGGTTGAATAAAGTAGGATGGCTCGATCTGGCAAAGAAACAGCTAACGGATGATTTAGCATTTGTTTTAATCAAAGATTTTAAAACTGTTCTCTAAATAGCTTACTGTGTAAAGACCAATACAATAGGTGATCTTGGTAAAAAGGACTGCTTTTGGATAGTTAGTATAATTATACTCTAAACTTAAGATCCTAAAAACTGTGTTGAGCACCTCTTCTGGAGTTTTATTTTGCATCACCTGTCTTAGCTGGTTTAGTTCCATACTCAGCCAAGAACTAGGGTGGAGTTGATGGTTTATTAAGGGCTCAGGCTTACTCTTCCAGCTCTAGGAATCTGTGTTCCCAATGTAGTTTCAATCATTTTTCAGTCTCCAAAATATAATGTTAATAAATGACATTAAAATATTAATATTATAGTTCAAGTAGTACTGAAGTTATACATATGGACAAATATTTACAAATTGTAACTCACCTGCAGGTTGAAACATCAATGATAACTTTACTATATTATTTCCAGAAAGCTATTAAAGTCTCATGAAAGCAATAAAAATTGGTGAATAAACTATGAAAAAATAAGGCTTCTAAACCCTTACAATGTTATTATCAAAACATCCGGACAGCAGTATTTGGATAGGAAAAAATGATTTTATTGCTGGAGGACACATTGGCTTATACCCACTAGATACTACCAACAAATGGGACAGGGCATTAAACATCTCTCAAGGTAAAAACGTTTCACCTTTCATAGATGATCTATGTTAATTACTGGAATGACAGACTTAAATAAATAAATACTGCTAAATAAAGTTAAAATTACCTTTTTTTTTCCCCCTAGAAAAGAGTTAACTAGCAGGTCTGATACTGTTATATTTAAAACATCCTGCTTGCAAGGTTGGCCACTGGCTGGCATCTATTAACTTAGATTTTTGGGAATGTCTCCACCAACTTAACTGATAAAAGTGGTCATTGTGCCTACACTGTGGATGCAAACAGTACAGCTTAGGCTGAACTTCTGCTTTCCTTCTGGGAGTTTGGGATTTAGGACATTCTAAGCAGAGGGTACCTACATGACCAACTCTCAATAAAAACCTTGGACACAGGGTATCTAATGAACTTTTGCCAGTGGACATTTCACATGTATTCTCATAATTTGCTGCTGGAAGTATGTGCACCTTGTGTGACTCCACTGGGAAAATTTGGGAGTCTGGAAAGCCTGGTTTCCTCTGGACTTTACCCCATATATGCCTTTTCCCTCTGCTGATTTTGCTTTGTATCCCTTCACTGTAATAAATCATAGCCACAAGTAAGACTATGCTGAGTTCTGTGAGTCCTCTGCGTGAATCACAGAATCGGGGGGAGGAGTGGTCTTAGGATACCTGACACATCATAAAAAGGTGATGTTTATGTAGTCCTATTAGTAAGTCCAGAACAACACATACAATGTCAGTTAGAAAACAAAGAAGACTTTGGTAAAGTATGGGAAAACAAAAAGGGTCCCCATAAGATAGTAAACTGCGGACTTCTTGACTTTTGAATGACACAGCCATTGACAACTGCTTAACGGTCCAGTATACAGATGTTAAAAACATAAATATATATTCACAAGTGGTTTCTGATTCTATCTCACACACATACATACATGTGCACACAAGTTATAAGCAAACACATGCAAAATGTCTTTATTTTCACAAAAGAGTTTAGTTTCTTTTTTTTTTCATAAAGCCTTTCTTCAGGGTGAAGTTTCTTTGTTTTTAAATCTAGGACTTTAAACTCAAATAACCAAACATTTAAAAATCTATTATGCATTATGATATGACTATTTTAGAAAAAACTTCACCAGAATCTTCTCTTTCTTAAAAAATAGAAATAATTAAAACAAAAAGCCCTTAAAACGTGAATATTCTTAGTATTTCCGCAATATGTACTTATAAAACAAACATTAGTGAAAATCAACTGACACTATCAAAGAGAAGAGCTTTAATAAGCACTTCCCAATATACCTATAAATGCACAATATAAAACTAAACAGTTACCATGTACCTTTTTAATTAACCCTTGGAAAGTACGCATTTTGAAGATATCTTCCTTTTAAGGCTAAATTTAGACACAAAGAGATAAAAAGGCAATTTTAAATTTGGGCTTCATAATAAGGCAGCATGGCTTAGTAAAGTTTTTGAGGATGGAAACACAATTTTTCTCTTAGAAGAAAACACAAAAACCAGTTGTGTTTCCTTTAGGGAATAAACTAAATGTCTCAGACTTCCTTAAAAAAAATTAACATTCCCTTTTCACTATTTCTAGATGTTGGGCCTGCCAAATAGCGTAACATTTTATTTTGAATTTAACTCAGATAATTACAGTAAGCTCTTGGGCTGATCTGCCCAAATATAAAGAACTAAGCATGAAAATTAAAAGTAGTATGATAAGCCTTTCTTATCCCTTTAAATTTGATCCTAGAATACCATTAGCCACATGGGCACAGTTTAACTCCTTGATGTGGGGCTCTAACCCCACTTCTAGCCATGCTTATCTTAGAAATACTGAGAATAACTGCTAAGGATGGTTAGCAAAACTTAGAAACCACAGACCCTTTTTTCATATATTTATGTCATCTTAAAATGCACTGAATTTTTACCTAGTTTAGAAAAGAACATGTAAAAATATTCATGATTATAATTTGAACAACTTCATTATGTTTAATGCTGTTTCACTGATCAGAAATTTCTTAGCTGCTAGTTGATTCCGAACATGAAATGAAAAATTAAAGACATTCAAATGTGTTTATATAATTAAAATTGAATGTATCAATACTGCAAACAGTTAATAATAAAGCCAAAATGTGGTAGGTAAAAAAATAACTAACTTGAGCTATTTCATGAGTTATCAAATTTCTCCTCCTTAATACATTAGTAGTAGGATATAAACTGTATTTCACCTTCCATTAATCTTTTCATATTTAGAATCTCCTACTTTTACTCTATGTATATACATAACCACATTCATTATATCTTACATCTTTATTCAGGGATGATAATTATTAACTCCTTGTAGAGCACCACACACAAGCACCTAATAAATGTTAACATTTCTCATGCTGATAAAAGTATTTTTTGCACATTTCAATGGTGTCAGATATTTACTCAGCTATTAATGTGTACTTTGTTCTTGCTAGGTATTTCAAAACTCATTCTAAGAGGAAGACTAAGAGGACAATGACACACTGTAGTGCTGTCCCAAATAAGCAGAGAGAGAGTAGAAAAGCAAGCAGTGTTGGGAAGGGACAGCAGGGAGCAATGGCCAAGTGGAGAAACTGCCAGGATAGAGGAAAGGAGAATTACCTGGAATGGGGAGGAGATGGGGAAGACTTCCAGAAGAGCAGAAGCTAGGAAGCCCCTGGGGTGGTGCAGGCCCACAGTGGGAAATGGTTCACGGTGTGTCTACATAGCGATCTTGTCTCTAGACCTGTGGACAGGGCAAGGACCACCAGCTAATGTTTGTCACACAAGAAGAGCTGCATGCCTCCAAGCATCACACAGGCTGGGATACTAAACATGTAAGAGACCAGTGTGCACTGAAGACAAGAAGAGTCCTCTAGGACTGTCCTAGGAGACACATAAGAGCCTGGGGAACTTTGCATGATTTAGTAGGTGGGAAATTCAATGACTTACACTGACTCTTACAAGTGATAGCTGGAATCAGATTTTCTTATCATTTAAAAACTATTTCTTACATATAAATGTTATTAAGGAACAAAATTCATACTAGCCATAACAGTAACATTCCCTGGAAAAAGAAATGTAACTTAAAACAATGATGAAATCTTGAACGCAATTTTTCATAAAATAAAAACTTCAACTGCATAAATATCCCTACATATGATGAGAATTTAGTCTTGAATTATTTACTTAAAGTTGAGAAATTGGAGACTCTAAAGTTAGGAAAAACATTGTGTCTTGAGGAATAGATACTAATTCCATGTTTTTAAAAATGAGAGCAAGTAAACATTATCACTCATTGAATCGGTGCTTTGATCTTGTCCTATTTAAAAAAATTTTTTTTTGCCTACTGATATGGGGAAGCTCAGGGTCAAAACTATTACGTAAATTATCTAGTGATACACTAACCCCTCACTATTTTTCTTTTATTAAATGCCCATCACTGTAATTACCTTAAATCCTGCTAGAAAGGGGCAAGGTAGAAATACTGAAATAGAACCTTTGGAGGCCATTTTGAACTTAAAGAAATTTTTATACTATTTGTGTTATTATGTAACTGTTTTGTTTTTTTTTTTTTTTTTTGAGACAGAGTCTCGCTCTGTTGCCCAGGCTGGAGTGCAGTGGTGTGATCTCAGCTCACTGCAACCTCCACCTCCTGGGTTCAAGCGATTCTCGTCCCTCGGCCTCCTGAGTAGCTGGGATTACAAGCATGCATCACCATGCCCAGCTAATTATTTGTATTTTTTTTTTTAAGTAGAGATGCAGTTTTGCCACGTTGCTGAGGCTGGTCTCAAACTTTTGAGCTCAGGCAATCCACCTGCCTCAGCCTCCCAAAGTGCTAGGATTGCAGGTGTGAGCCACTGCACCTGGCCTATGTAACCTTTTTTAATGTCAGTGCTAGGATACAGGCTAATCCATATTTTATTGGCATGATATTTATCTCTTATAAGAGGCTGCCCTTACATTTCATAAGAATGGCTATGGTTACAAAAGCCATATTAATAGGCAATATGCAATGAGTCAAGTTCTATTAATAAAACCTTCTATAGCAAAAAAAAAGGTTAATATGCTTAGAGATACTGTTAGATAATAAAGTCTATTCAAATAATTTAAATCTAAAAGGAAGCCTGATAAGTTACCTTTAAAAGTATTATTTAAATAGGTAAAAGTAAATGATGACACCCTCATATCCATGATTCAGATTTAACACTTGTTAACTTTTACCATAAGAAATTACTTTTTGCCTGGGCGTGGTGGCTCACACCTGTAATCCCAGCATTTTGTGAGGCCAAGGTGGGCGGATCACAAGGTCAGGAGTTTGAGACCAGCCTGGCCAACATGGTGAAACCCCGTCTCTAGCAAAAATACAAAAAAATTAGCTGGGCGTGGTAGTGCACACCTGTAATCCCAGCTACTCAGGAGGCTGAGGCAGGAGAATCATTTGAACCCGGGAGGCAGAGGTTGCAGTGAGCTGAGATCACGCCACTGCACTCCAGCCTGGGCAACAGGGCAAGACCCCATCACGAAAAAAAAAAAAAGAAAGAAAAAAAAAGAAATTACTTTTCAATATAAGTGGAAAGGCTTTTTGATATATTGTCTAAAGCTTATTGCAAATGTTTTCCTGAATCACTAATGTGAATTCTAAATAAAAAAAATATATTAGTTATTTAACAGCCAATTCACAAGGGAAGAGGAACTATAACAAAACTACTTCCCTGTTTTGTAACCAAAAAAACCAAATTAGAATAATTAAAGAAAAAGTTTCAAATGCTTGCCAACAAAATCCTAGGTCCCACGTACAAAACAGCTAGATGTCATGGGAAAAGAATGCTATAAGGTACAGAGAAAAACCACTAGTGAAGCATATGCACCAAAATGGAAATGCAATAAATGACTGTGGGTGTTAAATATTTTCATCAAAGAAATTCTGAAACTATCATACAATATCATTTCCAAGCTAGCTGAGAAACTGAATATACTAATACTGATTATAGTGCAATTTAGAGAATACTGATCATAGTTCAATTTAGAGGAAGGCAGGCCATAAAATCTGCTACTGGATGGCCTATGCCAAATTCAAAACAAATATGCCAGAAGGTTGAAAGTGCCAAAACTAAACTACTAATTGTGTCCCTGGTATAGCAACTCAAGGGATGAAAGAAAGGAAAATTCTATGTACATAATTAAACCAATGGAAATCAATGGTTCATAAAGCCATTCTATAGTGGGGGTGTGGGGACATTCACTGCATAGAGCACTCAGGAGCCAGACTACCTGTGCCGGAATCCTGGGTTTGGCCTGTGGTTTCCTCTGCAGTAAACTATGTTAACAAAGTAAGTTAAATTCTGACAAATGGTAATTAGTGTATCCTATAATAGTTACTTATTTCCTGGACAAACAATACATTTTATATTCCACAAATTATATATAATTAGAAAAGGGGGCAAAAGAGAACTATAAAAGCAAATTCATTCAGGCATTTACTGCAAGCCATAATATTTAGGGTTGTGGATAAGGAAGGTAAGGAAGACATGGTCCTTCCTCTCAAAGAGCTCACTACTAACTACAACTTGATATGGAAAAAAAACAAGGGTTCCATCAAAGCTTTGAGAAAACAGATTTTCACAAATAAGAAAGAGTAAATGCAGATTATCTTAAAGTTTTCCTTCGAATAAATCAGCCAACATTATTTACCAATACACCAAGCACTTTCCAAGCATAGAATCACGATCTCTGACTTTCTGGTCACCTTTCTGGTGACCAGAAATAACGATGGGGCAGAGTCTCTGTATTACCACCTACGCTATTTGTGACATTGCAGGGCAAGCAAAGGCATCTTTCAATTATTAAATAAATTGAGTTGTTGACATTCAGATTTTCTTTTAGAAACAGAATAACATCAACATTTGCTTAAAGCTCAAAAAAATTCCTCATTTATGCTAACAGTTGTTTTTGAAAGTAATCCAAAGTGACAAATGTAATTTTAAAATGAAAACAGAGTCTATAAAATTTGCATATATAATAACCTGTAGGCTGCCATTTTAGGCTTTGCATATTTTCTGTCCTGCAAAAGGAGAAGGAAAAGAGCAACTGAATACTCTAATGGTCTTGTCGTCTATTACAAATAGCAAAGTGGGTGTATCTTGCCTTCTTTTGTCTTTAAATGCAGTTTCCCAGTGAATCTATTCGGCAAAAGAACACTAATGAAAGCAACACCATTATTATTCGACTTTTTAGTTATTCACAGAAGTACCTTATTGCCCTTATTCCTTCCATATGTGTACCCATCAGTAAATAACCTCTAACATAGATGTTGATCTTCCACTATTTTTGAGTCTCTAAAGGCAGGAAATTATATTAAACTGCATAGAAAGAAATATATTCTTAGGTTTCTGTGGAGTTTGAAGACAGATTCCCCTGAAATATTTAAAATATTGTACAGCCTCAGCAACAGTGAGACTTCACCTCCACAAAAAAACCCACAAAACCTACACCTATATATGGCTAGGCACAGTGGCTCATGTCTGTAATTCCAATACTTTGGGAGGCTGAGGTGGGAGGATCACTTGAAGCTAGGAGTTTGAGACCTGCCTGGACAGCATAGCAAGACCCTATTGTTATTTAAAAAATTAAAAAATAGGTTGGGTGTGGTGGCTCACACCTATAATCCCAGCACTTTGGGAGTTTGAGGCAGGAGGACTGTTTGAGCCCAAGAGTTTGAGACCAGCCTGGGCAACATAGGGAGACCCTGTCTCTATAAAAAATCAAAAAATTAGTTGGGTGTGCTGGTGTGTGCTTGTAGTCCTAGCTACTTGGGTTGCTGAGGTGGGAGAATCACCTGAGCCTGGGAGGTCAAGGCTGCAGTGAGCCGTGATTGTGCCACTATATTCCAGGCTGGGCAACAGAGTAAGATCCTGTCTCACATAAATAAATAAATAAATAAATGAATAAATAAATAAATAAAAGATAAAAATAAAATGTCATAGAAGACAAAGGTTTACTATTTGCAAGATTAAATAAAAACTTTTGAGGTGGGGAAGAAGAAAGATAAAAAGAATAACTCTCACATGTCATGCTGCACTCTAAATCAATGACACAAGGTCTCCAAGCAGGTATTTGTATTTTCTGCAACATGGGGTGTCTCTGTGTAAAAAGTGAAGTAGAGGTTCCCCTTCAAAGACACTTTCCTCCCCGTCTAATTAAGGACAAATAGTGACTTCTCTTAGAAGTAAAATTTATTCAAAGACCTGTCATAACATCCTTAAATATCTGCTAGCCGTAATAAAGAAATCAATATACTTTGTGTTCTTAGCTCCTACAATTTAGCCTAAATATCTGCCTTGGCATGCTTACATTGGTCCAAGCAAGCATTAGGTGACAGCCTGTTCCTCTTCCTTATTTGGAGGTGTTTTTACCTTTCTCAGCATTTCACAAGTTACTTCCTGCTTCCTTTGTTCTCCCCTGCCTTTGCCTCTTTTGAAAAGTTAAAGTTGCTAGCCAATCGGGACAAATACAGAATGTGAGGTTCCGTTCCAGCCAATGGAAACCAGACACAGCAGTAAGGTGGATGTGTCAAGTTATAAATGACCCTGTCTCCTTTGTTCGGTATACTCTCGTGGCAAAACTGCTGGCGAGTGTACCCTTTCTGCAGAGAGTAAAAATGGCCTTGCTGAGATAATTAAATTTATGTTCAAGTGCTATTTCTTTGTGGCACCGGGGAACAAGCATGCTATTTCTAAATAAACATTTTTACATATAACATCTGTGGGCCTGGATCTCATGAAAGATTAAGCTTGAGGTAAAATTATTCAAGTGTAAAAATAAATAAATAAATACAGTAAAAACTCCAGGCACTAAGGGAACATACTTTATAGACAACCATGAAGAATTATTAATTTTTATATTCCTCCCTATCAATAAAACTCTTAATGGGAAAGAGAGAAGAAATCTTTTGGTTAACATGATAAATCAAAATGCAGTCATTTAGAGTGCAGTGTTGGCATGGACTCAGGGGAAAATGGCAAACCTTTAAAGGTCTTTAAGAACTGGAATATGGGCTAGGTGCGGTGGCTAACACCTGTAATCCCAGCACTTTGGGAGGCCGAGGTGGGCTGATCATGAGATCAGGAGTTCAAGACCAGCCTGGACAACATAGTGAAACCCTGTCTCTACTAAAAAATACAAAAAAAAAATAGCTGGGTGTGGTGCTGGGCACCTGTAATCCCAGCTACTCGTGAGGCTGAGGCAGAACTGCTTCAACCCAGGAGGCAGAGGTTGCAGTGAGCCAAGATCACACCATTGCACTTCAGCCTAGGCAACAGTGTGAGACTCCTCAAAAAAAAAAAAAAAAAAAAAAAACTGGAATATGTTTTTGTTCAATTTAACTGCAAAGCCAGCTGCAGGAAAAAATCACGTTAACAGGAAAATGATGAAGCACCCTCTGTGGCTTAAGCTGGAGAAGTAAAGCATTATTTTTGCAAGTGCTTTTTCTCACACACAAGCAGAACATGTTTAGTCTGATCCCCTGATCTGTCACCAATATGGCTGACTTCGTATCCGCGTTTCCACTGTGAGGCCCAGAAACGGCAGAGATAACAACAGGGACAACAAAAAGGAAACACATCCCTGGAGATTGTTTGGACAGGAAGGGCTTTATTAATAAACTTCAGGAAGAACTGAAGATAAAGAAGCAAAGTATCCAAGGGACTAAATGAAATAGAGTAGGCAGAAATTCACCTTGGACAAAAGCCAGGAAAAGGAGGTGAAAGATGTAAATGGAAAAAGCACACACAATTTCAGAGAGAAATAGACATGCTGTCCCCCACACCAGAAAAAGAACAAAAATACTCATTTTTCAAGTCTAATTGATATACAGTTATTACCACGAAAAAAGCTGCAGTACATATTAACTGACAGAAAATTGAGAAATTTCTGTGTCGAATAATTATCTTGCATGTTTATTCTAAAAGATTCTATACCTGAAGAAATACTGTCCCAAATCAACTAAAAGGACATTTAAAAAATCTTAGATTAGGAAATAAAAATAACCTAGTAAAATAAGTGCAACATTTTCTTTCTTTCTGAGACAGGGTCTTGCTCTGTTGTCCAGGCTGGAGTGCAGTGTCATGACTACAGCTCACTGTAGCCTTGAACCCCTGGGGTCTAGCAATCCTCCTGCCTCAGTCTCCCCAGTAACTAGGACTACAGGCACAGGCCACTGTGCCTGGCTAATATTTTATTACTTTATAGAGGCCAGGTCTCATTATGTTGCCCAAACTGGTCTTGAACTCCTGGTGTCAAGCAATCCTCCTGCCTTGGCCTCCCAAAGTGCTGGGATGCAAGTGTGAGTCACTGTGCCCAGCCAAAAGCAACATTTTCAATTATGTTTTGGTTCCTTGTTTTAAAGAACATATTTTTTAAACCTCTGGAGGCTGGGCGTGGTGACTCACGCCTGTAATCCCAGCACTTTGGGAGGCCAAGGTGGGTGGATTACCTGAGGTCAGGAGTTTGAGACCTGCCTGGCCAACATGGAGAAACCCCATCTCTACTAAAAATACAAAAATTAGCTGGTTATGGTGGCATACGCCTGTAGTCCCAGCTACTTGGGAGGCTGAGGCATGAGAATTGCTTGAACCCAGGAGGCAGAGGTTGCAGTGAGCTGAGATTGCACCACTGCACTCCAGCCTGGGCAACAGAGCGAGACCCTGTCTCAAAATAAAGAAAAATAAACCTCTGGGATTAAAAACATGTTACTAAGCTACATAGTACTCTGAAAAATTTTTGAAATGTTTTCTTGCCAACTTACTTCAAAGAGATGCTGTAGAGGATTGGACTGCAGTTTTTCCTCATAGCCAAACAGCTGGAAGCCAGTTCCCAGAAGACCTACCATGATAATCCGTAAATGAAAAATTATAAAGTTGAACAACAGAGAATAGGCATGACAGGGAATAGGTATAATTCTATAAAAAGACCAACCTGTCATATTATGTATCCTGAGAAGTATTACAAAACACACTTTTACCTTCTATGACCCCATAATCTGACACAAGTCAAATTCAATATATTTAATCATAAATTCAACATACTGAATAGATCACTGAAATTAAGCTCACAGAAACCAATAGGTTATGAGCTCATCAAAGGTAAAGTCTAGGACTAATTTATCTTTGTACTAACAGTGCTGAACACCACCCTAGCAGACATTAAAAAATAAACATTTATTAAGCATCTACTCTGTTGAAGTGACATCATGAAGCTAGACACTAGGCACTCAAAATTTATTAAAAAAACTGATGGAAACTGTTTTCAAACTTTCTTTTTAAACTTGTAGGCATTAATGCGAAGACAGCAATGGTTTTGTTGTTATATTAGTTCTTAAACAAAATTGGAGGAAAACAGCAAGGTAAAACTTGGAACATCCTTGATTATTTCTCAGGTTCAAGGTAGCCAAGCAACAAAAATCTTTAATTTGACTGTGTATAATTTTTTAGTCTTTGATGATAAATTCAGAGTTCAGGGATAGTGTTAATTTGAACCTAAAAAAAAAAAGAAAAAAAAAAACCCAAACACCAAAAACTGAGGTTGGTAAACTACATATCAAAATTCCTAGTACAGTCTGGGAGTATGTAGACTCAAGATATTCTGCATAAAGATGATCATAACTTCCGTTAGAAAGGATATATGCAGCCTGGGTTAAGAGGAATATTAGTTGGGAGGCGGGAGGGATAGCATTAGGAGATATACCTAATGTTAAATGACGAGTTAATGGGTGCAGCACACCAACATGGCACATGTATACATATGTAACAAACCTGCACGTTGTGCACATGTACCCTAGAACTTAAAGTATAAAATAATAAAAAAAAAAAAGAGGAACATTAGTTTTATTACTTTAAAAACCAATTTATGGCTGGATGCAGTGGCTCATGCCTGTAATCCCAGCACATTGGGAGGCCAAGGTGGGTGGATCACCTGAGGTCAGGCATTTGAGACCAGCCTGACCAACAAGGAGAAACCCTGTCTCTACTAAAAAAATACAAAATTAGCCTGGCATGGTGGCACATGCCTGTAAACCCAGCTACCAGGGAAAGTGAGACAGGAGAATCGCTTGAACCTGGGAGGCGGAGGTTGCGGTGAGCCGAGATCCCGCCATTGCATTCCAGCCTGGGCAACAAGAGCAAACTCTGTCTCAAAACAAAAACAAAAACAAAAACAAAAACAAAAGCAAAAAAACAAAACCAACTTATTGGCCGGGGGTGATGACTCACTCCTGTAATCCCAGCACTTTGGGAGGCCGAGGTGGGCGAATCACTTGAGGTCAGGAGTTTGACACCAGCCTGATGAACATGGCAAAACCCTGTCTCTACTAAAAATACAAAATTAGCCTGGCATGGTGGTGCATGCCTATGATCCCAGCTACTCGGGAGGCTGAGGCAGGAGAATCACTTGAACCTGGGAGGCGGAGGTTGCAGCGAGCTGAGATGGTGCCACTGCACGCCAGCCTGGGTGACAGAGCGAGACTCCATCTCAGAAAGAAAAAAAAAAAACAATTTATTTCTATATCAATTACCAAGCTTCAGATCTAAAGGGCTTTACTGATACACATTTTTCTATTCAAGGTTCAGTAGAAAGTGGGACGTGACTGAACACAGGACACAGGAATATACAATACTTTGGAACTTAGGAACAAGAAGGATGACTGAAGCTCTATTAACTTTCAAGCAAGAGCAAATGTGATTATAATTCAGGGTGGTTGGAGCAGTGTGTGGAAAGATGCTCAGTGTTCCAAAACACAAAAATGGGAAAAGTAAGGGCCAATTCCATTTAACATTCAGCCTAATACATTTTCAAAAACTAATTCTGTGCTTAGAAACTGCCAACTTTCAAATGGAGATAGCTGAAACAGCAAAAATATTCTTTAACAGTGATGGTTATAATGGAAATGCTGACAGATCATTAACCACAGCAGTCCTTTAGAGAAAAAACTGCTGTAACGAAATCCTGCAGCTAAAATTTAATGAATACCCTAATCACATATTTGCTAATGCCTCTGAAATGTCTAAATCGGTCAAATTAATAAAAATCAGTGCTATCTATTAAGTCTGACTATTGAGCCTAGGGCCTAGCCCTCTGACTACCAGCTGTTGTGAACTACAGGTTGATTTTTTAAATGCAGGGCATGTATTCTGATTCTTCCATAGTGAACAGTAATGGTTCTGTTAACAGGTTCAAGGTCTACTCTTCTTAGAGTGCTTCTTATGTGACAAGCACTGTAGATATAAAAGTTAAGTCCACGCCTTCAAGGAACATGCCTAGTAGGGCAGGGAAGCACACAAATAAGAACATAAGACAGGAGCCTTACCATACTTGAGTAGAGCTGGATACCAGGAAATTGGTGATGTGAGAAGATGGGCAAGGGTGTGTCTTTGTGTCAGAGAATGCTTTATAGAAATGATACTAGAGCTGTTTCTTAAAATACACATGGTGGTAACAACAGATTTTTTTTTAAGTTTGTATTTCACAATCTACCCCGTCCTTCACTACCATAACAACTTCATTTACCTTGCCCTCTCACACCTTGATTACTGGTTTACATGAATTAGGAATGGTTCTGAGTAAACTCATTATATGAGAGATAATTTGTGGTAGTACTTAACTGTTTGGATCGCACTCCTCTCTTTTTCTCTTTTCCTTTTGGACTTTCCCCAACCCACTCCTACCTCTCACTGTACAGTTAAAGGGGAAGACAAAGTATCACCCTTTGCTTATCTTCTGGGCCACTGGCTATGGTATAACAGGGGATCCTACTTCATGTAGAATGGCCCAGGGAGGCTGGATGTCCTTAGATTGAAAAATGGCAGGGCTGTGGTTGAGAAAGGTGTACACAGTTAGACTTACTTCTTCCCTGTATACTCACTTCTACATTTAACTAATAAAAGTAGGCAATTTCTCTTTATTAAAACCACAAAAGCCTACATCAGGTCTTACTCTGGGGTTTCTTTCTTGAGACAAGGTCCTGCTCTGTCAACCACGCTGGGTGCAGTGGACTGCAGTCTTGACCTCCTGGGCTAACACGATCCTCTTACCTCAGGCTTCCGAGTAGCTAGGACTACAAGGGCATGCCACCATGTCTAGCTAATTTTTTTGTATTTTGTAAAGACAGGATTTCGCCATGTTGCTCAGGCTGGTCTCAAACTCCTGGGCTCAAGTGATCCACCCGCCTTGGCCTCCCAAAGTGTTGGCATTACAGGAGTGAAATACCATGCCTGGCCCAGGTCTTCTTTGAATGTGTGAAGTTACCTTCCCCAAAGGTAACTTGTGTGGTGAGAATTACTCAAATAAATAGAAGATTTTATGCAAAAGAGCCATTAGGGAAAAAAAAAAAAAAATAGGTAGGACATACTACTTCATCCAATGGGATTCTGCCTATATTCTGTCCAGATCAAAGTTTTTACAAATTGAATTTTACAATGAAATGAAAAATAAAATCTCAAGTGTACTTACCAAACTGCATGCCCCAATCGCCAAGGTAATTTATTCTTATTACTTGATGTCCTAAAGCTTCTTTGAGATTTGCTATAAAATTTCCTAGTAATCAATAAAGTATATAGTTTCTCATTCTTGTTATCCATTTTTTGACATAAGAACCATGTACTTCTCTATTATCAAACATAAGTAGAAAATTCTTTTCACTAAATTTACCAACTCAATGTTTTTTACTAAAACATTCATCATTGTGTTTTCATGTGTTATGGAAAGGGAGTAAGAAATTACTTGTAGGGCAGTTATTCCAAAGAATCTCACATTTTCACAGTAACAGAACTTTCACCTACATTATTAATAGGATTTGAGGACATGTTAGAGTAACTGCTATTCTAGTCAATTTCAAGAAGAGAAAAAAAAAAAATCCCAGTAATTAACAAGAAATATATTTGTCTGTGCCCTAAGAACCGAAGCCTCACTGTTGTATTTTCCCTTTTTGTGTTTTCTAAATAGCTCATTCTATCTCCTTTTAATCACTAACATCTACCCTCTGCATGCCTGCTCCCTAACAGCATGTAATAATCTAAGGCCTTCACTTTCCCATACTGCTGATGCTGGTTTCACACTCAACATCTATTCTGCTTTCCTTCTTGGGTGCCCTCATCTACTGCCGAGGCTGAAAATGTAAAAAGTACAATTCCCAGAGTCTCCTGTGGTTAGAGTTCCAGTAGTCTTCTAGGTTTGGGCAATCAGATACAGTGTCTGTAAGATTTGGAAGGTGAGCTACTTCTATTTTTTTATGACAAGCACAGTGGTGGGGGCTGTGTTTTTTTGTGACACCATGAACAGAGGTCCTAGTATTCCATGATGGCCACCAAAGAAATTGAAAGTATATGGGGCTGCCTCTTATGCCTGTATGAATTCTAGATGGCATGGCAGGAGTAGTGGCATTTTCTTGACCATGGCAGTGGCAGCATGGTTCTAGAGCAGTGCAAGGGATTGCAGAAGAGGCAGGAGCTCCCTTGATGACAAGGTTCCATAGTGCAGTTTTGGGAGTTATTTATGTCAGCTTAATCCAAAGCTTCTGCAGCCCTCCAACAACTTTGTAAACCATTCAATATTCTACAATAAATCCTCTTCTGCCTTTACTAAGAATGGATTTAGTTTTTTGCAAATAAACCCTCACCAATATCCATACCTGACTTAAACTACTGCAGCTATCTTCTTTTCCAGCTTCCCTAGTTGTAGACTTTCCCAATCTATAAAGTCCCTGCAACTGGAACCTGTTTTTCCAGCTGGCACACAGATGGCATATTCCTATTTTTTTCTTAGCCCCTTGTTATATCACAAATCCAATTAAATGTCTGAACCTAGACTTCTGGAATTAGACTGCCTAATTTCAAATCCTGGCTACAATACTTTGGGATGTTGGGAAAGTTACTTTTGGCTGCTGAATTTCTTCATCCATAAACCAGAGTTAACAGTATTTACCAAACTGGGCTGTTATAAAATTGAATGATATAATACATGAAGACACAGCATGTTAAGTTCTCAAATATTATCTCTAACTGGTCCAAATATTTCCCTCAACTGTGAAAACAACTTTATCATACCCTACCCATCATTTACTCACTCCTATACTTTTGACTTACTCATATAGCTTTTTTTATACTGTATATTTCTTATACTTTTTCATCAAGTCCTGTCATTTCTTCTCTTAAAATGCTGCTCAAGAACAGTAAGAGCTGACCGCACAACAATCTATGCCACAAGTACTAATTTCTCCAATTCTGAAAAGTATTGAAGTACAGGTTAAACAACTTTCTCTTAAGCATGCAATAGGACAGATTTCTACATTGGAAGTGAGATTAGATTGAGATAAACTCCAAAGTCCCTTCCAATTCTAATATTATATAATTTTAATTTCAGTTTTTAAATTGACCTGCTGTATGACATGTGTTAAATGAAAATCGTAAGTATATTATACACTGAAGCATTACAACTATGAAGTACTATATAGTAATCTCTATTTATTGAAATAGTCTTTTTTCTTTTCTTTTTTTTTTTGAGACAGAACCTAGCTCTGTCACCCAGGCTGTAGTGCAGTGGTGCGCAGCTCACTGCAACCTCTGCCTCCCGGGTTCAAGCGATTCTCCCACCTCAGCCTCCTGAGTAGCTGGGATTACAGGTGCACACCATCACACCAGCTGATTTTTTGTATTTTTAGTAAAGATGGGGTTTCACCATGTTGGCCAGGCTGGTCGCGAACTCCTGACCTTAAATGATCTGCCTGCTTCAGCCTCCCAAAGTGCTAGGATTACAGGTGTGAGCCACTATGCCCGGCCAGAAATAGTCTTGTTTTAACTTCCAGTCTTGAACATTCCACTAAGTGCTCACATGACCGAGGTGAATTTTTAACAAAAATTGTTATTCGTGTTTTTTAATTTTGACAAAAATTGTTATTAAGTAGAAACCTTGTCTCTACTAAAAATACAAAAATTAGCCAGGCATGGTGGCGCACGCCTGTAATCCCAGCAACTTGGGAGGCTGAGGCAGGAGAATCCTTTGAACCTGGGAGGCAGAGGTTGCAGTGAGCCAAGATTGCGCCACTGCACTCCAGCCTAAGTGACAAAAAAACCACAAAATAAATGAACAAAAAAATCTGAAAGGTTATACATCCCCACATAACTATTTTTACTTTTGCATCTTTCAGGTCTTCCCCATATTTATACTTATTTTTAGAAAGTTAAAAATCATAACATATATAGCAGTTAAAATTAGTTTCTCAGTGAATCTTTTGGTTTTGAAATCAATTTTGTGTTTCCACAAAACAGTGTAACCAATGTCATCCATTTCCTGAATTGGCAGGAGGCTCATATAAATTTAAACTTTTTGTTTTTTGCTATTTTGTTATTTAAGCATTAAAACATTAAATTGAACTATCAAATACTTCCTCAAAGGAACGTTTAGCATTTTATGTGAAACTAAACACTTACCTATGATGGTAGAACGCAAATGTCCAACATGAAATTTTTTGGCAACATTAGGTGAACTGCAAAAAAAATGGGAAACATTTCTCTATTCTAAGACTTAAGACTTCTAAGAATCAACTAGGTCATGCCTCCATACTTTGACAAAACTGTGGAGTATGGCCTTTGGTATTAGGGCAAAGATAAGTTAAAAGTTAAAAATTTAGAGCAAAGATAAATTAGAACTCGAAATTTTGACATTGTGTTAATGAAATTGATCTTGTGACTCCTGAAGTAATAGCATTCACGTAAGTGGTATCTGCTAGTATTTACTGTATCAGAAATCAAAATTTAAAAATGTAAAAATACCCCCAGCACAATGGCTCATGCCTGTAATCTCAGCACTTTGGGAGACTGAGATGGGAAGACTGCTTGAGGCCAGAAGTTTGAGACTAGCCTGGGCAACATATCAAGACTGTCTCTACAAAAAAAATTTTTTTTAGTCAGGTGGCTGGGTGTGGTGGCTCACTCCTGTAATCCCAGCACTTTGGGAGGCCGAGGCAGATGGATCACTTGAGGCCAGGAGTTCTAGACCATCCTGGCCAACATGGTGAAACCCTGATTCTACTAAAAATACAAAAAATTAGCGAGGTGTGGTGGTGTATGCCTGTAATCCCAGCTATTTGGGAGGCTGAGGCAGGAGAATGGCTTGAACCTGGGAGGCGGAGGTTGCAGTGAGCCGAGATCACGACATTGTACTCTAGTCTGGGTGATGAGAGCAAAACTCTGTCTCAAAAAAATAAAAATAAAAAATAAAATAAATAAATAAATAAATAAATTAGTCAGGTGTGGTGGTGCATGCTTGTAGTCCTAGCTACTTAGAAGGCTAAAGTAGAACGGTAGCTTGGGCCCAGGAGCTCAAAGTTACAGTGAACTACGATGACTGCACTTCAGCCTGGGTGACAGAGTAAGATTCTGTCTGTAAAATTAAAAAAAAAAAAACATGTAAAAATATTTATGCATAAAACCTCCCAGAACAATCAGAATGTGGCTCACCACTCCAAATTCCCAATCAACACATTTATCACTCCCGTGTGTGCTCAAGAAGTTGTAATCAATCATTTAACATAGCAAATGCTTCTAGAGCACTCACTACCTGACAGGCACAGCTTCACACACTTCATGGGCATTAACTCATTTAATACTCATATGTGCTTTTATCTTTTATTTTACAGATGAGGGAACTGGGACAACGAAGAGAGATGATGAAGCAAATATGGCAATATCTTGATGACTCTTGAATATGTGTAATGAACATATGGGGGTTAATTATACTGTTCCCTGTTTTGTGCATGTTTGAAAATCTCATAAGTTTTTCAATATTTAAAAAAAGATAAATTAACTTGAACATAGCTGGTTAAAAGTGGTAAAACTAGAGTTTAAATTCTGGTCTGTCTCCAAAGTCTTGTTATACACCCTTAAGGGTACTACGATTTAAAAACTTGATCCTATGGATATGTGTGCACAATTATGAAATTATGAAACTACACACGTATTTATTTAATCATTGTTTAGAAAGAAAGTAAATGTCATCTTAAAGGCTTAAAAAAAAACCTTCCATTTCCAGCCAAAAGAAGATTGGATTTACTCTTCTGCCTTTAAATAATCAGAAAGCCAGAAAAATAGATGAAACACTGATTTTATGAATCTGGACAATAGTCAGTGAAGGACTGTGATGTCTGAGAGAAGAGCAAACAAGGGGAGTCCTAGCGCTGCACCACATTGCTGCCTTACTAGTACATTTGTTGGATGTAGCTAAAGCAGAAAAATCTACAACATGAAATGTTTATATTAGAAAAAAGGTTTTAAATCAATAATCTGAGCTTCTCCTTTAAGAAACTAGAAAAAGTAGAGCAAACTAAATCCAAAGCAAGCAGAATAAAAGAAAATAATACAGATAAAAGTAAAGCAAAAAAAATCAATAGAAATAAAAAACCCCAGAAAAACAGCTCTATATAATTGTGGAGGTAGTTACACAACTTGCATATCTTTGCCAAAACTCATCAAATTATATGTTTAAATATGGTGAAATTATATGTTTAAATAAGTATTGTATGTACTTATCCCTCAATGAAGCCGATTTAAGAAAAAAAAAAAAAAAGAATAGAATACAATGGAACAATAAAAATAATAAGCCAGCCCTGGATGCATTCATATTAAAGGAACATAAAATACATTATTTAAGAAAAAAAAAAAAAGCAAGAAGTGAAAACAATGTAAAATATGTATAGTCTGTTTACAAATGCATAGAACATCTCTAGGAGGGTGAATAAAACACTGATATTCGGATTAATAGATACCCACAGAGGAAACTGAGATGGGGAAGAGCTTTCCTTTTCATTAAATATCTCTTTGTAATCTCTGAATTTTTAAAAAACTAGGTATTTATAATGTCTGTTAAGAAAAACAAAAACAAAAACAAAAACAAAAAAAAACTTTCACAGAGCTTTCCATTTTCCCTCCGGTATTAGAAAAATTGAATCTATCCAGGTCTTCAAGTTTTGACAAAATGTCCCTTGAAATCAACAATTTGCTTCTCTCTGATACCATATTTCTACTGAGAAGGGAATACAATGAAATGGAAGATACAAATTCAATTCTTTTGGCAACTGAAGTAGCTATTATGAATTATAATTTGGGCATCTTACTGGGACTTTTGTTAAATTACTTCATGTAATTTCCTTAATTTTTGTTAAGAAGGGACAGATAACATCACTCTTGGCCGGGCATGGTCGCTCACGTCTATAATACCAGCATTTTGGGAGGCCGAGCTGGGTGGATCACTTGAAGTCAGGAGTTTGAGACCAGCCTGACCAACATGGTGAAATCCTGTCTCTATTAAAAATAGAAAAATTAGCTGGGCGTGGTGGTGCATGCCTGTAGTCCAGCTACTCTACTGGGGAGGCTGAGGCAGGAGAATTGCTTGAACCGGGGAGGCAGAGGCTGCAATGAATCATGCCACTGCACTCCAGCCTGAGCGAGACAGCAAGACTCCGTCTCAACAAAAAAAAAAAAAAAAAAAAAAAGATTACTCTTATTTTCCAGATAAGAGGCCAGAGAAATAAACTGTCCCATTCAAGATCACTGAGCCAGTTACTAACAGTCAGAACTGCTACCCTGACCTCCACAATTCTCATTTTACCAGCCAGAGGTCTCCAATCTGTTTTGCGAGAAGAGTGTCTCACACTTGGGAACAGCAGGAGTTGGGGAAAATCATGTTGAGAAAAGAAAAGAAAAGGCTACCACTGCTTCCCATGATCTTACAGAGCTGATTTGTACAAAATAGGAGAGGCTGACTAGAGAGAGATTAGAGAGGAAACAGTAATTAGCTTCAAGTCTTACACCATCTACCACGAGGAGTCCAAATCTATGATGGACAGCCATTTATCCTGTACTTTATCACACTGCTCCTAAATCAGACAAAATATATGACAACCTACACTACGTACCAGGGAGGCAGTAAAAGTTAAGTATACAGGTTTCAGAATCAAGAGTTAGCTCTGTGAACCTGGGCAAGTTACTTAATCTAGTATTATCATAATCAACTCAATTTAGGGAGAAAGTTTCTTGAGCACAGTGGTATCTCTTGTTTTCTGGGGAATGTTGCTTGGTCTGTTCAGGATACTACATATTTTAAAAATTCTCTTCTCCCACCTCTCTCATTTTCAGAAGAAATCCAAGAACAATCTTCCTGTCCCTACCTATTTTGTCTCTACTTTGAAATCACAACAGCAAGAACTATAGCACCTGGAAAACCTCTAAGGGAGAGAGAAGCAATGGTCTCACAACAATGCCACATGTGAACTGTCAGAGGCAAAGATGGCTGCTAGGAGATAGACAGGCTCTGCCTTCACCAGCATTCAGACACTCATTTAAATTCCAGCTTTCCTTAACTGCTTTAGAAAAAAGCTAAGAGAGGTAAATCCATAAGCAAATTAACTGCCATACAAAAAGCCTACAGAATACAACTCACATAGAACAGGTTATTTTTAGATATTTTTTAAAAGCATAAAAAAAAGGAGCAGTATATGGGAAACCAAAACTTAAGAGGAAAGCCAGGGAATCAATGAGTAAGGAAGACTGAAGCCACAGTATTTCTAGAGCTTAGCTGGAGTAAAAAGATGGTGAAGCTGAAAAAAAAAATGCAAAAGAAGGTAAGTAATGGTGGCAACTTTTCAAATTTTAGGAAACTTTATAATGGCATTATTTCAAGGATGAATGTACGGTAACAGGTAATATATTACCTCCCTGCTGATTTTCCTTTATTTGCCAGTTAGGTAATTGAAAGGGGTTTAAGAGTAATATGGTAATGAAGTGCCTCCCCAGTGAAGAAAGCAGTATGTCCTTTAATTTAAAGACATGAATGAAAATAATCAAAGATGACCACAAATTCTTTGCTTCTCTCACCATTAAGAGATGTACTCTATTTTTCTTCCCTTGAATCTGGGGTGATCTTGTGACTTGCTTTCATCAGCAGAAAGTGACAAAAATGATGCTGTGCCTGTTTCAAGACTAGATGATTTCACTATCTTAGAGCCTTGAGTACCTTTGTAAAGAGGTCTTGCTACCCTGCGGGAGAGACAATGTGGTGGGAGAGAGAGAGATGCCTGGCTAGAGAAGTAAAGAGCCATTTTTGATTTGTAGCCCCACTAGTCTCTAGATGACCGCAGTTACATAAGTGACCTCAGGCAAGTAGAAGAACCACTGGCCTGAAATACCCCTCTCTCCCCATTTCCTAATCCATGGTGTCATAAGTACCAAAATGGATGTTGTTTTAAAACACTAATCAGAAGCTGGCATTTTTTTTTCTTGAAGAGCCAGAGAGTAAATATTTTAATAGGCTTTTGGGCCATCTGATCTGTCGCAACTATTCAACTCAGCTCTACTGTGTTCAACTGCCATTGCAATATGAAAGCAGCCAATGTAGATGATGTAAACAAATGTGCATGGCTGTGTTCCAACAAAACTTTATTTGCAAAAACAAGCGGCAAACTGGATGTTGCCTATGGGCTTAGGTTTAACAATCCCTACACTAAGGTTTGCAGTGGTTTCTTATTCAAGTGGAGATAAAGCAGGCAAATTTCCTTAGGAGATGGCCTTAGTGTAGTTCCTCTCTAGTGTGAAGATGACTGTAGGAATCCCTCTACTCTTTGTGATGCAACAAATATTTAAACTCAACTTTAAAAATCATAATTGTGGTGTACTGGCAGTTTTAGAGTCATTCATAATATGTGTCTACTCCATAGGAGTAGAAGCTTAATCAGTAATTGGTCCTTATTACAAATTCATGAGTTTGCTCTTAGAGGGTCTGCCTTCTTTAAGAAGACAAGTGAGTGGCAGACGGTACACATGCATAAAACCCGCTCTTTCTCTGATTGTCCAGGAGCTAATCATAACTAAGTTTAAAAGCTATTAAACTGCAATAATGAGTTAGTAAACATGAGATAATACTTCCCATATCAATTTTTAAAAATCTTCCACAGACATAAATACTTAATAAGACAAAAGGCTCTTAGCAAGTTCTATCTTTCTAAGTAGAAAAACAGTCCATCAAGACTGTTCTTCAGCTTTAGGAAGACAAATGCAACATCTCTGATAATTT
Organism: Homo sapiens; assembly: GCF_000001405.40. Classification (NCBI taxonomy): domain Eukaryota; kingdom Metazoa; phylum Chordata; class Mammalia; order Primates; family Hominidae; genus Homo; species Homo sapiens. Next base: position 87,554,226 of record NC_000006.12, read on the forward strand.
CCTAGGGTTGTCAATCTGTCGGCTGTACAATGAAAGTATTAGTTCTTAGTGTTCCCTTTTCTCTCTTGGTTACCTCTAACAGTCCAAATATCAGACAGTTATACTGACAGCACGTTAGAAAGTTATGAAGACTATTTAGAGGCACATCAAAACTTCAAGCTATTTTTCTGGTAATTAAAAAAATACATTTATTACAAATACTAAAAGACTTGTTTCTCTGGTAATCAAATTACTTAAAAAAATTTTTTTTGACACAGGGTCTTGGTGTGTCTTACCAGAGCTAGAGTGCATGACAATCACAGCTCACTGTAACCTTGAATTCCTAGGCTCAAGCCATCTTTCCTCCTCAGCTTCCCAAGTAGCTGTCACTACAGGAGTGTGCCACCATGCACAACTAATTTTTCTATTTTTTTTAAGAGGCGAGGTCTGCGTTGCCCAGGCTGGTCTCGAACTCTTGGCCTCAAGTGATCCTCCCACCTTGCCTTCCAAAGTGCTAGGATTACAGGCTGAGCCACCATGTCTGGCCACTTTAAAATTCCTAATATGGTAGTAACCATTACCTCTGCCTTAACAGTCTATTAAAGTAAATAACTAGTCAGGCACAGTGGCTCACGCCTGTAATCCCAGCACTTTTTGGGAGGCTGAGATGGGCAGATCACGAGGTCAGGAGATGGAGACCATCCTGGCTAACACAGTGAAACCCTGTCTCTACTAAAAATCCAAAAAAAATTAGCCAGGTATGGTGGCGGGCGCCTGTAGTCCCAGCTACTCAGGAGGCTGAGGCAGGAGAATGGCGTGAACCCAGGAGGTGGAGCTTGCAGTGAGCTGAGATCTCGCCACTCCAGCCTGGGCGACAGAGTGAGACTCCGTCTCAAAAATAAATAAATAAATAAATAAATAAATAAATAAATAAATAAATAAAGTGAATAACTAGTTCTTCCAAAAAAGTAATTGTTAATACTTAAAAAAATAATAATTATTAGACATTTTTGGAGGTCCAAAAATATATTTTTTATTCACAGTTCAATGATTGATTCACTGTGATTTCAAGAAATAACATAATTGCACTGGTTTTCAAGTTTTCCACATGTTATTTATTAAGACCCCCAAATAATGATGGTAATAACACTCCTCTGCCCAGTCAACTTGATTAAGCAACACATAAAAGGGGTGCACCCTCACCTGAATTCAACCACAATCTTCTTCTGGGGAAGTCCAGAGAAAAGTTCACTTTTTAATCCATATTTTGAGCCATCTTCAATTACTTGTTGTAGCACTGTCTGAAAATTAAAGGACTGTAATTTAATGAACAAAAATTACAATGCTTTTAATTACTCTGTTACTGAGAATTAAATGTTGCCAATTTGTTCACTCTAATTTATGGAACTGAGAATTTCTTAGCATCCTCAGTGGCACTACCTCCAGCACCACTTTTCTTGTTACTAATGCTAGTCATAGTAGTAACATGAGTTAACATTTACAAGGGTTCTGTGCCCTTTTATACTCCATGTCTATTCATTCTTACAGTAACCAGTTATGTAGGTATTTTACAGAGAAGGAAACTGAAGCTTGGTGAAGTAAAGTAACAACCAAAAGTCCCACAGTAAATATTAACAACAAAACCAGAAGCACCATTTAACACTTATTGAGTTCATACTATGTGCCAGCCACTGTTCCAAGCATTTTATATGCATTAACTTACTTACTCCTCACGACAGCCATAGAGGTAAGAACTATTTTAACAAAGAAAGAAAAGTACTGAGGGATTAAATAGTGCAGAAAAGAACTTTTCCACTTCACAGTTAACCTGTTAACTGCTGCATGCTGCTGCAGCTTTTGTGATATTAAAGACCACAAGCAATGGTAGGAAAAAGATAAAAATGTATAATGCCTATTGGCTACACAAGTGAGAAACAAGGAAATCCCACAGAAACTTCCCAAACATATTCCAGGTTAGTTTTTAGTTATTAACATAGAACTATGATATATAGTTCACAAAATTCATATTTTATGTTAATGGTGATGAACTTTTGTTTACTCATATTAGTTGGTTTTGTTTCCCTAACTGCATCTATATTTTACTTTTATTTTTATATTTTTGAGACAGGCCTTACTCTGTCTCCCAGGCTGAGTGCAGTGGTGCAATCACGGCTCACTGAAGCCTCAATCAGACTCAAACGACCTTCCTACCTAAGCAATCCTACCACCTCAGCCTCCAGAGTAGCTGCGACTACAGGTACATGCTACCACACCCAGCTAATTAAAACAAAATTTTTTTTGGAAGGGCACAGTGGATCACGCCTGTAACCCCAGCACTTTGGGAGGCTGAGGCAGGTGGATCACGAGGTCAGGAGATTGAGACCATCCTGGCCAACATGGTGAAACCCCATCTCTACTAAAAAAATTTTAAAAAAAAATTAACCAGACATGGTGGCATGCGCCTGTAGTCCCAGCTACTTGGGAGGCTGAGACAGGAGAATTGCTTGAACCTGGGAAGCAGAGGTTGCAGTAAGCCGAGATCGCGCCACTGCACTCCAGCCTGGGCGCAGAGTGAGACTCTGTCTCAAAAAAAAAAAAAAAAAAATTTTTTTTTTTTCTTTTTAATAGACAGGGTCTCTCGCTCACTCTGTCGCCCAGGCTGGTCTTGAACTCCTGGGCTCAAATGATCCTGACACCTTAGCCTCCTAAAGTGCTGGGATTATAGGTATGAGCCACCATGCCTGGCCCCAAAATGCATCTTGAGTCTTAAAAATGTGGTTTATGTTGTGAAAAATTTTATTATTAAAGAGTTGGTTAAAATGGTCTCTAAATGGAACAGGCAGAGAAGGGAGCAGCAGCCAGTACATAACAATCGACATTTAAGAAGCATAAAGTGCTAGGTCCAAGACCAAGTGCTCCTACAGTACCCGTTGTCTTTAAGCCTCATAATCTTAAAGATGGGCAACATTTCCCATTTAATGGATGCAAAAACTAAGGTTCAGAAATAGTATGTATGTGCACAAGGACGTAGAGAAAATAATACTCTCTTGACTCACATTGTGCAATAAGAAACACATAAAGGATTAATACAATATATAGACAGTATACAGAATAGTGTCTGTCGTAAACTAGGGTCCCAGTATTATTAGTCCAAGAATATATATGACAAGAACACATCAGTAAGAAGAAATCCAGATTCAGATTATTCTAAGTTGAAAGTCTACAAATCTTTCCCACTTCTTCTCCTTTTTATGTAATGAATGGCAGACTCCACAACAGTTAATCGTAGTAAGTTAGAATTCTCTTTAACAATAACCCTCTATCTACTGATTTATCTGGCACAAACAACAAAAAGGCAACATTAATAATTTTTAAAAAATTGATCATTTAAAATAAGGCTGAAGTCCCTTTCGATCATCTGTCCTTATCCTAATTCCTTCCCTCCTTCCTCAGGAGTAAACACTTTTCAAACATCATCTTACCTGGTGACTACTCCCTTCTTGCAACTATCCTCTTTCCTTGGTTGTAAAGACACAATTCTCTCTCAACTTTTGCTTCTCAATTTCCTTTGTAGGCTCTTCTTCCACCATCTGCCCTTGACTCTGCACTCTGTGCTCCATTCTTGCTTCTAGCTTTTTATTTTACACTTTTAGGTGACTTAAACCACTCCCTTAAGATTTCAAATACTTGGCCAGGCATGGTGGCTCACACCTATAATCCCAGCACTTTGGGAGGCTGAGGCAGAAGGATCACCTGAGGACAGGAGTTCAAGACCAGCCTGACCAACATGGTGAAACCCCATCTCTACTAAAAATACAAAAAATTAGCCAGGTGTGGTGGTAGGCGCCTGTAACCCCAGCTACTTGGGAAGCTGAGGCAGGAGAATCCCTTGAACCTGGGAGATGGAGGTTGCAATGAGCCAAGATCACGCCATTGCACTCCAGCATGGGCAACAAGAGCAAAACTCCGTCTCAAAGAAAAAAAAAAAAAAGACTTCAAATACTAATTACTTAATCTCTCTATTGCTACAGACTGGATATGCTTTTCAGGCATTTCACAGAAAATACACTTGTTCTTCCATCTACACTGTCTATTTCCACAAACTGCACTACCACTCACCCAACTAACCTACTCAGAAACCTAGGAGTCCCTAACACTTAACCTTATTCCCTCAACCTCTGTAATCAATCACCTGTTAATCACTGGGCCCTGTGTGTGTTATCTCCTAAATATCATTACAGTTATTTAATAACTGGTTCCTCTGCCCTGGTTTAGGCCCTCATCTGTCAGCTATACCACTGCAAAAACAACACCTACAGTAATGCACCAAGTAACAATGTGTCAGTCAGTGATGAACCACATATATACAATGGTGGTCCCATTAAGACTATAATGGAGCTGAAAAATTCTTATCACTCAGCAATGTTGCAGCAGGTCATAATGCCTAGTGCAATGCATTACTCACATGTTTGTGGTAACACTGATGTAAACAAACCTACTAGGCTAGGCTGCCAGTCAAATAAAAGTATAGCACATACAATTATGTACATCATGATACTTGATAATAATAAAGGACTGTACTGATTTATGTATTTAACCTACTATATTTAAAATCATAATTTTAAAGTGTACTCCTTATACTTATTAAAAACAATTAACTGTAAAAGTGCCTCAGGCAGGTCCTTCAGGAGATACTCCAGAAGGCACTGTCATCATAGGAGATGACAGCTTCATGTGTGTTACTGCCCCTGAAGACTTTCCAGTGGGACAAGATGTGGAGGTGAAGACAGTGATATTGATGATCCTGACCCTGTGTAGGCTAAGGCTAATGTGTTTGTGTCTTGGCTTTTAACAAAAAAGTCTAAAAAGTAAATTAAAAAATTAGAAAAAGCTTACAGAATAAGGATATATTTTTGTACAATTGTATAATGTGCTTGTTTTAAGCTGTTATTACAAAACAGCTGAAAAGTTAAACAAGCTGAGATATAAAGAAAAATAAATAGAAGAAAAAAGTTTAAAAAATGAAAAGTTTATAAAATAAAAATGTTACAGTCAGCTAAGGTTAATTTATCATTGAAGAAAGAAAAATATTTATTTTTTAGAGACAGGGTCTCTAGCCAGGCATGGTGGCGGGCACCTATAATCCCAGCTACTTGGGAGGCTGAGGCAGGAGAATCGCTTGAACCTGGGGGGCGGAGGTGGGAGCTGAGGCTGTGCCATTGCACTCCAGCCTGGGCAACAAGAGTGAAACTCTGTCTCAAAAAAAAAAAAAAAAAAAAAAAAAAAGAGACAGGGTCTTGCTGTGTCACCCAGGCTGGAGTACAGCAGTGTGATCCTGTACAGCAGTGTTATCCTAGTTCATTGCAGCCCTAACACTCCTGGGCTCAAGTGATTCTCCTGCCTCAGCCTCTCAAAGTGCTGGAATTACAGGCGTGAGCCACCATGTCCAGGCAAGAAAAATATTTTTTAATTTTTATTATTTTATTCTGAAGTTATGATACAAGGAAAAATATTTTTTTATAAACCCATTGTAACCTAAGTGTACCATGTTTATAATGTCTACAGTAGTGTAATGTCCTAGGCCTTCACATGCACTCACCACTCACTCACCCAGAGCAACTTCCAGTCCTGCAAGCTCCATTCATGGTAAATACAGGTATAGCATCTTTTATATTTAATACCATATTTTTACTGTACCCTTCCTATGTTTAGACATGTTAAGATACAAATACCACTGTGTCACAATTGCACAAATACAGTATTTGGTATTTTACATGATGCACAAGTTTATGGCCTAGGTCCGTGTAGTCGGTTTTATCATCTAGGTTTGTGTAAGTACACTCTATGATGTCCCATAATAACAAAACCACCTATGGACACATTTCTATGAATGTATCCCATTGTTAAGCAACACACGACTATATAACAAAACAATAACACCTAATTATCTTTTTACATAGCACAAACATTTAATCAAGTCTGTTTTATTTAAACCCTTCAATGATTTGAACGGTTTAAGAGATTTTTAAATTTAACTTTTTCTTTTACTTTTGGTTAAACATGCAAAGTTTAATTTGGCAAATTAAAAAGCGTGAAATAAAATGATGTTATCCATTGTGTATTTCTGAAGCATCCCTAAGAAAACAGGGTTTTGTTTGAATTTTTCCTATTTGGTTGAGATCATACTTTCTTTTTTCCCTTTTAACAATTAAATATTATTTGAAGTTACAGTTTCTCTTGAAAGTACTGCAAGCTACTGACAGGTAGAAGTTTGGTACCAAAGTGACAGTTCTTTGCAATGTCATTATGGTTATTTCTCAAACAAAGATATATTAATTCTTTGTTGGTCCTAACAAGAATCGAATTTTTTTTCTTGATGTGATCTGAAAAATCCATTAAATATGCAAATGATGGCAGGGCACGGTGGCTCACGCCTGTAATGCCAGCACTTTGGGAGGGTGAGGTGGGTGGATTACCCGAGGCTGGGAGTTCAAGACCAGCCTGACCAACATGGAGAAACTAAAAATACAAAATTAGCTGGGCGCGGTGGTGCATGCCTGTAATCCCAGCTACCTGGGGAGGCAGAGGCAGGAGAATCGCTTGAACCCGGGAGGTGGAGGTTACGGTAAGCAAAGATCGTGCCATTGCACTCCAGCCTGGGCAACAAGAGCAAAACTCCGTCTCAAAAAAAACCATGCAAATGACCATCATCTGAGACCTAAAACTTATGGTGTAAACCAACTTACTGCACTGCCAGTTGTATAAAAGTATAGCACATACAATTATGTACAGTACATAATACTTCATTATAAATGACTATGTTAGTGATTTATATATTTACTTTTAATCATTATTTTAGAGTATTATCCTACTTATTAAAAAATGGACTGTAAAACAGTTAAAATTATAAAACTAGAGATCCAATACGTGAGAAAAACAGATGCTATAAGCTTGAGAAAAGAAAAATAGCTCAGAGTAGTCTCAGCTATGTGAGGTATGCAGGCCCAGAAAGACATGCATATCAAACATCAGTTATGCACAAACTCTTCCTCCTATGGGTGGGGGCAATTGTTTTATGTGATTTTGTTCCCAACTAGCTGCCTCACACATTATCTTCATGTTACTGGCATTTGTGACACAAAGAAAAATATACAGCCTATCAATAGCTTACATTATTTTAATGTAAATTCTGGTTAACAACTCAAACTCCCTCTTCTTTCCCTTTAAAAATCCACTTGTAACTGCTGCCTATCAAAGGGTATATTCACGGCAACTTGAATCTGTGCTCCTCAGCTGCAATCCTCAAGCCTGGCCCAAGTAAACTCTCTACTTATATTAATTTTGCCTCAGTTTCCTCCTTTTAGGTTGACAGCCAAATGTAGAATACATTAAATTTTCAGTAAAGAAGAATTATCATTAAAATTGTAACACAAAGCAGAGGTACATTCAATAGTCTTTTTCTGAACATGAGTGCTCACTGCTCCAGGATCTGATTTTACTGTGACACTGAGCAGGGCAACTGTAAGCAGTCCGCTTGCTCCTTTATTCAAATTCTCACTAAGATTCAGATCCTCAAGGCTGCAATACGGAAGAATTCCCATGTGAGAAAGAGTAGTTGGACTTCAAAGCCCTGACTCTTGTCCCTTCAATGTCAATTGAGAAGGATTTGGGAATATTTTTAATAAGTGAGCTAATGGGTATCCTTAAATCAGAAAAATTCTTTAGTTTGTTAATTGCAATAAAGCTTGAAAATTCATGGCCATTGAAATTTTTATTTTGAGACAAGGTCTCGCTCTGTCACCAAGGTTGGAGTGCAATAGCACAATCACAGCTCATTGCAACCTCAAACTCCCAGGCTCAAGCGATCCTCCCACCTCAGCCTCCAGAGCAGTTGGGACTACAGGCGCAAACTATCATGTGTGGCTAATTTTTAAATTTTTTTGTAGAGATATGCTGCCAGGGCTGGTCTTGAACTTCCGGGCTCAAGTGATCCTCCTGCCTCAGCCTCCCAAGTGCTTATACAAACCTAGATGATACAGTCTACTATACGCCTAGGCTGTATGCTACAGCCTATTGCTCCTAGGCTACAAACCTGTACAGCATGTCACTGTACTGAATATTGTATGCAACTGTATCATAATAGTGTCTGTATACTTAAATATATCTAAACACAGAAAGGTACAGTAAAAATATGGTATTGTCTTATGGGACCATCATCTATACACGTTGTGTATGAAATGTCATTATGTGGTATATGACTATACAGTGCTATGAGAGCATATAAATGAAGGGGTCAGAAAGCTACTGCCAAAGAAATATCAAGATTTAAAGGATGAGTAGGTGTTAACTTGGGGTGGTACTCTCCAAGTTATGGATCAGTATGTGCAAAGGTTTTGAGGCCAGAGGAGGCATAAAGAATTTAAAAACTGGAGGAAGACCACTGTGGCTGAAGCAGACAGAATGAAAGCACAATGGCTGGATATTAACTTATTCTTACCTTTGTTAAGAGCTCTCTGTTTATTTTGAAATTTACAGTCCTTTGACCAGTACTGATTTCACTCACCACTGTATCACATCTTAGCTGAAAAGAACAAATCACACAAAGTAGGTATGTTATATAATAGGCCTAATGAGATAGGTAGTTCTAATGCTATTTTTGGCTTACAAAGACACAAGTAAGTCATCTTTCATGGTCCCTATATCGGGTCCCAGTTCTCAGGCAATCTCTTTAGTTCCATACTTCTATTTAAGTAAACACATTTTCTTTTTTTCCCAACTAACATGCTATTCTGTATTCAGTCTCTCTCTTCCTCATTCTCTTTCCCTCCCCTCAAATTCACCTTGTAACAAGTAAGAAAAATCACTCTACCCATATTCTACCTACTCTGACATACGATGAACACTTTTTATCTCACCTAGCTTTCATGAGAGCCACAGAACATGACATTCTGTCAGGGTCTACGCTAAAGCACCTGCACCAACAGATAAGATGTAATTTAGATAGTCTGTCTTCTATGCATATGCCTTCACTTTTTAACCTATTAGATGTTCGAAGCCATCTCATGAAAAACCTATGGAACTTGAAGAGATATCTGCTGTCACTAAAGAGCAACTAGTCTTTATTTTTAAGAACTTACAAGAAATGGGGAAAAGGAACTAAATACTGTATTTTGAATAATTCTATTCCTGGTAAATATCTGGGAGTGATTTTCTGATCAAATAAATATTTACTAAGCTACCAATGCTCCTTTATCATAGTCACCCTTTAAATAAGCATCTTTTTCTATGATAGTGACTTTCATTGTTCCAATTCTTTTGAGTTCCCAGACACTGACTCTGTGGATGTATGTTAATAACCTTGTCCAACATTATCTGCCTTTTCTGAGGGAATTACACTAACAATTTATGTTTAGTAATTCCTTGCAATCCTTTCAATTCCTCTGTTAGATATCAAACCCATCAGAGAACTTAGAAATGAAAGAGGCTTATTAAATCATCTAACCACCTCTTCTCTGTAATCATGATTCTATTTACATCTAATCATTTCTTCTCATATTTCAATGTTCATCTTTTCAGAAACTCATTTTAAAAATTGCAACTCACTGCTCTAATTTATCAAGCTTGTTCTCCTAAATTCAAAAGTCCATCCAGCTTCAATCTGTAAATTTAATTAACACTTCAGTCTTCCTGTAAGTGGTTAATCAAAAAATTGAACAATGTCAGCTCAAGAGGAGTGCTTTATAACTAATCTGAAAAATCATTATAACCTTATAGTACATGGCTAAAATGAATTTAAATTATATTACACAAGATGCCTCAAAGAAACACTATTAAATTCACTATTATGGCTGAGATAGCCTGCAAAGTACTTTTTTTAATAACAAGTTTATTACAATGTCAAAAAGAGATAATAGTGCTAACGTACCTTCTCTGCTAGTCTCTTGGCTTGAACTTGAATATCTGGTCTTGAATGGTCATTGTCTTTTTCCAATAAAGAATCCACAGAAAGCTGAAAATCAGCTACTTCTCTAAAGACAGACATCGAAACGAGATAGAACTGTTACCTTAAAAGCATTAGTTGTTAAACAAAGACTAATCACTATGAGTTCTCCATTGAGACATACCTTTACCAGAAGAAGGTGTTATGTGTACTTTCAAAATTAAAAGCAAGGGGGCCGAGAGCGGTGGCTCATGCCTGTAATCCCAGCACTTTGGGAGGCTAAGGCAGGCGGATCACCTGAGGTTGAGTTCTAGACCAGCCTGGCCACATGGTAAAACCCCATCTCTACTAAAAATACACACACACACACAAAAATTAGCCAGGCATGGTGGTGTGTACCTACAATCCCAGCTGCTTGGGAGACTGAGGCAGGGGAATCGCTTGAATCCTGGAGGTGGAGACTGCAGCGAGTCAAGATTGTGCCACTGCACTCCAGCCTGGGTGACAAGAGCGAAACTCTGTCTCAAAAAAGTAAATAAAATAAAATAAATAAATAAAAAACAAAATTAAAAGCAAGAAAATGAGAAATAACCTAGTATTTATTCAGAATGTTTTTCTTATCATCTTATAAAATTCTTCCTCTTCTGTCTGGGCACAGATCCCAGCACTTTGGGAGGCCGAGGCAAGTGGACCACTTAAGGTCAGGAGTTTGAGACCAGCCTGGCCAACATGGAAAAACCCCATCTCTACTAAAAATACAAAAATTAGCCAGGCGTGGTGGCATGTGCCCGTAAGCCCAGCTACTCGGGAGGCTTAGGCACGAGAATTGCTTGAACCCAGGAGGCAGAGGTTGCAGTGAGCTGAGATCATGCCACTGCACTCCAGTCTGGGTGACAGAGCAAGACCTAGTCTCAAAAAATTCTTCCTCTTATACTAGCCACCTTATTTTATAGACATGAAAACTGATGTCTGGCAAGCTAAATGTCTCCTTTAAAATCCTACTGCAAATAAAAACAGACTGAGAAAAAAGCCCAGGTCTCTTTACCTCTTCTACAATGCTTCCTCTACTACTCCAAATACATGCTTCTAATTCAAACCTCTCCACTGACCTCCAAATGACATATTTTTTAAATGTTGTAATTTGAGTTTCAACATGAGAAAAAGAAGAATATTCTTCTTAACACTCAGTAGTTCATTAAAGAGATGGACAATGCCATTTATCCTTTTCACTGGGTAGGTGAAAAAAAAATACAAAAACAAAGAAACAAACACAAAGCAACTGATTCGTGAAAATAAATCATTTGCATCATGAGATCAGTTCTCTCTAGGGAAGCAGGGTAGGGAATGCAGTCAAACAAATATATATCAGTGACTTCAACATTATCTGTAATGCTTAACAAAAATCAAAAGCTCTCCCTTTCCCTACAAAATAAGACTTGAAGTAAATTTGGAAAAAGGACTTGACAACTTAGAAAGTGACCATGACAGTACTCATTACATCATTCTCTATGAATTTTTCTGTAGGTTTGAAATAGTTCAAGGTGCAAAAAAAATTTTTTTAATCAACATATAAGCATCTATATAACTACTCACACTAATTTATCTTCTGGTGTTTAATATGGAACTAGAGAATGAGACTCGATGGGCAGAGTAAGAGGGTTGAAACTTTATTTATCCAGCCCATCTGTCACTGGAATGAAAAAACTTATTTTTGAGAAGGCACAAATTATTTCCTTCATTAACACTTATGAAACTCAGGGAAATAACTAAAAATTCCTGTGTGACTTCTGGTTAACATCACATTTAAAAACCCAGTCCACAATGACCATTAAGAATTCTCCTGAGCCTTAATACATCATCCAGCAGCCTACTATGTATTACACTTTGGCCAGGTACAGGGGCCCATGCCTGTAATTCCAACATTTGGGAGGCCAAGGCAGGAGGATTGCTTGAGCTCAGGAGTTCAAGACCAGCTTGGGCAACATAGCAAGACCCAATCTCTAAGAAAAAAAATTTATATTAAAAAATGAAAACAATCTAAATGTCTAGCAACAAGGGAATGTTACAATATTGCTAAAAGCGATATTCATTTTAAAAACAGAATTATGTCAGGAAAAGGATTCAAATATCTTATGTTTTTCTATGTAGTTTTATAGCTATGTCTTTTTAAACGCTAAAAAAATTTCAAACAAAAAAGTAAAAAATACATCAACTTGCTAAAATCAGTTGTCTTACTGTAGTAGACTATTGGGGGCTTTTATCTTTTCTTATTCTTCTGTATTTTCCTGAATTTCCTTAAGAAGATTATCTGTTTTGCTTTTATAATAGAAAAACACATTTAAAAATAAAACCTTTAAAAAGACAAAACATCTAAGCTATGAAAAGCAGTAGATATCAAAATAAACAACTGTGGATGAGGAGAGCCCAACACAGTGGCTCAAGCCTGTAATTCTAGTGTGGGAGGCTGAGGTAGGAGAATTGCTTGAGCTGAGGAGTTCAAGACTAGCCTGGGCAATGTAGGCAGACATCATCTCTACAGAAAATTTAAAAAATTAGCCAAGTGTGGTGGCCCATGCTTCTGGTCCCAGCTAATTGACAGGCTGAGATGGGAGGATAGCTTGAGCCTGGGAGCTTAAGGCTGCAGTAAGCCGTGATTCTGCCACTGCACTCCAGCCTCAGCAACCAACAGAGCTAGGTCCTGTCTCAAAAAAAAAAAAAAAAAAAAAAAATGTGGACAAGGAAAGCAGACGGCGTGTAAAAGAAACAAAACTGAGCCAGGCATGGTGGCTCAAGCCTGTAATCCCAGCACTTTGGGAGGCTGAGGCAGGCGCATGTTGCCCAAGCTGGTCTTGAACTCCTGAGCTCAAGCAATCCTTCTACCTTGGCCTCCCAAGGTCAGGAGTTTGAGACCAGCCTGGCCAACATGGTGAAACCCCGTCTCTACTAAAAATACAAAAATTAGCTGGGCATGGTGGTGTGTGCCTGTAATCCCAGCTACTGGGGAGGCTGAGGCAGGAGGATGGCTTGAACCCAGGAGGCGGAGGTTGCAGTGAGCCAAGATTGTGCCACTGCACTCCAGCTTGGGTGACAGAGCAAGATTCCGCCTCAAAAAAACAAAGAAAAAACTGGTCCCATACAGATGATGGTGGGTGATGGGCACACACAGGGTTCATTAAACTAGTCCCTGTACACTCATTCTTTATACTTAAAAAAGTTTAAAAAGCAATAGTTATTTTCCCATTAATTCTGAGGAGTTGTGATATTGGTTAGTGTGAAATCCACAGACTTGATAGCCATTGGCTTATAATAAAGTTGTTAATTCTGTTTACTACCATCAGATAGTAGACAGAAAATAAAATCGAGAGAATTAGATCAGAGTAAATTAATTCATTATATTAATTAAACCATGTTAACAAAAATACTATTTCTTAATTCTCCTGGCACTTGTAAGCACTCTGGAATAAAGTTAGAAATATAGAACGGTTAGGCTTAGTTACATACTGTAAAGGAAACCTGAATTTATTATGGCAAAGCACTAGAGGTTCCCTTTGTTTTAAGTAAACTTAATATGAAGAATTTCAGATTTGTAGGCCAGAAAAATCTTGAGGCCCTCCCCAATATTTAATTTATTTATTTACTTTTTTTGAGACGGAGTCTCGCTCTGTCACCCAGGCTGGAGTGCAGTGGCGAGATCTCGGCTCACTCTAACCTCCGCCTCCCCGGTTCAAGCGGTTCTCCTGCCTCAGCCTCCTGAGTAGCTGGGATTACAGGCGCATGCCACCATGCCTGGCTAATTTTTTGTATTTCTAGTAGAGACGGGGTTTCACCATGTTAGCCAGGATGGTCTCCATCTCCTGACCTCACGATCTGCCTGCCTCGGCCTCCCAAAGTGCTGGGATTACAGGCGTGAGCCACCGTGCCCGGCCCCAATATTTATTTTCTATAAACTAAAGTTAATACCTCAGATTGTTAAAGTGGAAGCAGGCAAAGGAAATCCTATTCAAAAGATGGGCCAAGATGGTTCAGCTTATTAAAGACCTTTGACACATTAAATGAAAATGGAAACAAACAGGCTGGGTGTGGTGGTTCATACTTGTAATCCCAGTACTTTGGGAGACCAAGGCAAGGGGACTGCCTGAGCTCAGGAGTTCAAGACCACCCTGGGCAACATGACTAAACCCCATCTCTACAACAAATACAAAAATGTCAGCCAGGCATAGTGGCGTGAGCCTGTAGTCCAAGCTACTCTGGAGGCTGAGGTGGGAGGATCACTTGAGCACGGGAGTTTGAGGCAGCAGTGAGCCGAGATCACACCACTGCCCTCCAGCTTGGGTGACAGAATGAGACCTGGTCTCAAAACAAACAAACACCAAACCAGTAACATTTCCCTTATTATGCAGAATGTCATTTATAGATTTTACGAAATAGGCAACTAGTTTGGAAGGTTACATCTATTTACATATAATCATGAGATCCTCTTGGTAGTGGCTGCCTCTCTTACAGAAAGTCAATATAAAAAGCCGCAGTGGGCCATTTTAAAGGTGCTTTTACTAGAAGGCCAAATGTAGCCTTTCTCTTTCTTTTCCACTTACTTCTTTGTTCTATTCTGAGAAGAATATTCATTCTACTCTTAAAGTCCTGACAAAGTTAAGTGAATAAAATACAAGGACAGAATGGTACTGGTAATTATATCTTAACTTCTTTTCAAAGCTTAGGACTTAAATGACTACTATGTAGCTAATTTCTTGTCATTATTAATTGACAGACAATAATCTATCCAAGTATTGAAGTTTTCTACCCAAATCGTAAACAAGAATCATTTAGGATGACCAAACTCACAAAGAGATACCTCTCTGTAACTGAGAAAGCAACTATTAGTTGTGTGTAGTCCTAACCAACAGTTTTCTATCACTGGGAGTACTCAAAAGGAAACTCAATAAACAAAAACAACATTAAAAACCTAGTAGATAAATATGGTACAACAGTATTCAAGCACCAGATGGCTGTACAATCTTTAATATCCCTTCAAAAACCCTGAGATTCTAACCACAATTTTAGTTATTTTATTTATTGTTACAGAATTGAATTTGAACCTCATTCCCAAAGACTTTGCCACAATTATAGTTACTAGCATAACTAAAATAATGAACATAAGAATACACAATCTGCCATATCAGAGTATTTAAAATACAGATTTTAATTTTATTATTTAAGTCAACAGGAGTAATAGGCTGAGTATAATGAATCATATCTTACAGTTAATTTCAAGGACTATTCCACAAACTGAAGAGTAACAATTCTTTTTTGCTTTTTTGGTGTATCAACAAAGTCAGCAACATTTTATAGATTGTTACAAGTGTATTATACTTAACTCTTTTTGGGAAATTGGAACTGCAGATATTGATGTGATCAAGTTTTCTGGTGGAAGATTCAACACTCTGGAAAGCTAAAAATCAAAAAGAACAAAACAGTGTAAGATTGTTCACATATTTGTTCCATTCAATGGAATACCACTTGTAAGAATAAACTATTAATACACTTAACACGAATGAGCTCCAAATGCATTCCAAGTGAAGGAAGCCAGATTCAAAAAGGTATATAGTGTATGATTCAATTATTTGACCCTCTGGAAAACCCAAAATTCTAAGGATGAAGAATAAATCTGTGGTTGCCAAGGGTTAAGGGGAGGATTTGACCATAAATTAACAGAACTGTTTAGCAAAAAGAATGAACTTTACCTTCGTAAATTAAAAAAAAAAAAAAGTATGGCAAGAGAGGAGATAAACCACTGAGAATCCACAGATAATTTACTTATTTTTTTCATTAAAAAAATTGAGTGGCTACTTAATGTGCCAGGCATTATTCCAGGTATTAGGGATACAGCAGTGAACAAAACAGACAAAAAACAAAACAAAACAAAACAAAACCTCATGGCATTTACAAATAAACAAGTAAATAACAGGGAAAATGTGATCCCCGTCCCTATCAAAGGCTTAATCATTAGAATAGCGGGGTGGATGTGTTATATACATATATTTTGTAGCACAGACAAAGTCTCGCTATGTTGCCCAGGCTGGTCTTGAACTCCTGGCCTCATGTGATCCTTCCACATCAACTCCCCAAAGTACTGGGATTATAGGTGTGAGGAACTGTGCCTTGCTGGATTTGTATTTTCTAAAAGCTCCTCGCACGACTGTTAATACATAGCCAAAGTTGTGAACTATTACCCTAATTGGACACTCAAAGTTAGGTGGAAGAGACATTCCCATGTACTGAATGATTTATTTTTTTTGAGACAGAGTCTCGCTCTGTCACCCAGGCTGGAGTACAGTGACGTGATCTCGGCTCACTGCGGCCTCCATCTCCCGGGTTCAAGCAATTCTCCTGCCTCAGCCGCCCAAGTAGCTGGGATTACAGACGCACACCACCAAGCGCAGCTAATTTTTTCTATTTTTAGTAGAGACGGGGCCTTGCCATTTTGGCCAGGCTGGTCTCAAACTCCTGACCTCAGATGATCCACCCGCCTCAGACTCCCAAAATGTTGACATTATAGGCGTAAACCACCATGCCCAGCCAGATTTTTTATTTCTTATAGAGACAGTCTTGCTATGTTGACCAAGCTGGCCTCTAACTTCTGGCCTCAAGCAAACCTCCCACCTCCGCCCCTCAAAGTGCTGGGATTACAAGAGTGAGCACTGCACCAGTCCTGAATTATTCCTATCTGACAGGCATGTCTTAAGTACCTTAATTTTTCTTTGCAACAATCCCAGACTTTCCTACTATTTCAACCCTCATTTTATAAATGATGAAACTGAAGTACAGGGAATTTACTTAACTTGCCTAAGTGGAAAGAAAAGCTAGGATGTGAACACAGGCTATCTAAAAACAGAACCTATACTCAACCCCTATGCCATATTGATATGGTTTGGTTCTATTTCCTCCCAAAATCTGATCTTGAATTATAGCTCCCATAATCCCCACGTGTCATGGGAGGGACCAGGTGGGGATAACTGAATCATGGGGTGGTTTCCCCCATTCTGTTTTCGTGACAGTGAGTTAGTTCTCACGAGATCTGATGGTTTTAAAAGAGGCTTTCCCCCACCCTTCGCTCAACACTTCTCCTTGCTGCTGCCATGTGAAGAATGTGTCTGCTTCCCCTTCTGCAACGATTGTAAGTTTCCTGAGGCCTCCCCAGCCATGCTGAACTGTGAGTCAATTAAATCTCTTTCCTTTATAAATTACCCAGTGTCACGCATGTCTTTATTAGCAGTGTGAGAACAGACTAATACACATATGTATATCCTTTCATTGAGAAATGCATAAAAACAAAATAGTGAAATAACAGCATAGCCAGTATAAATTTACAACTGTCTTCAACTTTTCCCCCACTTCTCCAATACTCATATAGCCTCTGCAAAGGACTATACATGGCTGTAGAATTGGGAAAAAGAGAAGGGAATGATGGGGGAAACAGAAAAAGTAAGAATGTAAGAAGAGTTTAAGAAGAAATCATCTTCAAGGGTGTTTGTGACTGTTCAGGAGAGCAATAAAATTAAAACCACTGTCTCTTGATTAATAACAACATATACTCTCCTGTTGTCAACAGAAGTTATTTGTTGAATTTCACAAACATATTAACCGTAAAAACTTGCCCAAACTTGCAGACCTGGAGACGTCACTTTCTTTAAGAGGCTTGTACATTTCCACTTTGGCTTGGTACAGATTGATTTTTTAAAGTTTCCTCTCAGGGTACAATATTTTTATTTTCTAGACTTTAGGAAGTAAATTACTGTATTCCTTACTAAAAAGTCATTTCTTTAGGATGTATTTACAGAAGTAGGTAAATATTTCCAAAGCATTTATAGGATAAAGGCTCAAACAGTTCATGTTTATAGTACGAAATGTTTCTAGAACAGAAACATCAGTAATAAAGGTTCTATCGTAATTTCTCAGAAAAAAAAAAAAAAGGATCCAAATTCCAAATTCCAGTTCTACTTTTATTAGTTAAGAGACCTTGAGAAAGTAATTTTACATGAATGAGCTATAGTTTTCACAGCTGAAATACGGGGATAATAAATCTGTTAAATAATAAACTAGGGCTCTTGTGATGACTAAGAAAAATATGTCATATAATAAACATGTAATAAATATTTCCTTCTCCTTTTAAAAAGTTTGTTTATTTTGGACACATCTTCCAAACTTAACCATAATCACTAAGATTTTATGTCTATCTTAAATATAACAATTCGGCTGAAAAAAACTCAGTTATTAGGTCAATTTTGAAGCATTTCAGCTGACAAATAGGTTGTGAACCTGGGTAGCAATAAAAAGGTTACATTTAAATGAACAACATGCAATTCTCATTTGGAGAATTCTTTTGGCTAAACTAAAAGCTACTTAATAATTTCTTCTTCTTCTTTTTTTTTCTTTTCCCCAGAGAAAAGGTCTCACTCTGTTACCCAGGCTGGAGTGCAGCGGCTCACAATCATACTTCACTGTAGCCTCGACCTCCTGGTCTCAAATGGTCCTCCCACCTCAGCTTCCTGAGTAGCTGGGACTCCAAGGAACTGCGCCACCATGGCTGGCCTCATGTATTATCTTACTATATTTCATTTGCTACCAAAAATGAAATGGGGGACTTAAGCACATAAAATGAAATGGAGGTATAAATTTATACCAGAAAACTCTAAGCTCAAGGTACTTAACGCTTCTTGGCAATCAAGGTACAAAGGGAATCTATCTACACAGCATGTTTTACACCTAGTAATACAGGGTAAACATATATATATACATACTCAGTAAATAGCAGGAATGAAGTTTTCCTGAAAGTAATTCTAAGACTAGTTTATCTTACTCATATGAAGATATAAATAACAAGACAGTAGTTTCAATAGCAGTTTCACAAAAGATACATGTATAATTAGTTCTTGTACTGCTATAAAGACATAACTGAGACTGGCTAATTCATGAGGAAAAGAAGTTTACTTGGCTCATGGTTCCACAGGCTGTACAGGAAGCACGTATGGGGAGGCCTCAGAAAACTCAATCATGGCAGAAAGCGAAAGGGAAGCAGGCACATCTCACACGGTGGGAGCAGGAGGAAAAGTGTGAATGGGGAGATGCTACACACTGTTGAACAACCAGATCTTGTGAGAATTCTATCACCGAGGCAGCACTAGGGGAATGGTGCTAAACCATTAGAAACCATCCCCATGATCCAATCACCTCTCACCAGGCCCCACCTCCAACACTGGGGATTACAATTGAACATGAGATTTGGGTGGGGACACAGAGCCAAACTATATCAGTATAGAAACATTCTTACATAATGTAAATTTTAAAACAAACAAGAAAAAGGGGGTTGGGGTGAATGTGGAGTTATTGTTTAATGGGTAGAGAGTTTTAGTTGTGCAAGATGAAAACTGTTCCGCAGACGGATGGTGGTGATGGTTGCACAATGTAAATGTACCTAATGCCACTGAACTGTATACTTAAAAATGGCTAAGATGGTAAATTTTACGTTATGTGTATTTTTTCACAATTTAAAAAAACACACAAAAAAAAACCAAGAAGACTTCCGGGATAAAGTAGTGAAATGAAAGCTTCTTCACATAATCTCCCATCTTCAACCAACATCAAAAAGAAAAGGAAGGAAAGTAATTAGAGAGTAAACAGGTAGGTAGGTTGGTTCTCCAGCAGCAAATACACAAGACAGAAAGAGCTCAAAGTCACAAACTTCAAAGTTGATAGTCAAGTAAAAATACAATAGCTTCTGGAGGAGAATGGAACAGCCCTGTTTGGCAAGGCTAACTCAGTCCTCATGTATCAGAAGTCAGAGATGAATTAACAATTCTCATTAACACCCCAAATCTGGAGAAAAACAAATTGAATAAATTCCATTATTTTTTCCCTCTTGCAACTAAGAGATGCTGCCCAAGCTGTGGGAAACAATTAGTAAGACAGAAATGAATTCCAGCACTTTCCAGCAAAAGTAAAAATTCTAGGGTAACACACCAATGGCCTTTCCAATGAAAACACAATACATTCTCCTACTGCAGAAAGCAAACCTTGATATGGTGTTGTGTGAGCAGTAAGAATCAGAGAAGTAGTTTTTACAGGAAGACAGAAAAATATCAGGGCTAGTTTGCAAAAATTTAATATACCATGTCAGAGTTGAGGAATAATGTGTACAGGTCACCATGACCTACTAGAGAGAGAGACAAAAGAGGAATGGAAAGGGGGAGGAGTTTATATTTTTGCAACCACAAAGGTGAGGTAAGCCAAAAACAAACGTGACATGAGGAGTGAAGAAGTCATCCACACAATGTGCAAACAAATGGAAAGCTGGGGCAGAGCTGTCAAGCATGAGCAAGAAGAAAAAGAACAGGCATCACCAATAGGTGATCAAACTGAAATAAACAAAAATAGGGAGAGAGAGAATAGGGAGGGAGGCACAGACCAGAAGATAGACAGCTGGAAAAAATGTGGCATACAACAGATCAAAGAACTCTGCCCAGGAGAAAAATGTAACCCAATGAATACGAAGAACATTATTCACAAATGCTTCAGGATTTGGAACTTACTGAGAATGTGAATAAAATAAACAAGAACTAAAAGACAAGATGAAAAAACAGGAGTGAATTTTATAAGGAGTCTAAAAATTAGTGACCAAACTTTTTACCATAAAACTAATAATTAAGAAACATAACAGTATAGTCATAATTGAAAAAAATACTATGACACAGAAGAACTAATCAGAGAATACAAAGATTAATGTAATCAGAAAAATAAACAGAATTGAAGAAAGATAATCCAACCTTAGGAAAATTGGTGTCCTTAAAATACAAAAAGAATGAAGACTAGCAAACAAACATGCAGACAGGAAGGAAGGAAGGTAGACTGCTTCCCTAGCAACCAGTCATAAGGATAGAGACAAAATTCAAAGCCATAAACTTCAAAAGAGATCTCCAAGAAAAGATAATACAGATTATGAAGCAGAATGGAGCAGCCTTATTTGGCAGGGCTCCTAACTTGATCTCACTTATCAGAAGCCACAGAGATGAACCCTAAAAAATAGAAAGCACACACACACACACACACACACACACACACACACACACACACACACACACACCTTGGCTTCTTCAAAAGCAGGGCCTGAGAAAAAGACTTGCAGGCAAGTAGTTTATTTGGGAGATGGTTCCTGAGGGCAGAAGTGATGAGAGAGAGGGAAGGAAGAAAACTTAATACAAGATTATGCCATCAAAGTCATTGCTATAAGCAATGGAGGCTTAATTTCCATGGTACCTCGTAAAATACATACATAGTGTCTACCAGAATTGTCTATCCAAAATAATTCCACCACACTGGAGCTATGTATGTGCTGGGACCAGCAGGCTCCAGAGAGGATGAGGTGCTATTAGCAATAAGTGAATGGAAGCACACACAAAACTGTTTACACCTGTGTAAATAGTTGTAAACCTGTATTTACAACTGTGGCAGCTGGAATCAGAGGTGTGACCAAGGTGATGGGAGACAGGGCACAATATAAACAATAAAGGGAAAAACTTCCACGAAATAAAGAACCAAATCTAAATTGTGGTACACTACTGCTATGGCACACCACTCAGCAATAAAATCAAAGAACTAGACCTCCATGCATCATTGTGGATAAATTTTTTTTTTTTTTGAGATGGAGTTTCGCTTTTGTCACCCAGGCTAGAGGGCAATGGTGTGATCGCTCACTGCAACCTCTGCCTCCTGGGTTCAAGGAATTCTCCTGCTTCAGCCTGGGATTACAGGCACCCACCATGCCCAGCTAATTTTTGTATTTTTAGCAGAGACAGGGTTTCACCATGTTGGCCAGACTAGTCTCGAACTCCTGACCTCAAGTGATCCACCCGCCTCGGCCTCCCAAAGTGCTGGGATTACAGGCGTGAGCCAATGCGCCCAGCTGGATAAGTCTTCTTTAAAAATTGAGTCAAACAAAAAAATCCAAGCTGCAGCTGCACAAAGATAATTACACTTTGATATAATTTATATAAAATTTAATAACTTGTAAAATAATACTATTTAGAGATACATTCATAGGTAATGAGTGACATTTACAGGTATAATAAACACAAATTTCTTTTTTTT
This sequence comes from Homo sapiens, assembly GCF_000001405.40. Classification (NCBI taxonomy): domain Eukaryota; kingdom Metazoa; phylum Chordata; class Mammalia; order Primates; family Hominidae; genus Homo; species Homo sapiens. The sequence continues at coordinate 87,576,283 of NC_000006.12, forward strand.
TTTTTTTTTTTTGAGACGGAGTCTCGCTCTGTCGCCCAGGCTGGAGTGCAGTGGCGCGATCTCGGCTCACTGCAAGCTCCGCCTCCCGGGTTCACGCCATTCTCCTGCCTCAGCCTCCCGAGTAGCTGGGACTACAGGCGCCCGCTACCACGCCCGGCTAATTTTTTGTATTTTTAGTAGAGACGGGGTTTCACCGTGTTAGCCAGGATGGTCTCGATCTCCTGACCTCGTGATCCGCCCGCCTCGGCCTCCCAAAGTGCTGGGATTACAGGCGTGAGCCACCGCGCCCGGCCAACACAAATTTCAAGATAGACATTACCTATTGTGTAAGGTAAGAGTTTGCCAGAGATGGGTACTCTCGGGAATTTAAAAGTATTTGTAATATTTTATTTTCGAAGCTGGGTGTGGGGCATATAAGTATTAACTATATTCTTTTCTATGATTAACATATTTCAATTAAAAAAGAGAAACTGAATCTACATATCAAGATAAATTATATCAAGAAAATATACAGAAAATTCAACACAGATGTATGCTGGATAAGTTGCTAAATTTTGAAAATAAAGCACCCAATCAAGAAAACTCCATGGGAAATGAAATAAATGTACTTTACTTTGTAGTCACATTAAATCACAAAGATCATGATCTGGTCAAAGCAGATAATTTAACGGTGATATTATATAGGAATAGATTCATTCGATAAAGAAGTTGCAAAGTAGTGTGTTTCACCTGCTCAGTTGTTGTTTTTTAATTTGAATTAATTGACAACACAGGAAGATTGGAAAATTTTACAATTACACTGGGATTGCCCTACGCATTTGCATCCATGGTATCAGAAGAAAAAATGTGAGATAAGAACTAAACAATCAGTGTTATTCCTTTATTTCTAAAAGAAAGATTTTGACTCTTTTGTTGTTGTTGTTTTCTGAGACAGGGTCTCACTTTGTTGCCCAGGCTGGAATGCAGCAGTATGATGATGGCTCACTGCAGCCTCCAACTCCTGGGCTCAATCAGTCCTCCCACCCCAGCCTCCTGAGTAGCTGGGACTACAGGTGTACACCACCATGCCTGGCTAATTTTTTGTATTTTTTTGTGGAGACGGCATATCTCACCTTTGTTGTCCAGGCTGGTCTCAAACTCCTGGGTTCAAGCAATCATCCTGCCCTAGCCTCCCAAAGTGCTGGGATTATAGGTGTGAGCCACTGCACTCAGTCTTATTTCTAAACATGGTAATTTTCTAAAGATTAAGCCTCCTTTTGATATTTCTAGGATTACTTTTTCTGAGAAGTCATAATTTCTTAAATACAGCCAATTAAGCCATATATCAGGAAAAAGATTGGTGGTAAGCATCTTATCTGGTTCAACATAAAATGAACAGTAGAGGTTGTGCAGATATGGTTACTAAACAGACTATAAATGTTATAAACTTTGAGTGAGAAAGTTACCCAACATAAATTGGTAAAGGTGGAAGAAAATTATATCATTTGTGAGAGTGCCAATGTCTTCATCCCTTATGGTAGACGGTGATGCTGTCTAAATTTGAAACATGAAGATCTTTTTGTAAAAACACTACGAATTGTAATGTTTTTCACAATTTCTTTTCTTACTGTAAAAACCTCATTTAGGAAATACATCAATAATTTTTTGAACTGCACTTTGGTTTTTCACTGAATTCAAACAAAACTACTTTTAACATTTTTATTTAAAACAGCATTTCAGGCCAAGCGCGGTGGCTCATGCCTGTAATCCGAATACTTTGGGAGGTCGAGGTGCAGGATCACTTGAGGCCAGAAGTTCGAGACCAGCCTGGGGCAACATAGCGAGACCCCCCCCCCCGCCATCTCTATTTAAAAATAAAAATAATAAAAACAAAACAGCATTTCAGTAATGAGCACATGAGGAATAATAGTACTATTTTACTTTTCAATATGTTGGACATTTTTCCATTGTAAAACTTAAAAATAACACTCTGAAAATAAAAACTCATTATAATACAGCCTGGATTTTGTAAAAAGCATATTTATCCAGTTTTCCTTCCTATTTTCCTTCCTTTTTTCTGCCTGTATATCTGCATAGAAATATACCTAAAAATAAAAGTCAGTGTTGATGATTTATGGGGTAGTTTAAAAAATTCTTTGCATCCTTTTGTATTGCTTAATTATTTAAAATGAGCAGGCATTATTTTGCAAAAATGAGAACTTTTCGCTTACCAAACCACAACTTTATAAAAGTATGTTTAAGGAATTCCTGTTGAATGTTAAGCAGTATGGCTCAGACACGTACTGTTTACTAACTCCACATGGTGCTAAGCCTAGGATGGTGGTGAGGCGGGGAGAGGTATTCAAAATACCCCACCCTGAGATATTCTAAAATAACATAATAATGACTAATATTGGCTGGACGCAGTGGCTTGCGCCTGTAATCCCAGCACTTTGGGAGGCCGAGGCAGGCAGATCACCTGAGGTCAGGAGATCAAGACCAGCCTGGCCAACATGGCAAAACCCTGTCTCTGCTAAAAACACAAAAAATTAGCCAGGCGTGGTGGCTGGTGCCTGTAGTCCCAGCTACTCAGGAAGCTGAGGCAGGAGAATCACTTGAACCTGGGAGGCAGAGGTTGCAGTGAGCTGAGATCGCACCACTGCACTCCAGCCTGGAGACAGAGCGAGAGACTGTCTCAAAAAAAAAAAAAAAAAAAAAAAAAAGACTAATATTTACTGATACTGAATACATACAATATACCAAACACAATTCTCAGCACTCCATATGTATTAATACCTTGCATCCTGATGACACATCTATACGGTAGCTAAATAATTTTCCAGATTTTACAGACGAGGTGAAGAAAACTTAAAAATCTATCAGAGGAGAAGCTGGATTTAAACCTGAGTCTTCCATGGTCAATGTTCTTAGTCACTACACCAGCAGTTCCAATACTTTGCCGTATATGGGAATGACCACCGGAAATCTTCAGGAAAACCCGCCTGGCTCCCATGTGCAAATATTTTGATTTAATTAGTACAACGTGGGCTCTGGGCAGAAGGATGTAAAACATTCCCCAGGTGATCTAATGTGCAGAGAGACCACTGTACTACACCTTTCTGCCCCTGGGTAGCCGTTCGGTAGTGGTTATCAAGCTCGGATGAACATCTGAATCACCTGATAATTTTTATAACTTCTAGGCCGATGCCCAACCTCAGGCTAAAGGGCCTGGGCTTAAGCAGTTTTAAATGCTTCTCAGGTGATTCAAGTCTGCAGCTAGTGTTTAAGAACCACGGCTTAGGGAGAGAGCAGTTGCCTCCCATTTTAACAATGCCCAAAGTAGTGAATGTTTTTAATTAGAGGTTTATCTTTCTCTCAAATGGGTGCAGCATAAAAAAAAAAGAGAGAGAGAGAGAAAATAAAACAAATTGAGAGCCACCGAGCATAGAGCATGTTTTTTTTTTTTTTTTTTTTTTTTTTTTTTGAGACAGAGTCTCGCTCTGTCGCCAGGCTGGAGTGCAGTGATGCAATCTCTGCCCACTGCAAACTCCGCCTCCCGGGCTCAAGCGATTCTCCTGTCTCAGCCTCCCGAGTACCTGGGACTACAGCCTCAGCCTGGGATTACAGGCACCCACTATGCCCAGCTAATTTTTGTATTTTTAGTAGAGACGGGGTTTCGCCATGTTGCTGGATGGTCTTGATCTCTTGACCTCGTGATCCACCCGCCTCCACCTCCCAAAGTGCTGGGATTACAGGTGCGAGCCACCGCCCCAGGCTTGGAGCATGGTTTTAAGTTCACTTGTATTCTCACAGGTTTAGAATTATTCTGGGAGTAATACGACTTTCTTCAACTGTCTCTGAGATTGGATTTGGAGCTTTCTTGGATCAGAATGTGACCAATGGGTTTGCTTAGCTTCAGGGTTTATTTTCTTTTGCTCCCTTCGGGTAGGGCTGTTTCACCTGGCATTGGGCTTCATCTAGGACTAGCACAAGCGAAAAGAAGGTCTACTGATAACTATCTTCTTTAGGCCTCAAAGTAATAAAAGTTTCACAGAATAAAATATCCTAAAAAGGTTACACAATGCGAACCAAATAATAAAAGACTGACAGTAAACCTGAAAATTTTAACAGAGAAATAACATCCACAAAATTAGGCACAGTCCTTGAGAAGTAAACTAAACAACACATTGAATGAGGAGCAAATCTGAGGTTGAAAGCAAGAAGCACTTCTTGCCAGGTGCAGTTGCTCATGCCTGTAATTCCAGCACTTTGGGAGGTTGAGGCGGGTGGATTACCTGAGGTCAGGAATTTGAGAGTGAAACCCTGTCTCAAAAAAAAAAAAAGGACTTTTTTTTATTTTTCAGATTTTTGTAGAGATGAAGTCTCACTATATCTCAGTATATTGCCCAGGGTGGTCTTGAACTGGACTCAAGCAATCCTCCCACCTCAGCCTCCCAAAGCGCTGAAATTACAGACATTGGCCACTGCACCTGGCCTTTTATTTATTTATTTATTTGCTTACTTATTTTTAAGAGGAAGCACTTAAGGGAATATCAAGTGAAAATTCACAACTGCCAGATCTCGTTTGAGAACCTAAGATCAGAGATTCTAATATGTAATATAAGAATGGCTAATATGTAGTGAGTGCTTACAATGTACCAAGCACAATTCTAAACTTTAGATTTAGGAACCTAGTATCAGAGATTCTAATATAATAGAATCTTTGGCTCCAGAGCATTCACTAGGAAAGCACATCAATCAATTAGCTTGTCAGCAGTCCTCAACCATTTATTTTTCTGATACAATGGCAAATATGATTCTTACCGCTAGTACTCAGATAACTGAGCACAAAGTCAAAAAATATTCTCAGTCTGGCTCTAGATAGGTACTAAATTCAGCTAGGAGCTAAACTTGCCAGGTTCAGGATCAAAATCTGTGAAAATTGCATAAAAACCTAATTTTGCTAATGAAAAAGGGATCCATATCTTTAGCAACCAGACATTCAGGTGGCAAAACTGACATCATCTTATGAAGATTAGCTCTGTATTTTTATCCACATTAACATAATCTATAGGCCATGAGTCTAAAAAGGCAATTACCCCAGTTGTTCCTCACTTCTGATTCTCCAACACTACCAAGTCAGGCACTGTAGGTTTGCCACCAAGACCAGTGCAGAAGCCCTCCCAAATTTGCAGAAATTTTCCTCAGGAACAGGTCTGCATTAGTTTCAAGACACAAACAAGAAGCAAACAAAGTAAGAATTAAAACTTTGGGGCTTAGAAGAGAATATCCCAAACAATTTGGAAGGCAAATTATGACTATAATAAATTTAGCATGGTTCTTTTTAAAAATTAAGTTCCGGGGTACATGTGCAGGATGTGCAGGTTACATAGACAAATGTGTGCCATGGTGGTTTGCTGCACCTATCAACCCATCACCTAGGTATTAAGCACCACAAGCATTAGCTATTTTTCCTAAAGCTCTCACTCTTCCCACCCCACCCCCAACAAACGCTGGTGTGTGTTCTTCCCCTCCCCATGGCCATGTGTTCTCATTGTTCAGCTCACACTTACAAGGGACAATGTGCAGTGTTTGGTTTTTTGTTCCTGCATTAGTTTGCTGAGAATAATGGTTTCTGGCTCCATTCATGTCCCTGCAAAGGACATGATCTCGTTCCTTTTTACGGTTGCACAGTATTCCATGGTGTATATGTACCAACCACATTTTCTTTATCCAGTCTATCATTGATGGGCATTTGGGTTGATTCCATGTCTTTGCTATTGTGAATAGTGCTGCAGTGAACATCCACATGCATGTATCTTTGTAGCAGAATGATTTATATTCCTTTGGGTATATACCCTGCAATGGGATTGCTGGGCCAGATGATATTTCTGGTACTAGATCTTTGAGGAACCATGACACTGTCTTCCACAATGGCTGAACTAATTTACATTTCCACCAACAGTGTAAAAGTGTTCCTATTTCTCCACAATCTCACCAGCATCTGTTGTTTCTTGATTTTTTAATGATCACCATTCTGACTGGCATGAGATGGTATCTCATTGTGGTTTTGATTTACAGTTCTCTAACGATCAGTGATGTTGAGCTTTTTTTCGAATGTTTGTGGCCACATAAATGTCTTCTTCTGAGAAGTGTCTGTTCATGTCCTTTGCCCACTTTTTAATGGGGTTGTTTTAAGTTCCTTGTAGGTTCTGGATATTAGACCTTTGTCAGATAGATTGTGAAAATTCTATGCTACTCTGTAGGTTGCCTGTTTGCTCTGATGATAGTTTTTTTGTTTGTTTTTTGCTATAGTATGGTTATTATTATACAACTTGTGCTTCTAAGCAGAATGGAATGCTGGTGGGTCTGTGAGAATAGATTGGAAGCAAAGAACAGTACAAACGTAGATAATTCAGTCAGTCCTGCTGTTTACCTTAATGTGGATGAATATCTGCCCAACATACATATTGCACCTCAGGACTAAATGACAACAATTAGACAACTAGTTTAATTGCTTCTTGAGGCCACACCTGAAATTTGATAATAAACTCATCAGCAGAGTCAAGAAAGCCGGTCTTCCTGCTCACCATTAGCAGGGTAGCTCCTCTATCAAGCTATGCAGATGTAAGTTAATAACGAGAGCGTAAAGCTACTTAAAATGTACCAGTTACAAGAAACTAAATGCAATTTGTGATCCTATATGGGGAAAAAAATCAACAAGACTGGAATATGGACTGTAAGTTAAAGCATTTTATCAATATTATATGAATCTGATAACTGTACTATGGTCATGTAAAACAAGCCTTGTTCTTAGGAAATAAACAATTACATATTAAGAGGTAAAGGAGCATTATGTATGAAACCTACTCTCAAATGACACAGGAAAAAGTTATACAGAACGATGAAGGAAATGTGGCAAAATGTTAATAACTGCTGAATCTAGATAAAGAGGATATGGAGTTGTTGGTACTATTATCACAACTTTTTATAAGTCTGAAATTATTTCAAAATTAAAAGTATACAAAATTAAAATGAACTAGCTGAGCCAGGAATGGTGGCTCTTGCCTGTAATCCCAGCACTTTGCGAGGCCGAAGCATGCAGATCACCTGAGGTCGGGAGTTTGAGACCAGACTGACCAAAATGGAGAAACCCCATCTCTACTAAAAATACAAAATTAGCTGGGTGTGGTGGCATATACCTGTAATCCCAGCTACCTGGGAGGCTGAGGCAGGAGAATCGCTTGAACCTGGGAGGTGGAGGTTGCGGTGAGCCGAGATTGTGCCATTGCACTCCAGCCTGGGCAACAAGAACAAAACTGCGTCTCAAAAAAAAAAAAAACAGAACCAGCTGAATTTAAGTTTAATGAGCAAAATGAAAAGCAAGTAAGAAAGGGAGACAAATCTACATTCCATCATTATTTCGGAGCCAGACACGTACTGGCCATTTTACAAATTTAACTCTACATATAGAATACAAAGAATTCTGGCTTTGAGGCAAATAGCTAGGTTAGTAGTTCAACTCTAGAATTTTATAGCTGAGTGACCTTAGGTTATTCCTTTCATGTTCCTGAATCTCAGTGTCCTTTTCTGTAAAATAAGGATACAATACAAATAGCAATGGCATGACTGAGATGATGAAATGAAAATTTCAAGTACTGTACATTGTATGTGTACCACTAAGCACAATATACCACTGTGCTTAGTGTTGAGCGACAAATCCTCGTGGGACTCCAACATTTCTGCGTATGTAAACAAGACACAAATTGCCTTTGTTCTGGACTATCTTTCAAGGATACAGATTTGTAAGATAAAGATGGTTCCTCACTCCAGAGCAAAGGGCAGGCATGCTTACTGCCCATTATAAAAGACTCAAGGTTTCTCTCCTGTAACACAGTACACAGCTTATATAGAGGTATTATCTTCACATTGCGGCATGGGAAGAAAAAGAACTTGGGAAATTGACACACAAAATATGTTGATACTGTGGCTACTGCTATTGCTATGAATAGTAAAATCCTTTTCCCTCATTCAGGGGTCTGATGTTTTCTGCTACCATCCATGGAACAGTGGTAGAAACTTAAGAGGGTAAAATCACAGACCCTTTGCAACTCCTGACATTAAGCACTGTTATCTTTATCTCATTACATTTTATTAATAGCCCTATAAAGCAAAGCAAAATACGGCACCGTACAAGTGAGGTATCCCATAAATAGTAGTTATTATAATCTTCAACATCATTATTAATCCTTGCAGCAATCCTGTAAACTTGGAATCAAAACCATCATCTTACAGCTGACTTGCCAAGAGTTAGTTACACAAATAGTGAAGCTAGAATTCTAATCCTTCCCACCATTATTAAGTGCTCCATGGTAAGCAGGTCTATACAAATCTACCCTCAAAAGACTGAGGATGCTGAGAGACTGAAGAAAGCAGCTGACAAACCCAGCTTCTCAGAAAGAAACATTTAATATGGATTTATGAACAGAAGTCATATCTCAGGAAGCTAAGAGACAAGATGATGAATCCTTGTGCAGTTATCTACCCCAAGACCCAGGGCTTCTCTATGGTATATACCATAGAGAAGGGGTAACCATGCTTCAGAAGGGATGTCTAAGACAACCGAAGTCAACCCCTTAGAAAAAATCAAGAATGCTATGTCATAGCCTATCATTTGCTTAAGGGCAAGAATTATAAATCCTGTCCTTAAGTACTATAAACAGTAAATAAAATAGAAATCCTGCCCTTAAGTACTATAAACAGTAGATAAAATAGAAATCTTACAGGTATTCCTGGAACTGGGGATAATCAAAAGTCAACATGGCAGATTAGCATCCAAGATGGAGTTCCTTTAGCCACCACACCACGTCATCTCCATAGATTTAAAATTATGAACTCATTCAGTGAAGCTGCATATTTTATATGAGATCACAACAGAGATACTCAGGTATTCATTCTTCAAATACACATTAAACACTTATGTTTCGGGCACTTTGCTGGTGCTGAGGAAATAAGAGTGAATAAGACATGTTCTGTCTTCATGAAGCTTATAGAGGAAACAGACACTAAAACAAGTAAAACAAAACAATTACTCTTATTATTGTCATCATAGAAGCAAACAAGGGACTAAGAGAACTAGAGGACACACTTTTCAAATTATAGGTTGCCAGTTAGAAATAAATTCCTTTGCCTGGCGCGGTGGCTCACGCCTGTAATCCCGGCACTTTGGGAGGCTGAGATGGGTGGATCATGAGGTCAGGAGATCGAGACCATCCTGGCTAACACGGTGAAACCCCGTCTCTACTAAAAATACAAAAAAATTTAGCCGGGTGTGGTGGCGGGCACCTGTAGTCCCAGCTACTCGGGAGGCTGAGGTGGGAGAATGGCGTGAACCCAGGAGGCGGAGCTTGCAGTGAGCAGAGATCACGCCATTGCACTCTAGCCCGGACGACTGAGCAAGACTCCATCTCAAAATAAATAAATAAATAAATAAAAATAAAAATAAATTCTGTTGAGTCCCAACCACCAGTCTTAAAAAATACGTATAAAACAGGACAGAATACAGTATAAATAAGTATTGTTTCATGAAACTTTCATCGTGCATAAAGAGTGATAGTATAAAATGCATTTCTTTTAGGCACAAGGAATAATCTACGCAATGGGAATGGAAAGACCCTGCTATGTTAGAAAAACAAATTAACATTGTAGCTAGGTTCCTACAAAAATGATAGAATGGGGCATGAATGGAAGTTGAAGAAGTTAAGGTTCTGGTAGAGACTCGTGCAACAAAGAAAGATAAGTGATATGATTTGATTCACAATTTAGATGTCACCTTTCTTGATACATGGAGAATGAACTGGAGGGAGGGCAAGAATGGAAACAAACACCCCATCAGAAGGCTGTTGTAAGCAGTCAATATAGGTGATAATGGGGGCTTGGTGTGGAATAGAGAAAGGAGAGGGGGAGGCAGCAGCAATAGTGTAGATGGATTCAAGATATAAAGATAAAATCAACAGGACTTGCTGAAGAAAGGAATCCAAATATTGTGATTCTATGTACATATCATGCTTTCCAGATGTCTGTGTCTATGCACATCCTCCTCTTGCAATACCTGACCTCTCCCCAAGCTCTCACTCTATTTACTTGGCACACTCCTACCCATATCCCTTTCAAAACTGAGACCTAACATCACCTTTCTACAAAACTTTGTCTGACCCTTAGGAGCTTTCAAGTTCCCTTGGCACTTTGCACATGCTTCTAATACAGTGATTACAGGCTGCAATGCAATTACCGGTTTACATCGTTTTCCAAGCATGTCTGAGGCCATTTCAGGGCAGAAACTATTTTCCGTTCACTTTTAGCCTTGGGACTGATGACAGTGCTTAGAAAACTGTCGACTAATTAATCAAAGTTAGCTAAATGCATTTGCCATTGCACGTTACACATTCCTTCATTCCTAAACTATTATAGCAAAACGATGCTCATTCGCAAAGGTATTAAATACAGGCTGGGTATCCTTGGGACCACAAGTGTTTCAACTTTTGAATTTTTTCAGATTTTGGAATATTGGCTTTATACTTACCTGTTGAGCATCCCTAAACTGAAAATCTGTGGGGTTGGTTATTTATTTATTTATTTATTTATTTATTTATTTATTTATTTTTTGAGACAGGGTCTTGCTTTACCACCCACGCTGGAGTTCAGTGGCACAATCTTGGCTCATTGCAACCTCCACCTCTCAGGTTCAAGTGATCCTTCCACCTCAGCCTCCCAAGTATCTGGGATTACAGGAGGGTGCCACCATGCCCAACTAATTTTCTAATTAGTTTCCCAGGCTGGTCTTGAACTCTTGGGCTCAAGTGATCTGCCTGTCTCAGTCTCTCCAAGTGCTGGGGTTATAGGCATGAGCCACCATACCCAGCTCCTAATCTGAAAATCTGGAATTCTCCAATGAACATTTCCAATTTCCAATTGAGCTCCAATGAACTCAATGAACATTGAGTCTCATGTCAGCACTCAAAAAGTTTCAAATTTTGGAGCATTTCAGATTTCCAGCTTAGGGATGCTCAAACTGTACGGAACATGTTTTTTCTTTGCTCTTTTTTCCCCATGTCCTAACGTATTGAAAATATTATTATTTATCCTCAAGTTTCAGATCATTCCCCAATGACTCTATATTCAGAGAAATACATATATATCTGCATAATTTACACTGCTGTATAAATCCATTAGATTCTGTTCAATGATTGGACTGTGCTTCTTGCTTTCACAAAGAGCACAGTATATAGGAAAGATCTAATTTTAAAGTTAGAGTTCTGTTCATAAACCAACTCTACAATGTATTGATGATGTGGCTTTGGGTAAGTTATTTAATCTCTGTGGATCTCAACTGACTCAATTATATAATAAGGTTAATACTTCTATATCACAGGGTTGCCATGAGCTTAAATGTGAATGTGTAGTAACTAGCACAAATATATACTCAATATATTAGTTCTTGTTTCTCCAACTTATCTTTTTCTTTTTTTTGAGACAGGGACTCACTTTGTCCCCCAGGCTGAAGTGCAGCGGTGCAATCAAAGCTTGCTAGTTTCAGCCACCTGGGCCCAAACGATCCTCCCACCTCAGCTTCCCAAGCAGCTGGGACCACAGGTGTGTGCCACTACACCTAAGTTTTGTTTTTTATTTCTTTATAGAGATGGGGGTCTCCCTATGTTGCCCAGGCTGGTCTTGAACGTCTCAGTTCAAGGGATCCTCCCACCTCGGCCTCTCAAAGTTCTGGGATTACAAGTGTGAGCCACCATGCCTGGTCCAATTTACAGTCTTTACAAAGAACACAGCCTTTGCAAAACTAAACACAATTTGTTTCTCATCATGGCACTATCTTTACTTAAGGGCTAAGAATGGAAAACGTCCACCCTTACACACAGCTTAGATACTAAGGTCCAAAACTACCTTCCCTGATATGGTTTACTGTCTACATTAACATGAATTTATTATTTTTTGTCTTCATTAGCATAACTTTACTGTTCTAGAAGACTTCTGCCCAAATAACTTAATCATTCATTATAAGAACTTCATGAGAAATCTATTAGCTTTTCACGTTTTTTATTTTTATTTTTTGTTTACAGGGTCTCGCTCTGTCACCCACCCTGGAGTGCAGTGGCACAATCATAGCTCACTGTAGCTTCAAACTCGTGGGTCCGTCCAAGTGATCCTCCAGACTCAGCCTTTCAAGCAGCTAGGACTACAGAGGTGCACCATCATGCCTGGCTACTTTTTAAAAAAAATTTTGTTGAGACGGGGTCTACCTATGTTGTCCACGCTGGTCTCGAACTCCTGGGCTCAAGCCATCCTCCCACCTTGGCCTCCCAAAGTGCTGGGATTATAGGCATGAACCACATGCCAGGCCTATTAGTTCTTCCAATAGAAAACCTCAATAGTTTATGCCTTAAGGCTTCTTGCACTCTTTGCTTTTCCTATCAATCTTAAACCGCTGTATCAGATCAGAGTCCAACCCTAATCAAGCCATCTTCCTCCAACACCCTCCTACCCTCTCCCTCTGAAAGACCAGCCTTAAGCCATACCCATCAGTAAAATCTGACCTTGCTTTCCCAGTTTAATACACTACCAAAGCTCTCAGTGGTGTTCTTCCTTATCCCAGTGAGCAATAAATTCAGCTGTCTTAACAAAATGTCATGTTGGTGATATTTGGCGAATTATCACCGGACAGGGCAGTACATCTATAAACATAAAGACAAGGCAGAGGGATTTCCCCACAAATGTCTAGAAATACTGTAAAAATGAGCCAAGATAAATTATACACCAGGCTAATTACGTCCACTAGTACATCCATTAATCAGAAGGAAATGGGTTAGCCAAGACCACAATAGAAAGTTTCCTTGCAAGGGTGGCCAATGAGTCTTAAAAATTCTTTTTGATTAATTCCACATTTATACTGCAATTTTGCCCAGCGCGGTGGCTCAGGCCTGTAATCCCGGCTCTTAGGGAAGCAGAGGAGGGAGGACAGCTTGAGCCCAGGAGTTTGAGGCCTGCCTGGGCAATACGGCGAGACCCCGTTCTCCACAAAAAGGAAAAACAAAACAAAGCAATTATATTGCAATTTTGTAAGCCCTTCCTCACAACAGAGCTGTTCAAATACGACCCTGAACCAAGAAAAACTGAGTCTCAGATAGCTCTTATATCTTTGGGCGTTACCAAAAACAATTCTAGGGTAGGCTGCCTAAGTGACTGCAAGAGAAATAAGCAGCTTTAAAATGAGGTCCTTCTGAAGAACAATCCAGATCCATCATCAATGTCACTAAAGTGTAAAGAACACTAACTTCTATGGGGTCTAATCATGGTCTAATGACTTGCCGCCACCCAGGTAAAGCATTCATAGCTGTGGGGTGGGAAGGAGAGAAGAAAGCACCAGGTACCTTTCAAAGTTTACTTTTCACCGAGACAAACTGATCCCAGCCGACGCTCCACAGGACTTCTGAAGCTCCACCAGCTCCAGAGAAGGGGGAGGAGGTGGTAGAAACTAACAGGATTCCGTGGGACCCACCCTCCAGCTGACTGAGGACTGGCCCGCAGCGGTGAAAGGCCTTTGGGGTCCCTAGCTCCTCAGGGACTCCTCTGCGCGCTCCGGGATCCATACCTGGCAAGCAATAGCGCGGCGAAAGCCGCACGCCATGTCCACCTCTACGGAAGTGCGCCGCAGTCCGCCAGTTCCGGCCTCGCCCCACCTCCTTATACGACCCGCCTCCCCGCGCCGGAAACCCGCCCCGGAGGGTGATGCCAGCCAATCAAGGAGCCGTGTGGCTCGCCACTAACCTCTGCCCTGCAGCCGCGAGGGCGCGCGGGAAATCCCGAGTGCATCTGGAATACGCAGAGTCAGTAAGACCATGGCTACGTCCTCGATGTCTAAGGTATGTGGTGGCCGATGCGCACTGTGGCTCTACCGCTGCCTCATTCCCCTTTGAAGAAGGGATGAAGCCGAGGTTACGTAGGCATCCCTTCCCTGGCTGGAGAGGAGGGAGGGAGCGGCGTACTGAGCTGAGGCGTCCTTGCTCCAGATCAGTTGAGGCCAACTTTGCTTGGGGAGCGAGGACGCGGATCTGCCTTGTGGTATGGCTAGGAGGATTTTTAAGTTCTGGTTGGTGGAGGTCGGATGTCCTGATGATGTGGCCCAGTCTCTCATTTTTCCATCTCACAAATACTGTGCGCCAAGCACTCCGTTAGGTACCAAGATGCAGTGGTAAACAAAACAGATTCAGTTTCTGCAGTCAAGAAAGTCGGTAAACATAGATAAACTGACGATCACAAATTTTAAGTGTTAGCAAGGAAAAGAGTTCTAGGCAGACAACAGAAGAGTGGGAAGAACCTAATATAGGTTGTCGGGGGTTAGCGGAGGCTTTTTGGAGAAAGTGACCCTTTCGCTGAGACCTGAAAAATGAGTAGAAGTTAGGTTAAGGATTAGGGCGAGGAGGGCAGAGAGAACAGCATGTTTCTTCGGCCCAGAAGATAGAAATAAAATGGCATATTAGAGGAATTTAAAAATCATAATCAGAAAGTAGACAAAGAGTGGGAGCGTCATGAAAAATGAGAATGAAAAAGTAATGTGGATGCGGGTGTGTGTGGTGGGATATCTTATAGACCTCCTCATGTTGGCTACCTAGATGGCAAGAAATTGCAAGACATAGTGTAGTTGGTAAGAAGATAAGCCCTAGAGCTGTATTGTCCAATGTGTTAGTCACTCACCACATGTGGCTATTTAAATTTGAGTTAAAATAAAGTAAGATTAAATAAAAATTCAGTTTCTCCGTTGCACTAACCACATTTCAAGTGCTCAATCATCACATGTGGCTGCAGCTACCATTTTAGATAGTGCAGATATAGGACATTTCTATCATTACAGAAAGTTCTGTTGGACAGCGCTGTTCTGGACCACAAAAAGTAAGACCTTGAGTTCTATTGTAAGTGCAGCGGGAAGCCCCTGAAGTTAAGCTGTCTGAGAAAGCTGAAAAATGCACATGAAGAAGCTACATTCTCCCTATGTTAAAACAATGGATTGATGAAGAAGGCTATGTCATGGATCTGATTTTTTATTTTGATTAAAACGGTTTATGAGAAGCAGTGCTTTTAAAGACTACATCTCAAGGAAAAAGGACAAGCCCTGGGGTTTAAGGTTATGCTAGTAGAGATTCAAAGGTAGTATTTTTATTAGAAATGGTACTGGTTTTATTTTGTCCTGGTTATAATGTTCTGTAGGTTTTGAATGGTCTATCCCTTAATCCTGTTGATTGCATAAGCACCTCTTATTTTTATGTATCTTGCAGAAAGTAAGATTTTTCAGGAAAGCATTTTTGGTATTATAACAAATGTCTGTATTGGGATGAGACCTTACATGAATAAGAAGCTTTAAGAACTATTTCATGAATTTATGGAACTGCAAGCTTTTTTTCTTTTTCTTTTCTTTTTTTTCTTGAGACAGAGTCTTGCTCTGTTACCAGGCTGGAGTGCAGTGGCGCGATCTCGGCTCACTGCAACCTCCACCTCCCCGATTCAAGCTATTCTCCCACCTCAGCCTCCCGGGCAGTTGGGATTACAGACATGCCCCACTACACCCAGCTAATTTTGTATTTTTAGAAGAGACAGGGTTTCACCATGTTGGCCAGGCGGGTCTCGAACTCCTGACCTCGAGTGATCCGCCAGCCTCGGCCTCCCAAAGTGCTAGGATTACAGGCGTGAGCCACCACGCCCGGTCCTTAAACATATCAAAACATTTTAGTGTCTCTTTCATCGTGAAATTTTCTGGCTGTTGGCCTTCCTCTATCTCAAACACCATCACTTGACCAGCAGTTCCAAATGGTTAACCATGTTACTACCACTGCCCTATATTAAGATCCTTTCTGATCACTCCTCATGTCTTGCTCCTTTGAAGCTCCTTTTTCCTTTACTGAATTGCAGGTGGATTTGGAAAGGAGGTAATGACAGGTTTGTCATGGTATCACATGATTTTTCTAAATATGTATGTGATTTCGCACACTTCTGCTAGTTGCAGATATAAGAATATAAGGCACAGGGCTGTGTGCAGTGGCTCATGCCTGTAATCCCAACACTTTGGGAGGCCGAGGTGGGTGGATCATCTGAGGTCAGGAGTTCGAGACCAACCTGACCAACATGGTGAAACCACATCTGTACTAAAATACAAAATTAGCCTGGCATGTTGGTGGGCGCCTGTAATCCCAGCCTCTCAGGAGGCTGAGGCAGGAGAATCGCCTGAACCCGGGAGGTAGAGGTTACAGTGAGCCAAGATTGTGCCATTGCACTCTAGCCTGGGCAACAGAGGGAGACTCTGTCTCAACAATAGCAGAAAAAAGAATCTAAGGCACAGTTCTTAAATGGGAACATGTAATCCAAATGGCTACTTTATAGTTGCACAGCGGTCTTTAACACTATCCTGAGACAACTTTTCCTAGGTATCGTTCTTTCATTCTGTCTTTTATTTTCCATAGAAATCGAAATATTTAAGAAGTTATCCATCAGGCCGGGTGCAGTGGCTCATGCCTCTAATCCCAGCACTTTGGGAGGCCGAGGCGGATGGATCACGAGATCAGGAGTGCGAGACCAGCCTGGCCAACATAGTGAAACCCCGTCTCTACTAAAAATACAATAAATTAGCCAGGCATGGTGGTGGGCACCTGTCATCCCAGCTACTCAGGAGGCTGAGGCAGGAGAATGGCTTGAACCCGGGAGGCAAAGGTTGCAGTGAGCCAGGATCGCACCATTGCACTCCAGCCTGGACGACAGAGCGAGACTCTGTCTCAAAAAAACAAACAAACAAACAAAAAAAAACTATAAGCTATCCATCATGTATGACTTTAGAATTGGTAGAATAGACTAGGACCACTAACTTGGGGGTGATCTACCACTGGTCAAACAATAATATGAAACTAAACATAGCTGGGAAATTACCAGGACAGTTATTTGGCAAGCATTTATTCATTCCATATTCTGATTGCCTAATATGTATGTTAGCACTATTCCAAACATTGGAGAAACAATTATAAATAAAATACAGTTTGTGCTTGAAGGCACTCACAGTCTACTCAGGGAGACACACCCATAAACAACTACGATATACAATTAAAGTGACTTAAAACAATGCAAAATAAAGATGTTCAAGTACTGAGAGATCTCGAGGAAAGGAGAATTTCTGGCTAGAGAATTGTGAAAGGTTTCCTGAAGGAGATGAGTGTTGAGTCAAACTTTAATGGATAAATGAGTAGGCATTTATCAGATGAAGAGAAGTATGTAGAGTGAAACAGCTGCAATTATCTATTTACTACTAAGGTTATAGATACTTCGAGTTTAAATAAGTTTCGGGTTGGGAGAACATCACTATTTTCAACCTTTTTAATCTTCATTTTTATTTATTTATTTTTTGAGACAGAGCTTCGCTCTTTGTTGCCCAGGCTGGAGTGCAATGGCACGATCTCAGCCCACTGCAGCCTCCATCTCCAGGGTTCAAGTGATTCTTCTGTCTGAGCCTCCCGAGTAGCTGGGATTACAGGCTCACACCAACACGCCTGGCTAATTTTTGCATTTTTAGTAGAGACAGGATTTCACCATGTTGGCCAGGCTGGTCTCAAACTCCTGACCTTGTGATCCACCCGCCTTGGCCTCCCAGAGTGCTGGGATTACAGGCATGAGCCACTGTGCCCAGCCCATTTTAATGTGTAGTATTAATTCCTTTAAGTTTATGAAAATGGAACCTTTCTGGGCTTAAATTTAATCAGCTTTTATTTTCTTTGTCTACCTCTTAGATCAGGTGTCAAAGAGCAAAATCAAAAATGGGCATCTCATGGGAGGGAGGGGAGAGAGTAGATAGTCCCCCTTGTTGTTTTAGAATTTTCCTTCTATAGGTCAGAGAGAAGTGATGTGATTTCTTAGAACCTGAAAGAAATGTGTTCTCTCCCCTAACATCTTTTTTTAAAAAAGTGCTTACCCATAAAATATTTGGTTAATCAGATTTCTCTGCTCCTTGGCTACTTTGACTTTATGCTTTTCGTCTTTCTTTTTATAGGGTTGCTTTGTTTTTAAGCCAAACTCCAAAAAGAGAAAGATCTCTCTGCCAATAGGTAAGGTGTCTGAATATTAAATTTTTTATTCCCTACCTTCTTAAACTATTAGGAACTAACCCTAATTGAATTTAGTAATTCTCTTGTCTAACCTTGGCTTACTTGCCATGTTGATGTAGCATTTATGTTCCAAGGCATTGGTCAAAGAGATAAGAGGACACCCCAGGGCTCTAATTGAAAAGAGAATCCAATTACACCTTCCAAAGGTAAGTTGGAAGCAAATTTCCTTCAAAGGATATGCTGCTATTCTTTAAAAGAGATTGTCTTTTTGATTACTTCTCTGCCATTGTTTTTTTATCTACAACTTTAGAAATGAAAGTGAGTTTCTGCTAGAGAAACATTTTGATCCTTGATGAAGTAATCAAAACAATAAAGGCTGACTGGCAACCCAGATTTCTAATGATGGGGGAAATGTTATTTAGAAAATAAAATGATAATTGGTAACATAAGGAAAACCTAAGAAAGAATGATTATAAATTTGTATATATTTTCTAATGAAAATTGTATAAAAATTATTTTTGAGTTAAAATACAATATTCATGGGGAGACTTAAATATGCTTAAAAATTTTGATGTGATATTCCATTTTATGAATAAACTTGGCAAAATAAATTAAAGCAATCATCTATCTGTATGGAGCATTTTAGAACTTAGGGCTTAGTAACTACATGTGTGTTAGAATACTGCATGTTCTAACTTAGGGATAAATGCTGTGCACATCAATACATGCTGAGAAAAAAGCCCAAGGTCTTGGATCTCTTACAGTAATTCTACCTGCTAGAGCACAAAGTTATGGAATCACCTGGACTATAAGTAAAGGAATTGGAGTGTGATCCTGAGCCTGACCAGCTCTATGGCTTTGGCCCTGCTGTTTAACCTTTCCCTAAGTCTCTTCATCTGTAAAATGAGCAACTATACTCACTTATCACTAAGATTTCTCCCTATTCTCATTCTATCTCTCTAAGAGCTAACATGTAGTGCTTTGTAAGACTATCATAAATACCATGTGAATAAATTTGTGTTATTATGGATTGTTACCACCTTGGCCTTATAGTTTGTGTTCCAAGACTCCTATCTCTCACTAGCCTGAGGGAAGGGAAAAAGCTGAGAATGAGTAGCAGAAGACTTTCTACTCTCACAATGGCTACATATTTCCAAGTGGCCCAGATTTCCTCTCTTAGTCTTCACATCCTTTCTACCAGTTTGCACCCTCCATCATCTCTCGGAAGCACCAGGGTCCCACACAGTTCTCAATCACTCTTCATTTCATAAAACAAATTTGTTAAATTATTGAGTTTTAATCACTCATAGACACACATACTCATGATATTAAGGGAGTGGATTTTTATCACTCACTCAGACATACGCATACTCACACACTCATATACCCATGTGTGTAAGAGAGGAAAGACATTTCTTTTGGTTTTGTTTGTTGATTTATTTTAGAGACAGGGTCTCAGTCTGTCACCCAGGCTTCAGTTCGGCGGCCTGATCATAGCTCACTTCAGCCTTGAAAACTCCTGGGCTTAAATGATCCTCCCACCTCAGCCTCCCAAGTACCTGGGACTACAGGCATGCGCTACGACGCCTGGCTAATTATTTTTTAAAATTTTTTGTAGAGACAGGGTCTCACTTTGTTGCCCAGGTTGGTCCTGAATTCCAGGGCTCAAGTGATCCTCCCACCTCAGACCTCAAAGTGCTGGGATTACAGGTGTGAGCCACTGTGCCCAGCCTAATTTGTTTGTTTGTTTTTGTTTTTTTTTTTTGAGACGGAGTCTAGCTCTCAGCATGATCTCAGCTCACTGCAACCTCCGCCTCCCAGGTTCAAGCGATTCTCCTGCCTCAGTCTCCCGAGTAGCTGGGACTACAGGCATGCGCCACAATGCCTGGCTAATTTTTGTATTTTTTAGTAGAGATCGGGTTTCACTATGTTGGCCAGGCTGATCTCGAACTCCCGGCCTTGTGATCTGCCCACCTCAGCCTTCCAAAGTGCTAGGATTACAGGTGTGAGTCACTGTGCTCGGCTGTTTGTTTTTTTGTTGTTTTTTTTTTTTTAAGGCAAAAACAACACAGGTTGTGTTAAAGTCCCAGTGGTTTCCTGGGATGAAGTAGGGGGAATTAACTGCAAAAAGGCAAGAGGGAACTTTCTGGAGTGATGGAAATGTTCTCTGTTGACAGAGTGGTTATGTAAGTATATACCTGGGTCAAACTGTTAAAATGGTTGTGTTTAATTATTTGTAAATTATACCTCAATAAAATTCAATTAATAAAAAAAGATACTGTCTTCACTTTTTTCATTTATATCCTGATACCTGTTTAGTGATCAAATTAAGAAGACTTGACTTCTTCAATCAAATCCAGTATTACTATCAGAATGTATTTATTGCACCGGTTCTCAATCATAGCTTCACATTAGAATCATTTGGGGAACTTTGAAAAGTCTTATTTTAATATAATTGTAGATGCACATATAATTACAGGTAATACTCTTCCACCAGTAAGTACCCTACGACCAGTTATCCCCAGTGGCAGTATCTTACATAACTATAGTACAGTGTCACAATTAAGAAACTGATATTAATACAATCTAGTGACCTTATTCAATTCCAACTTGTGGGACTTTGAAAAAATGCAGGGTGAGAGTTCCTTATCCCAAATCTTGGGACCAGAAGTGTTTTGGTTATTGGAATTTTTTCAGATTTTGAAATATATACCTGTATATAATGAGATAATCTTGGGAATGAGACCCAAGTCTAAAAATAAAATTCATTCATGTTTCATATACACCTTAACCACATAGCCTGAAACGAATTTTACATAATATTTTAAATAATATTGTGCATGAAACAAAGTTTTGGCTGTGTTTTGACTGCGACCTGTCACTTGAGGTGAGATATGGAATTTTCCACTTGTGGCATCATGTTGGTACTCAAAAAGTTTCAGATTCTGGAGGATTTCAGATTTTTGGATTAGAGATGCTCAACCTGTGCCAATGCTAAGACCCTAACCCGGATCAATTGAATTAGAATCTCAAGAGTGGGGCCTAAGTGTTAGAATTTTTCAAAAGCTCCCCACAGGGTTATTGAGTATATACATTCCATATTCAGCACTGTGAAAATTAATTCCAGTGGAAAAATTATGATATGGAATTAAGCATACCCATGTACTAGTTTTGAATTGAAAAAATGAACTATGCCACTGTTTGACTAAGGAAATAAATGGATAACTTGAATATATAGAATAGGATTTTTTTTAAGTAATGATATATATATATACACACACACACACACACACACACACACACATATATATATAATTTTTTTTTAAAATAGAGATGGGATCTTACTATGTTGCCCAGGCTGGTCCTGAACTCCTGAGTTCAAGTGATCCTCCCACCTTGGCCTCCCAAAGTGCTGGGATTACAGGCGTGAGTCACCATGCCTGGCCACACATTTCTTTAATGTTGCAGATTGCTCAACTTACTAGAAATAGGTCAGAGAAAATTAAAGACTTGTTCCCCCATTATCATTAGGGACACATAGCATGCAGTGACATCTAATATCATCACCAATGTAATTATAACTAATACAGTTGTTAATATTTCTTGGATGTTTACAGTGTGCCAGACTGTTTTGTTTTTCAAGACAAGATCTCACTCTGTCACCCAGGCTGGAGTGCAGTGGCACAATCATAGTCCACTGCAAACTTGAGCTCCTGGGCTCCGGGAATCCTCCTGCCTTAGCCTCAGCTAGGACTACAGGCTCATGTCACCTTGCTTGCTAATTTATTTATTTTTTTTTTAAGGTGAGATCTCACTTTGTTGTCCAGGCTGGTCTCAAATCCTGAGCTCAAGCAGTCCACCTGCCTTGGCCTCCCAAAGCGCTGGGATTATAGACCCAGACTGTTTCAATCATTTTATATGTGTTAATTTGATTAATCCCCTCAGCAAACTACAAGGAATGTATTATCGCCATTGAAATATATAAGGATACTTAGACATATAACTTTCTCAATGTTATAATGTTAGTAAATGATAGAGCTAGGATTTGAACCCAACCTGTCTGATTCCAGAGCTCATGATTTAACCATAGCTTAATACTGCCTCTCATTATATAAGGCCAAGTTTCTATTTAGAACTTTTTGTATTGAATTTAAGCTACAACTTATTAGGATTGGTTTATAGTTTTTAGTACTAGTAAACCTGATGTGTATAATTGTATGATTTGAATTTTGCTTTAGAAGTTTGCTAGGCTTTTTTTTTTTTTTCATTATGTGGCTCTAAGACCAACGGGTAGTGTTATAATACGAAAATCTTTGAGGAATTGACCCTGATTATAAGGCAGATGGAGCAGGAATGAGGGAAACATACCCAGACTTTAACATTTGCCTTCACTGGCTTCAGTTGTTGAAACAGATTGACTGAAGAAGTAGGAAGATGCTCTGCATTTTGCCCACCATCTGTCCCCTGACTGAAGACACTTGGGCACGTAATTAAGACTGGTAACTCTCCCTCTCCTCAGTATTCTGTGGATGACTGCATATCCAGCAAAACAACTGGATAGGAACTGGAGAGAGAGAGACTGGCAGCAGCACTGGCACTGTAGGAGATACCCACACTGAAGTATAGCACTGTGAATAGGAGCCGAGGCAGGTAGAAACCTGGCAACAGTGAGAGCTTATATTCTTCAGTGTAGTTTTTAAATTTACCTACCTGATCTGTAACAGACTGAGAGAAGTCATGGTAACAGTTTAAAGTATCCTACTGCTGTGTTTCCCAGTTTCTAAGAGGTTTTTCATGTGTATTTTGATGCGGCATTATTCTGCACATAAAAATTGTGTCTTGATTTGCCACTTTCATGTTATGCTATGATTTTACCTATTAATGTAAAGTGACTATTTTTGTTCTTTTTAAAGCTACCTTGTTGTTCTGCTTTGTCTCTTTTTTTTATTATTTATTTATTTATTTATTTATTTATTTTGAGGCAAGGTTTTGCTCTGTCGCCCAGGCTGGAGTGTAGTGGCACAATTTCAGCTCACTGCAACCTCTGCCTCCCAGGTTCAGGTGATTCTCCTGCCTCAGCCTCCTGAGTACCTGGGACTACAGGTGTATGCCACCACGCCCGGCTAATTTTTGTATTTTTAGCAGAGATGGGGTTTCACCATGTTGGCCAGGGTGGTCTCCAAGTCCTGAGCTAATGAACCGCCCACCTTGGCCTCCCAAAGCGCTGGGATTACAGGCATGTGCCACCACGCTGGCCTGCTTTGTCTCTTAATAATAGTGTCCTCTGGCTAGGTGGGGTGATGTACGCCTGTAATACCAGCACTTTGGGAGGCCAAGGTGGGCAGATCACTTGAGGTCAGGTGTTCAAGACCAGCCTGGCCAATGTGGTGAAACCCCGTCTCTGCTAAAAATATAATTAGCCAGATGTGGTCGCGGGCGCCTGTAGTCCCAGCTACTCGGGAGGCTGAGGCAGGAGAATCACTTGGACCTGGGAGGCGGAGGTTGCAGTAAGCTGAGATCTCACCACTTCACTCCAGCCTGGGCAACAGAGCGAGACCCTGTCTCAAATAATAGTAATAGTAATAATAGTGTCTCCTTGCTTTCTTTTTTTGTTGGCATTTTAATTCTATAACCTTGTCTGCCACTTTACCGTACGATGACTTCAATGTATTCCAAGGCTTTTGATAAAATTAAAAATCAATAGTTGCTAAAAACTCTGAGTTAACTATGATTAGGAGAGAAGTTCCTTAACATGAAGTGAATTTATATTCCAAACTATCAGTTAACATTAAAACTTGGTGGTAGATTATTAGCAGCAGAAATTTAACGTGAACACTCCAGTTGTTACAATAAAATACGTAGCAGTAAACAACAAGAAATATGAGGGAAAGTAGAAAACTATAAGGAATCTAAAATATTTGATTAAAAAAAGAGACCTGTGATATTGGGGTTGGGGATTTTTTAACATATTAAAGATGGGATTTTTCCCCAAATCAGTCTATGGATTTGATTTTATCTAGTCAAATACCAGTACAACTAGTTTTGAGAAGTGACAGGATTACTGTAAAATTAATTTGAAGAAGTGGCTTAAATTTTTTTGAAAGAGAATAACAATGTTTGGGGGCAGTGGGAGGAAGACCTAAATGTATTTGATAAAATGTACAACATACAAAGCCATAATAATTAAAACAGTTCAAGACTGGTAGGAGAATAGGGTTGGATTCAGTAGAACAAAATAAAAAGTTCAAACATAGTTCAAAGTATATATAAGTATTTAGACTATAAGGGCATGTCAAATCAGCGGGAGAAGGATGGATTGTACAATAAAGGAGGGTTTTTCAAACCAAATGTCATAATTTATGTGTGAGTTATGAAATCAATTTAGTGGACTATGAGTATAAAACAGGAAAGAAAACATTTGCTATTACATAATAAGGGTGAGTGTTGTTTTTTGTGACTTTAGTTTTTGTTCATGTGTATATGTGTTAGGTTATGATATAAAGTGTATTCCTTAATGTGGATTATAGTTTGAAAAGTTTGAAAGCCAGTGCAATAAATGGTATTTTCACAAATAGCTAACCATTTGGAGAAAGCATTCAAAAAGGATACAAAAATATACAGACAGAATAAATGAAAGACTGGACTAAACTATGTCAGTGGAAAAATGTAAGAATAGTAGTAGTAAGTCATTCAATAGAGGAGAGTTCAAAGCAAATGTATGAAACAAAGTATACAAGGTTGTAGAATAACAGCAAATAATGAAAACATTATTAAATGTATATAACTCAAAAAAGCCACTTAATAAAAACTGTTAGAAATTAAAAAGCAAATGATAGAAATACAGTAGAAAGATTGACATTTTTAATCTTAAATATGCCATAAATATGGTAAAAATAAAAGATTATAAAAAATGAAATACAGAGGATATTGAATGTTACCTGTCCCCAAATATATGTTTTTGATGAATGTAAAAAAAATTAAGGCCAGGCAAGGTGGCTCACACTTGTAATCCCAGTACTTTGGGAGGCCAAGGTGGGCAGATCACTTGAGGTCAGGAGTTTGAGACCAGCCTGGCCAACATGGTGAAACCCCATCTCTACTAAAAATACAAAATTGAGCGGGCGTGGTGGCACGTGCCTGTAGTCACAGCCACTCGGGAGGCTGAGGCAGGAGAGAATCACTTGAACCTGGGAGGCGGAGATCGCACTGAGCCAACATCATGCCACTGCACTCCAGCCTGGGTGACAGAGTGAGACTCCATATCAAAAAAAAAAAAAATTTCACTTCTGTCACTTACTGTGTAACTTTGCACGTAAGATCTATAACTTATACTATTATATGAAAAAAGAAACTGACTTATTTCTTTCTGTTTTTAGAGGACTATTTTAACAAAGGGAAAAATGAGCCTGAGGACAGTAAGCTTCGATTCGAAACTTATCAGTTGATATGGCAGCAGATGAAATCTGAAAATGAGGTGAATACTTTTTTTAATAATTTTCTGTAACACCCTAAGTCTCATTTTTGTTGCATCTCATCTTCCTTTCCACCAGTTTACAAGAGTATTGATGAAATATAGGAAGTATTGGTCAAGCATAGCCTGTATATCCTTAAAAAAACAACCATAATCCAGCCTGGGCAACTTGGTGAAACCCTGTCTCTACAAAAGCTACAAAAACTAGCTGGGCATGGTGGTGTGCACTTGTAATTCCAGCTACTCAGGAGGCTAAGTTGGGAGGATAACTTGAGCCTGGGAGGTGGAGGTTGCAGTGAGCCGAGATAGTACCACGGCACTCCAGCCTGGGCAGCAGAGAGAGATCTTGTCTCAAAAACAAAAACAAAAAAAACTCATATTTCTTGTGAGTGGAACAGATGTTTATGATAGCTGTTAAGGCAAGGAGCTTTCAAATGGTGACGCTCTTAAATTATCCTTTCAGGTATACAACTGTGAAATCAAGCTGTTTCTAAACTCCTTCACTTTCTCATCTTTATATTCCAGCTCTGAAACATTTCTTCACTATAGCAAATTGGTAGCTCTAGGGCCAGCATTTTAGGCTGACAACTTTTTTTTTTTTTTTGGCCAACACAGTGTTGTAGTTTTTGGTTTAATTGCCTTTCGGAAGGTTATATACTTTCCAGTTTATTACTGCCGCCTACCAGTCCTTACTGATTTACACCTAGTGGTAATGAGCAAAGGCTCATTCACGTATTCCATGTGATCCTTCAAGGTATTTGAATTTGTGGTTTCCAGTTTAGGCCGTCTTCATTTCTGAATCTGGATTGTTATATCCTCCTGACTGGCATCCCTGACACCATTGGCCAAATTAGAAAAGACCCTTTTCAAGGCAAATGCAGCCCAATTCCAGGCAACCCCTCCAGCCCTGTTGCCAGATTAACCCTTCTTAACCCTGATCCAATTATGTCTTTACTTCACATCCCTTCAGTGGTGCTCCCCATAGGACAAAATCCAAACCCTTTAATGTCATATATCATATATATATTATATATTATATATATATATACACGTTTATATATATATACACATATATAATATATATATATATATACATATATATATACAATTTTTTTTTTTGAGACAAGGTCTTGCTCTGTCACCCAGGCTGGCGTGTAGTGGCATGATCATAGCTTACTGCAGCCTTGACCTCCCAGACTCAAGTGACCCTCTCACCTCAGCTTCCCTAGAAGCTGGGACCACAGATGTGCACCACTACACCCAGCTAATTTGTCTTTTATCTAAAAAGATGAGGTCTCACTATGCCGACCAGGCTTGAGAGGGAATTTTTAATGGGGGAACCCAGAGCACTAATTACTAGAGATTTAAGGAAAAAACATTTTTTAATTAGGTTCATCTTTTGATCATTTTACATCATTGAATCCATGACAATTTTCTTTCCACAACCAGGAAAGACATCAGATTATTATTTCTAATAATAATAAGTTTTTGTGTGTTCTTTGTAGCGACTACAAGAGGAATTAAATAAAAACTTGTTTGACAATCTGATTGAATTTCTGCAAAAATCACATTCTGGATTCCAGAAGAATTCAAGAGACTTGGGCGGTCAAATAAAACTCAGAGAAATTCCAACTGCTGCTCTTGTTCTTGGTATATATGCGTATGTTTGTTCATGCATGCATCTCTGTGTATTTCGTTTTTAAATTTTTTTTTATTGTTGAGAATAGTGGAAGGACCTGTTTTGATGAGCCTATTTTGTCTCTCTTATTTGTACAATTAAACCAACTATAGTTTATATTACATATTTTCAAAAACCAATAAAAATTCCTTATCTTTACAGACGATCATATGTTTGTAAATTAAAAGGAATTTATCTAGCTAATGTTCTCCCCAACTTTTGGTCGGAAGGGAAAATATATTTGTTTTACTCTTTCTTTGTAGATACATTACAAGAGTATATGAGATTTGGTAATAAAGAAACTACCAGTGTTAGTAGATTTGGTTTTCATACTTTTTTTAGTCGTATCTTCAATGGAATTACTCTATGACCTTAATTTTATTTTCCTGTGCATAGTTTTTCCATCTTAGATTGTTTCATTATATTCATATTAATTACCTACAAGGAGGTGTTTGGATGAATTGCACATAAATTGCTTTCAAATTGCAGGTTGTAAATTTCTTAAGTACTTAAACATCCATCATTAATATCTCATCTTTACCAAACATTTGGATTCCAGCACAATGGAAAAAATTTCTTTGGAATATTAGCAAATTTTCTTCATTCCCTTTGAAAACAAAGTTGAATTTATTTGGGTTCCAAACATGCTCTTAATTTCTCTTTCAATTTATTCAAGATTTGTTATGCTAGTTAGCTCTGAGATAAGGAATTAATTCTCAACCTCAATGCACCCACAGATAACCTCCAGGGATCGTATTAAAATGTAGATTTTGGTTAATGGGTCTAGGGTGGGGCCTGAAATTTTACATTTCTAACAGGGTACCAGCTGATGCCCATAGTCCCAGGACCACACTAATAAGACTCAAGGGAATGATTTTTATTATGCTGTGGACCAGCTTTACAATGCAACATCTAAAAATTCTCCCATTTGAGGAAAAACTGAGGCCCAGTGATGGCCCACTTGTACCAAGCTAATGGAAAGAATGTTTTAAAATCATGGTCTGAGGAGAACATTTTTCTAGTTAAACACATTGTTGATTATCTTGTTTGTGATAGACAAGTTCATTGTTTTATAATACAAATATAACGAATATAATGTTATTAATAAATAGCTTATAGCCAGTCAGTGAAAGCCAAGATAACCCAGTGTTTTACTGAACTTCTAAATTTGTTCAGGGATGTGTTATTATAATCATAGACCATAATGCATGCTAGGAATCATTTTGATATTTTCTATTTTCAATATCCATTTAAAAAATAGTCTGCTAATATTTTTATTCTTTGGCTCTCCTAGAAAAAAAAAATGGTTTATTATTGCTGGCATGGATGATTCTGAAATTTTTCTTTTTCTTCCAAGCAATGAAAGTTTTGCAGCTGTAACTCTTAAGCAGTTTGAAAGTGGCTGCTGCTGTTATCTGCCTAAGCACCAAATGACTTTCTAGAAATCACAGATGGTTATGTTAGGGAAGATACCAGTTAACAGAATTTTTTTCCAAAGTAGTGGGAAATTTTTCACTCAAAAATTTGATAACTGTATGCGGTGCCCTGAAACTCTGATTTGCAGAAATGAAAACCAGGGATTCCGTAAATACCAAAAGAACCCATAGTTTTACTTTTTTAAAATTTTTATAGAGACAGGTTCTCACCATGTTTGCCAGGCTGTTCTTGAACTCCTGGCTTCAAGTGATCCTCCCAAAGTGCTGGGATTATGGGCATGAGCTATACTGCACCTGGCCAGTTTTAATTTCCTTAAAGAGCTTGTTAGGAATTTGACAAAGCAATGAAATTACTTCTAAGATGTTTTCAAGGGTCGGCTGGGCACAGTGGCTCACGCCTGTAATCCCAGCACGTTGGGAGGCTGAGGCGGGTGGATCACTTGAGGTCGGGAGTTTGAGACCAGCCTGGCCAACGTGGTGAAACCCTGTCTCTATTAAAACTACAAAAATTAGCCGGTGTGGTGGCACATGCCTGTAATTCCAGCTACTCAGGAGGCTGAGGCAGGAGAATCACCTGAACTTGGGAGGTGAAGGATGCAGTGAGCTGAGATTGAGCTGCTGCACTCCAGCCTGGATGACAGAGCGAGATTCTGTCTCAAAAAAAAAAAAAAGAAGCTTTCAAGTGCACATCCCAGTAATTTGTTTGAAAGAGGAATTGTGCAAAATATCTTTCCTGACAAATATAGTTTATGCCTTTGGATAGCTATTGTTAATGGATATCATTTATATAGTATATTTCCTTGGTTTCTGTTATTAATCATTTTTTAAATGTTTTTACTTGTTTGCTTGATATGTTAAATAGCTTTTGTCATTAAATTATTATTAATAAAAATGGTGATGTAATATTGATGTATTATCTCATAGGTGTGAATGTCACAGATCATGATTTGACATTCGGAAGTCTAACAGAGGCCCTTCAGAATAATGTCACACCATATGTAGTCTCATTGCAAGCTAAAGATTGTCCAGGTAAAAATATAAATGCCATAATAACCTTGATGAGATGTTACAGACTTCTTTCATCCTTTTCTCTCTTTTTCAGGCTTTCTTTATCCCTTTTTTTGGTGGAAAGAACACAGTGCTATGTTTTAGGCAGGGTGAGGTTTGGGGGCTCTCAGAGTAATTGTGACTATTACAGAACTCTGCCTTCTTTTGCTGTCTTTGTTCTTGACCCATTTCTGCCCTATCAGCTTAACTGCCGGTAGCAGTCCAGGCATTTTGTGAGATGCATTCTTTAACCCAGTGAAACGTTTAATAAGTAGAAAGACTTAGGACAGAAAGCTGAGAATTGGGGAATGAGGAGCTCTTGTCAGCTCAAAAGAGAGTAGACCACATGGGCTCATGTTTCAGCCATAAATCATCTTATTGTCCCACTTTGAAAAGCCACCATGGTGAAAAATAGTCCACTGACAGAGGTAATCCTGAGCATGTGAACCCATGAAATCATAAAGAGTGTTCACACTAATATATTAAAAAGCTTTTTTTTTTTTTCTTTTGAGACAGGGTCTCACTCTGTTGCCTAGGCTGTACTACAGTAGCATGATCATAGCTCAGTGCAGCTTGAACTCCTGGCCTCAAGCAGTTCTCCCACTTCAGCTTCCCCAGTACCTAGGACTACAGGTGCATGCCATTACGCTCAGCTACATCAGCTACATTGTGGGGTTTTGTTGTTGTTGTTGTTTGTAGAGATTGGGTCTTGCTGTGTTGTCCAGACTGGTCTTGAACTCCTGGGCTCAAACAATCCTCCTGCCTTGGCTTCCCAAAGTGCTGGGATTACATCTTGAGTCACCATGCCTGGCCCTAATGTGGTAAAATTTGTTTGGATTAGATTGATAAAAGAGATTTATGTGCTTATATTGCTTTCATATTCATAAACTGATTGAAATTAAGTAAAAGCCCTTAAAGGCATCTTTAAAAATGGCTATATGAAAGATTTATAATCAGTAAAATAATTCATATGACACTTGATTTTTCTTAGGGAACTTGAAAACTGTTTATTTTCCTATGTAATTTAAATACATATTCCTAAAATTTATAG
The DNA here is from genome assembly GCF_000001405.40 of Homo sapiens. Lineage (NCBI taxonomy): Eukaryota > Metazoa > Chordata > Mammalia > Primates > Hominidae > Homo > Homo sapiens. The sequence continues at coordinate 87,607,091 of NC_000006.12, forward strand.
TTTGCATATCTACACATTTGCTTCTGTGACCTTTTTATTATAGATAATATACATAAATGGCTGGGAGCAGTGTTTGATGCTTGTAATCCCAGCACTTTGGGAGGCTGAGGCAGGCAGATCATGAGGTGAGGAGTTCGAGACCAGCCTGGCCAACATGGCAAAACCCCGTCTCTACTAAAAAATACAAAAATTAGCTGGGTATGGTGGCACGCGCCTGTAATCCCAGCTACTGGGGAGGCTTGAGGCAGGAGAATTGCTTGAACCCGGGAGGCAGAGGTTGTATTGAGCCGAGATCCTGCCACTGTACTCCAGCCTGGGCAACAGAGCGAGACTCCATCTCAAAAAAAAAAAATAAAGATAATATACATAAGCTTTGGTTTAGTCTTAGTCTGAATTAATGAAGGTACTAATGAGCATCAGTAGTTAATATGTTAAATGTTACATTAGCTGTATTGATGGTAAGTATAAAAAAACACATTCTACCAAAAAAAAAAGTAATACACTCAGCAAGAAGTTTCAAGAGCTTTGGTTTTATTTTTAGAAGAGGCAGAGATAAGCTTTCTTACTTTTTATATTCCACAGATATGAAACATTTTTTGCAAAAGTTGATCTCACAGTTGATGGACTGCTGTGTAGATATAAAATCCAAAGAGGAGGAAAGTGTTCACGTCACCCAAAGAAAGACACATTATTCAATGGATTCACTTTCCAGTTGGTATATGACTGTCACACAGGTAGATATAAACTGATGATTTTCTCCCAGGAAATTGACGTATGATTGATGTGGCTTGGAATAATATTAGACAGTACTGTTTTGATCTAACAAGGATATGTTTCTGCAGCACTAGGTGTTAATTTAAAAGTAGGTATTTATTTTTTCTAATGCTACTCGAATTTTAAAATGTTCTTTTATTAGTATGCAGCCTAATTCCAGGTAAGTGCTTAGGTTTTTACAAGGACATATTATTTGTTGGAGAATGTCCTCTAATGACAAAAACAGAGCATCAGGAATTGCTTCTGTTGCATGTTCCATCTCTGTGACAGTAACTATAACTTTAGTATATTATCTCTTATGTTCCTCAATGTTTGCTTTGTCCAATAGAACCATGCTGCTAGTATCCACTGTCAACTTAGTTCAATGAAGAATAATCATGTATTTTCTAAAGTCTAATTTGTTTTATGTTTAGAGTTCTTAGGGAATCAGTGTTCTTTAAGTAAAGTATGTTAGACAAACAGATAAGTAAAAAGAAGTTCCATTCTACCATGACAGTCTGGTGAAAAATAATAACCTAGGTTAACACTAGGTAATTGCGTCATAAAACCATAGTCTTAGGTTATGGTGCTGTGTAGCCAGACAGTATGGGAAAAAAAATACTGTGGTTACATTTTCCAATCAACATTTTTGCTGAAATCATCGTAAGTGAAGTTTCATTTTGCTTTATATAGGGACTAAACTACGTCTAATACTTACCATAATACCTGATTTGCTCCACAATTTTAGACTTTCCAGATAAAATGCTACTTTTGGTTTATGTCAGATATCTTTTTAAAAATTGAGATTGGACCAGATGATACCTAGTATCCATTTCAGGCTTGAAATTTCACAGTGGCAGAGTAGCAAGCACTACTATTCATTATATTTTTTTCATTAAAAATACTAGTTCTCACTATAAAGCAAAGCAGAATATAACTTTCTACCAACAGAAAAATCAATTTTGTAGAAAATTTCCTCTTCCATGTTTTTTTCTGTCATTTCCTTAGCAGAAAATATAAATATTTCATATGAGTTATAGATTTTTACTGAACCTTTTTCTTCTTGGTTATTATTCCCATGTCAGACACAGCAAGATTCTAGTAACCTGAGTTTCTATTTATCGTGTGGTAGAAAAAAAATAAACAGTGTTATTGTGAAATTTAAAGAGAGATATGTCAACATGTGGCATTATAACATTGTTTGAGTGGTAAGGCTTACCTTTAACTCTTTCTTTCTGCAATGGCTTAAAAGAAGACGGACCCAAAAATGCTAAGCAAAAAAAGGACTACTTCTAGCCAATGGCAGTCTCCTCCTGTTGTCGTTATCTTGAAGGATATGGAAAGCTTTGCCACAAAAGTACTACAAGACTTCATAATTATCAGCAGGTAGATGGTGTATTACCTGGCTTTTATGAAAAACTCCCTTTTTAAGAAAATACTACTTTTAACTTGAAAAGTATAATCTTCATTTTAATACCAACTGGATAAAAATCAAAGTATTCAAATTCTTTATAATTGAATATTCAAAGACTTCCTATCAGATTTTCCATTTGCTTTTTGAGCCAAGAATGAGAATCAAAGGCACATTTAGCCAGTTTTAAATTGACATGGTAAGATAGTATTAAATATGGTTTTTCTCACCAAGATTGACTGTCTCTTACTCACCCATTAAATAGATAAACTACTCCAGGTTGAGTTTGTTGTTTTTGTTTTTTTCTTTTTTTTTTTTGAGATGGAGCTTTGTTCTGTTGCCCAGGCTGGAGTGCAGTGGTACGATCTCGGCTCACTGCAGCCTCCGCCTCCTGGGTTCAAGCAATTCTGCCTCAGCCTCCTGAGTAGCTGGGATTACAGGTGCCCACCACCACACCTGGCTAATTTTTGTATTTTTAGTAGAAACAGAGTTTCACCATGTTGGCCAGGCTGTTCTCGAACTCCTGACCTCAGGTGATCTGCCTGCCTCGGCCTCCCAAAGTGCTGGGATTACAGGAGTGAGCCACCATACCTGGCTAAGTTGAGATTTTTATTAGGTCTTATTTTCTGATACCCATCCATCCTTAGATGCTCTGAGTTGCATATAGTTTTACTAAGCAAAAGTGTCTTCTAAATAACATTATTTTGCATTTATATAATACTTCTAGTGAGAAACTATTTTCACGATTGCATTGCGTCTTCAAAGCAATCATGTGAGACTCAGAATTGAAATAATGAACTCTTATTTTAAAATCCAGTGACATGCATTTTCCCTGGTGTATTTTTTAGGATGGAATTTATTTTGGCCTCTTCTATATGTCAACTTGTTTTAATAGTTATAGCTACATTTGCCTAAAGCTATATATTGTGTTAAATAATTTACTAGTATACTTTATTTTTATTTTTATTTTTGGAGACAGAGTCTCGCTCTGTCCCCCAGGCTGGAGTGCAGTGGCGCCTTCTCAACTCCCTGCCACCTCCGCCTCCCGGGTTCAAGCAGTTCTCATGCCTCAGCCTCCCAAGTAGCTGGGATTACAGGTGCCCGCTGCCACGCCTAGCTAATTTTTGTATTTTTAGTAGAGACAGGGTTTCACCATATTAGCCAGGCTGGTCTCAAACTCCTGACCTCAGGTGATCTGCCTTCCTTAGTGCTCTTTGGGGCCTCCCAAAGTGCTAGGATTACAGACATGAGCCACCACACCCAGCTAATTTACTAATATACTTTATTTTTTTTTATTTTTTATTTTTTTTGAGACGGAGTCTCGCTCTGTCGCCCAGGTCGGACTGCGGACTGCAGTGGCGCAATCTCGGCTCACTGCAAGCTCCGCTTCCCGGGTTCACGCCATTCTCCTGCCTCAGCCTCCCGAGTAGCTGGGACTACAGGCGCCCGCCACCGCGCCTGGCTAATTTTTTGTATTTTTAGTAGAGACGGGGTTTCACCTTGTTAGCCAGGATGGTCTCGATCTCCTGACCTCATGATCCACCCGCCTCGGCCTCCCAAAGTGCTGGGATTACAGGCGTGAGCCACCGCGCCCGGCCTACTAATATACTTTAAATTTCTACTTTGATAGGATCTTTTTTCCTTCATTGATTCTAAGAGTTCTATATATTAGGACTTTTCTTTTTTTTTTTTTTTTTTTTGAGACAGGGTCTGGCTCTGTCACCCAGGCTAGAGCGCAGTGACATGATCTTGGCTCACTGCACCCTCCACCTCCTGGGCTTAAGCAGTCCTCCCTTCTCAGGTCCCCAAGTAGCTAGGACTATAGGCACACACCACCATGCCCGGCTAATTTTTGTATTTTTTGTAGAGATGGGGTTTTGCCGTGTTGCCCAGGCTGGTCTCAAACTCTTGGCCTCAAGAGATCTGCCCTCCTCAGTCTCCCAACGTGCTGGGATTACAGACATGAACCATCGCACCCAGCCCAGATCCTAGGACTTGCATGAACCATTGCACCCAGCCCAGATCCTAGGACTTTTCTTAATGCTGACACTGAACTGCTTAGCATGCTTGGAAAGTACATAGTACAAAATAGTGACAGAAAAGCTGTACTTTTTTTTGGAGCTTAGACTTAATGACTACCTTAGCCATCAAAAGTGAGGAAGACTATAGAAAGGGCTCAAACTTTGAATGAGATATTAAATGGAATGGTATCTAACATCTCTTCTAACACTTAAGATTGTATAATCTTCGGCCCGGGCATGGTGGCTCACGCCTGTAATCCCAGCACTTTGGGAGGCCGAAGTGGGTGGATCACATGAAGTCAGGAGTTTGAGACCAGCCTGACCAATATGGTGAAACCCCATCTCCACTAAAATTAAAAAATTAGGCATGGTGGCACGCACATGTAGTCCCAGCTACTCGGGAGGCTGAGGCAGGAGAATCGCTTGAACCCAGGAGGTGGAGGTTGCAGTGAGCCGAGATTGCACCACTGCACTCCAGTCTGGGTGACAGAGCAGGACTCCATCTGAAAAAAAAAAAAGAAAAAAGATGGTATAATCTTCAGGAAAACTTTCTGGACCTCTCTGTTCTTATTTATAAAATGAGAGGATTTATTAAGAGATTGATTTCAAAGCTAGACTGTCTGGAAAGTAATTATTTCTCTGTTTAATAGAAGAAAGTGAAAGACTTAGAAAATTTTAGTGTTTGCAATGATAATCCTTAACAGTGTCTTATAAAGTAAGCATTAAAATAAAGTTTGTCTTATGTTGAAATATGATGTATTGAAATATATTTGCTAAATAAATTTCACTTTTGTGTCTGTCTTTCAAAACTAGTCAACATCTCCATGAATTTCCACTAATACTCATTTTTGGAATAGCCACATCTCCTATTATCATCCACCGATTGCTTCCTCATGCAGTATCATCTCTATTGTGCATAGAACTGTTCCAATCTTTGTCTTGTAAGGAGCACCTGACTACGGTACTCGATAAGGTAAAAAGAATAAGTTTTACCAGTGAAATAGGATGAAAAGAAAACTGCCAATAATAGATTGTTAAGATAACTGTTAACAATAAGCCTCTACAACTCTCTGAGTACTATATTGAACATATTCCTTCACATACTTTAATATTTTTACTTAATAATTTTTGTAGTGTTTTATAGTTTTACAGTGATTTTGTATATTACCTCTTCAGGTAAAATATAAGCTTTATGAAAAGAGTGATCATATCTCTCTATGTACTTAATCTCTTTATATCTTTACTCAATAGAAAATTATAGGTTTATAATGTAAATTTTTACAGAATTTGTAGACTTTGTAGTAACAATGTATTTTGACTCTTACATTTTGATTTTTCTAATTTTTATTTTTTTGAGAAGGAGTCTAGCTCTGTCATCCAGGCTGGAGTGCAGTGACGAAATCTTGGCTCACTGCAACCTCTGCCTCCCAGGTTCAAGTGATTCTCCTGCCGCAGCATCTCAAGTAGCTGGGACTTCATGAGGTGTGCCGCCACGCCTGGCTAATTTGTATTTTTAGTAGACACAGGGTACCATATTGGCCAGGCTGGTCTGGAACTCCTGACCTCAAGTGATCTACCTGCCTTGGCCTCCCAAAGTGCTGGGATTACAGGCATGAGCCGCCACACCCAGCCTGACTCCTTACATTTTGTATAAAATGATTTGAAGTTTTTAGTGGACTGTTTCCTAACTGATTTGTCATGCTGCTCTTGACAACAAATACTAACATTTTCCTAGACCTTAGCAACTAAAGTTAATTAACTATGTTTCTACATAAATGCAAGTATGATTCTTTAATATTGACTGTATTAGTCTGTTCTCACGCTGCTGATAAAGACACACCTGAGACTGGGCAATTTACAAAAGAAAGAGGTTTAATGGACTCATAGTTCCACTTGGCTGGGGAGGCCTCACAATCATGGTGGAAGGCAAGGAGGAGCAAGTCACATCTTACATAGATGGCAGCAGGCAAAGTGAGAGAGCTTGTACAGGGGAACTCCTCTTTATAAAACCATCAGATCTCATGAGACTTATTCACTATCATGAGAACAGCACAGGAAAGACTTGCTCCCATGATTCAATTACCGCCCACCAGGTCCCTCCCATAGCACTTGGGAATTCAAGATGAGATTTGGGTGGGGACACAACCAAACCATATCATTCTGCCCCTGGCCCCTCCCAAATCACATGTCCTCACATTTCAAAACCAATCATGCCTTCCCAACAGTCCCCCAAAGTCCTAACTCATTTCAGCATTAACTCAATAGTCCACAGTCCAAAGTCTCATCCGAGACAAGGCAAGTCCCTTCTGCCTATGAGCCTGTAGAATCAAAAGCAAGTTAGTTACTTCCTAGATACAATGGGGGTACAGGCATTGGGTAAATACAGCCATTCCAAATGGGAGAAATTGGCCAAAACAAAGGAGTTACAGGCCCCATGCAAATCTGAAATCCAGCGAGGTAGTCAAGTCTTACAGCTCCAGATGATCTCCTTTGACTCCATTTCTCACATCCAGGTCATGCTGATGCAAGAGGTGGGTTCCCATGGTCTTTGGCAGCTTCACCCCTGTTGCTTTGCAGGTTACAGCCTCCCTCCTGGCTGCCTTCATGGGCTGGTGTTAAGTGTCTGCAGCTTTTCCAGGCACACGGTGCAAGCTGTTGGTGGATCTACCATTCTGGGGTGTAGAGGATGGTAGCCCTTTTCTCACAGCTCCACTAGGCAGTGCCCCAGTAAGGACTCTGTGTGGGGACTCCAACCCCACATTTCCCTTTCACACTGCCCTAGCAGAGGTTCTCCATGAGGACCCTGCCCCTACAGCAAACTTCTGCCTGGACACCCAGGCTTTTCCATACATCTTCTGAAATCTAGACGGAGGTTCCCACACCCCAGTTCTGTGCACTCACAGGCTCAACACGATGTGGAAGCTGCCAGGGCTTGGGGCTTGCACTCTCTGAAGCCGTGGCCCGAACTTTGTGTTGGCCCTTTTCAGCCACAGCTGGAGTGGCTAGGACACAGCACCAATTTCCTAAGCTGCACACAGCACGGGGACTCTGGGCCCAGCCCGTGAAATCGCTTTTGCCTCCTAGGTCTCCAGGCTTGTGATGGGAGGGGCTGCCATGAAGACCTCTGACATGCCCTGGAGATATTTTCTCCATTGTTTTGGGGATTAACGTTTGGCTCTTTGTTACTTACGGAAATTTCTGCAGCTGACTTGAATTTCTCCTCAGAAATGGGATTTTCTTTTCTATCTCATTGTCAGGCTGCAAATTTTCCAAACTTTTATGCCCTGCTTCCCTCATAAAATGGAATGCCTTTAACAGAACTCAAGTCACCTCTTGAATGCTTTGCTGCTTAGAAATTTGTTCCTCAGGATACCCAAAATCATCTCCCTCAAGTTCAAAGTTCCACAAATCTCTGGGGCAGGGGCAAAATGCCGCCAGTCTCTTTGCTAAAACATAACAAGAGTCACCTTTGCTCCAGTTTCCAACAAGTTTGTCATCTCCATCTGAGACCCCCTCAGCCTGTTTCATTGTCCATATCATTATCAGCATTTTGGTCAAAGACATTCAATAAGTCTCTAGGTAGTTACAAACTTTCCCACATTTTCCTGTCTTCTGAGCCCTCCAAACTGTTCCAACCTCTGCCTGTCATCCAGTTCCAAAGTCACTTCCACATTTTTGGGTATCTTTTCAGCAGTGCCCCACTCTACTGGTACCAATTTACTGTATTAGTCTGTTCTCACACCGCTGATAAAGACATAGGCGAGACTGGGCAATTTACAAAAGAAAGAGGTTTAATGGACTCAGTTCCACATGGCTGGGGAGGCCTCAATCATGGTGGAAGGCAAGGAGGAACAAATCACATCTTACATGGCTGGTAGCAGGCAAAGAGAGAGAGCTTGTGCAGGGGAACTCCTCTTTATAAAACCATCAGGTTTCATAAGACTTATTCACTGTCATGAGAACAGCATGGGAAAGACTTTTCCCCATGATTCAGTTACCTCCCACCAGGTCCCTCCCACAGCACTTGGGAATTCAAGATGGGATTTGGGTGGGGACACAGCCAAACCATATCATTGACCTTCCCCAAATTGCTTCTGGACTCACCTCCTTTAAGATGTGCTTTATGCTGCTTATTTAAGGTAAACTAAAAACAACCTGCCCACTAGCCACTTACACATGGGTTTTAGTGTTTTTCTTTTTTTCCATAAAGGTGATTTATAGACACTTTAAGGAAAATGTTTTCAAGCTGCTATTTTTAAATTTGCTTGGCTAGGCCGGAAAGGGTGGCAAGCACCTATAATCCCTTTTACTTGGTAGGCTGAGGTGGGAGAATCACTTGAGCCCAGAAGTTCAAGGCTACAGTGAGCTATGATGCCACCACTGCACTCCAGCCTGGGCAAAAGAGCAAGAACTTTCCTCTACAAAAAGAAAACAAAAAACTTGGTTATAGCCAAGTTCAATTGGCCTTTTACAACTATGCTTCTGTTTAAGAAGCCTTGTGTGACTTTTCATTTCCAGATGTAAAACATCACTATAGACAATTGAAAATTAGCCAAATAATACAAATTCAGCTATTCTATACTTTTGAAATAGACATCTGTGAAATAGACATTTGTGTTTCTCATTCAACAATACATAATATATTACTCTTCATTAATTTGAATCAGTAGTAATGAAAAAAATCTCATCTGGTAATAAGAATTGCCAAAGCCTGCAGCTTCTTCAGTGGTTTCTGGTGAGGAAAAAAAAAAGGATGATATAGTTAATAGGTGGTATTTTTTTTTAATTAGGAATTTGATGGAAGATGGTATAGATCTTTGGTTCTGAAGATACAGTATAAGTAGCTTCTTTTTGTTACTCTTGTATAAATTAACTTAAAATTTTTGTTGACATTTGAGCTTAAAAAACTAGCTATTATTGCAGCTTTCATAGTTAACTGTGTCATAATATCATTCTTTGCCTCATTATTAATACTTAGTATTTATGAAGAGTGAAGACTAACAAGGAGTGTGTCCCCCTCCCTTTTAATCTCTTTCAGCTACTTCTTACAACTCAGTTTCCCTTTAAAATAAATGAAAAAGTATTACAGGTTCTGACCAACATCTTTTTGTATCATGATTTCTCAGTTCAAAACTTTATAAAAGGACTTCAGGTAAGAACACAGTAATGGGTTTGAAAATTCTCAAGCTGATTCTAAATAATTTGCACATTATTTCAGGCTGTCTAGTGTGATAGGCATTTTAAATGGCAAAATCTAGAATAAGTAAATTCCAGTTATTTTATTCTAGGTTCTACAATTCCTTTGTTACCTTGCAGCAAACTGTAGAGAATGCACTCATTAGGATATCAATAATGGGAAAAGACTTCTATTCCAGCAATTCTTAACCATTTTGGGGGTAGGGGCAAGCAGACTTTTTTGGTTTGTTTCCGAGACTCTCATGAGAGCTTATGGACTTTTTCTACCAAGGAAATGCTATATATAAGGGGTCAGCAAACTTCTGTAAAGGGCCAGATATTAAACATTTTTAGCTTTTTTTTTTTTCGAGATGGAGTTTCACTTTGTTGCCCAGGCTGGAGTGCAGTGGCATGATCTCAGCTCACTGCAACCTTCGCCTCCCGGGTTCAAGCAATTCTGCCTCAGCCTCCCATGTAGCTGGGATTACAGGTGCGTGCCACCACGCCTGGCTAATTTTTGTATATTTAGTAGAAACAGGGCTTCACCATGTTGGCCAGGCTGGTCTCGAACTCCTGACCTCAGGTGATCCACCCACCTTGGTTCCCAGAGTGCTGGGATTACAGGCCTGAGCCACTACGCCCAGCCCATTTTTAGCTTTGCATGCTACATGTGGTCACTGCTGTTGCTGTTTCTGTTTCTTCTTCTTTAATAATCCTTTAAAGATATAAAAAAGGTTTTTAGTTTCTGGACCATGCATGTGTGTGTGTGTGTGTGTCTCTGTAATTTGTATTCTGATACATTGGGAATTCATTTTCACTAGTTTCATGAATTGCCTGAAGCTAATTCAGGAATTTAGCTTCATGATATATGCTGTAACCTAAAAAAGATCCCCATTCTCCAGTTGTTTAAAAGTTAGTATTATTTCCTTTTCTTGGAAGCTACATAAGTGTAGTCATTTTGAATACATGCCAGTTGTCTAGTTCATTAAAACCTATGTATTATGCCAGGCACGGTGGCTCATGCGTATAATCCCAGCATTTTAGGAAGTCAAGGTGGGAGGATCACTTGAGCTTAGTAGTTTGAGACCAGCCTGAACAACATAATGCAGCCTCATCTCTATTAAAAATAAAAAATAAGCCAGGCGTGGTGGCTTATTTATAGAGTCCCAGGTCCTCGGGAGGGTGAGGTGGGAGAATCACATGAGCCTGGGAAGTCAAGGCTGCAGTGAGCCATAATTGTGTCACTGCACTCTAGCCTGGGTGACAGAGCAAGAGACCTGTCTCTATAAAAAACAAACAAAATTCTGATTTTAAAAACCTATATATGTATTAGTAACCTTTGGTGCAAAAATTCAATTTGATAATACTTCATTTTGTGTAGTGCCTTGAAGATTATAAATTATTTCTCATGTTTCCTTCCTTCAAAAAAAGATTGCAGTGGTTTCTTTGGCTAATATGTATCTTTTCCTCCCAACTTTGACTTTTTAAAGAGTATTTTAAAAGAATAAAGCATTATTTACCTTAGGAATATGTAGAATTAAATGATATTAAGATTAAACTTTCTAAATTATTTCTTTAATTTCATTTCATTCATTTACTCATAAATACTTGTCAAGAACCTATTGTCAACCAAGCACTATGCTGAACCCTGAAGATACAGATAAAAATGAAATCTCTGGGCTGGGCGCGGTGGCTCACGCCTATAATCCCAGCACTTGGGGAGGCCGAGGCAGGCAGATCATGATATCAGGAGTTCGAGGCCAGCCTGGCCAACATGGTGAAACCCTGTCTCTACTAAAAATACAAAAAATTAGCCAGGCATGGTGGCGCATGCCTCTAATCCCAGCTACTTGGGGGGCTGAGGCAGGAGATCACCTAAACCTGGGAGGTGGAGGTTGTAGTGAGCGAGTGAGCGGAGATCATGCCACTGCACTCCAGCCTGGGCAACAGTGTGAGGCTCCATCTCAAAAAAAAAAAAAGAAATCTCTGCCTTCAAATTGTTATTTGTTTAATGATGGAGGCAAAACAGTAAACCCACAAATCTGAGTAGTCAGTGCTATGAAAGAAACATGCCCTGGGGTTCCATAGGAAAACAGAAGTGTATGCCTAAGAAATAGGAGCGAGCCAGGTCAGAATTTCAGGCAAAAGCAACAGTAGGGGAAGAGAGATCTGTTAGAATGCTATTGCAGTAATCTAGACAGGACATGACAAGGACTTAAATAAACTAAGGTAATGGTAGTGGAACTGGAGAGGAGGAAACAAATTTGAGGATGAGATCGAATAAAAAAACCTAGTGACTAAGTAGGTCATAGGATGTTCTGTTGTTTTTTTTTTTCTTACTTGACTTGAAGCTGAAAGGTTAAGAGAGGAGTAAGATGACACAGGCTCTAGCTTGGCAGATTGGAGGTTAGTACCGTTTATTAACTGTACATGTTAATACATAGCAAAGAGCAAGGTTGTTGTGAGAAAAGGATGAGTTTCTTTTTGTATCTGGTTAATTTAGGGGTGTGTTAGACATAAAGATTTTGTGCTCAGGAGAAAGATTTGGACTGGAAATAGATATTTAGGACTTATCCTTAAAAGGTGGCAGTTAAAATAATGTTATGAGGATGAAATGTCAGCTAGAGGGAGTAAGGAAAGGCTAAGGGCAGCACCTTAAGACAAACTGACCTGTAAAACTGAGCAGTAGAAAAGGAGACTAAAAACAAGGAGAACCGGTAGAAAGTGGAGTACCACTGAAGCCAAGGGAAAAAGAGATTCAGGAAATAGAAACTGTACTCTAAATACCTTGAGACAGAAAGTAAAGGACATTAACCAAGTTACTTAATCTCTCAGGGTCTCAGTTTTCTCATTTGTAAAATAAAGCAATCAGATTAGATGATTTTATGGTTTCCTGATAATTTATTAAGCACTTCCTTTATGCTTGACACTTTACTAAACTATTTACATGGTTTTTTTGTTTTTGTTTCTTTTTGAGATAGGGTTTCGCTCTGTCGCCCAGGCTGGAGTGCAGTGGCATAATCTGAGCTCACTGCAACCTCCGTCTCCCGATTTCAAGTGCTTCTCCTGCCTCAGCCTCCTGAGCAGCTGGGATTACAGGCATGCGCCACCACGCCTGGCTAATTTTGTATTTTTAGTAGAGATGGGGTTTCACCATGTTGGCCAGGCTGGTCTCGAACTTCTGACCTCCGGTGATCCACCCACCTTGGCCTCCCAAAGTACTGATATTATAGGCGTGAGCCACCTTGCCTGGCCTGCATGGTTTTATTCATGTGTATTATCCTCAGTTTTGCACATGAAGAAATTAAGATTTAAGTTAAGTGGCTTGGCCAAGGTCACACCACTAACAAGTGACAGCATCTTTAGACCTCATTTCCCCAGTTTTCCTAGTCCTCAGTGGAAAATATTGGTAAGTCGTGATTTCTACTTGAGACAGAGTCTCACTCTGTTGCCCAGGCTGGTCTCAAACTCCTGAGCTCAAGCGATCTTCCATCTTAGTTTCCTGAGTAACTAGGACTATGTAATTCCTGATTTCCATAGGATGTACAGCAGGACATATTATCATTCTGTGTGTTTTAGCCTTCCCTTCATTAGGTGGATATGTTAACCAACTTGTTGATTGACCCAGATATTGAAAACACACTTGAACAAAATAGTTAAGTGATAATGGGTTCATATCCTATTTGTAGCTCTACTGTAACTTCTGTGGCTTCCTCCCATTCCTCTTCCGCAGCAAGCCCCTTAGCCTGTTTAGTTTTTATTTTTCTCATGTCCGAAAAGTACTGTTAACATTGGGATAAGCATTATCACTTTGACATAATTAGAAAAGAGAAGAAACAAAATTATGTTAATATGTGCAAAAGTAATTTAGCACCTGGCATAAACAGTTGCTTTCTATTTTGTACTTGTTTCTAAGTTAGGCAGGCCCTTTGCCTTACAGCCTTAGAGAATGGACTATTTTGGAAGATTTCCTCTAGCCTTGGGTATCTTGTTGTCAGCATTATGAACTCAGAAATTCATTATCAGTTCCCCCAGGAAGGATCAAGCCCAAGATTATTGATTCATCCCAAACAAATACCTTAAGATGGATATGTAACCTAACATGCTAATTTATTAATTTGTGATGAGGAGTGACCAGTATCAGGGTACCTGAAAATACCAAACTGGTCAAGCAAAGTTTGCTTAGAATCAACATAATGAACATTTGCATAGTCTTGCAAGTTATACCAGTTTCTAGGTATAAAACTCAAGACTATCCAAATGTATACAAGATTATCCAAACGTTCATTATGTTGATTCTAAGCAAACTGAATGTTAGAATCTGGAAAATTGTCTTCCCTTCTACCATAGAGCCCACAGCATTCTATTATTAAAATGCTTATATCTACCAGATAGTACACCATGTTTTCCTCCATGGGAAAAAAATTAATTTGTAAAGATAAATTTTCATCATTCACTTTAATCCATAGGCACAGCTCCTACCATTGCAGCATTATTTTTTGTAACAGACCAGTTTTTACACTGATTTTAGATTGGCATTTTCTTATGAGTTTTGGGGTATCTATTAGACCCTTTCTTTAAACCTCAGTTTGGTCCACACCACATTTGTAATTATTATGTGTTGCTTTTGCAGATAGCTGTTCTATCCATTTGCATTAGTTTATCTTAGTTTGTATTTCAAAGATTACCATTTTCTGACCTTCTTCACAGAATTGGAACCTTAAAATATGGAGTTATATAGCCATTTTTATGTTGTTTGCAGTGTTATTGTGACATTATTAAATATATTAGTGCCATAAATACTTTGGCTCTTTAAAAAAATCCTTAAAATTGAGCAGATTGTAGCGCAATAGATTTACTGCCAAAATATAACAAATATGTTTAATCTTCACATGTCTTTCAGCTTTCTCTATTAGAGCATTTCTATTCCCAGCCCTTAAGTGTCCTGTGCTGTAATCTTCCAGAAGCCAAAAGAAGAATAAATTTTTTATCAAATAATCAATGTGAAAACATCCGACGTCTACCATCTTTTAGGAGGTAAAAAGAGAAGTACATGTTTAACACATACTATACTAGAATTTGGTACTAAATAAGAGATCTCAGATCCAGTTATTTCTGAAGTAGGGAAAGAAATAGTAACCTATTCTGTTTTTAATTGTGGGATTTCCCTTGTTGGATTTGAAAATTTGGCAAAAAGAAAAGTATTTTTACAAAGGGACATAATTTGCAAGTTCTCCAGAGTTACTTTTTAGAAATAACATTTCCTATTCCTGGGGTTTATGGCCTTTTTTAATGTTTATATCTATAGACTATGAAGTCCAGCTGATTTAAGGAGTTTAAAATTACCATTAAACCATAAATGTCATACTGAATTTATTTTTGTGAAGAAATGAAAAAAATGTGGCTACCAATCTAGGTAGTTCTTTTTCCCAATATGCTATTTAAATATGTTGAATGTTTAATTTTCTCTTTTTATGTATGGAATGGTGAAAATTCTAGGTACGTGGAAAAGCAAGCTTCAGAAAAGCAAGTTGCGCTCTTGACCAATGAGAGATATTTGAAGGTAGGAATGTGAATGTGTTTCAGTTTCATTCTCTTTTTCCTTTCATAAAGAAGAATATGCATGTAACATTTATTGAGTTAATAAAACATATTTGTGCATCTTAATATTTATACAGTGAAGTACTGGGTCTTGATAGTCACCTAGGAATGTGAGTTTTAAAGATGACATAAAACCTTAGCTCTAAAAGTTGAGGCTTTTTTTAATCAAGAAAAAATATTAAACACCAAGTTTCTCTTGTGGCCTATTTTGAAAGCACCTTTAGATCTATAGAGATCTGCTATGTGAATCTTTTTCCACCTAGCAGTTTTGGAATCTGCCAGCAATTTCGTTGTAATGTTCTTTTTAAAGGCTGTGATAAATAAAAGCATTTAGAAGCCAGGCAGCTTAGGCGTCTGCTGCTAAGTGGGTATTGATTTGATTTGAAGAAATATCATTATATATTGATAATATAAAGCTAGGAAAGAAGTAATGAGCTTAGAAAATTATCAGTGAGCTGTACAACATAAGGAATATCAAAAGAAGGAGGGCTTCTTTCTTGAATAAATAATACTTGGATGTAGTATATAATTCAAAATGGATATAGTATACTATATATGTTATAGTATATAATATACAGTGAAAGGCTTCGTTTCACCTGTCTTCCAACTACCCATGTCCCTTCCCTGGATACAGCCAGTGTTACTAGTTTCTTATATTTCATTCTAGATAGAGTCTCCATACATACAAGTAATTATATTATATTTTGGCAGTTGCTGCCTTCTTACAATATTCTGCACCTTGTTTCATTTTGTACTTAATCTTGGAAATCATTCCATATTAGTACTGAAGAGTGACATAGTAGTCTATTGAATTAATGTACCTTTTTTAAGAACATGCCTCTTACTGATGAGCATTTAGAAACACATAATGTCACATTTATTTTCATACTCCTCATGCCTTTTTTAGGAAAAAGTTGTTAGAATATTGTAATGATAGTAAGATGAGATTGAAGGTAAGCCATAGTGCTAAAGATGAGTTTTGGTAATACATACGATTTTCAGATTTTGAACAAGAGAATGTTAGATCTTATACATGTACAATTATATATCCATTTAAAAAATTAAAAATGTGTTTTAAAAAATGTTAGATTCTAGAGGGCATGTGTTTCCCTCCATTGGTAATTTATGCCCATTATAAATGCTCAAAAAATATTCAGAATGGCTTTTATTAAACATTATTTCTAATGTAGAATCCACACTGGGCCGTAATATAAAGTCACTTCTAGATTGGGCTCAATAATCATTTTAGTAATCTCTGTAATGCCTTCAGAGCAGTATAGGAGGTTCTCAGACCTCCATGCAGGTTGTTTTGCTGGGAAGAAATTTAAGAACTAGTGAGAAAGAATGTGTGCATGTTTACTGAGTCTTTGGAGATTAGCTAGATTAGCTCTCTGTTGAGTCAGCTAGTTGCCAAGTCCATTTCCTGCTAGAACTTTCTGTCAGAGTTATTTCAGAAGCCAGGAATAGATTTTTTAAGAGTACCTTTAACCATTGAGATGACAGAGGGAGAGAATGTCTAGGCTAGTGTATTATAGAAATTGCCTGACATTGGTCAGGCACGGTGGCTCACGCCTATCATCCCAGCACTCTATGAGGCCTGGGTGGGTGGATCACTTGAGGTGAGGAGTTCAAGACCAGTCTGGCCAACATTGTGAAACCCCATCTCTACTAAAAATACAAAAATTAGCTGGGCGTGGTAGCGCATGCCTGTAGTCCCAGCTACTCAGGAGGCTGAGGCAGGAGAATCACTGGAACCTGGGAGGTGGAGGCTGTGGTAAGCCGAGATTGTACCATTGCACTCCAGCCTGGGTGACAGAGCAAGACTCTGTCTTTAAAAAAAAACAAAACAAAACAAAACAAAAAGAGCCTGACATTTATGTCTGCTTTTCAGTGACTTTTTACATATTTTCTTAGCATTTATTTATGCTATCCTTGTTCTTGTTGCACTGTCAGTTTTGCTTGTTATGATCTTTGGTGTATTCATTTTCAAATTACATACTTTGTCATATAAGTGCATGTTTTCTAGAGACTTATACAGTGAGAAATATGAAAAAGCACAGAGATTTGTACCCTTACCCTGAAAAAGTTAGCTGCAGGCTACCTGCTGAAATCAAAAGACAGAAAGTGTCTAAGAAAAAATGAATGTTTTAGGCCAGGCACGGTGGCTCACTCCTGTAATCCCAGCATTTTGGGAATCTGAGGTGGACGGATCACTTGAAGTCAGGAGTTCAAGACCAGCCTGGCCAATATGGTGAAACCCTGTCTCTACTAAAAATACAAAAATTAGCCGGGCATAGTGGTGCATGCCTGTAATCTGAGCTACTCCAGAGGCTGAGGCAGGAGAATCACTTGAACCTGGGAGGTGGAGGTTGCAGTGAGCCAAGATCATGCCCTAGCGTCGGCAACAGAGCAAGACTCTGTTTCAAAGAACAAAAACAAAACAAAACAAAAGAATGTGTCTTGATTTTTTAGTTTAAAGTATCTTTGAATATTCTCATAATAATGCTTCTCTTTTTATGGTTTTGTAAAAATACATGACAATAATGTGGTACTACAAAATATAGGAAATTTTGTATTTGAACTGCAGTTACTCATTAGCTATCTATATTTAAGAAAATCACTTACCTTATTTAAGCCTCAATTTTCTTTTTTTTAATTATACTTTAAGTTCTAGGGTACATATGCGCAACGTGCAGGTTTGTTACGTGGGTATATGTGTGCCGTGTTGGTTTGCTGCACCCATCAACTCGTCATTTACATTAGGTATATCTCCTAATGCTATCCTTCCCCCAGCACCCCCACCCACCAACAGGCCCTGGTGTGTGATGTTCCCCACCCTGTGTCCGTGTGTTCTCATTGTTCAACTCCCACTTGTGAGTGAGAACATGTGGTGTTTGGTTTTCTGTCCTTGTGATAGTTTGCTGAGAATGATGGTTTCCAGCTTCATCCATGTCCCTGCAAAGGACATGAACTCATCCTTTTTTTATGGCTGCATGGTATTCCATGGTGTATATGTGCCACATTTTCTTAATCCAGTCTATTATTGATGGACATTTGGGTTGGTTCCAAGTCTTTGCTATTGTGAATAGTGCCGCAATAAACACACGTGTGCATGTGTCTTTGTAGTCGTATGATTTATAATCCTTTGGGTATATACCCAGTAATGGGATTGCTGGGTCAAATGGTATTTCTTGTTCTAGATCCTTGAGGAATCACCACACTGTCTTCCACAATGGTTGAACTAATTTACACTCCTACCAACAGTGTAAAAGTGTTCCTATTTCTCCACATTCTCTCCAGTATCTGTTGTTCCCTGACTTTTTAATGACCGCCATTCTGACTGGTGTGAGATGGTATCTCATTGTGGTTTTGATTTGCATTTCTCTGATAACCAGTGATGATGAGCATTTTTTCATATGTCTGTTGGCTGCGTAAATGTCTTCTTTTGAGAAGTGTCTGTTCATATCCTTTGCCCACTTTTTGATGGGGTTATTTTTTTCTTGTACATTTGTTTAACTTATTTGTAGATTCTGGATATTAGCCCTTTGTCAGATGGGTAGATTGCAAAAATTTTCTCCCATTTTGTAGGTTGCCTGTTCACTCTGATGACAGTTTATTTTGCTGTGCAGAAGCTCTTTAGTTTAATTAGATCCCATTTGTCAATTTTGGCTTTTGTTGACATTGCTTTTGGTGTTTCAGTCATGAAGTCTTTGCCCATGCCTAGTCTTGGTATTGCTTAGGTTTTCTTCTAGCGTTTTTATGGTTTTAGGTCTTACATTTAAGTCTTTAATCCATCTTGAATGATTTTTTTATAAGGTTAAGGAAGGGATCCAGTTTCAGCTTTCTACATATGGCTAGCCAGTTTTCCTGGCTCCATTTATTAAATAGGGAATCCTTTCTCCATTGCTTGTTTTTGTCAGGTTTGTCAAAGATCAGATGGTTGTAGATGTGTGGTGTTATTTCTGAGGCCTCTGTTCTGTTCCATTGGTCCATATCTCTGTTTTGGTACCAGTACCATGCTGTTTTGGTTACTGTAGCCTTGTAGTACAGTTTGAAGTCAGGTAGCATGATGCCTCCAGCTTTGTTCTTTTTGCTTAGGATTGTCTTGGCAATGTGGGCTCTTTTTTGGTTCCATATGAACTTTAAAGTAGTTTTTTCCAGTTCTGTGAAGAAAGTCATTGGTAGCTTGATGGGGATGGCATTGAATCTATAAATTACCTTGAGCAGTATGGCCATTTTCACGATATTGATTCTTCCTATCCATGAGCATGGAATGTTTTTCCATTTGTTTGTGTCCTCTTTTATTTCACTGAGCAGTGGTTTGTAATTCTCCTTGAAGAGATCCTTCACATCCCTTGTAAGTTGTATTCCTAGGTATTTTATTCTCTTTGTAGTAATTGTGAATGGGAGCTATTTAAGCCTCAATTTTCTTATATAGAAAGTAGGATAATAGGCTGGGTGTGGTGGCCCATGCCTGTAATCTCAGCACTTTGGGAGGCCAAGGCAGGCAGATCACTTGAGGCCAGGAGTTTGAGACCAGCCTGGACAGCATAGCAAAACCCCTTCTCTACTAAAAATACAAAAAATTATCCAAGTGTGGTGGTGTGTGCTTGTTAACCCAGCTACTTGGGAGGCTGAGACACTAGAATCCCTTTAACCAGGGAGGCAGAGGTTATAGTGAGCTGAGACAGCGCCACTGCACTCCAGCCTGGGCAACACAGCATGACTCTGTCTCCAAAAAAAAAAAAAAAAGTAGGATAATAATTCCTAGTATGATTTTTTCATAAGGTTAGTGATAATCAAAGTTTGTTCAGCAAATAAAAGTGATTTGAAAACAAATATAATGATAAAGCTTTTATAAATGAAAATAATAACTTGTTATATATTTTTCACTCATAAAAATTAAGATCAATATGAACACATTTTATTTATTTATTTATTTTTATTTTATTTTATTTTTTTTGAGGTGGAGTTTTGTTCTTGTTGCCCAGGGTGGAGTGTAATGGCGTTATCTCGGCTCACTGCAACCTCCACCTCCCAGGTTCAAGAAGTTCTCCTGCCTCAGCCTCCCAAGTAGCTGGGGTTACAGGTGCCTACCACCACACCCGGCTAATTTTTTGTATTTTTAGTAGAGACAGGGTTTCACCATGTTGGCCAGGCTGGTCTCAAACTCCTGACTTCAGATAATCCACCCGCCTCGGCCCCGCAAAGTGCTGGGATTACAGGTGTGAGCCACCGCGCCCAGCTTTTTTTTTTTTTTTTTTGAGGGGGTCTCGCTCTATCGCCCAGGCTAGAGTGTAGTGGCACGATCTCAGCTCACTGCAACCTCCACCTCCTGGGTTCAAGCCATTCTCCTGCCTCAGCCTCCCTCGTAGCTGGGATTAGAGGCATGGGTCACCACACCCGGCTAATTTTTGTATTTTTAGTAGAGACGGGGTTTCACCATGTTGGCCAGGCTGGTCTTGAACTCCTGACCTCAAGTGATCCGCCCGCCTAGGCCTCCCAAAGTGCTGGGATTACAGATGTGAGCCACCACACCCAGCCAATATGAACACATTTCAATGTATATAAAGATGTATATACATTTTTATGTATTATAATATACAATCTATATGTAATATTTATAATACTCTTATGTTATATAGTTGTATAGACATGCCTACCATTAGAGTTTATCATTTTGTGCCCATTTTCTATATTCAAGTGTCTAAGAGCTAGACCTCACAGAATATTCCAGAGAAATTTACAGTCTGTATAACTGGAAACCACACTTCAAGAACTACTAAGTTAGACTGCCTCCCTAGGAGGAAGCATTTGTTATTGTTTCCCCCATCACCTCATTTTCTTAAGCTAGAACTAATCTATTAAGTTCCCACCTAAACAAATGATTGATCTCAGTTATCCTCTGACTAGAATCAAGACGTTAACAAAAACCTTTAACTCCCTCAAAATTATGGATCCACTGCTTCAGAACTATATGTCAGCTTTGAATTTAATGAACTCAGTAATGAGTTTTTTAAAAAGTGTACTTTTAAATGTAAAAATTTAGCTGACTAAAACTAACACAGGAACAGAAAACCAAGCACCACATGTTCTCATTTGTGAGTGGGAGCTGAACAATGAGAGCACAGGTCGGAGGGAGAGCATCAGGATAAACAGCTAATGCATGCGGGGCTTAATACCTAGATGATGGGTTGATAGGTGCAGCAAACTACCATGGCACACATTTACCTAAGTAAGAAACCTGCACGTCCTGCACATGTATCCCAGAACTTAAAATAAAATAAAATTTAAAACTTTACCTGACTAAACAATGTACATTTGTAGGTGATTTGCTAGGAATTTCCTACTAAGGAGGGACATTAGAAGACCTGGTACAGCTGATGAAATACTGAAAATCTTCATACTATGTAGAAAGCTTAGATTCATTCCCTTGCAGGTGACAGTTGAAGTTTTATTATTCTTACTTGTTAATGTTTCACGTCTTTATACCTATTTTCCCAACTAGACTTTAAATCCTTTTAGAGTGAGAAATAAACCTTGAACTCCTTTAGCACCCTCATTTCAAAAATGAAGAACTGCAGCCAAGAGAAAGGAAGTGAAATATCTCATGTCACAGAGCAAGTTCATGGTAGAGTAAGGACTTCTTTTCACCGTTTAGTATGCTTATCATAGTGTCTCATGAACAAAAGGCACAAAATCAGTTCATGAGTTTGATGAAGACCTGCCTTTCACCTTTGACCCCACCTCTTTCTGTTTCTTTTGTCAGACCTACAGGGCAGACAGGGGGAAGAAAATTTCTTAGAAAAAATAATAAATGGAAAAGTAAAGGAAAAAGGAAAACAATCACAGTCTATCAAATGTGATCAAATGAGCTGGGCATTAGCCTAGTGTGTCAGGAATTAATCATTTAAATTCAAACTCTTTGTCAAGTGCTTCTCTTGATCTATACTGCTGAGGTAGGAATATGGAGAACAAAAGGTAGAGACAGATGAGAAGACTAGCACTCTTGCCACATAAGTGCTAGGAGAAAGCTGTGGTTTGGCATTCTTATTAGATAGCAGTAATATGCTAAGTCTGGAAAACACTGCCAGCCAGCATTTTTCTCTAATGAGAAAAATAAGGCTTAGTTATAACAAGATAATAAATGAGAAAATTCTGTGTTCTTAGACAGCTGATATCTCTTAATCCTAAAATTCAACAGTCTGTTTTACCAGTTTTTAATGATCAGTGAATTGATTGAAAAGAAATTACAGAAGTTTATAGTCATTTTTACATACTTTATTTTATAATCTGAGGTCACTGTTCACCCCTATACATACAATTTTAGAGACAAAAGTGGTAAGTACTATGGAAGTAGAAGAGAAATAAATGCATGGCAAATGTAATTCTGCCTAGCCTTTTTTTCTTTACCTGTATAAGTTTTACATATGTATTGACTTCTCCTCCAGAGAAAGCAGCTAGCTCAATAACAATAGGGGGTCTGTCATATAAGTAAACAGTGATATATGATTTTTAAAAAATAGATTCAGGGGGTTACAGGTGCAGTTTGTTACATATTGGATGATGGTGAGTTTTTGGCTTCTAGTGTGCCCATCACCTGAATAGTGAACATTGTACCTAATAAATAATTTCTCTGCCGTCACCCCTCCCAACCCTACCCCTTTTGAAGTCCACAGTGTCTGTTATTTTACTCTGTATATACATGTGTACCTATTATTTAGCTCTCACGTATAAGTGAGAACGTGCGGTATTTGATTTTCTGTTTCTGAGTTATTTCACTTAGGATACTGGCCTCCTGCTCCATCCATGTTGCTGCAAAAGACATGCTATCAGTGAATGATTTTTGTATGAATAACAGACAGGATTGATGAGGTTGGAGATGACTAATTTAAGAGGGTATATTGCACATTAAGAGGCAACCCACAGTCTAATGTAAATGTGTTTTTTAAACATACATTTAAAAAAAATGTTAGAACCAATATTTACATATTGAGAAATTTTACGTTACAAATTCAGACTTTTGAAAAATCAGGAAATCTAGACCACATCCAGCAAGACAAAATATGGTTGCTCTTACTTAAAAGAGAGACTGAGGCTGGGCACAGTGGCTCACACCTGTAATCCCAGCACTTTGGGAGGCCGAGGCAAGCAGATCAGCCTGGGCAACATAATGAGACCCCATCTCTACAAAAATTAGCCGGGTGTGGTGGTGTGCACCTATATATAGTCCCAGCTACTTGGAAGGCTGAGACAAGAGGATCACTTGACCCTGGGAGGTCAAGGCTGCAGTGAGCTGAGATTGCACCACTGCATTCCAGCCTGGTTGCTAGAGCAAGATCCTGTCTCAAAAATTAAAAATAAATAAAAGAGAGACTAAGTGTTCAGCCTTCATTCATTAATGTACTCTTCATTCAGCCAATATTTTTCTAGTGCCTATTATGTGCCCGGTGTTAATCTAGGTTTTGAGAATACAGGAGTGAACCAAACAGCCAAAACTTCTACCGTTTTCATTGTATCAGGGAGACAGACAATAAATAAGATAAATAAGTAAAATATCTGTTAGTGATAAGTGCTGAGATAAAAACAATGAAGCAGAGAAGAAGGATATGAAGTTCCATGTGCGTGGGAAGTGGAGTCAAAATTTTAAATAAGGACCTGACTGAGAAGGTAAATTTTGAGTAAAGACCTAAAGGAAGTCACAGAGCTTGCCACTCAAGAATCTGGAGGAAGGGAATTCTAAGCAGGTAGAAAGGACCTGAGGTTGGAGCATGTCTGCCATATTTGAAGAAGAGCAAGGAGGCTGTTATGTATTGCTTTGCTTTTTTTTTTTCTTTTTGAGACAGTTTCGCTCTGTCACCCAGGCTGGAGTACAGTGGTGCAATCATAGCTTGCTGCAGCCTTGACTTTCTGGGCTCAAGCAGTCTTCCTACCTCAGCCTCCTGAGTATCTGGGACTACAGGCACATGCCACCATGCCCAGCTAATTTAAATTTTTTTTTTTTTTTTTTGTAGAGACAGGGTCTCTCACTATGTTGCTCACTATCAAGCTGGTCTTGAACCCCTGGGCTCAAGTGATCCTCCCACTATGGCCTCCCAAAGTGCTGGGATTATGGGCATGAGCCACTATGCCATGCCTGTTTTTCTTATAGCAGAGAAATATTTCTGTTCCTTTGTCAAAAATCAGTAAAGACTAAGAAGTCTTCATGCTTAAAGAACAGAGAAAGCATATCTTTTTAGTAAATAATGCATATTCCTAGACAAAGTGTATCTCCGTAGAAAAGAATCATTGTAAACACAATTATGAAACAAAATGGTGACAGCTATGACTAGTGTGCAGAAAAAGTGCCTGAAGAAAAATTTAACATATGGAAAGTAGGGTTAATATTTCAACAGGCTTTATTTTCACATGTACATGGTATGATGCTGCTGTAATGTATTAAATGGAAAATTTTTTTTTGAGATGGAATCTCACTCTGTCACCCAGGCTGGACTGCAACAGCGCGATCTTGGCTCACGGCAACCTCCGCCTCCTGGGTTCAAGTGATTCTCCTGCCTCAGCCTCCCAAGTAGCTGGGATTACAGGCTCCTGCCACCACACCCAGCTAATTTTTGTATTTTTACTAGAGAGGGGGTTTTGCCAGGTTGGCTAGGCTGGTCTTGAACTCTGACCTCAGGTGATCCACCCGCCTCGGCCTCCCAAAGTGCTGGGATTACAGGCGTGAGCCACCCTGCCCGGCCCGAAAATTTTCTCATATATCAAAACCTTTTACAGGTTTGAGTTTGTAAAATAGTGTCCATAAGTACATTAAGAATTATTGTTTTAAGGCCGGGTGCAGTATCTCACGCAGTGTCTAATCCCGACACTTTGGGAGGCCAAGGTGGGCAGATCACTTGAGGTCAGAAGTTTGAGACCAGCCTGGCCAACCCAGTGAAACCCCATCTCTGCTAAAAATACAAAAAATTAACCAGGCATTATGGCAGGCGCCTGTAATTCCAGCTACTCAGGAGGCTGAGGCAGGAGAACCGCTTGAGCCTGGGAGGTGGAGGTTGCAGTGAGCTGAGATCACGCCACTGCACTCCAGCCTGGGCAACAGAGCAAGACTCCATCTCCAAAAACAAACAAACAAAAAAGAATTATTGTTTGAATAAGTAAAGGCAGATACATATGTGCAGGTATCTAAGTAAGATGGAAAACTTAGAGGACATGTTATAAGAAAATGTTAATCATTTGTGATGTTTTTTGTTGCAACTGATAAAAACACATATAAATAACAATGAAATCTTTATTATGTGGAGATTAGGTTCTAAAGTCAGCACATAAGGTGAAGATCTGGGATGGTCAAAATTACTCTTGAAAAATCCCTTAGAAAGGTACAGCAAACCTTCTCTCATTCGTTAAGTCCATCATAGCCAGTCTTTTTCCCCATTGTTGGAACCAACCACCATTTCCTCAGTTGAGCACCAGATGATATAGTCTGCCATGTTGTATGGAACAAAACAAAACAATACAATACAAAACATTTTTTAGGCCAGTCACGGTGGCTCACACCTGTAATCCCAGCACTTTGGGAGGCTGAGGTGGGTGGATCACTTGAGGTCAGGAGATCAAGACCAGCCTGGCCAACATGGTGAAACCCTATCTCTACTAAAAATACAAAATGTTAACTGGGCATGGTGGCAGGCACCTGTAATCCCAGCTACTCAGGAGGCTGAGGCAAGAGAATCACTTGAACCTGGGAGGTGGAGGTTGCAGTGAGCAGAGAGTTAGACTTCATCTTAAAATTTTTATTTTTATCTTAAAATAAAATAATGATTAAAGCAAAACAAAACATTTTTTAAACACTAGAACTCTACTCAGCACAGGGATGCACCACACAGTGAAAAGTATGAAGGAACTGAGACCACCTAGGAGAAAAACATGTTTATATTCCTCATCGAACACTTATTCCAGGGCAGGTATGTTCCTTGAGTATGCAGTATTGCCCTATAGTGGGTAAAGTATTTCTTTTCTCTCCTTATCCAAGTAAATGGAATGAAGATACTCACTTCTACTGCATCACCCAGATACTTGTACACATAGCTATTCCACAAGGCAAAAGAAAATAGGTAGCACAAGTAGCATGCAGTGTGATTACTCAGTAATAGAGTTCATTTTCTTCAAAATATTCCCCCTGTTTAAAAGCTATTTAAGCACACATCAAGGTAATTAATGGCTTTATGCCATCTGTATGTTATGGCTCACAGTAAAAAACTAAAGAACTAAGCTAAAGTTTAGAACTAAAGTATACCCTCCCAATGGTGGTTAAAACAATTTTTGATTATGGCTACTTTTGTTATGATAGGAGATTTAGATTTTGTTGTGATAGGAGACATAGATTTTGAAATTACCAATCAACTCAAATAATGGGAGGGAAAACATTTAGGTGCTAAAAACTTTTCTTTAATCTGCCATGTGCTTTCAGGTAATGACCCGTAGATCGTTGACCAAGGAATTGATTTCCTAAGTGAGTTGGTGTTTAGGAAGATATGTCATATTTATTGCTTTATAGAGGTTAGATTTGCTTGAATTTATTGATATCTGAGTTATTTTCTATATGGCTGACCACTAAAAATAATGGGTATCTGCAAGATATTACTGAAATAAAGACACAGCCCAGCAAAGCCTTTATTTGACTTCTTAAAGGAGAAAAATATTGAAGACCATGGCACAGATGATAATCCTCTTAAGAAAATGTTACAGAGTAAGTGGTTATAAAAGGAATTGAGGCCTGAAAATTACCTGATAGGATATAATGTTTTAAAATCATTTCTAAACTATTTCAGGAGGCTCTAGAAAACCTCTCTCTCCCCTCAACAAAACCTTTTGAAACTGATTTGTGAGATTAATCATCCATAGGTTTCTTCTTTTTTTCTGTATCTAAATCCCTAATATGGCGAGTAGGGCTAGTTTTCGGTTGTGGGTTTTTTATTTTTATACAAATGAGGTCTCACTATGTTGCTCACCCAGGTCTTAAACTTCTAAGCTCAAGCTATCCTCCTGCCTCAGCCCTCCAAAGTGCTGGGATTACAGGCGTGAGCCACTACACCTGCATAGATTTCTTAAGACACTATCCCTCATGTCATCATCCTTGCTAGATTCTAAATTATAAAACTTGTTGGCTTCAGATTTATTTATTTATTTATTCTTTTTTTTTTCTTAATTGGTGAAGCAAATAAAACCAGTATTGGAGATCTCAGCAAGAGGCAGGGACTCATCAGAATCACTTGTGTTTCTGCCATAGTCTTTTCATTTTCCCCTTCAAACACACTAACACACTTGAGTAGTACTTTAGGAAAAGTATGCAACATAAGCAGAACTTTAGCAAGTTCATTAGGTTGGTACCATTCTGTCTGGTGATCTCACTCTTCTGATGCTAGCAAGGTGGAGGATAAAGCACCTTCCCTTGCTGTGGCACACACCAGGTGATGGGCACAGGCAAGCATCCACTAAGGTGCTTTCTTGCATACTTGTAATTTTGGTGGCCAAAGTATTGTGGGAATGCTAGAGCTATCAGGAGATTAAAATACAGTATCAATTCTGGCTTGTGTAAAGTATCACCAGACTTGATACTAAATCAGAAATGCTCTGCCTGTATTCTGGATTTTATATGTATTTCAAATTTTCATGAATTAATTTGTAGTTTTGAATCTTGTCAGTTTTCCAGAAATTTTTATAGCCATGAAGTAGATTGTATTATTATGCTCTTTTATTAGCTGACTTACATATTAATAATATATTCTGTGATTTTTAGGAGGAAACACAATTATTACTAGAAAACCTGCATGTTTATCATATGAATTACTTCCTGGTTTTGAGATGTCTTCATAAGTTCACCTCTTCTCTTCCCAAGTATCCACTAGGTCGACAGGTAATCCAAGC
The DNA here is from genome assembly GCF_000001405.40 of Homo sapiens. NCBI lineage: Eukaryota > Metazoa > Chordata > Mammalia > Primates > Hominidae > Homo > Homo sapiens. The sequence continues at coordinate 87,634,973 of NC_000006.12, forward strand.
CTCCTCATTTGTAATCCATGAAGTAGGAATGTTAGTATTTTCTTGCTTTGGTTTTTGTAGCATTCAGGCATCAGAATGTGAAATGAAGCCAATCCTTACAATGAGAACACAATCTAAATCCATTCCAGCTGTAAACATTACTGGTAATTGATATTGTTTTTTTGTTCAGATGGCCACAGCTAGAAACAGCCGTATGAATCCCAGTGGTGTTGCTTCCCCTACAATGTTTTTGTACTAAGGCATTTGAACTTTCCTTCTTTAACACTTCCTTGTCACCTGTACTGAGAGAGCTGTTTCTCTTCCCTTAATGGAAGAAGGAATCTGTTTGAGAATGCTTGATGGTTAACCTTGCACTACACCCAGAATAAAAAGAGAAGCAGTACTTCTGCTGCTTGAAAAATTATGCTCAGCTGGCCTTTATGTTATTCGATAAACCTATCAACCATCTGTAGAGTAGATTTTAGCAGAGAAATTCTATATTCCTAAATCATCTTAGCTCAAAGCTTTGGAGAACAAATACCAGTATGTAAGAATGACTTGTTGGCTGGGTGCAGTGACTCACGCCTGTAATCCCAGCACTTTGGGAAGCCAAGGCAGGTGGTTCGCCTGAGGTCAGCAATTCGAGAACAGCCTGGCCAACATGGTGAAACCCTGTCTCTACTAAAAATACAAAAATTAGCCCGGCGTGGTGGCACACACCTGTAGTCCCAGCTATGAGGGAGGCTGAGGCAGGAGGATGGCTTGAACCTGGGAGGCGGAGGTTGCACTGAGCTGAGATCACTGCACTCCAGCCTGGATGACAGAGTGAGACTCCGTCTAAAAAAAAAGAATGACTTGTTCATGAGGTGATTTTTGCCATTGAGCCTTAAATGAGCCTCTTTTTCTCATTTTTCCTTTATCAGTTTCTTATTTTAAAATGACCACTGATATCAACCAATCTCAGTATAGCCTCATTTTACTTTTATATAAATTGCATTTTTTTTTTTTTTTGAGACAGAGTCTCGCTCTGTCACCCAGGTTGGAGTGCAGTGGCGCAATCTCGGCTCACTGCAAGCTCCGCCTCCCAGGTTCACACCATTCTCCTGCCTCAGCCTCCCAAGTAGCTGGGACTACAGATGCCCGGCTAGTTTTTTGTATTTTTATTAGAGACGGGGTTTCACCGTGTTAACCAGGATGGTCTCGATCTTCTGACCTCCTGATCCGCCCGCCTCAGCCTCCCAAAGTGCTGGGATTACAGGCGTGAGCCACCGCGCCTGGCCGTAAATTGCATTCTTATAAAGCCTGATCCATGAGATATATGCCAAGTCTATTATAATCTAAAGAAAATGACTTTTAATAACATTAATTTTTTTTGTGTTGACCAGAAATGATTTTTGCCAAACTAGTAGTGTGTATACACTTTTGGTTCCTCACAAATGTGTTGTTCCCTTACAGATCAGAGAGTTGTACTGTACATGTTTAGAAAAGAACATATGGGATTCAGAGGAGTATGCATCAGTCTTGCAGCTGCTGAGGTAGTTTTGTTTTTTCTTGTTTTTCTATTTTTGTCTGCTATAAGCCTGCCAGTAAGTAGCACCTTCCTCTAGAACCCTGCCTGCCAAAAAGTTTCATAAATAGCCATGTTGTGTCTAAGAATATTTGCATATATCTTGAATTTATCCATGTAGCTTATGATGTTTTTAATATAGCAACTATCCGTTTCTTTGCTGGTTTAACCTTGCATTTGAGCTTGTGGTTTTTAAAGGAAAATCCATGATTGTTTAGTCAAATACTGACACTACCCTAAGAGAGCTTAGATATGGATCATTTGAATCCAGCCAACTTTACATCATGGCAGGGAAAGCAAGTCATGAAAAGTGAGGTCACCATGTCCCCAACCTGGTTGAATGCAGGAAGAGCATCATTGGGTGATATGTACCCAGTGGTCACAGCTGACCTTGACTAGGAGCAGCAAGGAGTAGGCAGTGGCCTTGGTGCCTTCCCTCACCTTAACATTGGCTAATTCATAAATTATTTATCTAATAATATACAAGTAAATAAAATATCTTAGTGTTAAAGTTATTATTTATATTCCTTGGTTTCACTTCTTATATGTATAGTTACTTTTTAGTCTTCCATAAAAAAATGACACTTGGATAGTTATAAGGGGAAATCACATGTGAGCTAAGTTTCGCCAGTTTTATAATTTTCCTCAGAGGTTGTAAATGCTTATATAAAAATATTTTAAAGAAGTCTGAAAACTGAATATTTATTAAGTCTTGCTTTCCTCTGGGCCCACAAGAAAAGAACAGATGGGCACAGTAGGAGGAAAATTCACACTGAAAGCACTTCAAGTCCAGAGACTTAATAATACAAATATTAGTGATCTAGCAGGTGCAGCTTAAGATAGAAAATGAATTTCATGCTATCTGGAAAAATACCTCCCCATGGAAACTAGATTGCCACTGAAAAGCTGTGTTTTATTTCATTTTTTAAAATCCCAACAAGATTTCTTTTTTCTTCTTTTTTTTTACCCATAAGGAAACCAAAAAATCCCAATAAGATTTCTATGTATTTATAAGCTTATGTCAACTATAGTATTTCTGAGACTTATTTTGCTTTCTAAATATACCTATCTTATATACCCAGTTGATTCTTTCAGGTTTTTCTCTTTTAAGCTTTGTGATTAGTAATTGTCTTCCTTCTCCAGTGAGGTGTTCCCAGATTCATAGATTCTTTTGTCAAAGAGGAACTTGTTCTTTTTGTTCTGAACCTCCCAACACCAGTTGTCTTAGGGTACAGTCAAGAACCAAGAATGCCAGTTCCAAAGTAGGGTAAGGAAACATGAGCAGCAGTAGTAATGGTGATAGCAGTAACCATCACTTATTGAAGGCTTGCTGTGTGCAAGGCACTTTGTTAGGCACTCTCAGTACATTTTCCAATCTAAAACTCTTAATATACCTTTATGGTAGATATTATTAGGCACACTTTACCCCCTGAGGAATCTGAAACACACACAGGGATTAAGTGACTTGCCTGAGATCACCTAGCTGCTGAGGGAACCAGGATTCTACTCCAGGTCTGACTTCAAAGCTGTTATACCTTCTGCTTTTCTTGGCCAAGATCTAAAATATGGATTTGGAGATCTGAGTACAGCAGAAGCAAAAAATAGAAAATGAGATTTCATTTTGCTAAGCTGAGGTCAGAAACATGGGCAGTCAAGAGCAAAGCAATGTAAAAAGCACTATGGGTCAAATATAATACCTACAGCAAGGACAGGCAGGAGTCTGGGTTCTATAAAAGAGGAAAGGAATTGGGGAACCTCTGGGCTGGAATCAGCCTTTTCTCCTTTGTACAGATTTGATGTAGAGCAGAAGTCAGGGACGCTTTTTAGTTAAGGCATTCTCAATAGGCATCACCTGAACTTGAGACCATTCTCATCACCTGTCTTGAAATTTTATTTAACTCATGAGAGAAAAGACTAAAATGACCCCTGAATGATGCTTTGGAAAGAATAACTGCTTAAGGTACTATTAGAAACATAATCTAATTAAATTTCTTATTTGAAATTTTTTATAAGAATCAGCTTAAATTATTTTTCAAGAAAAAATGCTTTTTACAGATTGAGCATCTCTAATCTGAAAATCTGAAATTCAAAGTCCTCTAAAATTTGAAACACTTCAAATTTCAAAACTTTATGAGCACTTGTGATACCACAAATGGAAAATTCCACACCTGACCTCATGAAATGGGTTGCAGCAAAACAGAGGCACACCACAGTTTATTCAGCTTGCCATTGTTTGTTGCTGTTGTTTAACACTGATATGGGTATTACTTAGTTACACTTAACACATTATTTTTTCACTGTACCAATGGTGTGTCCTGTTTTTTAAGTGTTAAGTACTTATATGTGAATAAGTGTAAGAAAATGGTTGCATATAAATTCAAGAGTCAGTAATGATGGGGATACCAAGCAACTACAGATTGATTGTCCATCTAGTTGGCCGAGATAGTGACACCTTTGCTTTCTGATGATTCAGTGTACCTTGTTTCATGCAGAAAATTATTTAAATTATTCTATGAAATTACTTTCAAGCTGTGTGTAGAAGGTGTATTTGAAACATAAATGAATTTTGTGTTTAGACATGCATCCCATTCTCAAGATAATCTCATTATGCACATATGGCAAATATTCCAAAATCTGAAAAAATCCAAAATGCAGAACACTTCTGGTCCCAAGCATTTCAGATAAGGGATACTCAATCTGTATGTGGAAGCTGACATGTTTAAATAACCACAGATCAGATGAGATCCAGCCCATTCAGGTTAGTATGGCTGTAGACATCCCTCTACCCCTAATTCTTCTGCTTTGTTTGGGAAGAACATGGAAGAAAAGGTGACTTCTGCCTCCGCTGCTCTTACCCCCACCATAGTGGCCTTTGGCGATGCCTCCTACCTTCCCCCAACAACTCTCTTGCGTGTTAGAGAGAAGGGGCCCTCCCAGCACAAAGTTGCATTCCTCCCCCCAATTTATTCTAATTTATTAATTTAGTCCCACCCCTTCTGAGCCTGCAGCCTTCTGCAGCCTGGGGACTGTAGAGTAAGTAGCTGCCCCAGCCCCTCCCAGGCCTGACCCAGCCTGGGGAGTGGGACAAGGTGTGGGTGTGGCCCTGTTGGAGGTTGATGTTGCTGTTTTTATCTCTTGGCTTTGTGTTTGTGTTCTGTGATACTTTTTGAGAAAGAAGAGGCCAGGCACAGTGGCTTACGCCTGTAATCCCAGCACTTTGGGAGGCCAAGGTGGGCGGATCACTTGAGCTCAAGAGTTTGAGACCAGCCTGGGTAACATGGTGAAACCCCCTCTCTGCCAAAAATACAAAAAAAAAAAAAAAAAAAAAAAAATTAGCCTGGCATGGTGGTGCACATCTGTGGTCCCATCCTTGGAGGCTGAGGTGGGAGGATCACTTGAGCTTGGGAGGCAAAGGTTGCCCTGAGCTGAGATCGCACCACTTCACTCCAGCCTGGGTGACAGTGAGATTTCGTCTCAAAAATATACATATAAAAGAAAGAGAAAAAAAGAAATGTGAGCAAAGCAGAAGGAGGCGGATTCAAACCCCAGTGTGTCACGCCTCATGCCTTTTCTTTAGTGGTGGGAAACCCTTATCTTGTAAAGGGAATGTGTCCCCTTCTTCAGCCAGCCTCTAGTGTATTTCACAGAAAACAAAACCTCCCAATAAAACTGTTGAAACCTGGAAAATAAAACAAACAATATGTCATCTACTTGAAGAAATATCTGGTGACCATTTAAAACATATTTACAGTGACTTTGTAATAATGTGGGAGAATGTTTATGTCACATATTTATTAGTGGAAAAAGACCTATATAATTTTATATCACAGTTATTTTTTAAATGTATGCAACAGACATTCATGTGTGTGGGGAGCATGCAAGTGTTCATTTATAATATATGCCATTATTTGACATGAGCTCAGTGGTTCTGCATATGTTCTGCCTTTCCTTGCTCAGTCAACTCTTGGAGTATGAAGACCACATCCCTATATGGGATATGAGTAGGTTAATTTTTCACTCAACCCTGTGTCATTATATAAGGATATGTTTCCATTAAAAAGCCATTTGGGAACAGAAAGTAGTAACAAATGATGCTAACCCAGCAGTGAGCTAGGTAAGTACAACTGTTTTTCCTTATCAGATGTGAAAGACTGTAAGAGGAAAATTTTACCCCTCTATTGGAGAAAATTTCTGAACACCCATCTAGAAATCAAATGCTAGGCCAGTAATTTTTCATATTTTTAAAATTCACTGAACCTTGCATAAATAAGGTTTTAAGGGTTATTGTAAATCAGAGGCAGCTGGGTGTGGTGGCTCATGCCTGTAATCCCAACGCTTTGGGAGGCCAAGGTGGGGGCAGATCACAAGATCAGGAGATGAGGAGTTCGAGACCAGCCTGACCAACATGGTGAAACCCCGTCTCTACTAAAAATACAAAAAATTAGCCAGGCGTGGTGGCAAGCACCTCTAATCCCAGCTACTCGGGAGGCTGAGGCAGGAGAATCACTTGAAACTGGGAGGCAGAGGTTGCAGTGAGCCGAGACCTTGCCATTGCACTCCAGCCTGGGCAACCAAGTGAGACTCCATCTCAAAAAAAAAAAAAATCAGAGCCTCAACTTAAAGGAGTATGTTGGATCAGCCAGATCTGAAGAGTACTACACTCTCATACCAGTAGCAGTGGATTCTTGGATTGGGGATAATGAAAAGTGTGCCCCACTTCTTAGGGGAATTTATGTGCTCTACCTCATCAATTGAGAATTACTCATCTACAGTTATTCCATTTTCTTTCAAATGAGGAAACCAAGGCCAGAAACATTGACTTTTCTACAGTTGACAGAGCTGAAACTCTTTCAACCCTATTCCAGTTACTTAGAGGTGGTAATAAAAGGAAATTTATGGTTTTGTGGCCAGTATTACATGTTCAGAGTGTATCCAAAATTTTAAACCAGCAGAGCAAGCTTCTGTGGACTCAGATACCCTCCTCCCCCATCCTGACACTAGTCATATTGGCACAGGACACAGACATAAATGAAAGGAGCCACAGTGTCTAGTCTGCTTATCCTAAGTGTAACCTTATGAGCTTGCAAAGAAACAGACTTACAAATCGAAGGTGATTGATAGCTGGAGGAATTTACCTTAGGCTAAAGGAATTATTCTAATTTCTGAGTAAGGCTTTTGACTTAAACAGTAATATATTAGCAGGTCAGCTCAGCTTTCATTGAGTAAAAAAATAAAATAAAATAAAAACATGACCTGAATAATGATGTTAACATTTGATCACTTCAGCTTAGTTCAAAGAGACTAGAAATTTGGACTCTAAGTAATGCATTATTTCCTGACTTTGCAGATCAACTTTAGGTGATATTTAAAGATCTACTTAGGAAAAATGACACAGCTCCACAATCTATGATAAGCTTCCTAATAATCTAACTTATGATGATGTAGATTTATCCATCCAAGAGCTTTGTAAGACTGCATCATTAAAATATAATTTCTGGCAGGCACGGTGGCTCACACCTATGAATTAGAGCACTTGGGAGGTCAAGGCAGAGAGATCACTTGAGCCCAGGAGTTAAAGACTGGCCTAGGCAACATGGAGAAACCCCATCTCTACAAAAAATACAAAAAGTATATGAGCGTGGTGGTGCATGCCTATAGCCCAAGCTACTTGGAGGCTGAGGCAGGATCACTTCAGCCCAGGAGGTTGAGGCTGCCGTGAGCTGTGATTGTACCACTGCACTCCAGCTTGGGCAACAGAGTGAAACCCTGTCTCAAAAAAATTAATAAATAGGCCGAGCATAGTGGCTGACGCCTGTAATTCAAGTACTTTGGGAGGCTGAGGTGGGTGGATCACCTGAGGTCAGGAGTTCGAGACCAGCCTGGCCAACGTGGTGAAACCCCGTCTCTACTAAAAATACAAAAATTAGTGTGGCACATGCCTGTAATCCCAGCTACTCAGGAGGCTGAGGCAGGAGAATCAATTGAATCCGGGAGGCAGAGGTTGCAGTGAACCAAGATCACACCACTGCACTCCAGCCTGGACAACAGAGCAAGACTCCGTCCCAAAAATAAATAAATAAAATGAAAAATAAAGAAATAAATGGCCGGGTGTGGTGGCTCACGCCTGTAATCCCAGCACTTTGGGAGGCCGAGGCGGATGGATCACGAGGTCAGGAGATTGAGACCATCCTGGCTAACACGGTGAAACCCTGTCTCTACTAAAAATACAAAAAATTAGCCGGGTGTGGTGGCAGACGCCTGTAGTCCCAGCTACTCAGGAGTCTGAGGCAGGAGAATGGCGTGAACCCAGGAGGTGGAGCTTGCAGTGAGCCGAGATCGCACCACTGCACTCCAGCCTGGGCGACAGAGCAAAACTCTGTCTCAAAAAAGATAAATAAATAAAAAATAAAAATAAAATGAAAAATAAAAATAGAAATAAATAAAATAATATAATTTCTTTATTTTAGAAAAGGAATTGCCAATCCTGAATTTGCATCACATTAGGGCCTTCACAATTATCTGTAGGCTTACAGATGATGAAATCAGGCTTGGGACAGAATTGTTAAAGCTCTCTTTGAAACAAAAGATATTGAGAGTCACTGTTTTTTTGTGTAATGGTTTCCAGGCTTCAATGTGCATAAGAATTAGCTGAGATATGGCCTAGCGAGGTGGCTCACGCCTGTAATCCCAGCACTTTGGGAGGCGGGCTGATCAGGAGGTCAGAGAATTAGCTGAGATATTGATCATTTCAGCTCTTTCCCCAGAGCTTCTGTTGGGAACGCTGGTATGGTGTTTCAGCAGGAATTTGCATTTAACAAGCACTCTGGCACATTCAGACAGATGACCCAGGAACTATACTTTGACAAATACTTCCAGAAAATAAAGGGAGAGGTTAAAAAAAAAAAAAGCGGGGAGGGGGAAACTTTTGAGGAAAACAATGAAGCCATCAAAGGAAAAGTCTTTATTTGTGGAGAAGCTGAATGGCTGTAGGCAGTTGATCTCAAATTGGCTCGAAAACTGGACTGCGGTATTCCGCTAATAGTGAGCTAATGGTTTTTATCACAGTAAACAGAAAAAAAGATCTGAATTTGTATTTTGTTTTTCTTTATTAAACATTTACTGCCTACTGTCACTTTTCTGTTAGCAAAATGAACAGATAACTAAGAAACATTAATTTTAAAAACTCAGAAATAACTCATCAAATTTTGACAACTCTTTTCTTTCTTTCTTGTGAACTCAGGGTTATACAGTCATCCATCACTGTCTGTGGGGGATTGGTTTTAAGAGGACACCGTAAGTTCCATATATGAAATGGTATATAGTGTTTGCATATAAGCTGTGCACATCCTCCCATATATTTTAAATCATGTCTACTTTTTACTTAATACAATATAAATGCTATGTAAATAGTTGTTACATTGTATTGTTTAGAAAATAATGACAAGAAAAAAGTCTGTACGTGTTCTATACGGTCTCTTCTCCTACCCCCCAAAATATTTTCAATCCAAGGTTGATTGAATCCACCAATGTGGGACCCACAGATACAGATGGCTGACTGTCCTTTTTTTTTTTTTTTTTTTTTTTTTTTTTTTGAGACGGAGTCTCGCTCTGTCGCCCAGGCTGGAGTGCAGTGGCGGGATCTCGGCTCACTGCAAGCTCCGCCTCCCGGGTTCACGCCATTCTCCTGCCTCAGCCTCCCAAGTAGCTGGGACTACAGGCGCCCGCCACTACGCCCGGCTAATTTTTTGTATTTTTAGTAGAGACGGGGTTTCACCGTTTTAGCCGGGATAGTCTCGATCTCCTGACCTCGTGATCTGCCTGCCTCGGCCTCCCAAAGTGCTGGGATTACAGGCGTAGAGCCACCGCGCCCGGCCGGCTGACTGTACTTTTAAAAATTACATCAATAGGCCAGGCATGGTGGCTCATGCCTATAATCCCAGCACTTTGGGAGGCTGAGGCAGGAGGATCACCTGAGTTCAGGAGACCAGCCTGGCCAACATAGTGAAACCCTGTCTGTACTAAAAATACAAAAATTAGCCGGGCGTGGTGGCACACGCCTATAGTCCCAGCTACGAGGGAGGCTGAGGCAGGAGAATTGCTTGAACTCGGGAGGTGGAGGTTGCAGGAGTTAGCCAGCCTGGCTAACATGGCGAAACCCCGTCTCTACTAAAAATACAAAAATTAGCCTGGCGTGGTGGCGTGTGCCTATAATTCCAGCTACTCTGGAGACTGAGGTGGGAGAATCACTTGAACCTGGGAGGTGGAGGTTGCAGTGAGTTGAGATTGTGCCAGTGCACTCTAGGCTGGGTGACAAAGCGAGACTCCATCCAAAAAAAAAAAAATTGCATCAATAAAGTATGTGTATATTTGAACTTACTCAAGTTGCTTCTAACCATGTGATGAATTAAATTTATTCTTTTTGATGTATTCCACAAAAAAGCATGGCATCCCACAAAGGGCATCATGACTTCCAGGTGCTTCCCAGGATGAACCAGTTTGAGAACTGTTCTCTTTAGAAAAAGTATTCTTCACTAAGGCATTAGGTTAGGAAATTATTAATTATTGCATGGTTATTGCTTTGCCCATCCATTAAAAAAAAAAGGGGTTTTTTAAATGCTTCATTTTTGAAACCACTGATCAGATGACAAAGATAACCCTGGTCCTTACCTATACAGAATTTTGGTCAAATCATTGACATGAACAGTAGAGAGCTACAATTCAGAGTAGTAAGAGCTGTGATGGGTCAGGGCTAGGGTGCTGAGGAACCAGTAGACTGGACAGTTAACCTCCATTTGTGGGGTTGGCAGCTTCTCTAGGAAGGGGCACCTAATATGAAATATCAAGGCTTAGGAGGCGATACACATACTTTTGGTTTCTGTTTCATTGTTATCATCCTACATAATTGCTTTGTTGTGTTAGTCTTTGAATAAGACAATTTCTTATTTTTACATGCTTCTTAATTTTTTTACATGCTTTTTATTATTTTTACATGCTTTTTTGTTTTGTTTTGTTTCCTTAACTTCCAGCCTTCATTGATATATATACATTTGCAAGTTTGAGTTCTGAGTATTTTTCAAAACTAGCTGGTAATGGTAATGTTTGTTTAGAATTTGAAAACTCGTCAGGCAAAAGATGTTTTCATTAGCCATGGATTGGCCAGTTTTTCCTTGTAGCCAGTTCTTATAATCAGACATTTATATAATTAGTACTTAACCAGAAATTATTGGCTTTCTGTATGATGAAGCAGAATACTCCATTGCCCTGCAGGATGATTGCTTTTAATGATTGCTTAATGATTCTCTTTCTTAGTTAAGAAAACTTTTTTAAAAAATGACAATCTATAAAGCCTTTATTGTTTTTCTCAACTCCTGTGACAGATTACCTATAAAGCTTTTAATACATTAGGTATCACAGGCATTTTTTGGACCATTTACCTGATAGTGAAATAATTTTTTCTTTTTTTTTCTTTTTTTTTTCTTTTTTTTTGAGGCGGAGTCTTGCGCTGTTGCCCAGGCTGGAGTGCAGTGGCATGATCTCAGCTCACTGCACGCTCCACCTCCCAGGTTCACGCCATTCTCCTGCCTTAGCCTCCTGAGTAGCCGGGACTACAGGCGCCTGCCACCAAGCCCGGCTAATTTTTTCTATTTTTAGTAGAGATGGGGTTTCACTGTGTTAGCCAGGATGGTCTCGATCTCCTGACCTCATGATCCGCCCGCCTCGGCCTCCCAAAGTGCTGGGATTACAGGCGTGAGCTACCGTGCTCTGCCAATTGTGAAGTAATTATTTCTTAATTAAGTGGGATAAAGATAAATCGCTCTTTTGTGGCATTAATGTGACCTATCTTAGACATTTTTTTTATTTCTCTTTAATCTCACATGGTGGCTTTCAAACTTTTTAGTTCTGCTATTTTCTTTACAATTTTATTCTCTTTATTTTAAAACAAAATGTTAGTTGGAATGTACCAAAATTGGAAAGCATTGTCTCACTGTCTCTAATTCTTCTCCCATTCTCTTTAACTGATTACAATTAGGCTTGTGCTCCAGATCACAACTAGTTTGATCAAAGTCACCAGTGACCTCCATGTTCCTAAATCTAGCATTAACCTGTTATCAGCATTTGACTACAGTTCATCACTCCCTTCTTAATGGATTTCTAGGACTTTCTTGGTTTTTCTCCTACCTCAGTATATGCTCCTTTACATTCTCCTTTAGTGCTTTCTCTTCTCTCTGACATCTTAACATTACAGTGCCCCAGGGCTTAATCGTAAGCCTATACCTCTCTCCTGAGTGCCAGGCTGTTATGTCCATTTATGTCCTATTTAATACCTCCACTTAGATATCCAATACACACCTCAAAGTTAACCTACCCAAAACTGAACTCCTGATCTTCCCCTGAAATCTATCATTTTCCTACTGTCTCTTATCATTCTGATTTTTCAAACCAGAAGCCTGGGCTCTGCCTTCATAATTTATCCAGAATCAGACCTCTTCTTGCCACCTTCCTTCACTTGTACCATCATAGTCTAAGTCATCGTCGTTGCTCACCTGTATTATTGCAGTAGCCTCCTTTCTGGTTTTTCTGCTCCCCTACAGGTTCTTCTCAAAGTAGCAGTCAGAATAGTCCTTTTAAAATATTTCAGATAATGTTACTCCTTTGCTCAAAACCCTCCGTTAACTCCGCATTTCACTCAGAGTAAAAGCCGTATACAGTGACACTATGTGACTGCCCCCCTCCTCTCCCCACATGGCCTCTCTCTGATTACTGCTCATTTTCTCTCTCCATTTCAGACATCTTGGCCTCCTTGTTTTCTTGAATATTCCAGATATGCCCACTATGGAACCTTTGCACCCATTGTTCTGTCTGCCAGGAAAAGCTCTTCTGGATATTTGTATGGCTAACTTCCTTTCCTCCTTTATGTACTTGATCAAATGTCATCTTTTCAGTGAGGCCCTAACCATTTAAAAATTGAAAGCTTCCTCCTCCCATGGCTCTCCGCTTATTCTGTTCAATATTTTTCCATAACATTTATCAATTTTTAACGCATATATCGTATATATGATATAGATAGATAGTGCATGTCTGTGCTTCTCCCAGCTCTCCCACTAGAATGTAAGTTCCGTGAGGACAGTGATTTTTGATTCAATAAGGTGTACCTCAAATGCCCAGAACAGTGACTAGTATGTAGTGTGCATTCAATAAATATCTCTTGAATGATTGGTTCATGACTGACAAAGGAGTTGAAACCCAGTTTGAAAAATGCTTGTCTGATAGCTAGACTCAATCCTTAATTTTTTATTTGAGGTGCTATATATAAACACACTTTTTTGGAATAAGCTAAATATTTTGTAGTTGTTTTCAAGTGATCTTCTTCAGTTAGGTTTGGTTTATCCAAAGTGCTTTGATGGCCGCAGTGGCTCATGCCTGTAATCCCAGCACTTTGGGAGGCCGAGGCAGGCAGATCACTTGAGGCCAGGAGTTCAAGACCAGCCTGGCCAATATGGTAAAACCGCCTGTCTACTAAAAATACAAAAAATTAGCCAGGCATGGTGGCATGCGCCTGTAGTCCCAGCTACTCTGGAGGCTAAAGGATGAGAATTGCCTGAACCCAGGAGGCAGAGGTTGTAGTGAGCAGAGACTGCCTCACTGCACTCCAGCCTGGCAACAGAGCAAGACTCTGCCTCAAAAACAAAACAAAACAAAACAAAACAAAACCAAAAAAAAAGTGCTTGCTATAGTCATTCTA